>NT_113891.3:0-1200000 GCF_000001405.40 Homo sapiens | reverse complement strand
GTTGTTTAGTGCCACTTCAGGTTTGGATGTTTTCTGGAGGTGTCAACATAGGATTCATGCTCAATCCAGATGGACCATTTCTATCTCATGATGGATGCTTTGGGGTCTGTCCGATCTATGACTTTCTGAGTTACAGAAGCCAATTCATATGGGCATTTGAAATCACATGGTTGTTTGCTGTCCCATGGCAAGGATTCTATCTTATCAAGGCCAGTAACATACCAAAAGTTGCTTCTAACAGGGGCATATGTCTCTGCTGTGGATGACATGGCCTTACTCCAGAATCCCAGGCCGTCCATGTGACTCCCCCACTGGTGCTTGTTTCAGCTCCATCCTGCATCTTTCCCCAGGACTGACACCTCTAGGTGGGTCTGAGGGATGGCGCTGCCTCATGGCCTGAATCTGCCAGTGTCCTTTCCTCAGCAGGCCTAATTGAAGCAAGTCCCCTCCTATTTCTCCTAGAGTGTAGGTCAAAACAATAGATGTGGGATGTGGTATTGTCAGAACTCAAAGAGGCTCACCAGGCAGTGTGCTTCCTTCCTTGTAGTGAGGATGCAAGATGCAACACTTTGTCTTTTACTGTGGAGGAGAAACTCCTGGATGTCCTCAACCACTGGATGAATAAAACTTCACCACAGTGGCCACTCCTGAATCTCTGTATGGTTTATCTTCCATCTTCTGGAGAGCACGTGTTTTGCCAAGGCCTTCAGCATACTTTCCACCTCCTACTCATCCATCCTAGTCAACATGATGTTGTTGATGAAATAAGCTGGTTTACCATTCTATAGGATGCCAGGTTCTTCAGATCTCTTAAGACTATACTATAGAGGGCAGGTCAGTTACAATAACCCTGAGGCCAATTATCAATAAATGTGTTGTGGATCCCACATGAATCACTTCATGTATAGTTTTTCTCATTGGAATGGAAAGGAATGCACTCACCAAATCCACAGCTGCACACTCTGTGCCTGAGGCCTTATCAATCTGCTCTACCCGTGATATCCAGCCAGCATGGCAGCTGCAATTATGACTCCTACTTTTTCAAGTCTGAAGTAATCTTATTCATTCTTTAGGCCCCATCAGGCTTCCTTGGGGACAGATTGCTGGATTACATGAAGATAATAGGCAACTCCAACAGCACCCCTCATCCTTCAGCTCCCTAATGGCGGTGCTACACCTACAATACCTACAGCACCTTTCATAAGACTCACCCTGGGACTCAATATCATTTTTTATTTGGCCAAGATGAAGTCAGTTGCAGAGGTTTCCCTTTGGCTTTCAGAAAATGACAGCCCTTATTCCAGAGACTTGGGACCCAATGTGGGGGTTACTCCAGCTGCCAGGGCATCAATGCCAATTACACACTTGGAGAATGGGGAGATAAACAGGGCTGGGTCTGTGGACCCAGTAGTCTCTTTGTGATGTGTCCAGATTTATTCCCAGCTTCTGTAAGCCCCACTGTGCTGGGGACATAATGGTGCTGTAGGCCTGTAGGCATCAATATTAGCTCACACCCAATGTCAACACTCCCCCAAATTCTGCCTGTTTCCCTTTCCTAGTGTACAGTCCCCTGAGTAAATGACTGTAGGCTCCTTTGCAGAAAGACAGAGGGAATTGTTCCAGCATATACTTGCCATGAGGTTCCAGGGTCCTTCCTCCTGGGATAGGGACTCCTTCTCTGTAACTGGGATCTGAATCTGAAACTTGGTTGACATTTAGGAATTGAGAATGGGATCATGACTTTGTATTGAGTTAAACACCCTCAGCCCCCTGCTCATCAATTCTTGCTTTCTTATCATAGATGTCAAGCAGTGCCCTTGTTGGCTGCTGTCTTTTCTGACACCACCCTCTATTAACCTTCCCCACAACTCCCTGCAGATCAAGCTGCCTCAGCTGCTCCTCTGAGATTGTCAAGTTAACCGTGCCCTCTGGCTTTTGCAGGCCACTGTCACCATTTAGTTCTCTGCCTTTTCAAGGCCACACTTTCCTCAGGAATATCAATGAGCCCAACTATAGGACCTCCTTCCTGCCATCACACCCAGCCTGCAGAGGACACCACCCCGACGCTTCTTAGCAATGCAAGTCCCTCTCACCAGCACATTCCTGAGGCTCTGGTGGAAGGTGTGCCCTATGGGTCCTCTGTGGAGCATGGCCCTAGTGGGCATTCTGGTTCACATGATGTCTCCATCCCACACACCCACTTCCCTCAGCCTCATTATCCATCCTCTACATGTTCCAGGACAACTAACTCATGTCTAACTTACTGAGAGTTGGACATCATTTTTTCCAGTCTACATGGGTCCACCCCAGCAGTGGGTTTGCCCCATGCCCTGAGGTCCTTGATAAACCCATACCCTGAGAAAGTGCTCCCAAGCCAAAGGTGTTTTTTTTAATTTATCCAGCTTGATTCTGGCCCTTTGATCAAACACCCTTAAATTCCAATCCCAGAACTGCTCCTCAGGCTCCTACGGGGACATAACGGCTGTTACTGCAAAGCTCCTGAGTGGAATTCCCACTGCATCATAGGGGTGAGGTTTCTGCAGCAACTTCCAGTGTAGGAAGTGGGAACCATTACTAGAGAAGGGCGAGCCTCCTCTGCATGCCCAGAGAGTTCTAAAGGGCACCCATAGGATAACCCTGTTCCAGTTTGCAGAATCTTAGGTTTCCGCACCAAGGCCTTGACTTTCCCACAGCAGGTCTGCCTCTGATGAGTGTCCAAACATCTCTGTAGTACTGTGACTTTCAAAATGATGTCATCAGCTATCATTCCACTCTGCAAGGGGAGAGGGGCAGGTGCCCCTCCTCGGTCTGTCTCCACCAGGCCCTGTGAGGGTGGGTGGAGGCTCTCTCCAAGCCCTCGTTTGGCCCCACCCCAGCATGTCTCCAGGTTCCTCTCAGCCCTGGTTCCTTTTGGCCCTGCAGTCACAATGGGCAACACTGTGACGCACCCTGTCCTGTGTCACAGTGTCATACACTCAGGCTCACATTGCCCCTAGGCCACTTGCCAGCCAAGGGACATGGCCACATTTTGTGTCTTCTGCACCTCAGCCTTGCTTTCAAGTGCAGGTGATGATGGCACCCACGCAGAACAAATGTTATTTGCTATCTTCGTCGAGTTTAGTCATCCAATTTTCCAACCCTCACTGGGCAAGGAAGAGTGTGGTTTCCACCAAGAAGGCAGGATGTCAGCAGTCACAGGGGCAACCAACAGGGAAAGCCGCCGGAAAATAGACCCCACAGGAAGCACAGGTGTCCAGTGGAGATGGGAACCCTGCAGATTTGACCGTCTTTAAGCAGATTAGAGAGATTACCGTTACTAACAACTTAGCCATAAAAGTTTATTAGCTATTTTCAAAAAGCATAAAATTATGTAATATAATTTTTTTTAAATTTCCATCAATACAAAACTAATCTGGGCACTGCAACTTCCGGTGGGCAACTGGGATAGGCGGCATCATCAGGAAGGCGAGCCCTGCCGTGCCCCATGTGCCAGTGCCCCAGATGGCGGCAGCCTCCCCAGAAGCACCTTGTATCTCCCCTGCACAGGGCCAGGGTCCCAGCTTCCCATACACCTTCTCCTGCTTTTTCTTTTCTGTCCTTTCCTTTTTCAATAAACCACCTGCAAAAAGGGAAAACCATTCTGAGGACAAGAAACATGTCAATGGGAAATACACAGTTGCCAGAGGGTAAAAGGCCCTGTTCATTCTCATTGAAAAGCTCAGGTATTTCTGTTAAAGTCTCTCCTTTTACTTTAGGATGCTGACTCCTGCGTCCATCTCAACCTGGGCATCGTGCCACCACCTTCAAGAAGAGAAAAACTAAGTAGTGCTTTGCAAAGGGGCAGCAGCATTTCTCATTTCTGACCATGTCAGGCACATGGCCATGCAGATGAGCAGGTGGGGGACACAGGTGAGTCTCCAGACCTGCTCTCCTCCCACAGTACATTCTTGAGTCTTTTTAAACAGTTGTGAAAATGCCACAGATGCAAGCACCTGTGGGCCACTCCCATGGGGACCGTTGCACAAGGCAGTGCCACTCATTCTCAGAACCTCCTACCATGGGCTATGCTTAGTGACCCGAGGCCAAGCCAAGGAAGACGCCAGCCACAGGGTGCCATCCTCAGGGGCATGCTGCCAGCAGGGGCAAAGTTATCCCTAGCAACAAGATACAGAAAGAAAGAAAAAAGGAAGGAAATGTAGCCAATGGGCCGGTTCAGGTTCTTGACTTTGCCACACAAAAGAATTTGAGAGCAAGTCCAAAGTAAAAGTCAGCAAGAGAATTTATTGCAAAGTGAAAGTACACTCTGACAGCTGATCAGAGCAGCTGCTCAAAAGAGAGACAGTACCCTCCCCTCACGGGAGTCTTACATGATTATTCATGAATAGGTGGGAAGGGGTATTGTTTTAAGCATGTTCTGTGGTCTCTTGAACGTGCATGCACTGTGGTTGTACATATCAGCACACACATCTTACGTCTCATTAGCATCTTAACTTCCCTCTCAGAGTTGTGTTTGCTACTATTGTAATGAGCATAGGTCAGCCCAAGGACACTATTCATGGGTTTCTGGGCTTCCTCAGATGTGGGGATGCCTCCCTTGGCTCTTCTACCTCTTTGCTGCAGGATGTTCTAACCACAAGCCCAGGATATGGTTTGCGCACTGTCGAACAGCTTGTTCTCTCCATCAACCTGACAAGTCTCTTGTTTCCTTTCAAGGGAGGCTGTGAACACCCTATCTCACTGACCTCAGAAGGACAGTACAGCAGTAGCCACCATGACCAAAAAGATGATTCCAGAAGTGCAGGACAACTCCCTACCCAGAGGCTGTGGCTGTGCAGTAACACACCAAGAGGGGAGTCCAGCTGGCTCTCAGGGTGCTCACTACCCTCATCTGGGGGCCTGGAGGACGTCAATTCCTGAGAACGCCACGTTCTAGTGAGTAGAATGAACTGAGAGATACACAGCAAAGCTCCACATACTTTTCCTTTTCTTTGTGCCCGCAGTGTTCTTCATCAGTGTGCTCTCGCTTTTCAGCTACTACTGTTGGCTGGCTGGAAAAAATAGAACAATAGTAAAAATTAGAGACCAGTCTTTGGTGATGAAGAGAAATATTGGCTACTTCCAGTATTTTCTAGCTTTGGTTATGGTTGCAGTTTTCCAGCTCACCTTGTGGGGATGAATTCAGAAAAAAGTTACAAATTGAAATGAACATGCCAGAAGTATTGGCTCAAATCAACGTTGTCCTATTAAGCCACTTAGTGAATCAAAAGACCGCTTGTTGGACTGTTAATCTCGGTGGCCAGAGAAAGGAGCTGAAGAAGGTGTTGCCAGATCAGGAACAAATAATTACAGCGGCAATAGAAAATGGAAGACCACTTGTTCATAACCATTTGAATAAGGGCAAGGTGTATGGAAACACATTATGAACTGATATTTTCAGTTTTGTTTGCAAGAAAATGATTAATAAGGTGAAATAATTGAAGTATCACGGAAGATACATTAAAAAAAAAAAAAGCCTTTGTACAGTTTGCTGGAGCCACAGATGTCCTACTCCAGAGCAGAACAATGCCTGAATCTTCAGGGTCCATTTCTGCCGCATTCACTAGCAACCACAAATGTGACTTAATTTTACTTTGGAAATAATGCTTACCCATTGTGAGATGCTGTAATATGAACCATCATTACATGTTAACATGGCACATGGAATTTTGAGTGTCTAAGTTACATTTTTAGAGTTGTTTCTTAGTAGCCATGTGAGTTTCCACTCCAAAAACACAAGCTAAAAACTTGTTTTGAGTGAAGGACATCTAGGGCAAATGGTGGCTGAAAGTGAATGAGATCCCAATTACTCTTTCTTGTACTGTATAAGGAAAAGAAAATAAGTGCTTTTCTTGTTGGGTGTTTGCTAATTTATAATTACCGTTTTATGCTTTTCAACATTTTTAATAAAGTTTTTTATTGTTGGCTATAAACGTTTTAAAAGGATTCTCTTCCTCTAGAATCACTCTAAGTACCAAAATCTGTATTATTCTGGATTCATCAGAGAAACAGAACCAATAAGGTGTGTGTGTGTGTGTGTGTGTGTGTGTGTGTGTGTGTGTGTGTGTGTTATTCGTGTTATGAAACTGACTCATGCAATTATTACGGTGGCAAGTGTGAAATCTGTAGGATACGCCAGCAGGCTGAAAATGCAGACAGAAGTTGATATGGTAGTCTTAAGACAGAATTTCTTCTTTTCTGGGAAACTGTAGTTTCTGCTCTTAAAGCCTTCTACTGATTGGATGAGGTCCATCTACATTATTGAGGGTAATTTCCTTTTCATAAAGTCAACTGATTGTAAATGTTAACCACATGTACTAAATATCTTCACAGCAACATCTAGATTAGGTTTTGATTAAATGACTGGGTACTATGTCCTAGCCAAGTTTATTGGCATTGACTCTGGGTCAAGGCACCGTGTCTCCCTCCCATCGAGTTTTCCATCATCTACACGAGACCTAGATGACTACTTTGATATCTACTGAAGGCCACAGCCTTGTCAAAGCCAGCCCCAGCTGAAATGCACTCACCTGCATTCCCACACAATTTTACATACAATTCGGGGGAGGTTATGGGACCTATGAAGACCAAGGGTCTGTGGTCCTGTGACACTTTCTCTCAGAGGGTGAAGAAGGAGTTCCTTGGGGCAGCAACTCCCCAGGGGTCTCCTGCCTGCCTCTCCTCCCCTCTCAGCCCCAATCCTCTTTCCTGCTGTTGATCATCATGCAGTTTTTAAATCCCTACTCCCTGCCCCACCAAGGTTGGGCTCTAGGACCTGCCTATTGGGAACCTGCGGTTGGGAGAAAGTATGAAGTGACCCACCTGAATTTAGAGGAGGGAAGTGAGGAATTTGGAGACATCTAAAAACATTTTGTCCCTGTGGTTTGACTTCAAATTATCTATTTTTATTGGAGATTTGTTTGAAATCATAACCGGTATCTCATGATTATTCAGCATATGCCATGCCCCCTGGTAACCCTGGTTCTTATTTTTTTAAACTTGTACAAATATTTTAAGCAAACACAAAAGTAGACAGAAGAGTAAAGTAACCTTCACTGTACCCTTCACTCAGTAACACCCACTCTTGATTTATCTACATCCTCAACCATAGCCCAACACCAGGTTATTTTCAACTAAATCCTAGACAATATATTATTTCACATGTTAGCAATTTTCTTTTGAAGGTGCCAATGTTCAGCTTCTTTAAAAAGAGAAACAGAGACGGGCAGGAGAAGGATTGAACTGACAAAATATATTTTCAAATGCAATTAAGGCAGAGGACAATGCAGGAACCCTTGAGTCCCGTTTTAACTGAATGCTCAGCACCTCTTAGATTCTCAGTAAAAGAAAGCAGCAGCCCAGAGCCAAGGAGCCCAGGGAGGCACATCATGGTTTGATTTTGTGACTGTTTTCAGGGCAGTATCTGTCATCTCTGAATGGTTACACTGGACATTTCTATTCCCACCCTTGCAATGGGACTCCCCAGCTCAGAGAAAGGGAAATTATCACCCATTCTCATTTATACCTTTAATGCCTTCATCCATTCCCTTGGTCCTGACTTTCCGGTTGGAGGAGGGGGAGGAAAAGCAGAGGCACGAAATTGAAATGTCTTCTCTGCCATCTGCTGGGGATATGCTTGAATAACAGGAAAGGCCTACATAAAAGATATGCAGCCAGGAATAGAGGTTCCTTTTCCTGTTTCCTTCAGGAAATTTCCCCTAGGGCAGACAGAGCAAGAGTGATGGACAGAGGAATGGGAGCAGGACCCAGGGGGAGGTCTGGTCATATGTGTGCCTTTCTGCCTCCCCGTCTGTCATTGTCCTTCCTCACCAGGCCTGCAGACCACCTGCGATGACCTGGCCTCTTGCCATCCCTAGCTGGGCCAAAATTCCATCACAGGGACACACAGGATGGCAGAAGCGCAAGGCCTCATACCCGCTGGGGCAGCCTCCTGGAGATGGCCTCAGAAGGGCTTCTAGGAACTTCTTTAAAACCTGCACTGCAGGCACCAATTTCTCCAGTTATCCCATCCTTAAATGAAAAATCAACCACAGAGATGATTTATTGTAATAGCCTTATTTCAGTACAAGCAGACGAAAAGTGTTTCTCTTCACTGGCCCGTTAGTTACAATGGGGAGGGGTCACTGAGTGAGCAGCGGGTGGTGGCAGTGACGACCACACCCTCTCACTGCGGCCCAACACTTTTGAGACAAGTTCCCACCTCTCCATTAGACGTGTCTTCTCCACATGCAGAAAATGTGGTCTCGTAGCTTCCCTTCTCAGTGCTGGATTGCTGACATTTCTTTTCTTTATCAGAGACATGAATATCTTTTTTCTTTATGGATTTCTAAGACTTCAGGGTTTCTTCAGGGAGAAGTTGCTTAAGGAGGCTCCTGCGTGGATCGAGTCCTTCCTGAGGGTTTGCTGGATGCCCCCGGACACTGTGCGGCTGTGTCCTCCGGGGTCCCTAAAGCTGGCACATTCTGCTGTGTACCCAGAGGTGGGGACAGATGCTGCCAGCTCCACCTTACAGCTGCCACATGAAATTTGAGGTCAGAGAATTCTCTTGTCTTTAAGGGCCCCCACATTTGCCTTCTTCGATGTTTCAGGAAATCATAACTGAATTTAGAAAGGTTCCCTTTTCAGTTTACTCTCTGGAAGGAAATATACTGAAAATTCAGTTTATTTTCAGGTGTTGAATAGAATTGAAAAGTCAAACTGTCAGTTTGCTTGCAGTGCACACAGAGAAATTGAGTGTTCCAAGCCATTGGGACATTTCTAGCAGCTCCATCCTTTTCCAGTAGGACATGAGTAAAGTCAGTGAGGAGCGAACCTGCAGTCCACGGGCACCTCCAGGATTGTGGCAGGAGACGCACATGTCTTTCTGATGTGTGGAGTCCTGAGGACAGAGGCTGAGACCCTGCATTTCCCAAAGTACTTGTTTTCTAAGCAAGTGTTTTCTGCTACTTGAAATAAACTTGGGGGTGTGGAAGCCACCTTGCAACCAACCAAACACAGGTGAGAAAATGAATATGAAGTGTTCTGGGAGAAAGCAGAAAAGCCCATTGCCATCATGTTTCCTTATTTTTACAATTCTCTTAAACAACGTGCCTAAGGTTATAACCCCTCCCGTTTGTAACAACTTCTAAATTGAAAGGGCATTAGTAAGTGTGGATACAGAATAAATGCTGAAAATCAGTGCTTTATTCAAAGTAGCGATAGAGTCTCCCAGGTATCAATAGAGAGGTGGGCCAGGGACTTTTCCCAGTGACCAGAAACAAGAGCCTCAGGGAGATGAGGATGTCTCACAGCCAGGGACGGGACAGTGAAGGGCCCCACGGGAGTGCATCCCAGGGGTCTGTTCCTGTTTAGACTCCAATGCTCAGCACCCAGTGCGGCACGTGGCAAGACCTCAGCAAATATGTCAGTTGGCTGGATGAAGGAGGGCAGGTGTGAGCCAAAAAAAGATTTTTGCTGGGGTATAAATGTAAAAGTGTTGATGAACCTACCTTGCAAGGAGATAGAAAGGTGGATGGGTGGATGGGTAGATGGATGGATGGATGGATGGATGGATGGATGGATGTTCATTTTCTCTATGTGTGTGTGTACGTGTGTATCTATCTCTATGTCTGTCTCTCTGCTCTTTCTCTCCATTTGCCATTGTTCCTTCACAATCATGATTTCACTAACTTTTTTTTTTTCTTTCTTTGAGACAGAGTCTCACTCTGTCGCCCAGGCTGGAGTGCAATGTCACAAACTCTGCTCACTGTAGCCTCCACCTCCCGGGTTCAAGCGATTATCCTGCCTCAGCCTCCTGAGTAGCTGGGATTATAGGCACATGCCACCACGCCTGGCTAATTTTTGTATTTTTATTTTTATTTTTTTTGTAGAGATGGGGTTTCACCATGTTGGCCAGGCTGGTCTCAAACTCCTGACCTCGTGATTCGCCCACCTCAGCCTTCCAAAGTGCATCAGTAACATCTTTTACCTGGTCTTACAGGACCTTGCCTGTCTATTCTATTCGTGGTCACAAGACAGAAAAAGAAAAGGAGCGTGTGGAAAACAAGATCAGGAAACATGCTTCTGATCTGGGGCAGTGGGGAGACAGGGGCTGCGCCTCACTGCAGAGTCCATCCTGCTGAACACAGAGGGGCAAAAGCGCCCAGACAGCCATACCTGTGCTGATCAGAAGGGAGGGCTGCGCCTCGCGATCCTTCTACCTGTGTCTTTCAGGCTTTGCTGTCTAGGTCCAAGTTACTGCTATGAAAAGAGATTTGAGAATTCCCAGAGGCGCCTTTCAGCCTCTTTCCATGGCTCTTCCTGCCCTTTCGAAAGCACAGCCAGAGACATCAGAAATGAAATTGTACATAATTCTTTTGGACTTTGATGCAATCTTTGGAAAGAATTTTTGTAAATGCCAAGCTACATTTTGGCAACCCCATCAAGAGTCAGGTGTGCCCAGGGCAGTCAACCCAGGCCCTGGACTCTCATTCTAGTTGGATTCTATGACAGCTATTTTGCCATAAGAATTCTAGAGCCAGATCTTGCTACATCACAATTGCCTCACGTTGCAAGACAAACAAATCTAACCTGAGTCCTGTGGATTCCAGAGGTGCTCAGGAGGAACCTCCATCTCAGCGTGGATGACTTCAGGTTCAGCCCCGTCTGCCCATTCAGCCCGCAGCCCCGTCCAGGAGAGCACTCAGAATCCGAGAGCAGCGCAGCGACGCCCCCGTGTGGCCACAGGGCCGAGGACAGAGACCCCGCTCCCCTTTCTCCCTAGCCAGGACCTCCCAGGCTCTCCTGCTCCCAGCACCTGGACAGGGCTCTGCATACAAGGGGGTTCCCGATCTCAAGTCAGGCTCTGAGTCCATCCAGCTTCCCAAAATCCATGTTGACACTGACGTTTCCTCCCACCACTGAGTGACTCTGGATTTTGGCTTCAGGGAAGAGACACCTCCAGGCCAAAACAGTGGGATCATATCTGGGGCTCATCCACCCCCAAACCATTGATACCACATGACCTAGTCCCTCAGCCTCCAAAATGGGGCCTTGCCCTCCTGTCCCCTCCCTTGTTCCTGCTGCTGCTCCTGCAGGTGGAGGCTGCTCATCCCAGGAATCAGCCTGTGAGCTCCAACCCTGGAGTCCGGGCCTGGGGCCTTGGTCCAGAGAGCGGAAGGGAGACGAAATGGATCATAAGAGAAAGGGGAGAGTGGAAGGAACCAGGGGGGAGAGAAAAACGAGAAGGGCCCTGTTAGAAGTTGTGTGTGCATGTGTGTGTGTGTGTGTGTAGATCAGGAGGGGGTTTCTAGGGACCTGGGGAAAGGAGAGCTAAGGGCAGGTGCTAAGGGGCCCAGCCCTGTTAATTCCAAGGTCTGGAATTAATTCCAGGATACTGCACTTCCTACAGTACCACTTTATGGCCATATCCAAGTCCAGCCCTGAGCAGCCTATGGTCACAGAAAATCGTGAGAATAATCAGAGAAAAATGACACGTTACATACATGAGAACAATTATGAGAATGACCAGTCCATGTGTTCATAATTTGTCATCAGAAACTATGGTGGTCAGAAGACAATGAAATGGCATTTTTTTGAGTGCTGTAAGAAAACAACCTAACTCAGAATTACACATCCAGTAAAAATATTTTCAGGGAAGAAAAATGAAAAGGTGTCTCCAGATAAAATAAAACTAGGATAATTTGTTGCAAACATAACTCTACTACAAGAAAAATACTGAAGGAGTTTCCCAGGTTGAAAGAAATCATACCAGATGGTAACCTGAGTCTTCAGATAGGAGTGACCAACACTGGAAATGCCAAATATATGGTGGGAAGTTAAAGATGCTCTATTTTTTCTTAGTTTTTTTTAATTAATTTTTTTTTTGAGATGGAGTTTCGCTCTTGTTGCCCAGGCTGGAGTGCAATGGCACAATCTCCGCTCACTGCAACCTCTGCCTCCTAGGTTCAAGCAATTATCCTGCCTCAGCCTCCCGAGTAGCTGGGATTACAGGCATGCGCCACCACGCCCAGCTAATTTTGTATTTTTAGTAGAGACGTGGTTTCTCCATGTTGGTTAGGCTGGTCTCGAACTCCCGACCTGAGGTGATCCACACGTCTTGGCCTCCCAAAGTGCTGGGATTACAGGCGTGAGCCACCGCGCCCAGCTTTTTCTTAGTTTTTTAAAAATACAAATGAACCACACTATCAACCATCTTGATCTCACATTTACAGTCACTGTGTTCAACAACTCCAGAATATATAGAATATATATTTTGTAAAGTGAATATGGTACATTCACTAACACAGGTCATATGTTGAGACATAAAACAAGTAACAACATATTTCAAAGGACTGAAATCATACAGAATATGTTCTCTGACCAAAATAGATTTTATTGGAAATCAATAATAAGTTGTCTAGGGGCAAAAAAGTATTGAAAATTTTAAATCTTCCTTCTAAATAACCTACGGATCAAAGAAGAAAACATAAGGGAAGTTAGATAATATTTTCAACTGAATGATGATGAAAACATACCTTTCAAAATTATTAGATATTATTTCCAGTCTTTCTGCAAAGGACAGTGATCAAGAGAGTGTGGTATTGGCAAAAGGACAGACACATAGATCAACAGAACAGAATGGAGAGGCCAGAAATGGAAGGACAAAAATAGAGTCACCTGATTTTGAATACAAGTACAAAGGTCATCCAATGAAGAAGGGAATCTCCTTTCAATAATGATGCTGAAACAATTGGCATCCATCTACTTTGGGAGGCTGGGGCAGGTGGATCACTTGAGGTCAAGAGTTTGAGACTGGCTTGGCCAACATGGTGAAACCCTGCCTCTACTAAAGGTACAAAAATTAGCTGGTGTGGTGGCTCATGCCTGTAATCCCAGCTACTCGGGAGGCTGAGGTAGAAGAATCACTTGAACCTGGGAGGCAGAGGTTGCAGTGAGCAGAGATCACGCCATTGCACTCCAGCCTGGGCCACAGAGTAAGACTCAATCTCAAAAAAAAAAAAAAAAAAAAAAACTTGACAATACTTCACACCTATAAAAAAGTAACTCAAAATGTATCATAGACTTAAAAATAATATGCACAGCCATAAAACTTCTGGAAGAATATAAAGGAAAAAATCTTAACCTTGAGTTTGAGTTTTTAGATAAAACACCAAAAATACAATCCATGAAAGAGAAAACAAATCAATTAGACTTTATCATAATTAATAGTTTTTGCTTTACAAAAACACTGGTAAGTGAATGAAAAGAAGACAAGGCACAGACTGGAAGAAAATACTTGTCAAAAAACTGGAAGTTACAGATGTGACAAAGGACTCGTAAAGATAATATGTGAACAAAATTAAAACACAATAATTGGGAAAAAAATCTTGATTTTAGAAGTGGGTGAAAGATCTCAACAGACACCACCAAAGAAGATATATGGGTGGTAAATAATACTTGAAAATATGCTTAAGATCATCTGTCATTAGGGAAATGCCAATAGGGTGCAGTGGCTCATGCCTGCAATGCCAACACTTCGGTAGGCGAAGGCAGAAGGATCACTTGAGCCCAGGAGCTCAAGACCAGCCTGGGTAACATGGCGAGACAATGTCTCTACAAACAAACAAACAAACAAACATTAACCAGGTGTGGTGGCATGTGCCAGTGATTCCAGCTACTTGGGAGAGTGAGACGGGAGGTTTGCTTGAACCTGGGAGGTGGAGGCTGAAGTAAGCTGTGATCGTGCCACTTTACTCCAGCCTGGGCAACAGAGTGAGACTCTGTCTCAAAAAACAAAACAAAACAGAACACCAAAACAAAGTACTGCTACACTATTAGAGTAGCTAAAATTTTTTAAACTTACAATAAAAAATGCTGAAAATATACAGAGCAACAAGAATTCCCACTCACTGCTAATGGGAATGGAAAATGGTAAAGCCACTTTGAAAGACAGTTTAGAAGTTTCTTATAAAGTTAAGGAGAGACTTACCATCAATCGTGCTCTTAGGTATTTACCCAAGTTAATTCAAGGTTGATATCCACACAAAAACCTGTACATGAATATTTATAGCAGCTTTACATATGTTCACTAAAAACTGTAAACAACCAAGATATCTTTCAGCCATGCAAGACTAAGCAAACTGTGGTATAACCATATGGATCATAAGAAATGAGCTATTGTCAGGCCACATGAGGTGGCTTACACCTGTAATCCCAGCACTTTGGGAGGCTGAGGCAGGTGGATCACCTGAGGTCAGGAGTTTGAGACCAGCCTGGGCAACATGGCAAAACTCCGTCTCAAGTAAAAATACAAAAAGAAAACATTAGCCAGGCGTGGTGGCGAGCAACTGTAGTCCCAGCTCCTCGGGAGGCTGAGGCAGGAGAATCACTTGAACCTGGGAGGCAGAGGTTGGAGTGAGCCAAGACTGCATCATTGCACTCTAGTCTGGGCAACAGAGCAAGGATCTGTCTAAAAAAAAAAAAAAAAAGCTGTTTCCCTGGTGCAGTGGCTCATTTTGGGAGGCCAAGGTGGAAGGATCGCTGTGGCCAGGGTTCAAGACCAGTCTGGGCAACATACCGAGATGCTGTCTATGTTTATTTAAAAAAAAAAAAAAAAAAATTGGCCAGGCGCAGTGGCTCACACCTGTAATCCCAGCACTCTGGGAGGCCAAGGCATGTGGATCACCTGAGGTCAGGAGTTCGAGACCAGCCTGGCCAACATGAAGAAACCCTGTCTCTACTAAAAATACAAAATTAGCCGGGAGTGGTGGCGCATGCCTGTAATCCCAGCTACTCAGGAAGCTGAGGCAGAAGAATCATTTGAACCTGGGAGGCGGAGGTTGCAGCGAGCTAATATCGCGCCATTGCACTCCAGCCTGGGCAACAAGGGCAAAACTCTGTCTCAAAAAAAAAAAAAAAAAAAAAAAAATATATATATATATATATATATATATATATATGTAAATAAGCTATTAATCCATACATCAATTAATCTTAAATGCGTTTTACTAGGTGAAAAAAATGTCAGACACAAAAGGCTTCATTTTATCTGACTCAATTCATATACCATTCTGGAAAAAGCAGATCTATGGGGACAGAAAACAGGTTAATGGTTATCGAAGGTTGGAGGGAGAAGGGATAAAGAACATTCAAAGGGAAATTTTTAGGATGAAGGAACTGTTGTAGATGGTACTAGGGTAGTGGATATATGATTCTATACATTTGTCAAAATCCAGGCTGGGTGTGGTTGCTCATGCCTGTAATCCCAGCACTTTGGGAGGCCGAGGCGGGTGGATCACCTGAGGTCAGGGGTTCAAGACCAGCCTGGCCAACATGGTGAAACCCCGCCTCTACCAAAAATACAAAAATTAGCCGGGCGTGTTGATGGGCGCCTGTAATCCCAGCTACTCGGGAGGTTGAGGCAGGAGATGGAGGTTGCAGTGAGCCCAGATAGCACCATTGCACTCCAGCCTGGGCCACAAGAGTGAGACTTCATCTCAAAAAAAAAAAAAAAAAAAAAAAAGTCATTGTTGTAAAAAGGGCACAGGCTTTGCTACAGATTTTTCTACCAGTGAAAAGATGTATACACTTGCCTGGCCTCATCATTCAGACCAATTCATAAAATAACAAATGCATGGAAAAAAAAACTTAAAAACACAATCATCATGTGACTGACTTCCAAATTAGATTCTCCTTCAAATCAGAGAGTATTGCTTGTTAATAGTGTTTATAAATTTTAATTCCTGATTGCTGAGACAATATGTACATAAAATATTTAGCCAAAGAGTTCAAAATAAAATTACCCAAATTACCTATTTGTTATTTTATACATAGTAATTATTTTTTAAAAATCGTTTGGCTGGGTGCGGTGGTTCATGCCTGTAATCCCAGCATTTTGGGAGGCCAAGGCGGGCGGATCATGAGGTCGGGAGTTCGAGACCAGCCTGACCAACATGGTGAAACCCTGTTTCTACTAAAACAACAAAAATTAGCCGAGCATGGTGTCGCGCGCCTGTAATCCCACCTACTTGGGAGGCTGAGGCAGGAGAATCGCTTGAACCCAGGAGGCAGAGGTTGCGGTGAGCCGAGATCACACCATTGCACTCCAGCCTGGGCAACAAGAGCAAAACTCCATCTCAAAAAAAATTTTTTAAAAAGCATAAATTAAAAAAAAAAATAAAACTTTTAAGATGTTAAGCCCCTGAAGCTCCAACTACAAAGTAGGGTAAAAGGCTGCCTAAAGCAGTGAAGATCAAGGAGTGACCTTGGAGGCAGCAGAGGGAGACTGTATTAGTCCATTTGCGTTGTTGTAAAGGAATACCTGGGTTTAAGTAATTTATAAAGAAAAGAGATTTATTTGGCTCACAGTTCTGCAGGCTGTACAATCATGGGGCCAGCTCCACTAGGATTCTGGTGAAGTCTCAGGAAGCTTTTACTTGTGGCAGAAGGCAAAGGAAGAGTAGGTGTGTCATATGGAGAGAGAAGGAGCAAGAGAGCTGCTAGGCTCTTTTAAATAATCAGCTCTCGTGTGAACGAATAGAGTGAAAGCTCACTCATTACCATGGGCAGAGTACTAAGCCACTCATGAGAGAACCGCTCCCATGACCCAAACGCCTCCCACTAGGCCCCAGCTCCAACACTGGAGATCTTTCAACATGAGATTTGGAGGGGACAAACACCCAAACCTTATCAGAGATGATCCCAGCCACAGGTCTCAGAGAACCAGCAGAGGGCACTCCTCCAGGGCCCAGCCTGAGTGTGGAAATAGCTGTCAGAATCACGTCAGAATGTTTCAGAACTCATGGGGAAAAGCTGAGACAGAAAAAAAGAAGAAAGTAAGAAGCTGGCAGAAATCAGCTAGGAACCTTGAGAGACTTGGTATTTCATTGAAAGGTAAGATAGGAGTGTTTTGACTCCCGTCGTCCCTAAGGAAGACCACCAGTATCTGAACTGTCGGAGAGCTCCTCTGCCCTCACAAAGCCAAACACTGATGTGCATGGCGATTTGGGAACTTCTGGAGGGCATCACACCAGACAACCAACTTGCGCTGGGTCACCTGTCCCTCCTCCAGACTCGGGCAGTGTTGGCAGGGTGCCATATTAGGAGTGTAGCCATCAGGGGACTGTGTCCTTCCCAGGGAACCCCAACCTTTGTATATTCACATCACAGAAGCTCCTGCAGCCATGCCCCCAGTGCCCACTTGGATTGTGGCAGCCACACAGGGCTGGCTGGACCCAGTGGAGCTGCAGGGTTCCCAGTGGTCTAGCCATCAGGGATTGCTGCTCCTAAGGAAAGGGAGACTGCAGTACACAAAAAAAGTACCAGTTGGGACAAAGGAGGCCAGGCCATGTACTCATCTGTGTCCAAGAGCTCCTTGTTTGTGGGCTGAGTGACTGCACCACTTCCAGCAGAGTCGTGGACACTGTGTTCAGCTCTGCGCTGAAGGAGTGTAGTTCCATCCCAGCAGCCAAGCAGCCCCAGTGCTTAGAATCAGGCATGGAAAGGGGAAATTCTCCTGCCCTTCCCCCATCCACCACTGCTTCAAACACAGCATGGCCACTCCCATGGGAAATTGGCACGTGTGCCAGAGAAGAGCCTTTCTAGGGCTATCAGGGGTGACTGTGTTTCCACTGGCAGTGTGGCCATTTGGGCCAGGCTTGTGTGAAAGACAGGGCCCTTTCCCCTCTCTACAGGGAGTGCTAGCATTCCTGCAGTGGAGAGCAGGAAAGCTGAAAAGCTATGTGCAGGCCAGGCGCGGTGGCTCACGCCTGTAATCCCAGCACTTTGGGAGGCCGAGGTGGGCGGATCATCTGAGGTCAGGAGTTCAAGACCAGCCTGACCAACATGGAGAAACCCTGTCTCTACTAAAACTACAAAAACAATTAGCCAGGCGTGGTGGCGCATGCCTGTAATCCCAGGTACTCAAGAGGCTGAGGCAGGAGAATTGCTTGAACCTGGGAGGTGGAGGTTGCGGTGAGCTGAGATCACGCCATTGCACTCCAGCCTGGGCAACAAGAGCAAAACTCCATCTCAAAAAAAAAAAAGAAAAAGAAAAGCTATGTGTTTGGGGTTGAGGGAGGATGCTCTGCACCAAAGACATTTAAATGGTGAGCTGAGGAGAAGACATCTTTAATGAGTCTCAACTACATTGCAGTTGGAGATAGAGAGTAGTGTCTGGTCAATTTGAGTTTCCCTGATGCCAGGACTAGGGAATGACAGGGAAATGGATGGCATTCCTGCCTGGCCAGGTCATGAAGCTGGGGCAGCCCTCTCCTCATCTGTGGAGACCTAGGCACGTTTCACCAGAAGTTTCCCATGCCACCACTCCTGCCTGAAAGCTGCTGCCTGTGCTCACCATTGTGGGGCAGGCTTGGGGATCCAGCTCTACTCAGCTATGTCCCCCTCTCTGGTGCTGAGCAGGGAGCCCAGGCTGCTGTACATTCCACTTACCAGCACATTTCCTGAGGCAACAGAGAACTTTTCTAGGTATACAATGATGAAGCATATACTCACGTGCTTCTGCCACATAGGCTTTTAGGCATAAGCCCACCTACTGTTCTGGAGGCTGAACCACGCACCTCAATACAAATCAGTTGACAAAAGGGCACATGAGTGGAAATAAACTTCTCATCTCTTCCAAAAGAGGAAATGAGATAAACTTCTTAAACCTCTGCCATCCTGGCCCTGCAGGAGGCTGTGAGCCTGTTCACACTCCCAGTACATCACCACCACAACTGGCATTTGAGAAAGCCACCATACAAAGGCTATCTATAACCAGGGGACAACTACAGAGTCTTTGCCACTGAAAGCATTCACAACCAAATGCAAAGGACCTTAAACAACATACATTATAGTCACATTGTAAAGGGAAAAAAAAATCCTGCCCAAATGAAATAAATTCAAAAATAAGAAGAGAAAGTTTCTACAGATGAGAAGGAACCAAAGAAATGATTCTGGAACTCTCTATGTTTTCTATTTTTTAAGTAAGTCCTTTGTTTCTCTGTTGAAAACAGTAGAATGTTTTGAAAACATACTCTGAAAAAATAGAGTGTTATGACATCCCCAAAACATTACACTAACTTTCTAGCAATAGATCCTAACAAAAATAAAATCTTTGAAATACCAAATAAATAATTCAAAATAATGATTATAAAGAAGCTCAATGAAATCCAAGAGAAAGTTGAAAACAACACAAAGAAATGTAAAAAATCAATTCAGCATATGAATAAAAAATTTACCAAGAGAAAAATATTTTTAAAAAAGTAAACCACCTGGGCTGGGCGCGGTGGCTCACGCCTGTAATCCCAGCATTTTGGGAGGCTGAGGCGGGCAGATCACGAGGCCAGGAGATCTAGACCATCCTGGCTAACACAGTGAAACCTCGTCTCTACTCAAAATACAAAAAATTAGCCAGGCCTGGTTGCAGGCGCCTGTAGTCCCAGCTACTCAGGAGGCTGAGGCAGGAGAATGGTCTGAACCCGGGAGGCGGAGCTTGCAGTGAGCCGAGATTGCGCCACTGCACTCCAGCCTGGGCGACAGAGCGCGACTCCTTCTCAAAAGAAAAAAAAAAAAAAAAAAATTAAACCACCTGGAAATAAAAAATTCATCAAAGTAGTTCCAAATGCAGCTGAAAGCTTTAACAATAGACTAGACCAAGCAGAAGAAAGAATTTCAGAGCTTGAAGACAGGTCTTTCAAATTAACCCAGTCAGACAAAAAGAAAGAAAAGAGAATTAAAATATGAACAAAGCCTTCAGGAAGTATGGGGTTATGTAAAACATCTGAACCCATGAATCATAGGTATTCCTAAGGGAGAATGAAGGGTAAAAAGTGTGGAAAATCTACTTGAGGAAATAATTGAGGAAAACTTCCCTAACCCTGGCTAGAGATTTAAAATCCAGATAGAAGATACTTAGAGAACTCCTGGAAAATACATTGCAAGATGGACTTCACCAAGACAAATAGTCATCAGACAATCTAAACTCAATGTAAAGGAAAAAAAATCTTAAAATGAGCAAGAGAAGAGAAAAAGTGTCCTAAAAACCTATATAGGAAATTCCATCAGTCTAACAGTGGATTTTTCAGGCCGGGCACGGTGGGTCACGCCTGTAATCCCAGTACTTTGGGAGGCTAAGGTGGGTGGATCACGAGGTCAGGAGATCGATACTGTCCTGGGTAACACAGTGAAACCCCGTCTCTACTAAAAATACAAAAAATTAGCCGGGCGTGGTTGCAGGCGCCTGTAGTCCCAGCTACTCGCGAAGCTGAGGCAGGAAGGAGAATGGCGAGAACCCGGGAGGCGGAGCTTGCAGTGAGCCGAGATCGCGCCACTGCACGCCAGCCTGGACCACGGAGCGAGACTCCGTCTCAAAAAAAAAAAAAAAAAAAAAAAAAAAAAAAAAAAGCACTGTGAAAATCCCTATCCTGTTTGTTCCTATCTAATTACTGGGACATGCAGCCCCTAGTCACATAACCCCTGCTTGCTCAATCGATCACGGCCCTCTCAAGCGCACCCCCTTAGAGTTGTGATCCCTTAAAAGGGACAGAAATTGCTCACTGGGGGAGCTCGGCTCCTGAGACAGGAGTCTTGCCGATGCCCCCGGCCGAATAAACCCATTCCTTCTTTAACTCGGTGTCTGAGGAGTTTTGTCTGCGGCTCGTCCTGCTACAATATGGCGCCATTGCACTCTAGCCTGGGCAACAAGAGCCAGACTCCTTCTCAAAAAAAAAAAAAAAAAAAATTGCGGCCGGGCGCGGTGACTCACACCTGTAATCCTAGCTCTTTGGGAGGCTGAGGTGGGCGGATCACGAGATCAGGAGTTAGAGACCAGCCCGGCCAGTATGGAGAAACTCCACCTCTATTAAAAATACAAAAATTAGCTGGGCATGGTGGCACGCACCTGTAGTCCCAGCTGCTCAGGAGGCTGAGGCAGGAGAATCGCTTCAACCTGGGAGGCGGAGCTTGCAGTGAGCCGAGATCGTGCCACTGCACTCCAGCCTGGCTGACAGAGCGAGATTCTGTCTCAAAAAAAAAAAAAAAAAGAAAAGAAAAGAAAAAAAAGAAAAACAAGCAAAGAGTGGTGATGAAATTTGAAAGAAGGGACTAGGCCGGGCGAGGTGGCTCACGACTAATCCCAGCGCTTTGGGAGGCTGAGGCAGGCAGATCACCTGAGATCAGGAATTCAAGACCAGCCTGGCCAACGTGGTGAAAACCTGCCTCTATTAAAAATACACAATTAGCCGGGTATGGTGGTGCGTGCCTATAAATCCCAGCTACTTGGGAGGCTGAGGCAGGAGAATCGCTTGAACCCAGGAGGCAGAGGTTGCAGTGAGCCCAGATCGCGCCATTGCACTCCAGCCTGGGCGACAAGAGTGAAATTCCCTCTCAAAAAAAACAAAAAAGTAAAGGAAAAGAAAAGAAAAGAAATAGCATATAGTAGCATATAAATTCCCAAACATTAAACAATTGCCTTTGTTCATATAAACAATAAAAAGTTAAAATTTTTGTGAGGCGATAACCTCATATATAATAGAAACAAAAAGGTTTTTAATGAAAAAAATTACTAAGAAGTGTGCAAACTTTAAATGAAAACATTAAAACACATCTGAAATTTAAAAATTAGATATGAACAAATCGGGCCGGGTGCGGTGTCTCACGCCTGTAATCTCAGCACTTTGGCAGGCTGAGGTTGGAGGATCACCTGAGATCAGGAGTTTGAGACCAGCCTGGCCAAGTGGTGAAACCCTGCTTCTACTAAAAATACAAAAATTAGCCGGGTGTGGTGGTGTGAGCCTATAATCCCAACTACCTGGGAGGCTGAGGCAGGAGAATGGCTTGAACCTGGGAGGTGGAGGTTGTGGTGAGCCGAGGTCACACCACTGCACTCCAGCCTGGGTGACAGAATGAGAGTCCATTTCAAAAAAAAAAAAAAAAAAATGAAGAACTTTTTTTTTTCTTTTCCATAAGTTCTTGGGTTACAGGTGGTATTCGGTTACACGAGTAAGTTCTTTAGTGGTGATTTGTGAGATTTCGATGCACTTATCACCCGAGCAGTATACACTGCACCTTGTAGTCTTCTGTCCCTTGCCCCCTCCTACTCTTCCTCCCAAGTCCCCAAAGTCCATTGCATCATTCATATGCCTTTGTGTCTTCATAACTCAGCTTCTACATATCAGTGAGAACATACGATGTTTGGTTTCCCATTCCTGAGTTATTTCACTTAGAATAACAGTCTCCAATCTCATCCAGGTCACTGAAAATGCTGTTAATTCATTCCTTTTTATGGCTGTGTAGTACAGAAGAACATTCTCAAATAGGAAGACTATACAGCACATTTGCAGAGTAAATTTTCAAATGTAATACCTCTTAATCAAAATGCCAACAACTACTTTTTTTCTCAAGCTAGACAAGTAGATTATAAAGTTCACATGAGAAAATAAATAAGAATAATTAGAAAATCCCTTGGGGGAAAAAAACAAATTGAGAATTGGGTGTCTAGTTATGCCTAATAGTTAAATATTTTACAAATTCCCTGTCACTAGAACAGTGTGGCACTGGTGAATGAATAGACCAACCAATGGAACAGCACAGGAAGTCCAGAAACAGCCAAGTGCATAGCAACCTAGTCCTCATTTAATGACTTTAATTCATTCCTGGGCATTGTGCCACTAAATAAAAAGTATTAAACCAGGCTGGGTGCGGTGGCTCACGCCTGTAATCCCAGGAAATTGGGAGGCCAAGGCCGGCGGATCACCTGAGGTTGGGAGTTTGAGACCAGCCTGACCAACATGGAGAAACCCCCTCTCTACTGAAAATACAAATTAGGCAGGCGTGGTGGTGCATGCCTGTAATCCCAGCTACTCGGAAGGCTGAAGCAGGAGAATCGCTTGACTTGAACCCAGGAGGCAGAGGTTGTGGTGGGCCAAGATCGGGCCATTGCACTCCAGCCTGGGCAACAAGAGCGAAACTCTGTCTTAAAAAGGCCGGGCGCGGTGGCTCACGCCTATCATCCCAGCACTTTGGGAGGCCGAGGCGGGCGGATCACTAGGTCAGGAGATCGAGACCATCCTGGCTAACGAGGTGAAACCTCGTCTCTACTAAAAATACAAAAAAATTAGCCGGGCGTGGTGGCGGGCACCTGTAGTCCCAGCTACTCTGGAGGCTGAGGCAGACGAATGGCGTGAACCCGGGAGGTGGAGCTTGCAGTGAGCCGAGATCCCGCCACTGCACTCCAGCCTGGGCGACAGAGAGAGACTCTGCCTCAAAGTGGAAAAAATGGTACAGAGGCCGGGCGCGGTGGCTCACGCCTGTAATCCTAGCACTTTGGGAAGCCGAGGAGGGCGGATCACGAGGTCAGGAGATCGAGACCATCCTGGCTAACAGGTGAAACTCAGTCTCTACTAAAAATACAAAGAATTAGCCCGGCACGGTGGCGGGCGCCTGTAGTCCCAGCTACTCGGGAGGCTGAGGCAGGAGAATGGCGTGAACCCGGGAGGCGGAGCTTGCAGTGAGCAGAGACAGCGCCACTGCACTTAAAGGGCGAGACTCCGTCTCAAAAAAAAAAAAAAAAAAAAAGAAAGAAAGAAAGAAAGTGATACAGAAGTGAAAGAGATGTTTACCTATTGAGCAAAAGGTGTGAGGGTGTGTGTGTGTGATAAATGATACTAGAAAAAAAGAGAGCAAATGAATGATATTGTATTCTCTTCATAGTTAAGGTGTTCTGCTGTTTATTTTTTGTGGGGGGAGGGGGGCGCGGGGCGGACAGAGTCTCACTCTGTCGCCCAGGCTGGAGTGTAATGGCGCGATCTCGGCTCACTGCAAACTTCTGCCTCCCTGGTTCACGGGATTCTCCTGCCTCAGCCTCCTGAGTAGCTGGGATTACAGGCACGTGCCACCACGCCCGGCCAATTTTTGTATTTTTAGTAGAGATGGGGTTTCACCATTTTTGTCAGGCTGGTGTTTATATGATATTAATAAACAATGAAAGATAAAGAAAAGATCTGAATCATTTGCATTTTCAGGAAAATTGTTACACATCAGAAAATCTGTCAGGAAATATTTGAGACTCCATCACAATCATTGCCCCTTAAACACACCCATCAAGACGACTATTCTTCCTCCTTTAGAGAGTAAAATGAACCTTCAGTACATTGAGTTTTGTGGAATTCTTACCTATTTACTCTGAAGTTTCTATTTACTACTTACATACCTTTGTTTTCATTGCTCTATTGATATATCTACCTGCAAAGTTTTCTGTGAGTCCTCTATTGTTATAGAATGCACCATAATTTTTTCCATTAGGAAAATTAAATTTTGTTTACTCTTTTTTTTTTTTTCTTTGAGACAGAGTTTCACTCTTGTTGCCCAGGCTGGAGTGCAATGGCATGATCTTGGCTCACTGCAACTTCCACCTCCCGGGTTCAAGCAATTCTCCTGCCTCAGCCTCCTGAATAACTGGGATTACAGGCATGTGCCATCACACCTGGCTAATTTTCTATTTTTAGTAGAGACAGGGTTTATCCATGTTGGTGAGGCTGGTCTCAAACTCCCAACCTCAGGCAAAAAAAAAAAAATTCTCAATGTGGTGGTGGTGTTGGAGGTGGGGCTTAGTGGGAGGCGTTTGGGTCATCAGGAGCAGATCCTTCATGAATAGATTAATGTCCTCCCACATGAGCGAGTAATTTATTACTCTGTTGGGGCTAGGTTAGTTACCAAAAAGCAGGTTGTTATAAAAGCAAGTTTGGTTTCCTAGACTCTCTCTTGCTTCCCTGTCTCCCCATGTGATGTTTTTGCACATGCCACTCACTTTTCCCCTTCTCCACCATGTTTTGACCTAACATTTGGCCTTCACCAGAAGTTTGCCAGATCCAGCACTATCCTGTTGAACTTCCCAGCCTGCAAAATCATGAGCTAAATAAACATCTTCTCTTTATAAACTACCCAGTTTCAAGTTATTCTGTTATAGTAGTACTCAACATACTAAGACAGTCATTGAAAACAAAGTCAACCTGGAGGAGCCTTAAGGAGACATGATTAGGACTAAATACAATGTGATATCCTCGATGAAATCCTGTGACAGAAAAAGGAAGTTAAAAGAACTAATGAAACCTGGCTGGGCATGGTGGCTCACACCTGTAATCCTAGCACTTTGGGAGGCCAAGGCGGGTGGATCACTTTAGGTCAGGAGTAAGAGACCAGCCTGACCAACATGGTGAAATCCTGTCTCTACTAAAAATACAGAAATCAGCCAGGCACGGTGGCATGTGTCTGTAGTCACAGCTATTCAGGAGGCTGAGGCATGAAAATCATTTGAACTCGGGAGGTGGAGGTTGCAGTGAGTGGACATCATGCCATTGCACTCCGGCCTGGGTGACAGAGCAAGACTTTGTTTCAAAACAGAAAGAGCTAATGAAATCGAAATAAAGTTTAGTGATACTATATTAATATTGTCTCACTGGTTGTGAAAAATGTATAATAGTGATATAAGATGTTAACAATGGGGCTGGGGACAGTGGCACACACCTGTAATGCCAGCACTTTGGGAAGCTGAGCGGGTAGATCACCTGAGGTCAGGAGTTCGAGACCAGCCTGGCCAATGTGGTGGAACCCTGTCTTTACTAAAACTACAAAAACTAGCTGGGCATGGTGGCACGCACCTGTAATCCTAGCTACTCAGGAGGCTGAGGCAGGAGAATGGCTTGAAACCCGGAGGCAGAGGTTGCAGTGAGCCGAAATCGTGCCACTGCACTTCAGCCTGGGCGACAGAGTGAGACTCCCTCAAAAAAAAAAAAAAATATGTTAACAATGGGGAGCTGAGTGTGACATATGTGAGAACTATGTATTATCTTTTCAACTTTTGTGTAATCTAAAAGTATTCTAAAATTAATAAGTTTATTAAAAACAACAACAACAACAACCCTCAGAAGAGGAAAGGAATAGGGAGTTAAAGAAAAAACAGTATACTTTTTAGTTTTCCCAGGGTTTCCTATCAAGGGGCTGCGAAGAGGGAGAAAAGATTGGAACCTCAGAGACAGTGCGGGGCTCCAGAGTTCTCTTGTCCTCTGACTACTGGGGCTGCTCAGAAATTGTCTTCATCCCCCTATTGATGTCAGGTTCCAGGGTCAGCCACCTCTGCCCAACTCAGACCACAGACATCCCAGCCTTTTCTGATTGCTCAATTTGTGTCTGAGACACCAGAGAGGTGCCACCCCCAAGTGGCCATAGACCTGAGGACAGACGACCTGAGCCCCCTTTTCTTCTCGCTGTGGACCTCCCCTGCGTCTCCTTGGGCTCCCAGAAGTCAGACAGGGTTCTTCATGCAAGGGCAAGTGTTTTAGTCTTTTTGGGCTGCTATTAAAAATTATATATTATAGACTGGGAAACACTGCCCTAGCCAAGTGATGGAGGTTAACATAATCATTTGATAAATCAACTGGGTAATATACACTCTTGGTATGTTGTATTGAGAGTATTGCATTTCATCTCTGTGCTCTTCTTCCCCCAAACCTATAGCCCTGTCAACCACACTCAAATTAAGGAACATTTTACAATATGCCTCACTAGTACTCCTCAAGAAATACCAAATTATCAAAAACGAGGTCTGAGAAATTGTCACAGACCAGAGGAGGCTAAGGAGATATAAAGGGGACTAAATGTAATGTATCCTGGATGGGATCCTGGAACATAAAAGTGATGTTAGGGAAAAGAATAAAATCCAAATAAAATAGGAGTTAGTAACAATGTATCAATATTGTTTCATAACCTGTCACAAATGTATAATAAAATAAGACATTAATAATAGGGGAAACTGAATGTGGAACATACGAGAATTATGTACTATCTTTGCAACTTTTCTGTAAATCCAAAAATATTGTAGATTTGATTTGATTTGATTTGATTTTTGAGACGGAGTTTTGCTCTTGTTGCCCAGGCTGGAGTGCAATGGCGCGATCTTGGCTCACCGCAACCTCCACCTCCCAGGCTCAAGAGATTCTCCTGCCTCAGCCTCCTGAGTAGCTGGGATTACAGGAATGCACCACCATGCCCGGCTAATTTTGTATTTTTAGTAGAGAGAGGATTTCTCCATATTGGTCAGGCTGGTCTCAAACCCCCCACCTCAGGTAATCCATCTGCCTCGGCCTCCCAAAGTGCTGGGATTACAAGTGTGAGCCACCGTGCCTGGCCAATATTTTAGATTTTAAAAGGATATTTTTATAACTAGTGCTCAGGAAAGAAAAAGAAAGTGGAAGTAAAAATTATCTACTTTTCGGGCGGCTGACCTTCACTCCCTCATTGACAGCCAGCCTCCACACCAGCCATATCTGTCCAGTTTAGACTGCAGCCCAGTCCTCTCCCAGGCTGCTCAATCAGAATCCAAGAGAGCAGAACATCGGCACTTGTGTGTGGTCACCGGGCTGAGAACAGAAGACCGGACTCTTTTGGCCTCCTCCTCAGGTTGAGACCTCCCCATTGTCACCTTTGGCTTTCAGCAACTGGACAGGACAACGTACCCAAGGGGGCGCCCCAGTCCCGTGTTAGGCTCGGAATCTGAAGTGTTTCCCAAATCCACGCTGACATAGATGTTTCCTCTCCACCTAGTGACCGTGGATTCTGACCTCGGGACAGAGCGAGGTTTCCAGGCCAAAACAAGTGGTTCCCAGGTTACAAGTGGACCCCACAAACATACTGTCACTTCTGCTGCTGCTTCCAGGGATAAATGTGGCTTATCCTGGGGACCAACCCCTACTCTCCATCCCTAGGATGGGGGAGAGGAAGGGAAATTCTCAGGGCATTGGCCTAGGGAGTTGGAGAAGCTGCTGGTGAAGTGAAAACAGGAGCAGAATAGGGACATTAGAGGTAAAGGGGCATAGAAAGGAATCAGCTCTGATGACACCTGTGTAGGATAAATGGGTTCTGCTTGGGGAGAGGCTCACAGGTTTCTAACTGGGATGGTGTTTTTAACATGGATGATAATTATAGCTGTGTCAGTTTTACAAGCGATCAGAAAACTACACTTAAATTTTAGGCAATTTTTGTGCTTACAGAGATAGTATAATGCGCTTACACACGAAGAAAGGGAAGAAGACAAGGGGAGAAGAAGTGATTATAGGAATTAGGTTCCTGTTTCCTTGCTAGCTGTCAACCAAGGGTTGCTCTCAGCTTCTGGAAGTTACCTGCATTCTTTTGCTCATGGCCACCTCCATCTTGAAACACAGCCATGGTACACTGAATACTTCTTTTGCTTTGAATCTTCCCAACTTCTCTTTGATCTTTGTTTTTTCTGCCCCTTAAGGAGTTCATGTGGTTAGATCAGGCCCAACCAGATAACCTGTTTTATGGTCAATTGTCTTGGGACTTCAATTACAACAGCATAATCCCTACATAGTGGTGCAGATGGTCCCTGATTTACGATGGCTCAACTTACAGTTTTTCAACTTTATGATGATGTGAAAGCAACACACATTCAGTATAAACTGTACTTTGAATTTTGATATTTTCCTGGGTTAGAGAGTATGATACTCTGTGACGGTGCTGGACAGCAGTAGTGAGCTGCAGCTCCCATCAGCCACACAATTATGATGGTAACAACTGATACTGTACTCTATACTGTACTGTATGCAACCAGTTACATGAGATAGTCAACACTTTATCATACAAGGGGATTTGTGTTAAGTGATTTTGCCCAACTGTAGGCAAATGTGTTCTGAGCACATTTAAGGTAGGCTAGGCTGAGCTAATATATTCAGTAGGTTAGGTGCATTAAATACATTTTCCACTTGAAAATATTTTTCAGTTACAATGGTTTTATTGAAACATAACCCCATTTTAAATTGAAGAGCATCTGTACTTTGATTAGTATTTGACTGAATAACCAGGGGAAGCAATCTTGAGGGGGAAAGCATCTTTAGAATTCTGCCTATCACAGTACCTTGGGGGACTACTGCAAATGAATGTATCCCATTAGAACTTCTCTACACCTCTAATCACCTTTTGTCTTAAAGTGGCTGAGGTGAGATAAAGGGATCTAAAGGGATTGGGAGCATGGAGGGAGAAACAAGTTCTGTTCCATTAAAGTCACGCATTTACTTTCAGTTTCTTTCTGCATGGCAAGCTTTCAGTGTTCTCAGCCCACCCAATACTTTATATTGGGCAGAAACATCCTGATGGCTGATGCCATCAGTTTTGGCCTTGGATCTAGCACCCACAGCCATAGGCTCTGGCTGAGTCCATGGGGTTTGCACCTTCAGGCTGACTTGAGCTTGACTTGCACAGGGGTAACCTTGAATGAGGAGGATTCCATCCATTACCAAGTTAACATTTTTAAAGTTCTCATCAGGTTTCAACATAAGGGCTAGGGGAATTTTTCAGAGGAACAGGGCTGACTGCAAGCATTTATTTACATTTCTTTAGGTCAGTTTGTTTTTCATCAATGGATCGCCTTCGTCAGTACGGTAACACCAACCCAGAGTACTAAGAGGCTGAATATGCACTTGATTTCCCATAGTACTTTGTCTCAGGGAAATCTTACCTAGAGGACCAAATCTTCCTGATGGCAGTCAGGGCTCACTGCGATGAAAATATGAGACCTTTTACTGTTGCCTACAAATGGATCTAAGGTTGGGCTCGCAGACTGCAGAAGGTGCTGATCTGTAAGGCAGCACAGTTGTTGCCATTCTTTCTTAACAAGCATTGACATGCTACCTCCTTATACCCTCAAGGTCTCAACTCCCAGATGATCCAGCTAAAGTGTAATGATTTGTTTGGCTCTGCCAATAGCTATTGTTAATTTCCCTCCTTTCACATTCACTGTGCGTCTCTGTAATTTTCTGCGGAAAAATTGCAGATACTAGGATGAAATAACTTTTGTCAGACCCAGATAAAATAGGGCCAGGCCAGGCACGGTGGCTTACGCTTGTAATCCCAGCACTTTGGGAGGCCGAGGCGAGCGGATCACCTGAGGTCAGGAGTTCGAGACCAGCCTGGCCTACATAGTGAAACCCCCATCTCTACTAAAAGTACAAAAATTAGTCGGACGTGCTGGCATGTGGTTGTAATCCCAGCTACTGGGGAGGCTGAGGCACGAGAATTGCTTGAACCTGGGAGGTGGAGGTTGCAGTGAGCCAAGATCACACCATTGCACGCTAGCCTAGGTGAAGAAGCGAGACTCTGTCTCAAAAAAAAAAAAAAAAAAAAAAAAGGCCAGGAAGGCATGAAGGAGAGGAACGTCATGCTTACATGTTTGAAGTAAGAATTGTTAAGTTGGGCGTGGTAGCTCATGCCTGTAATCCCAGCACTTTGGGAGGCCGAGGTGGGTGGATCACCTGAGGTTGGGAGTTCGAGAACAGCCTGACCAACATGGAGAAACCCCATCTCTACTAAAAATACAAAATTAGCCAGGCATGGTGGTGCATGCCTGTAATCCCAGCTACTAGGGAGGCTGAGGCAGGAGAATCGCTTGAACCCGGGAGGCGGAGGTTGCGGTGAGCCGAGATCATGCCATTGCACTCTAGCCTGGGCAACAAGAGCAAAACTCTGTATCGAAAAAAAAAAAAAAGGAAAAGAAAAGAATTGTTTCAAAGGACTTTTTAAAAACTCCACAAGAAATCTTTTCTAGGGAGTGGGGAGGGATAGCATTAGGAGATATATCTAATGTTAAATGATGAGTTATGGGTGCAGCACACCAACATGGCACATGTATACATATGTAACTAACCGGCATGTTGTGCATATGTACCCTAAAACTTACAGTATAATTAAAAAAAAAAAAAGAAAAAAGAAAGAAATCTTTTCTAGCCGGGCGCGGTGGCTCACGCCTGTAATCCCAGCACTTTGGGAGGCTGAGGCAGGCAGATCATGAGGTCAGGAGTTTGAGACCAGCCTGACCAACATGGTGAAACCCTGTGTGTACTAAAAAAAAAAAAAAAAAAAAAAAATTAACCGGGTATGGTGGCACGCACCTGTAATCCCAGCTACTCAGGAGTTGGAGGTTGCAGTGAGCTGAGATGGCGCCACTGCACTCCAGCCGGGGCAACAGAGCGAGACTCTGTCTCAAAAAAATAAAAATAAAAAAATAAAAGAAATCTTTTCTTCATCCTTCATGAATGTCCTGTCACAAGGTTTATCAGCAGGCATTCTTTTTTTTTGTTCTGTTTAGAAATAGGGCCTCACTCCATTGCCAAGGCTGGAATGCAGTGGTGCAATCATAGCTCACTGTAACCTCAAACTCCTGAGCTCAAGCAATCCTCCCACCTCAACCTCCTAAGCACCTAGGACTAAAGGCATGTACCACCACACCTGGCCAAGTTGTTTTCATTTTTTCTAGAGAAAGGGTCTTGCTATGTTGCCCAGGTTGGTCTTGAACTCCTGGCCTCCAGCAATCCTCCCTCCTCAGCTTCCCAAAGTGTTAGCATTCCAGGAGTGAGCCACGGGGGCCCAGCCTAGACATTCTTTAGTACTATAGTAATTCAGATAAGATGCTCTTGAAAGAACACTTGCCCAGTAACGGCAATGTCTCCCAAGTAGCTGGGATTACAGGTGTGCGTCACCACCACCGGCTAACTTTTGTATTTTTAATAGGGACAAGGTTTCGCCATATTGGCCACGCTGAGGTCGAACTTCTGACCTCAGGTGATCCGCCCCCTCAGCCTCCCAAAGTGCTGGGATTACAGGTGTGAGCCACCGCTCTCGGCCGCGTGTTTTAATCATAATACTTTGGTCTTTTTTTTTTTTTTTCGTAAATACTTTCCTCTTTTTTTTTTTTTTTTTTTTTTTTTGAGATGGAGTTTCACTCTTTTTGCCCAGGCTGGAGTGCAGTGGCGTGATCTGGGCTCACTGCAACCTCCACCTCCCGGATTCAAGCGATTCTCCTGCCTCAGCCTCCTGAGTAGCTGGGGTTACAGGCGCCCGCCACCACGCCTGGCTAATTTTTGTACTTTTAGTAGAGACGAGGTTTCGCCATGTTGGCCAGGGTGGTCTTGAACTCCTGACTTCAGGTAATTCACCAGCCTCGACCTCCCAAAGTGCCGGAATTACAGGTGTGAGCAATCGCGCCCAGGCTTTTTTTTCTTCTTCTTTTAGAGTCAATTAAGACTGGGAAAGCGAAAATCCTAGCGCTACTTGGGACCAGCAGCTATCAGTTGGTCGGAGGCTCGAAGTGGTGGTGCATGGCCGGGCTGTCTGTGATTCTTAGGATGGGAAGCTTGACCTTGGCGGGCTCACCCTCTCATCTGGGTCAAGGGGCACATTCTCGGTGGCCTGATGACTGGGAGGGAGCGGAAGAGGGCGGGGCCGGGGCGGGGCCGCGGCGCCGGGACTGCGGGTGCTCGGCCGGAGCGCTCCAGCCGCTGGTCCCCGGGAGACCCTGTGCCCCTAAATCGCGGTCCACTGCGCGCGTCAGGTGAGTAGAGCGGCGGCGGGGAGTCGCGCTAGCGGTAGTAGAGGCTGATGTTGGATGTTGTCCCCACTCCTCTGACTCTTCCGCAGGCCAGGGGAGCACTGCGCCCCTAATCTTGGAGGGGCTTCCAACCTCTGGGGTCCTCCGGGGAAACGTGGGTTAGTCTGGGGTGTATCCAGGTGCCCTGTCCACTGTGGGCACTCTGGGGATTCCGGGCCGAGGAAGGGCTCCTGGCACGTGTTGAAAAAGTCGGCATCCCAGAAGGAAGATTCTGGGCAGATGGGCATCGGGGAAGGTAGTCCCAACCAATGGGACCGTTTCTGAGCACATAAGCGTATTCAGTGGGTGCTAACAAGCGCCTGCTTTGCCAGGCAACAGTGAGCAAAACCGGCTTTGTTCCCGGCCACCGGAAGCTTCGAGGCTGGGGTTCCGGATCTGGGCGCGCAATGACAAACTAAGCGCGGGGGACAGGGCCAGGAGCGCCCACCAGGGCGGCGATCTGGTGGGTAGGTGCAGGGCAATGGCTGGAAAGGGTCCCCGAAGCCCTGAGCAGAGACCAAAGGGCCGTGCGACTGCAGGAAGGCCATTTTGCTTGGCTGACAGGCGGAAAACTCACGTGGCTGGAGTAGCAGGGTTGGTGACAACAAGGGTGAATCCCACTAAGCATTGCAACTGTTTGCGGTGTGAGGGGTGAGGGGGATTCTTATCATTCTCACAATTGCCGTGGATAAAGGGTTTTGGGTTGGAGAGAGACTGGGTGCACTCAAAGGACTGAAAGATGGCGACGACACATTCCCTCAGAGGATTTACATTCTGGAAGGGTGGGGACAGGCCCGGGTACAGATAAGCCCGCAGGCGGCCTCCAGCTCTTACAGTCGAAAGTCTGATGAGTTATGCCCAGTCTCCTTCCTCCTCCCGCCGGCATGAGGTTTGGGGCCCTGTGGATGAAGGAAGTTCATGGGAGGCAAACGTGCCTGGGCAAGCAACAGCCGCAGAGATTCAGTCCCCACGGGGGTTAGAATCCACACTTAGGGCCTCTGCCTACCGCCTCCAGCAAATGCCATCTTGAGGACTAGCGGCAGCAGTAGGTCTTCTCTGCCAGAGAACTGGAAGGCCAGGTTCTTGAGGGCACTGTTACTAAGGCGTTTTTTGTTTGTTTGTTTGTTTGTTTTTGAGACGGAGTTTCACTCTCGTTTCCCTGGCTGGTGTGCAATGGCGCGATCTCCGCTCACCGCAACCTCTGCCTCCCGGGTTCAAGCGATTCTCCTGCCTCAGCCTCCCTAGTAGCTGCGATTACAGGCATGCGCCACCACGCCGGGATAATTTTGTATTTTTAGTAGAGACGAGGTCCATGTTGGTCAGGCTGGTCTCAAACTCCTGACCTCAGGTGATCCGCCCGCCTCGGCCTCCCCAAGTGTTGGGATTACAGGCTGAGCCACCGTGCCCAGCCTTATTAAGGCTGTTTTGAAGTGCAGTTGGCTGGAAAGTGGAAGAATAATCCAAGATCTGCATGCCTCATAAAAGGAGTGCGAATGGTTTTGAAAGACAGGAAAGGAAAGGGAGAGAGAGGAAAGAAAGAGAGAGGAAGAAAGGAAGGAAATCAAATTCATATCCCAGGAATGCACCTTTCATGACAACATTTTGGAGATCCAATTAACTCTATTCCTCGAGGGCGTTTTTCCTTGCTGGTATTTTCAGTTCTATTAACACTTCTCAAAAAGTGAAAGGAAAAAATAGTCAACAGGGTTTTTTGGTCTTTATTCTTTTCTTTCTATCTCTAGTAAGGGAGATGTGGGTGAGTGGCTGTCAGCAGGAAAAGGTGAGAGTTCAGCTATGTTTGCATCTGAGCAGGAAATTTCCAAGGATGAGCAGGGAACTCCAGTGCTGGGCTCATTGTGAGCCCTGAATAAGTGATTGCTCTTGGGTTGTTAGCAGTATTCTTCACAAAGATCTGTGTATACAGTGGTTCCCCTTATCCACAGGTGATATGTTCCAAGAGCTCTAGTGGATACTTTGGTTTTTGTTGTTGTTTGAGGCAGAATCTCGCTCTGTCACCCAGGCTGGAGTACAGTGGCACAGTCTTGGCTCACTGCAACCTTCACCTCACGGGTTCAAGTAATTCTGCCTCAGCATCCTGAGCAGCTGGGACTACAGCGTGCCACCACGCCCAGCTAATTTTTGTATTTTCAGTAGAGACGGGGTTTCACCATGTTGGCCAGGCTGGTCTCAAATTCCTGCCCTGAAGTGATCCACCGCGCCCCACCCCAGTGGATACTTTGAAACCATGAATAGTACCAAACCCTGTATACACTATGGTTTTCTTTTTCTATACATACATAATAATGATAAAGTTTAATTTACAAATTAGGCATGGTAAGAGATTGACAACAATAACTAGTAATAAGAACAATTACAGCAATATATTGTAATAAAAGTTGTATGAATGTGGTATCTCTCTCAAAATAATTTATATTGTAAATCTTAGCAACCTCAGCATATGATTATTTTTTCTTTCCTTAAGACAAGAATTTTTACCTTTTTATTTTATGGCTTCTCTTTGCATATCTGAATTTCCAGCGTCTCTACTCTTGTGCTTTTGGGTCATTATTAAGTAAAATAAGGCATTCTTGAGCACAGGCAACTGCTATACTACAGTAGTCAACCTGATAACTGAGATGGCTAGCTACTAAGGAACTAATGGGCAGGTATTGTCTGCAGTGTGGATATGCTAGTCAAAGGGATGATTCACATCCTGGGCAGGCCAGAGAGAAAAGGTACAAGATTTCATCACACTACTCAGAATGTCAAGCAATTTAAAACTTAGGAATTGTTTATCTCTGGATTTTTTTTTGAGACGGAGTCTCGCTCTATGTCCCAGGCTGGAGTGCAGTGGCACAGTCTTGGCTCATGGCAACGTCCACCTCCAGGGTTCAAGTGATTCTCCTGCCTCAGCCTCCTGAGTTGCTGGGATTACAGATGTGTGCCACTATGCCCAGCTATTTTCTTTTTGTATTTTTAGTAGAGACAGGGTTTCACCATGTTGACCAGGCTGATCTCGAACCCCTGACCTCAGATGATCTGCCTACCTCAGCCTCCCAAAATGCTGGGATTACAGGTGTGAGCCACTGTGCCTGTCCTCCGGAATTTTTCATTTAATATTTTTGAACCATGGTTGACCATGGGTAACTGAAGCATTGAAAAGCAAAACCATGATAAAGTGGAACTACTACATGTATTGAAAATCCAGATCACAGAATTGTGTGTGTGTGTGTGTGTGTGTGTGTGTGTGTGTGTGTGTGTATGTATAATTTTGGTCATGGAAGAGATCTTAGAGAGTGTCTCCTTTATTCTCACATTTCTGATGAAACCAAGTCAGAAAGAATAAAGAGACTCACTCGAGGTGATCTGTGACAGATCCTAGCCTGGTTACCCCAGCTACATGATTTCCAATGGTACTGAGTCTAACATTAACATTAGGTTTAAACATTAACTTTTGTAGATCAAGAATGTCCACTTGTCCTTGGAAAATTATTTAGCATCTCTGCATTAGGTCCTTAAGACAGGGCCAGTAATTGTTACCTCATTGCTGAGAGCATCCAGTGGCACACTGTAGGGGTTTAGTAACTGCTGGCATTCCCTGACCAAATAAGGAAGCTGTTTCTTACCCTCCCTCTTGCTGATATGTTTTGTTTTTCTCTGACCTCAGGTTTCTAGAAGCAGGGTAGAACAGAGGGCAGACACCTAGCCCAGGCTGGTGTTGTTACTAAACAATGGCAGCTGGTGAGCCAAGGGTGACCAGGGCCCTGAACTCTGTGGCCCAGCTTTGAGGGAAGCAAAATTGTTCTCAATTGTGGAAGAGGAGAATTTGGACAGCAGAACAAAAAAGGAAGACAGCCTCTTGGAGCAGATACATTTGTCACAGGAAGCCACATCAAACCCTGGGGCCTTTGCTGGGCCTCTCCATCTGCCCAGTTACTGGGAGGTAGATAGCCCCAGGAAGGAATCCAGTCAGGCCTGGGCACCAGGCCAGGAGTGGATAAAGCTAGAAAGAGACACCACAGAAGAGAAGATGTTTGAACAGCTGAAGCCAATCGAACCTGTACAGAAGACGCTCCCATGGGTGGGCGAGGTAGCTGCCACCCTGCAGGAAGCCATGAAGAGAGATTGCTGGAGGGAGGCACGGGTGAAGAAGGTGAGGAGACTAAGCTAGAGAGAGATGGGGTCCAGGTCCTGGACTCCAGGAGCTCTTTCATACATACTCCTGCCTGCAGGTCAAATGAAATCTCAGATTGTTCCAGACTGAACGACATCCAGAAAAAGGAGCTGCAAGACCTTTCTCCATCTCCCACACCATCCTGGCATCCTTCATGGAGTACTTCCTGAAATTTGTTAGAGTGGCAGCATTTTTTCCTTCGCTTTGCTTTCCTGTTTATATTCTGCATATCTGCATATCCTCTTTCCTCTCCCCCACATCTTATCTTTCTCCCTTTCTCTTCATCTTTCCTTTCCTTTATTTTTTTTCTTTTTTTTTTTTTTTTTGAGATGGAGTCTCGCTCTGTCACCCAGGCTGGAGTGCAGTGGCGCGATCTTGGCTCACTGCTACCTCTGCCTCCCGGGCTCAAGCAATTCTCCTGCCTCAGCCTCCTGAGTAGCTGGGATTACAGGCATGCGCCACCATGCCCAGCTAATTTTTGTGTTTTTAGCAGAGACCAGGTTTCACCATATTGGTCAGGCTGGTCTCGAACTCCCGACCTCGTGATCTGCCTGCCTCAGCCTCCCAAAGTGCTGGGATTACAGGCGTGAGCCACCGCATCCGGCCTCCTTTCCTTTCTATACTTCACAGTTGCTGGCCTTGTGTCTGTCTTTTAATATTTCTCTCTTCCTTCCATGGTTTTATCTTTCTCTTAGGTTTTAATTCTCTGAATCTTGAGACTGGATGTTAATCTTGTACACACACACACACACACACACACACACACACACACACACACACATATTTATATAAACTTCTTGAGTCTCTCCTGTTCTTCCAGAAGCCAGTCACCTTTGAGGATGTGGCAGTGAATTTCACCCAGGAAGAGTGGGACTGTCTAGATGCCAGCCAGAGGGTCCTTTACCAGGATGTTATGTCGGAAACCTTTAAGAATCTAACATCTGTGGGTAAGAGGCTGGGCTTCCCTCAGCAAGCCCCCTGTCCTAAGGGCCCTGGAACATCTGGTTTCCCTGGACAGGTAGATCAGCTTACAATTAGTTTCACTGACCCCTGGTTCTATGCTTTCCAGGTGTGAAAGATCTGAGTCACTAAGCTCAGTGGTAAAGAGAAGAAATGATAGCCTGCATGAAGGCAAAGATAACACTTGTAACATGATGACAGTGTTCTCAAAATATGCAAATTTTTCCATTCATCAAACAAATATTTACTAAGTCACTCCTGAGAACCAGGTACTTTGCTAGCAGCTGGCCTTTTAATGTCTCCTTTCCGCATCTACATGTCCCAGGTTATGGTTCTTAAACAAAGGCTACAGGAGGTAGCCTGTTGTCCCCATCAGATGTGAAGGGGCCATACCTGGGACCAACTCAACTCTTTCTCATTCCCACACATCAGCCAGAATCTTTCTGCATAAGCCAGAGCTAATCACCAAGCTTGAGCAAGAAGAGGAACAGTGGAGAGAGTTTGTCCATCTCCCAAACACAGAAGGCCTTTCAGGTAAGAATTGCCAAGCAGGGAGGAAGGGGAAAAGGGCCCAGGATAACCCCTGAAAGGATGGAGAGCTGATGAAGAGGATGAATGCTCTATAGATGCTCTCCTAGTGTACCTCTGTCCAGCCTGGTCAGACTTGGAGTTGAAAGAGAGCTTAATATCATAGGCTCAAGTCCCTTGACTTCAAGTTTTCAAGTTGAAGATCCAAGTCTCTCTCTCTCTCTCTCTTTTTTTTTTTTTTTTTTTTGAGACACAGTCTCGCTCTGTTGCCAGGCTGGAGTGCAGTGGCACAATCTTGGCTTACTGCAACCTCCACTTCCCGGGTTCAAGCGATTCTCCTGCCTCAGCCTCTCGAGTAGCTGGGACTACAGGCATGTGCCACCGTGTCCAGATAATTTTTGTATTTTTAGTAGAGACAGGGTTTCACCATGTTGGCCAGGATGGTCTTGATGTCTTGACCTCAGGTTATCCATCCACCTCGGCCTCCCAAAGTGCTGGGATTACAGGCATGAGCCACCGTGCCTGGCTGGCTGAAGATCTAAGTCTTTCAGGAGAAGTAGATGTCTTCAGTTTCTAGAGATTGAGAGATGACATGAAAGTTGCTTATGTCCATGATAGTGCTCTGATTAAAATGTTCTTTCCAAGAGAAAAGAGAAGCAAAGGAGATAGGTTTCATGCTGGGTTGGAGTAAGGGAGGCTTGTCCCTGGTAGTAAATAGTTGAGAGAGATATCAAGCCAGGCTGATACACTTTTTGGTTTTCCAGGACAGTCCTGGTTTATACTTCTCATCCCAGCTTGATTATTAATAACACCTCTTTTCACCCTCAAGTGGCCCAGTGTTCATGATGCATTATTATGTGGGTGTCTGTGGATTGTCTATGGGAGTTTGAGCAATATTGAGAATGAGATAAGATAGATTTCAAGAAGTGTTGTTGTAAGTTAAAATTTACATTTCTGACAGTGTTGAAAGATTCCAGTTAACTTTTTATTTGCTTCTAATTTGAAAAGCCAATTTTTTCTTTTTTTCTTCTTATTTCTAGCCTATGAGGCCCAAGGGTAAGGATGAATGTGTTGGGTGGGAGAGCAAGGGCAGAGACAAGAAGTGTGTTAGGCTGAATGGAGTGCTGTGTTGGAGTTCTTCTTCTTCCTCTTCTTCTTCTTCTTCGTCTTCGTCTTCTTCTTCTTCTTCTTTTCTTTTCTTCTTCTTCTTCTTCCTTCTTCTTCTTCTTCTCCTTCTCTTCTCCTTCTCCTTCTTCTCCTTCTCCTTCTTCTTCTTCTTTTTCTTTCTTTCTTTTTTTTTTTTTGAGACAGAGTTTCACTCTAGTTGCCCAGGCAGGAGTGCAGTGGCACCATCTTGGCTCACTGCAACCTCCGCCTCCCGGGTTCGAGTGATTGTCCTGCCTCAGTCTCCCTAGTAGCTGAGATTACAGGCAGATGCCATGACGCCCAGCTAATTTTTGTATTTGTAGTAGAGACAGGGTTTCACCATGTTGGTCAGGCTGGTTTCGAACTCCTAACCTCAGGTGATCCGCTGGCCTTGGCCTCCCAAAGTGCTGGGATTACAGGTGTGAGCCACCATGCCAAGCCTCTGTTGGAGTTCTTACAGTGAATTTTGTGTTATTCTTCCTCATTCACTGTAGAAGGCAAGAAGAAAGAGCTTCGAGAACAACATCCCAGTCTGAGAGATGAGGGGACTAGTGATGACAAGGTCTTCCTTGCATGCAGAGGGGCCGGCCAGTGCCCCCTATCTGCCCCAGCTGGGACTATGGACAGGACCCGGGTGCTTCAAGCATCCCAGGCTGGGCCACCCTTTTTTTGCTACACCTGTGGCAAATGTTTCAGCAGGCGCTCCTACCTCTATAGCCACCAGTTTGTTCACAATCCCAAGCTGACTAACAGCTGCAGTCAGTGTGGGAAGTTGTTTCGGAGCCCCAAGTCCCTCAGCTATCACAGACGCATGCATCTTGGGGAGAGGCCCTTCTGTTGCACGCTCTGTGACAAGACCTACTGTGATGCTTCTGGACTAAGTCGTCACCGCCGCGTCCATCTGGGTTACCGGCCCCATTCATGCTCTGTGTGTGGGAAGAGCTTCCGGGACCAGTCTGAGCTCAAACGCCACCAGAAGATACACCAAAACCAGGAGCCAGTGGATGGAAACCAGGAGTGTACTTTGAGGATTCCAGGCACCCAGGCTGAATTCCAGACACCCATCGCCAGAAGCCAGAGGTCCATCCAGGGGCTTTTGGATGTGAACCATGCACCAGTGGCCAGGTCCCAGGAACCCATATTTAGAACTGAGGGTCCTATGGCCCAGAACCAGGCATCTGTACTTAAGAACCAAGCACCTGTGACCAGGACCCAGGCACCCATCACTGGAACCCTCTGTCAGGATGCCAGATCCAACTCTCATCCAGTGAAGCCCTCAAGACTCAATGTCTTCTGTTGCCCCCATTGTTCTTTGACTTTTAGCAAGAAATCCTATCTCTCCAGACACCAGAAGGCCCACCTCACAGAGCCGCCCAACTACTGCTTCCATTGCAGCAAGTCTTTCAGCTCATTTTCCAGGCTGGTCAGACACCAGCAGACCCACTGGAAGCAGAAGAGCTACCTTTGCCCTATCTGTGACCTCTCCTTTGGGGAGAAAGAGGGCCTTATGGATCACTGGAGGGGCTATAAAGGCAAGGACCTGTGCCAGAGCAGCCACCATAAATGCCGGGTGATCCTGGGCCAGTGGCTTGGCTTCTCTCATGATGTCCCCACTATGGCTGGGGAGGAATGGAAGCATGGAGGTGATCAATCTCCCCCCAGGATCCATACCCCCAGGAGAAGAGGCCTAAGAGAGAAGGCCTGCAAAGGAGACAAAACAAAGGAGGCAGTGAGCATCTTGAAACATAAATAAATGGCCTTTCTGACTGAGCTCTTTCTTTGTGTTTAGTTTTCCTGAGGACTGACCTCTGGGGTAATGAGGCTGGAGTAGAGGGAGACAGGTGCGTGGATAAGGAAGGAAATACATAAAAGACAAGGGGTTAGAAGTGTGCTTATGAAAACTTGTATTATTATTTTTTATTTATTTATTTATTTATTTATTTATTTATTTATTTATTTATTTATTTATTTTTGAGACAGAGTCTTACTCTGTCACTCCGGCTAGAGTGCAGTGGCGCGATCTCAGCTCACTGCAACCTCTGCCTCCTGGGTTCAAGCGATTCTCCTGCCTCAGCCTCCGGAGTAGCTGGTATTATAGGTGCCCACCACTATGCTCAGTTAATTGTTTGTATTTTTAGTAGAGATGGGGTTTCACCATGTTGGCCAGGCTGGTCTTGAACTCCTGACCTCGTGATTCGCCCGCCTCGGCCTCCCAAAGTGCTGGGATTACAGGCGTGAGCCACCGCACCCGGCCAAAACTCGTATCTTTATTAATTAGCACCTAGCTTGTTTGTTTGTGTCTGACCATCAAGTAGTAGTTGTTGAATAAACAGTGGATACTCTGATAGATATGAAGATAGGAGAAAAGGATGAGAGGAAGGAAAGATTCTGAGACCTGTGGAAGATGTGTAAGTAGAAGGAAAACATTCTAAAGCAGGCATGTTGCCCAGCTTTCGTTTTTGCTTCCCCAGGTCCCTAGTAGGCTGCCAAGACAAGGAGGAGCTCTGGCTAGTATTCTGTAGGTTTCTCCCCATCTCCAGGTTTGGGTTGGGGCTACTCATATCCTCACTCTTCAGCTCACTCAGCTCTCTCTTCAATGTTTTGCACTCTTCCTCTTCCTTCCCTTCACATGCCTTTCAGTTTTGCGCAATCAGGGCTGGAGTCTTGGAAGAAACAACCACCATTTGCAAAGTTACCATACTGTAATTTTCAGTGAGGAGATTCCTGGCCTCCAGTTCATGGCAGAGACCATCCTGTGTTGCTCTCCAGTACAGGTGTCCTCTGATGGAGAGAGGGGCACCTGCCTGTCCTTAGCCAGAGAGGGCTTCCAGGTGGAAGACTGGAGAGAGAAATGGAAAGAAGGGTAATAAAAATGGGAAAATGAAGAGAAAAGGTAGATGACAGAAGAAGGGAAATCAATTCTACTTGGAATTCAGAGTGTTCCTGAAAGTGCAAATTGGAATGTCCCCATAGCAAAGATGCCAGTGAGTGTGCAACTTGATGGATGAGATGTCCCCAAGGACAAATCCCTGGGCAACCAGGCTCTCCTCCACCCCTGCCAAGATGTGACATCACTCAGAAGGGATTTCCTAGAAGAAGGAGAAAATAACTTGAAAAACGTATGTCAGTAGTTTGTATCATAAAACCATTGAACTAGGGAGAAGAAAAGCCCTTGGGGTCATCTTGTCTCCATTCCTGCCTCAATGGTTGATCTGAGAGGTGAGGCACTGGGCAGTTGCTGTGGAATGGGCAATGAGACCAGCTAGGGTTGGATTCCTGCTTAGGGGCAGTGAAGGAGGAATGGATCAGGTGGCAGATAGGAGTGCCTCCAGCTTCTCTGCCACCTGTAAATGTGTCTCTAACAGCTGGCTTCTTTGCCCTCTACCTCCCAGGAGGAGTCTTCCCTCCACCCAGGCTCTCCAGCTCCTCCTTTCCTCTGGGAATGTGATCCCTCAATAGCCCGCCTCTTCCTCTTGTTGCTTCTGTCTCCCTTTCCTGGCTTTTTATTCTCTGCTTATAACAGAGAGAAGAGAACTTACGTAGCTCTTCAAGGAATTGCCCTGAAAACAAAAAGAAACAAATATGTGATTAGTGGAAGATGAATAGCACCTTCCCCACATCCTCCCTATGGACATTTGGAGTGACCCACACTGCCCTTTCCACTGGGGGATCCCACAGATCCAGTAAGTGGTTCTCTTCACAGTTTCTCAGAAGAGCCTGGGGTTGGGCATGGGGACAGAGGAATAAGGAAATCCCAGCTCCCCTAATCTTGAGTCCTGGTTCTATTCTCTTTTGGCTTCCCATTCAGAGCTGACTTGGTCCCCCACTATTTGGTGGTCTTGCCTGCTGCCCAGCCACTGCACCTGCTAGTCTTCGATGTAGCCAGTTGTAGCAGATGATCAAGGCAACCAAGGGTCCAAGAACCGGCACAATTACAAACAGGGTTATCTTCCAGCAGGGCACCCTCAGAAAGTGGGGATCTGAATTGTTCACCAGAACAAACAGGGTTAACATGTGTTCCCCCTCATGCCCCACCCACCTGTCTTTTTTGGTTCCTTAACCTGGGGTCCTAGAACACCAAAGGACTCTGGGGACAAAATTCAGAAAGTCCATGAACTTGGATGAGAAAAGTACTGCCTCCTTATTTTCAATAACTGGATTTAACATTTTCTTTCATTAAAAATGTAACAACTGCCAGGTGTGGTGGCTCATGCCTGTAATCCCAACACTCTGGGAGTCCGAGACGGGTGGATCATGAGGCCAAGAGTTCAAGACCAGCCAGGCCAACATGGTGAAACCCCATCTCTACTAAAAATGTAAAAATTAGCTGGGCGTGGTGGCACATGCCTGTAATGCCAGCTACTCAGGAGGCTGAGGCAGGAGAATCGCTTGAACCTGGGAGGCGGAGGTTGCAGTGAGCCAAGATCCTGCCCCTGCACTCCAGCCTGGGCCACAGAGCAAGACTCTTGTTGATCCCACCAACACCCATTCCCCCAAGTCTTGGAAAAAACAAAACAAACCAAAACATTTTACAACTAACCACAATATGAGCAGTACCTGTGACTTAATTACCAATGGAAGCCACAGATGTTTTCATTCCCATTAGAGTTATTGCAGAAATCTTGAAATACTGTTTATGTTTATTAGTATGTTGAAATTAAAGGTTATTGGGCTGGGCCTGGTGGCTCATGCCTGTAATCCCAGCACTTTGGAAGGCCAAGGCAGGCAGATCACCTGAGGTCAGGGGTTCAAGACCAGCCTGGCCAACATGGTGAAACCCCGTCTCTACTAAAAATACAAAAATTAGCTGGGCATGGTGGCATGCGCCTGTAGTTCCAGCAACTTGGGAGGCTGAGGCAGGAGAATCGCTTGAACCCAGGAGGTGGAGGTTGCAGTGAGCCGAGATTGTGCCATTGCACTCCATCTCAAAAAAACTTCATCTCAAAAAAAAAGAAAGAAAGAAAGAAAGAAAGAAATTACAGGTTATTAGACTTGCTGCTACATTACTTAATGTATTACTTTGGCTAAAGAAATATTTATGGCCGGGCACGGTGGCTCATGCCCGTAATCCCAGCACTTTGGGAGGCCAAGGCAGGTGGATCACCTGAGGTCAGGAGTTCGAGGCCAGCCTGGCCAACCTGGTGAAACCTAGTCTCTACTAAAAATACAAAAATTAGCTGGGTGTGGTGGCGGGCACCTGTAATCCCAGCTACTCAGGAGGCTGAGAATCGCTTGAACCCGGGAGGCAGAGGTTTCAGTGAGCCTAGATCGCGCCATTGCACTCCAGCCTGGGTGACAAGAGCAAAACTCTGCCTCAAAAAAAAAAAAAAAGAAACATTTATGTTACTATATCACAAATGTGATTATCGGTTGATAACTGTATTTTAGTACAATGATTGTTTTTGCAATCCTATGTGTTCTATTTTATGTGTATATTTAAAAACATTCTGCAAAGGGGTCCTTTAGACTTCACTGGAGTGCCAGAGAGATTCATGGTACAAAAAGGAGTTAAGACCTTTCATAGTCAAGTCCTCCAAAACAAAGATACTATTCCTCCTCTTTGGGTGTGTAAAGATGTGTGTGTGTGTGGTCCACACACTGGTCTAATTTCCTAAATCGTACGATAGAACTCTGTGTGCCAGGTGACAAGAGTAGAGTCACCTACAGCCTCGGGAGGAGGAGCTGTGAAGGAAGTTTGCTCAGAGAAGGTACCATCTGTGCCCTAATGACACCTTCTAGTGTCTGCAACATTTATCTAACAAATATTTGGGTGCTCTTCTGTTGCCATTATCTTTAGGCATTGGGCAATCTGCAGTGAACAAAAAGGCTAGAAACCATGTCCTTGAGGGGTCAATTCCTAGTGGGGCTTGGTGGCTTTTCTATTCCTCTATGAGGTCTTCTCTGATTAGTCATGTTCTGTACTCATGGAAACATCCTGAGTTTGTAAAGCAGAAATATAAGTACAGGTGATACAGTTGTGTCTTGTTTCTGTTTGTTTCACCTCCCCAACCAGACATCAGGTTTACGTGTAAACGATCTATTTACCTCTGTTTTGCCATTCCTGAAAAGAGAGATCATGTGCATAAGGAGTTAAACAGAATAAGATAACGTTTTTGTAAAGTAGTTAGAATAGTGCCTGGCACATAAAAACAGTACATGAGTATTTTTATTATGATTTTACCAATCCTAAATGCAAATGACTTCTTATTTAAAGAAAGAAAAGAGAAGAGAGGAAGGGACTCAACCAGGAGCCAGGGGTCCTTGTTCCCCCAGGTGACTGGAACTAGAGTGAAATACCAAGTTGACCTGGGAGGGCCTAGACATGCCGGAACTTACCAAAAGTCCGGTGGAGATTCTCTGAAAGAGAAACAAATGGAAATGGATTTAGTAGGGCACTCAAAAAGGATCTTTTATCCTGAGTCTTTGTTATTTAATTACTTAAAACTTGTTCTAGGCACGACACACCCACTGTAGAGAAAGGGAAACTGAGGGGAAAACAGGGTATTGAGAGGGAGAGACGGTCCAAGAACGGGACCATTTCCGTTATGCCAAAAAACCAAAAGGCAAGAATTGGGAGAAACGATGACTGGAACTCACCTATCTCTGCTCGAAGTTTTCCTAAAATAGAAAAAGGCAACATTTTAGTTCCTGCATGTTCTGGCTCTCGGTGGGGACCCTCCCACACCCAGCGCCTGGGCCCCTTGTGCAGGCTATTTCTCTGCAGCCTGGAAACAACCTCAGGAGAGTAGGAAGAGCACTGGATTTAAAGCCAATGGTTGCGGCTCTTTCTCTAGCTATAGTCTAGATACAATAGCGAATAAAGAATGTGAGCAATGCTCCAAGCCAGCACAAGCATCCAATACATCCCAGCTGCTCTTCGCCCCTTTTCTTGGATTCTCAGTTCACAGAGCTGCTCCAGCCCACTGCGTTGCCACTTTGTTTATCTAAAGCCACTTCCCATCTGAATGAGGAGGGAGGAGCTGAACATTTAGTGAGTAGCTAGCTACTTTGTGACTGGATTTGTAGTAGGCACTTTGCATGACTTTAATCCTCCCTACAATTTAGGACGAAGGATGTTTTCTCTATTTGACAGACAAGGCAACTGAAGCTTGGAGAATCTAAGAATTTTGCTATAGAGTTCAGTACCTGAGATGGAATTCAAACCCAGGCTGCCTGACTCTAACATTCAGATTCTTTCTGCTCAGCCATGAGGGCTGAAGGCCTTTTTTTGTGTGGAAGAAGTAAACAAGCAGGCATCTGGGATGAATTCAAGGTGAGAGAAAGGACTTTGTTGTTGATCGCACCAACACCCATTCCCCCAGAACATTCCCCATACCCTCCTTGCTACTTTCTCCTCTCCTCTTAGTAACAAATGGGAGGTGGGGCATGGGGAGGAGTGAAGACTCTTCCTGCTCTGGCATTGGGGAGACACTTGGTAGGAGGAGAAGGCTCAGAATGAAAGCTCTAGGCAAAAAAGAGGAGCTTCATCAGCAGCTGAACCTGAGTCCTCAGTGTTGAATGGAGAAAGAGGAAACAATTTTCGAACGCCTACTGTGTGGTAGAGACTTTCACTTCAGTATCTTTATTCAAAACTCCTAATAGCCTAGACCTGTCTGACTTCGAAGCTCACACTCTCCCAAGTTGCATGGAGCTGCTAGGTATGATACAGAGGCCTCAGCTCTACCACTTATAAGTTATATCGGTTTGAGTAAGTCACTGAACTACTCCTGGCCTCAGTTGTATCCTCTGTAAAATGGGGTTACTATATGGCATAGTTAGCTCATAGGGAAATGCTAGGTCCGATTATTCATATGAAAGCATTCCGTAAGATGTAAAACTCTTTCATCATGGAGTTATTTTTTTTCTTTATCACTCAATAGTGAGAAGAACTTCTGAACCCAGAAGTCACTCACAAATACATGTTAAGTGGTGTAGCTCCAAGAAGCCAGCTCATTTAAAGAAAGGATCCTGATCCACCCACCCTCTGCCCTGTACCTCTCAGTCTGTACTGCAGGCAGAGGAAGACGAGGCCAACAGTGATCTGCAGGAGGAGCACAGGCAGCACCGCGAGGAGAACCAGCACTCCAGGGCTCACCCAGTAGAAAGGATCTGAAAGGCAGGACTGACATTTGACATTGTCCAGAGCTGAATCCCCAACACTCAGCATGGTGTCTGGGGCCCAATAAATCAGGTCAAATAAAGAAGTGAATATCATCAGGATTCAAAGAAGGTGACACAGAATTGGTCCCTGAGCTTAGCCCTGAAGGAAAAATGGCTTTTTTTTCCAGGAAATGCTAGTGATTTAGAATGACAAGTGGTTTAAAGTCAAGATTGTGTATTGGGTCAGGCTGGGGGAGTTTTAACGAGCAGCTAAGGGACTTACATCTGAAGTCCCTCAAGGGACTTTTTATTGACGACAAAGTCAAAGGTTCTCTTCATATTATTGTGGTGTATCGCCTACAAGCATAATTAAAATAAACACTAAATTTCAGTTTAAAGTTTACTGAAAATAAATATGTATTTCAAATATGTAGTTCAAGGCTGTGGTGGTGCACTGAAGGATTCCAAGCTGAGAAGTGACCACGTCAGATTTAGCACCTACAGGACTGGAGAACATAGGGAGAAATGTTAAGAGACTGTGATAACAATTAAAGTAAAAAACAACATGAACCTGAACTAGGACAGTGGTAATGGTATAGGAAGTCAGGGGATTCAAAGCTTAAATAGGGAATAAAAAATACATATTTATTTTCAGTAAACTTTAAACTGAAATTTAGTGTTTATTTTAATTATGCTTGTAGGCGATACACCACAATAATATGAAGAGAACCTTTGACTTTGTCGTCAATAAAAATCACAAATATTGGCCAGGTGCGGTGGCTCACACCTGTAATCCCAGCACTTTGGGAGGCCGAGGCGGGCGGATCGCCTGAGGTTGGGAGTTCAAGACCAGCCTGACCAACATGGAGAAACCCTGTTTCTACTAAAAATACAAAATTAGCTGGACGTGGTGGCACATTCCTGTAATCCCAGCTACTCAAGAGGCTGAGGCAGGAGAATCGCTTGAACCCAGGAGGCGGAGGTTGAGGTGAGCCGAGATCTTGCCATTGCACTCCAGCCTGGGCAACAAGAGCGAAACTCCATCTCAAAAAAAAAAAAGAAAAAGAAAAATCACAAATATTTTCACGTCACATTAGAAAAGTCACAGAAATCTCAAACTATCACTTATGTTCATTACTATTTTGAAATTACACTAATTAATAGGGTCACCCTAACTCTTGTTAATTTAATATTTTGATAACTGTATTTTGGTATAAATGTTTTATTTGGTGTATTTAAAACATTCTTCTGGCTAGGTGTGGTGGCTCTCCCCTGTAATCCCACCACTTTGGGAGGCCAAGGCAGGAAGATTGCTTGAGCCCAGGAGTTCTCGAGGCCAGACTGGGCAACATAATGTGAGACCCTGCCTCTACGAAAAAAAATTAAAAATTACCTGGGCATGGTGACACAAGCCTGTGGTCTCAGCTATTCAAGAGGCTGAGTCAGGAGGATCACTTGAGCCTGGGAGGTGGAGGCTGCAATGAGCCATGATCGTGCCACTGCAACCAATCCTGGGTGACAGAGTGAGACACTGTCTCAAAAAAAAAAAAAAATTCTGAGATGGGTCTATCAACTTCATCAGCTTGCGGAAGGTGCATGACACACAACAAAAGGTTAAGAGCCCTCTTCTAGAGCTTTTAAGAAGGTAGTTTACAGCGGGCATGGTGGCTCACACCTGTAATCCCAGCATTTTGGGAGGCCAAGGTGGGTGGATCACTTGAGGTCAGGAGTTCGAGACCGGCTTGGCCAACATGGTGAAACCCTCTCTCTACTGATAATACAAAAATTAGCCAGACATGGTGGTGCAGCCTGTAATCCCAGCTACTTGGAAGGCTGAGGGAGGAGAATTGCATGAACCTGGGAGTTGGAGGGTGCAGTGAGCCGAGATTGCACCATTGCACTCCAGCCTGGGTAACAAGAGCAAAACTCCATCTCAAAAAAAAAAAAAATAAATAAATAAAAGAAAAAAGAAAAAGAAGGTAGCTTACACAGGATTCAGTAACTGAACAGATGTGCAGACCTGGAGATGTGGAGTAGGTTGAGCAATGAGGGAGGGGGACCTTCACTTCTGTGGCTCCCATCTATTTCCCATTCTAGGTCTGCTCCTCAGCATCCAAAAGCCCCACTCTAATCTCCATGTGCCATGCTGCAGCTGAAGCCCTTTTCATCTTGATCTCTGCTTTAAGGGAGCTAAGTAAGGATAATGACATCAAAGGTAGGGATACATCACAGCTAATAACATTAAACTGGTCCAGGAGGGTTGCTTAGGTATAATTACAATCCTTCAAGCTGTAGACTAAGGCTCCTGTCTATCATTGTGTTCCCTAGGGGAAAATGCAGCTACCTTTACTTTCAAGTTCTTAATGGAAGTTACCTGTAGCAATGTGATTTAGCGAGTATGTACTTAAGGGTTTTTTTCTCCCAACCCCCCACATTTTTCCTTTCACAAATAATTAGAAAAGAGAGAAAAGCAGACATTATCAGCCTCCGGATGTAAAGCAACAAGAAGTATAGAGTATCACTGATGAACTATATTTGCCAAAGTAAATCAAACACAAATGTCATTGCACCTCCACATCTATCAGTTTACAGAAAAACACAGGGCATGGAGGACCGTATTACATAGCAACATGGGAATGTCGTCAACAAAATTCAGACCCTGGGAAACCCTAAGGGCAAAGGTCAACAGGTGGGTCTCATTTGAATCTCGCTAAAAGAAACCAACTGTAAGAGTATATTTATGAAACAATCAGGAAAATTTGAACACAAACTGGGTATTTGATGATATTAAGAAATTTTTGTTGAGTTTGTAAGATGTGATAATAGTATTGTGGTTATTTATTTATTTATATTATTGTGTGTGGGGAGGGGGGGCTTTTTTTTTTTTTTTTTTTGAGTCTCACTCTGTTGCCCCAGGCTGGAGTGCAGTGGCATGATCTCAGCTCACTGCAAGCTCCGCCTCCCGGGTTCACTCCATTCTCCTGCCTCAGCTCCCAAGTAGCTGGGACTACAGGCGCCTGCCACCACGCCAGGCTAATTTTGTTTTTGTATTTGTAGTAGAAATGGGGTTTCACCATGTTAGCTAGGATGGTCTCAATCTCTTGACCTCATGATTCGCCCTCCTTGGGCTCCCAAAGTACTGGGATTACAGGTGTGAGCCACCGCGCCCGGCCTATTTATTTTTTAAAAAGTGTTCTTCGCTGGGTGCAGTGGCTCGCGCCTGTAATTCTAGCACTTTGGGAGGCCGAGGTGGGAGGATTGCTTGAGCCTAGGAGTTTGAGACCAGCCTGATCAACATGGTAAAACCCAGTCTCTACAAAAAATACAAAACATTAGCAGTGTGTGGTGGTGTGTGCCTGTGGTCCCAGCTACTATGTAGGCTGAGGTGGGAGGATGGCTTCTGCCCGGGAGGCAGAGGCTGCAGTGAGCAGAGATATGCCACTACACTCCAGCCTGGGTGACAGAGACAGATCCTGTCTCAAAATAAATAAAAAGAAAAAAAAGAAATGATCATGCTGCCTAGGATTTACCTCAGTAATTGAGTAGGGGAGGGTGGTAATGAGTGGGGAGCCGGTGAGGTGGGTGGTCCCTGGATTGACAAGTGCTGCAGCAAGGTGGTAGGCACTTGGAGGCTCATTATAATATTATCTCTGGTTTGTATGTGGTTTTTTTTTTTTGAGACAGAGTTTTGCTCTTGTTGCCCAGGCTGGAGTGCAATGGCGCGATCTTGGCTCACCGCAACCTCTGCCTCCCGGTTCAAGCGATTCTCCTGCCTCAGTCTCTCAAGTAGCTGGGATTACTGGCATGTGCCACCACGCCTAGCTAATTTTGTATTTTTTAGTAGAGACGGGGTTTCTCCATGTTGATCAGGCTGGTCTCGAACTCCTGACCTCGGGTGATCTGCCCGCTTCGGCCTCCCAAAGTGCTGGGATTACAGGCGTGAGCTGCCGCGCCTGGCATTTGTTTTTATGTTTCATAATGAAGAATTTAAAGAAAGGATTAGAGACAACTAGTAATAAAATCACAAAAATGACAAGAAAAAAATAAGTAAACAAGAGAAATTAGAAACTCTTCAGAGAAAGAGCAGAGGTAGTTACACCTGAGACTTGCAATAATACCATTACTTCATCTCATTCCTAAATTTGTCTCAACTTCCTGGCTCCAAAGCCTAGACAAAGCGTCCCTTATTTACTTGTAAAACAGTTTCTTAGGCATGCAGACGAAGAGGTGGGAACAGGAGGTTGGAATGTGGATAGCAACCCAAAAGAGAACTTTCTCCCCTGAGGCAAAGTCTTTAGCTGCTTTTCTTTTTGTCTTCCTTGTTTTTTTTTTTTTTTTTTTTGAGATGGAGTTCCACTTTTCTTGCCCAGACTGGAGTGTAATGGCACGATCTTGGCTCACTGCAACCTCCGCCTCCGGGGTTCAAGCGATTCTCCTGCCTCAGCCTCCCAGCTGGGATTACAGGAATGCGCCACCACGCCAGGCTAATTTTGTGTTTTTAGTAGAGACAGGGTTTCTCCATGTTGGTCAGGCTAGTCTCGAACTCCCGACCTCAGGTGATCCACCCGCCTCGGCCTCCCAAAGTTTTGGGGTTATAGGTGTGAGCCACCGCAACCGGCTTGTCTTCCTTTTTTGGTGTGGTGAAACTGAGGGAGTTTGTTGGGAGAGGCAGTTACTGAGCTAGGAAGTTGTTGAGCAGGAAGGAGAAAAATCTGCAAACTGGAGAGGGTCTCACTATCAAACTTTTCGGCAAGTAGAATTTCCCCAATAAAAACAGCTGTATGAAGAACATTCTGAGACACATAAAGCTATTTCCATATCCCTGCAGGCAGTCTCTAGAAATAGTGCTTTGTTGTTCCACATACAATGCCATCTTCTGGTCCCAGCACTGCAATGGTCACTCCCACCTCCAAGATACAATAGTGATCAATTGTCTGATGTTTGCACTGCAGGTGGGGAGGAGGAAAAGGCAGAGGATCTGACCCCCAGGCTCTCAAAGCAGTTTAGTTCCTCAATTAAATAGCAAGTAACTTTCAAAGCTCCCCCTCCATCGGCTTCACCTTGTCCACATCTTAATCATCCTGCGATAGAGCAAAAAATATTCTCCAAAATCACCCATCATGCAAAACATGTTGAAAATGAAATTCTGAGGCCGGGCACCATGGCTCATGCCTGTAATCCCAGCACTTTGGGAGGCTGAGGCGAGTGGATCACCTGAGGTCAGGAGTTTGAGACCAACCTTGACAACCTGGTGAAACCCTGTCTCTACTAAAAATACAAAAATTAGCTGGGTGTGGTGGTGGGCACCTGTAATCCCAGCTACTCGGGAGGCTGAGGCAGGAGAATCACTTGAACCCAGGAGGCGGAGGGCGCCATTGCACTCCAGCCTGGGTGACAGAGCGAGACTCTGTGTCAAAAAAAAAAAGAAAAGAAAGAAAGGAAAAAAAAAAGAAATTCTGCAATTCTGCAGAATGAAATAGTGGAGGTACAGCCAAAAGGTGACATCTCCTTTCTATAATTATATTTAGACATTTGATTTACTTGCTTATTCACTAGGACCAAGCACAGGTGTGTGTGTGTGTGTGTGTGTGCGCGCTCACAAATACAGGGTTTTTTTTTTTTTTTTGAGACGGAGTCTCGCTGTGTCCCCCATGCTGGAGTGCAGTGGAAGGATTTTGGCTCACTGCAACCTCCGCTTCCGGGTTCACGCCATTCTCCTGCCTCAGCCTCCCGAGTAGCTGGGACTACAGGCGCCTGCTACCATGCCTGGCTAATTTTTTTTTTTTTTTTGTATTTTTAGTAGAGACGGGGTTTCACCGTTTTAGCCAGGATGGTCTCAATCTCCTGACCTTGTGATCTGCCCACCTCGGCCTCCCACAGTGCTGGGATTACAGGTGTGAGCCACGGCGCTGGGCCCAAGGGTTTTTTTGTTTTTGTTTTTGTTTTTTTTAGAGACGGGTAGGGAGTGGGGGTGAAGGTCTTTGCTCTGTCACCCGGGTTGGAGTGCAGTGGTGCAATCATAGCTCACTGTAACTGCAAACCCCTGGGCTCAAGCCAGCCTCCCGTCTCAGCCTCCTGAGTAGCTGCGAGGCAAACCACCATGCCCTAGGGTTTTGTTTTTGTTTTTGTATCCTACAGCAGCTTGCTCTTATCACTCAATAATACCTTATAGAAGGCCTCCAAACCATCTGGCCTAGTGCTAAAATAATCTTTTTAATGCCTGCATAATATTCACAGTATGGCTACCATTGTTCATTCTGTCACTTACCTACTCAAAGGCATTGATTTTGATCCCAATTTCCTTGCTACTCTGAATAATGATGCAACAGACATCCCTAAGCATGAGTTTCTGTTTATTGATGTGTACATTTTTATGGAAATCATTCCCAGGACTGAGATGTTTGGGTTGAGGGATCTCATCTCAGTTGAGAGAATAATTGTTCTTGGCCACCCAACAGTTAATACCTAATATTATATGGCACTACTCACCTTCTACTTTCAATTCCATTGCTGCCTCCTCTTGGTAAGAATGATCTCGGAAGAAGCAGGTGAAACCTCCTTCATCTGAGAACCTTACATTCCGGATCCTGAGAGTCACCTTTCCCTCACCAATAGCATCTTTCAGCAGCTCTGTCCGGCCCCGATATTCAGGTGCCTGGTCTCCATCTTGGTCCTTGCCATTTCTGTAGAGATGAACCACCCTAGAGAAGGGGGGGCGGTACCACCCCACCTCCATGCCTGTAGCGTTCTTCCCAGGAGATATGCGACATGGCAATTCCACTTCATCCCCGACCAGAGCCCGGATAGGGTGTCTTGGTCCTATCACTCTGAACTGCCCTGTCCAAGACACCAAAAGGAAGAGATTTAAGGTCAGAGGGAACCTTGGCAAGCAAGCCTGTCATGAGAAGGGCTGCTTCAAAACAGGGAAGGAAGAAGACACTCGACTTTTAAATGACATTCTAGAGCCAGGGAGGATTGCAATTGTTCTTCTTCTTCTTCTTCCTTTTTATTTATTCATTTATTTTTTGAGACAGTCTTACTCTCTGTCGCCCAGGCTGGAGTGCAGTGGTGCAATCTTGGCTCACTGCAACCTCCGCCTCCCTGCAACCTCCGCCTCCCAGGTTCAAGTGATTCTCCTGCCTCAGCCTCCCGAGTAGCTGGCATTACAGGCACCTACCGCCGCATCCAGCTAATTTTTGTATTTTTAGTAAAGATGAGGTTTCACACTGTTGGCCAGGCTGGTCTCGAACTCCTGACCTCAGGTGATCCGCCTGCCTTGGCCCCAAAGCGCTGGGATTATGGGCATAAACCACCACACCCGGCCTCAAGTTTCCTTCTTGAGAACAACAACGACAAAAAAGACTCTGGTTATAGAGATACTGTGAATGTCCTGGACAGAACATTTTAGCAATCATCTCCTCTCAGCATCTGCCCATCTTTTTGCCAGCTGTAGCCATCTCTGACTCTTCAGCCCAGCCTTTAGGTTCCCTCTTGGAATGTGGCACAGCATCTTGAGGTTGAATCCTCCTATGGGCCTCCCTGTTAGGACTTGGCCAAATTGCTGCCTATTCTACCCTTAGAGGTTTTGCTTTTGTCACTCCATCTACTTTAACTGTCTCTCCATCACTTCTCACTATTCAGTCCTTGTTCATACCTTGTTTCCCAAATTCTCTTCTGAGATCTTCCACCCTGGGGATGGCTCTATTTCCCTCTTCCTTCCCCTGTATCTTCCACCTCACTGTGGCTCCCGGACCCTGACCCGAAAAAGTTCCTTGTTTTTTTCTATGTGGATGTGTTTCTCAAGTCAGATTCTGAGCTACTAAGAAATAAGGCTGCTTTCTCCCCTAGACCTGGAGAGTGGATGCACTGTGCCTCTGTCAGTCAGGTGGCTCCCTGAGGATGGGAAACTTTCTGTTTATTTCTCCTCTGCACGTGACAGCCGGGTTCCTTTATAAAAACCTACTGGTGCCTGATTATGCAGAGCAAAGTCTCAAACATGACAAGATATTATAATTCCACAAACATTTATTGAGATTTACTATGGACAGGCACTGCTAAGCATGTTACATATCTCATTTCATGTAATCCTGATGAGAACTCCAAGAGGTTGTTATTATTTTATCTCAATTTGAGAGGTGAAAAGACAAAGCTGGAAAGACAAGTAAGAAGTAGTTCAAGGAAAGCCTTGAGTTAGTCACATTAAGGAGTCTGGGTCAGACGCAATGGCTCATGCCTGTAATCTCAGCACTTTGGGAGGCTGAGGAGGGCAGACCACTTGAGGTCAGGGGTTCCAGACCAGCCTGGCCAACATGGTGAAACCCCATCTCTACTAAAAATAAAAAAATTAGGCCTAGTGCAGTGGCTCACGCCCATAATCCCAGTACTTTGGGAAGCTGAGGCGGGCGGATCAGCAGGTCAAGAGATCGAGACCATCCTGGCCAACATGTGAAACCCCGTCTGTACTAAAATACAAAAAAAAAAAAAAAAAAAGAAAAGAAAAAATTTAGCTGGGTGTGGTGGCAGGCGCCTGTAGTCTCCGCTACTTGGGAGGCCAAGTCAGGAGAATCGCTTGAACCAGGGAGGCTGAGGTTGCAGTGAGCCGAGATCATGCCACTGCACTCCAGCCTGAGCAACAGAGGGAGACTCTGTCTCAAAAAAAAAAAAGAGTCTGGACTCCATCTTGAAGGCTGTAAGAACCACCCACGGAAGGTTTCTGAGGAAGGGAGGCATGTCAGTAGGTCTATGTTTTAGAAAGATAATATAGCAACTTGAGGATGTTTGAAGGAGCTAAGCCCCAGGAAACTAGCCTTTCTGTTTTCAGGGTCTCCCCAGGGCAGGAAAAAAAACATGTCTTACCTGCATAGCTGGAAGACACTTGGAGGAGGAGGAGGAGGAGGAAGGAGCAGAGGCAGCTGGGCAGAGAGGGTCTCGATAAGCTTGCCATCTCTACTGTTCCTGGGGACAGAGAGCCCCCGCAGCAAGGTCAGGCCAAGTGGAGGCCCTTGGGGTGCATGTCCCCTTACTGCTGAAAAGCCCAAGGGAAGATCTTGGAGGGCAGTGCTGCCTGGGCCCTGCCTCCACTCCGGTAATTGCTGCAGCTGTGCCCGCAGAAACAGCCCCACGTCACCCTTGCCAGGCACTCACACAAAAGGGCTACAGACTGAGGGGATGACCAGGGTTTGCCTTCCCCACCCCCCCAGAGCAATGGAGCAGAGGCTGCCTGGTACAGGGCTTTCCTCCCCCACTCCCTCCTGGAGATCCAACCTTTGAAGGGTCTTCTAGGGGCTAATCAGTGGGGCAGGATCACTTACAGGACCTTAGGAAGAGGCTTGTTCATGGAATATGTAAGCTTCCTCCAATCCACCCCAGCCCTACTGACTAGTCAAAAGAGAGAAATTATTATTGGTTCTTAAAAAAAGAAAGAAAACTTAGATTTCTTTTTCCTGTTTCTATTATCTCACAACTGTCATCACCAGACCATTCTTCTTAATGTCTAACCTCCCTTTCTTCTACCGCGAATCCAAACTCTGCCCTGTATGTTTGTATATGTGATAGGTCACTTGGGATTTGTTAGTTTCTTGTTCCCAAAGAATGTTTTTAGGGAAGTCATGAGATGAATGTCAGGTGTGCTCAGAGAGGCAAGGTTGGAGGAAGGGAGACCAGCAAGGGCAGCAACTAACTATGTCAGTCAACACAGGCAGAAGGGACAGAGCCAGCATACAGGACACGCTCTCCAGCCTTCACATCACTTGCCAGTTTCCTCAGTGTCACAGGGGAGAGTGAGATCTGGAATGGAAAATGACCTTTCTCTCACCTCTTGGCTCAGCTGAGAATTGCAAGTGTGAGACCAGCATTGGTAGCAGGTTCCAAAAATAGACTTCCCAATCTTAAGGCAAGTATGCCTCACCAAATAAGGAAAAAAGGCTCAATTTAGAGCCGTGCTGTCCAATGCAGCAGTCACTCCCTGCATGTGGCCACTTAAAATTAATTACAATTAAATAAAATTAAAAATTTGGTTCATTGATTACACTAGCCATGTTTCAAATGCTCAATAGCACTACAGTTAGTGGTTATCTCATCAGACAACACAAATACAGAACATTTCCATCGTCACAAAAAATTATATTGGGCAACACAAAAATTTATATTGGGCAGCAAGGGGTAGAAACACAACTGAGACATACATTTCTGTTTTTGTCCGAGATGGGCGTAAGGAGCTAGAAGGACATTAAGGTCAGCTGAGTTTGGGAACTGCTTATTCTTTCACCCTTCAAGGCAGCCAGCGTTTGGACACAAGCAATGTTTGGCTACTCTGGTGCTGTGTGGTTGAAAGTCAAGATTGCAGGGGTCAATCCCATGGAAAAAGTGGCCGCTGTGGATCTCTGGCTTTTTACCAAAGGGGTTTTTTTTTCTTCAAAAACCTAAAATGTCCTGGGACGCTCTTTCTCCCTGTTGCATATTCAGGTAGGAGAGTTATGCACAAGATGCTTCTGGGCAGGATTTGGGGGTGGTAAGATGTGTGCAATTGTCCAGCACCAAGCAAGCTGTCAAAAGCTGGATGGGAGATCAGGATGAGGGTGGAGGCATGTGGGAGCAGAGAGGGTCAGGAGCCTGCCGAGCCATCACAGCCACTTTGGAGAAATCACAGCATCTCTGAAAACAACAATAAAAAAAACTAACCACCTTACTGAGATATTCTATGTGCTGTGGTTCTAAGTGGTTTACTTGCATTAACACCTTTAATCCTCACAACAACAAAACAAATATTAAACTATTATCACCCATATCTTACAGGTGAGAAAAGGGAGGTACAAAAGAGGTAAAGGAACTTGCTAAAGTCACACCACTAGGGAGTGGCAGAGCTGGGATTTCAAGCCAGGCTTTCTAGTCCTAGAACTGGCTCTTTTAACCACCACAATACAAGGCCTCTGATGAGCTCAGCTTATTTACTTTCATGCCCTCAACTGCCTCAAATTTCCTGAAAGGGGAGGATTCCTGGAGCTGTGAGAGCAGTCCCTTGGCTGACATGGTCTTTGGGCAAAGGTGATATATACAAGGGAAGGCCAGAGGGGCCACCAGCAAAATGAAGCCAGTGGTGTTGCCACTTGCAGAAATCTGGGGTATAGGGGCTGGGCCCGCTCACGCCTGTAATCCCAGCACTTTGGGAGGCCGAAGCGGGCAGATTACCTGAGGTTGGGAGTTCAAGACCAGCCTGACCAACATGGAGAAACCCTGCCTCTACTAAAAATACAAAAATTAGCTGGGCATGGTGGCGTGTGCCTGTAATCCCAGCTACTCGGGAGGCTGAGGCAGGGTAATCCCTTGAACCCAGGAGGCGGAGATTGCGGTGAGCCAAGATCCCGCCATTGCACTCCAGCCTGGGCAAGAAGAGCAAAACTCCGTCTCAAAATAAAATAAAGAAATCTGGGGTATGGGAACATCAGGTATTGCCAGGAATAGAGCTCAGTGTAGATGTGTCCAAGAAGTGAAACCACCCTGTATCACCCTGGGAGCTGCTCATTTCTTTCAGCATTTAAATATTATTTTAATTGATTTTGTATAGCATATGTTATGAGATCCTGCAAGTATTCCTGAGTTCTTGAGTTGCCTCTTTTTTTCTTTCTTTCTCGTTTTTGAGACAGGGTCTCTCTCTGTCACAGGCTGGAGAGCAGTGGCGTGATCAGGGCTCACTGCAGCCTTTACCTCTCAACTTTAAGTGAACCTTATGCCTCAACCTCCTGAGTAGCTGAAACTACAGGTATGTGCCAGCATGCCTGGCTAAATGAAAGCTTCTTTTCTTTTCTTTCCCTTGGTCTCAAACTCCTGGACTCAAGTGATCCTCCTGCCTCAGCCTTCTGAAATGTTGGAATTACAGGCTGAGCCACTACACCCAGCTCAATTTTCTTCCAGTGTTGCTGTCCTCAGTAATTTCAGCTTAATCTGCATCTCTCACCATGTCCAATGACAGACCATGTACACAGTAATATATTCAGAGTGACACATTGAATACAGTAAATGTGTGTGGTAATTTTTTAACATGCTCTATGCTGTCCATATGTGAAATAGTAAGCATTCAATAAATGGTAGCTTTCCTACATAAATACCCAGCAACAGTACTGTATAAGCTTTTACAGATAATCTGTAAAATATGTATCTTTACATTATTTATGTTATCAGAAGTGATAATAGACACCCTGTTTTGATTCTTGTTGTCTACTTAATTCATAATTCCACATTAATACATAATATGGCTTTTTTGTACTTTTGAAAATTGATTGTTAGCTGGACGTGGTGACATGCACCTGTTGAGCCCAAGAGAGAGAGGCTGCAGTGAGCACTGATCGTGCTGCTGCACTCCAACCTGTGCGACAGAGTGAGACCCTATCTCAAAAAAATTTTTTAAATAAAAATTGATTCTTATAAAGTAACATGCTTTGAAAATAAATCTCAGCCAGCTAAAGCCGATCTGTATTTTCTCTAAATCCTTCCGTTTGTATATATATACCACTAGAGGGCGCTCCACGAAAGTCACTGCCTGTGAGTACTGCAAGTAGCGCTCACACATCCCTCCCTCTCCCTTCTCCCACCTGTTTTACATAAATGGTAACAATTTATCTTGAAGCTCTTTCCTTATCAGTACCTAAAGAACATCCTTGTTATTTTTAAACAGCTTACAATATTTTATTGGATGAATATAATATAGTTATTTAAGTAGCATCCCAAGACATTTAGACTGTTTCAGTTTTTTAAATACCTATTTTTACTAGGATGAAGCAAAAATGTACTCAATTAATTTAAATCAATACATATTTAAAAGCAAGTGCTATGTGTCATACTTTATATTAGGCCCTGATTATAAAACTTTCAGCAAGGCAGACAAGATTCTTGCCTTTATGAGTTATATTCTAGTTGTATTGCAGTTATATTACAGTTATATGTTACCTAAAGGCACAAATTGATCAATGTCAGGCCATCATTTTCAACCTTTTTGCTCTTACATATAATTTGGCAATGAATATCAGTCTACTAAGGCCAGCTACATATTTTGAGGGGCAAAATGAAACTATGGAGCTCCTTGTTTAATAGCAGGAAAAGACCAGGTGCAGTGGCTCACGCCTGTAATCCCATCACTTTGGGAGGACCAGGTTGGAGGATCGCTCGGGCCCAGGGTCTCGAGTCCAGCCTTTACAACATAGTGAGACCCCATCTCTAGTTAAATAAATCTATTAAAAAATAATAAAATAGAAAATAAAAAGCAGAAAAAAAACCCAACCTTTTCCTTTTTTCTGTGGTTCCACTGTCAACCTATTATGTGGGGTTTTTTTCTTTTCTTTTTTTTTTTTTTTTTTGAGACGGAGTCTCGCTCTGTCGCCCAGGCTGGAGTGCAGTGGCGCAATCTCGGTTCACTGCAACCTCCGCCTCCCGGGTTCAAGCCATTCTCCTGTCTCAGCCTCCCAAGTAGCTGGGACTACAGGCGCTCGCCACCATGCCCAGATAATTTTTTTGTATTTTTAGTGGAGACGGGGTTTCACCGTGTTAGCCAGGATGGTCTCGATCGCCTGACCTCGTGATCCGCCTGCCTTGGCCTCCCATAATGGTGGGATTACAGGCGTGAGCCACCGCGCCCGGCCTTTTTTTTTTTAATTTAATGTCACACTCCAGGCACAGGAGTACCTAGGGGGAAGTGCAGATCTTCACAAGTGCCTAGGGCCATGCCTTCCATTTGGCAAGGGAGGTGTGTATGCCTGACCGCTCCCCTCCTTTCCACTGTTCCCAGGCCCCTGCTGGGAGCGAGCCTGCACAGAAGGTGGTGGAGCCGGCAGCTGAAAACCAGTCCTGGGGAGGCTGGGAGGCATGGGGAGCAGGACCTCGCTTGAGCCAGGCTCCAAAAGTCTCTAGCCCATGTTCTGCTTTCTCATCGGACTTCATTATAAGACACAAATTGAAAGATAAAATTATTAAGAATTTCAAGACAGGAACCACAGAGCTTTAGAACCCAAACACAGTATCCCTTCTAAGCATGGGGCCCTTGTGTGACTGCCCTGGTCACTCACCCATGAAGTTTACTCTGCTTTCTACACTGGTAGAATAGTTTGTTCAGAGAGCATGTTTTTTGGTAATTTCAATAAATATTGATAAATTGCCCTGCACAAAGTTGTATACTTCACTGTACCCTGGCTTTCTCCTTAGTGAGTGAGGGAATAATATCATCCACTTCATCAGGGTTATCATGAGAATGACATGAATGAGTCCCTGTGAACTGTGAATGGTACACAGTAACCACTCAGTAAATACAGTCATTAGCCCTTACATGCAGTGATTTTCTTCTGGAACTCCCTCTAGTGGCATAAATATAAAGAGGAATTCACGTTTTCTTTTCTACTTTTGTGGCCCTATTTCCCATAATATTTGTGTGTTTAAATTGGTCTAGATATTCCACTGAGGCTCAATGACCGATAGACTATAAAATGTCTAATTTACATCAATTTAGCCAGATGCTTCCTAGGTAGGTCGGAGAAATGAGAACACTGATCCGAATCAATGTGAGGCAGCTCCCAGCAAGTGAGCGCCTGTAGCATGTGTGAGCATGGGTGCTGTGGTGAATGCAGCCAGGGGCTGCTCTTTCATACTGCTTTATTTCTTTTTCTTTTCTTTCTTTTTTTTTTTTGAGACGGAGTTTCGCTCTTGTTGCCCAGGCTGGAGTGCAATGGCACGATCTTGGCTCACTGCAACCTCCACCTCCCGGGTTCAAGGGATTCTCCTGCCTCACCCTCCTTTGTAGCTGGGACTACAGGCACCCGCCACCACGCCCGGCTAATTTTTTGTATTTTAGTAGAGACGAGGTTTCACCATATTGGTCAGGATGGGCTCGATTTCCTGACCTCGTGATCCACCCGCCTCGTCCTCCCAAAGTGCTGGGATTGCAGGCATGAGCCACCGCGCCCGGCCATACTGGTTTATTTCTTTTTCTTTTTTTTTTTTTTTTTGAGACAGAGTCTTGCTCTGTCGCCCAGTCTGGAGTGCAGTGACACGATCTCGGCTCACTGCAAGCTCCGCCTCCCGGGTTCACGCCATTCTCCTGCCTCAGCCTCCTGAGTAGCTGGGATTACAGGGGTGCGTCACCATGCCTGGCTAATTTTTTGTATTTTTTTAGTAGAGACGGGGTTTCACCGTATTAGCCAGGATGGTCTCGATCTCCTGACCTCGTGATCCGCCCGCCTCGGCCTCCCAAAGTGCTGGGATTACAGGCGTGAGCCACCGCGCCTGGCCTACTGGTTTATTTCTTTAAGTAACACATACAGTGTAGAAAAATTAGAAACGATATGGAAAAATGTAGAGAACAAAAAACTAATTATGTTCTACCAAAGGTTTAAATTTTATCTATCAACATTTTTTCCATTTTTGTGTATTCCCTATTGTTAGTCTGAGATTCACCAATATTTTTATCTTTCAAAAGGAAAAACATTCAGCTTCTTGTGAGTCAAGTGAGTCAGGCACTGAGGCTTGCCCCTCCCCCTCCCCCCTCACCAAATGGGAATGGGTTTGCGCTGATTTTAATCAAACTGCTATGGGTTGTCCTGCGTAAGAGGCTTTGGGCTGTTCTGTAGGTCCCCGTGGGGTAGAACAGTTGGGTGCAAGACTCTGAAGGCAGATTTCAGCTCAAAAGAAAGAATTTTCCCTCCTTCAGAGCTGTCCAACCGTGGTGGGAATGAGTGGGAACTACGGGAGTGAGCTTCCCATTCCTGGATTTTCCAGCCAACATAGAACTGGAGGTTAGGCCACATTATCCTAATATTTTTGCCTAGCTGTAGGATGATACAAGAATATACATTTTCCTTCCCCATCTTCTCCCGCTTTTCCTCGCCTTCTTTCCATTTCTTTGGCCCCTTCGCTTTTCGCCACCTAGCGGCAGAATCTTGCTAGGTAAGGACCAGGAAGCTCTCCCAATCTGACCCGCAACAGCTGACGTCACGACTTCGCCACCGAGAATTGGTTGCCAGCAGCCTTTGGGGGCGGAGAATAAGGCGCAGATTATAAATAGGTCAAAGAGAGGTGCCTGCGAGCCGCGCAGTGACACCCCGTTCCTAAGGGCAGAGCTTTTCTTGCCTTTCGCTTCAGACCCACTGCACTTGGTTACGTGCTTTTCCTCCGCTGTCCGCTTCGTTTATCTGCTTTAACCCAGCCTGGGCTAGGTAGGCCTGAAGCCTATAATGTTGCTTGGCTGTTGCTCAGGAGAAGAAAGGCCCAGGTGGCCAGTTTGGCAACTGGCACAGTCCCTGTGAGCACCCACCTGCTGATGGTCCTTCTGTCACTACGTAGTCGCTCCGACGCCAGGAAAGTGCGGTGGTGGCCATTTTGGAACTGGGCAACTTTCACTTCGCCAATCATCTTGGGGTCTGGCCACCACAGTACTTTTTTTTCATTATTATTCTGGCAGAGAACACGTTATGGAGGGATAATTATGTAGCCTAGAATTTCTAGAGTTGTTTCAGGACTCATAATATCCTCATTCCAGAATATGAGAATATAGAAGCTTGGAATACTCAGATGCAAATTCCAGCACCACCCTTTCCTAATTGATTGAGGAACACATCTGACTCTAGTCTACGGTCCTGTGGAAAGACCTGTGACCCTAGGCAAAGAGCTTAAAGAAATCTCTCTTTTTTTTTTTTTTTTTTTGAGACGGAGTTTTGCTCTTGTTGCCCAGGCTGGAGTGCAGTGGCGCGATCTCGGCTCACCGCAACCTCCACCTCCTGGATTCAAGTGATTCTCCTGCCTCAGCCTTCCGAGTAGCTGGGATTACAGGCTATGCGCCACTATGCCCGGCTAATTTTGTATTTTTAGTAGAGATGGGGTTTCTCCATGTTGGTCAGGCTGGTCTCGAACTCCGACTTCAGGTGATCCACCCGCCTCAGCCTCCCAAAGTGCTGGGATTACAGGCGTGAGCCACTGCACCTGGCCATGAAGAAATATCAATTTATTTAACTGCAAAATGATAATTCTGTCACCTCGTGGTGCTGATGTGAGGATTAAATGAGACAAGGTACATAAAGTGCTTAGGCCTGTGTCTGGCTCCCCCAAAAAACATAACACCTCTTGTGCAGCACCTGTGCTTAGAATGTTAGCCAGTGAGGGCAGGACTTCGTCTTATTTTCCCTGTGCCCTCCTGGGCATTGAATAGTGAGGGATACATATTAGAATAAGTTTGCTGAAAGAATGAATGACAAAGAATCCCTGCCTGTAGGTCTTCAGCCTTTGTATTCTATTATCTTTTAGGCTGTAGGCTCACCCTCAGGCATCTTCTTGCCACTCTAACCCCTATAGGCTGATAATTACACCTTTACTTGCTCTAGGTCACAGCAATCTGTTAACTACGAGATTAGTATTTTTATTAGTATTTTTGACTTTTTTTTTTTTTTTGAGACATGGTTTCACTCTTAGAGTGCAGTGGCGTGATCTCAGCTCACTGCAACCTCCGCCTCCCAGGTTCAAGCGATTCTCCTGCCTCAGCCTCCTGAGTAGCTGGGATTTCAGGCGCCCGCCACCACCCTCGGCTAATTTTTGTATTTTTTTTTAAGTAGACGGGGTTTCGTCGTGTTAGCCAGGATGATCTCGATCTCCTGACCTCGTGATCCGCTCGCCTCGGCCTCCCAAAGTGCGGGGATTACAGGCGTGAGCCACCGCGCCCGGCCTAATTTTTGTATTTTTAGTAGAGACAGGGTTTCACTGTGTTGGCCAGGCTTGTCTCCAACTCCTGACCTCGTGATCTGCCTGCCCGCCTAGGCCTCCCAAAGTGCTGGGATCACAAGCGTGAGCCACCGCGCCCGGCAGATAATTTACTTATTATTTCATACACCACCTGATATATTTTCACAGTGAGCATATGGCCTTTAAAATAATGATTTTTTTGTTGTTTAAGTTACAAACAAACCTGAAAAAATATTTGCTTTTTAGAAATGCTCAGTTTCTGAAGGGACCTAAGTTTGCCTTGTAACTGGTACCATCTAATGGTCAAACTGAGCTATTGCGCTGAGGTTGGATACAGGAAGCTAAGGGAAGACAGGGATGTGGGAAGTTCAACAGGGGTATGCTATGGAATAGGGTGACAGAACTTTGTGGATGACATACCAACATCACTTGCTGAAGTTGTGTAGAGCTTATTCTTACTGAAACAGTAATCCAGAAATTAACTCATATCTAATGACTTGGTGGTATAGCATACCAACACTTTTATGCCAGCCACTGGAGAAAAAGTGTGTTCCTATAGCATTTTCACATTCTGAAAACATTTGTCTATGATTGTATTTATTTCTCACAATAGTATGTGAGTTAAAGATATCAAATAGTTTTATTCTTATTTTACAGTTGATGAAATTGAGGCCAGACGGGTTGTGACAGGCTCAAGGTCAGTCAGAAAACCATTGTCAGAGCAAGACCAGACTGGCATTCTTTTTCAGGTGTTTCTGCTGCAATTGGGGGCAGAGATATGCAGGCTTAACTTTTATAAATATAAAAGATGCTTTATTGGGAAACGTGAAGTAGTGGTTCTCTGAGTTTTTTGTACCATTTCTTAGCCTTTTTGTTTTATGCAATTTTTTATTTGCCCCAACCTGAACTCTATGTTTGGAGAGGTGATTTTCAGCAACAAAGCTAAATTTATGTATAATTTATTTCTTTTTCTTTTATTAATCAAACGTGTTTTAACTTGTAACTTTTCTTCTAAAGTCAGCATCATGTGTATACATATGCAAATAATTCCACTCCAAGGTAAGGAAACTTTAAGGATATTTTAATTAGTGCTCACAACAAATATGTGTATCTGTTCTGATTTTTAAATAATAAAGATGGAGCATGACTTTCTTCTTCTCTTTCTGTATTCCAGTTTTAAAATCATTGGCTGGGTGCAGTGGCTCATGCCTGTAATCCCAGCACTCTTGGAGGCCAAGGCAGGCGGATCACTTGAGGAAAGGAATTTGAGATCAGCCTGGCCAACATGGCAAAACCCTGTTTCTATCAAAAATACAAAAAAGTAGCTGGGCATGGTGGCATGCACCTGTAGTCCCAGGTACTTGGGAGGCTGAGATGGAAGGACTGTTTGAGGCTGGTTGACACAGTGAGACTCCCATCTCAAAAAGAAAAAAAAATCACCATACCACATTGTAGGAGCTATGAAGGCTGACATCATGCTTAGCTCATGTGTGTGATCCCAAACTGCCCTATTCCATAAATATTTATTGACTAAATGAGAAAAAAATCTTACAACCAGGTAAGATTTCTTTTCTTTTCTTTTCTTTTTGAGACCGAGTCTTGCTCTCTTGCCCAGGCTGGAGTGCAGTGGCGCGATCTCTGCTCACTGCAAGCTCCGCCTCCCAGGTTCACGCCATTCTCCTGCCTCAGCCTCCCGAGTAGCTGGCACCCGCCACCATGCCCGGTTAATTTTTTCTTGTATATTTTGTAGAGACAGGGTTTCACCATGTTAGCCAGGATGGTCTTGATCTCCTGACCTCATGATCAGTCTGCCTCAGCCTCCCAAAGTGCTGGGATTACAGGCGTGAGCACCGCGCCCAGCCATAGCCAGATAAGTTTCTTTTGCACACCTGTACTACTTTTAATGGTAGTTATGGCAGGTCATATTAAATAACAATAATATTTTCTGGGCCAGGCATGGTGGCTCACCCCTGTAATCCCAGTACTTTAGGCAGGAGGGTCATTTGAGGTCCAGAGTTCAAAACCAGCCTGGCCAACATGGCGAAACCCTGTCTCTACTTCAAATACAAAAATTAGCCAGGCATGGTGGTGCATGCCTGAAATCCTAGCTACTGGGGAGGCTGAGGCAAAAGAATTGCTTGAACCCTGGAGGCAGATATTGCAGTGAGCTGAGATTGCACCGCTGCACTCCAACCTGGGTGATTTTATATATATATATATATGTAAATATATATATTTAGTTTTCTTATGAGCCCCTTAAGAATAATATCAATACACAGGCAGAAAAAAAGCATTCCAAGATCTTTTTTTTCTTTTCTTTTTTATTTGAGATGGTGTCTCACTCTGTCACCCAGGCTGGAGAGCAATGGCGCAAACTCAGCTTACTGCAACCTCTGCCTCTCCGGTTCAAGTGATTCTCCTGCCTCAGCCTCCTGAGTAGCTGGGATTACAGGTGTCCACCACCACACCTGGCTAATTTTAGTATTTTTAATAGAGACAGGGTTTCACTATGTTGGTCAGGCTGTTCTCGAACTCCTGACCTCGTGATCTGCCCACCTTAGCCTCCCAAAGTGCTGGGATTACAGGTGTGAGCCACCGCGCCTAGCCTTTTTTCTTTTCTTCTTCTTCTTCTTCTTCTTTTTTTTTTTTTGATAGAGATGGGGTTTTGCCATGTTAGCTTCAAACTCCTGGGCTCAAGCAATCTGCCTGCCTCAGCCTCCCAAAGTATTGGGATTACAGGTGTCAGCCACTGAACCAGGCCTAAAACTTTATTTTCTAAAGTTGAAATAACTTCAGGATATAATTTAGAGATATCATGACTCCTTGGGGTCCAGAGAAGAAAATCACTCAGGAGTTAAAATTAAGAGAAGGGTCAGGCACAGTTGTGAGTGCTGTAGTCCCAACTACTCAGGAGGCTGAGCAGGAAGAATTGGTTGAGGCCGGGAGTTCAAGAGCAGCCTGGGCAATAGAGTGAGACCTGTCTTTTAAAAAAGTAAAAATAGGTCAGGCGCGGTGGCTCACACCTGTAATCCCAGCACTTTGGGAGGCCGAGGTGGGCGGATCATCTGAGGTCAGGAGCTCAAGACCAGCCTGGGCAACATGACAAAACCCCATCTCTATTAAAAATACAAAAAATTAGCCATGTGTGGTGGCACACGCCTGCATTCCCAGCTACTCAGAAGGCTGAGGCAGGAGAATCACTTGAACCCAGGTGGAAGTTGCAGTGAGCCGAGATCGCATCTGCATTCCCAGCTACTCAGAAGGCTGAGGCAGGAGACTCACTTGAATCCAGGAGGTGGAAGTTGCAGTGAGCCGAGATCGCACCATTGCACTCCAGCCTGGGCAACAAGAGTGAAACTCCACCAAAAAAAAAAAAAAAAAAGTAAAAATAAAATCACAAGGAATGGTTGGAGGAGCCCAGCCCATTCTATTTGTACCTCTATTTTGAGCCATTTCATCCTCTTCCCTGACCAGTTCATCCATCATCCCTCCTCCCCATTAACCACCAGCTTACCTTGTACTCTTCAGTCTTAGAACCCACATTACCTTCAATCTTCTTTGTAAAATGTTGGTAAGAAGTTAACAAATTCAGGCCGGGGGTGGTGGCTTATGCTTGTAATCCCAGCACTTTGGGAGGCCGAGGTGGGAGGATCACTTGAGGTCAGGAGTTCAAGACCAGCCTGGCCAACATGGTGAAACCCCATCTCTACTAAAATTACAAAAATTAGCTGGGCGTGGTGGTGCATGCCTATAATCCCAACTACTCAGGTGGCAGAGGCACAAGAATTGCTTAAGCCCAGGAGGTGGAGATTGCAGTGAGCCAAGCTTGCACCACTGCACTCCAGCCTGGGTGACAGAGCAAGACTGTTAAAAAAAAAAAAAAAGTTAACAAAATCAAATTCAAGAATGCTTTCTTAATACATTTCTCCTGTTATTTTCCATTTTTCCCATGGTGGAAAATAGAAAATAGGATGGCATCACTTGAGTTGGGCATAGGGAAAGAAATTTCAAACAGGGCATGAGTTCTAGGATTTAGAACAGCTAATGCAGGAGTAGAGTTAAAGAAGATACCCCACCTAGCCTAGCCTGCTAGCTGCTTGACAGTAACCAGGGATAACAGGGGAACAGTTAAGGTTCTTCAGATCATGGTCTCTTTCTTTTTCTTCTCCCCTCCCCCATCCTACTTATAATTATTCAGACAGAATGAAAGTTTGCTGCAGGCACAGGTGAAAATTTTCCACCCGTGTCCCTATTTCATAGCAGGATCTTAAGATAAGACCAAGGAGAATGATCTTTGGAAAAGTACTTTCTTAAGAGCAGCGAATGGCTGAACGTAGTGGCTCATGCCTATAATCCCAGCACTTTGAGAGGTCAAGGCGTGTGAATCACCTGAGGTCAGGAGTTTGAGATTAGCCCGACCAACAAGGTGAATCCCCACCTCTACTAAAAACACAAAAATTAGCCAGGCGTGGTGGCAGGCATCTGTAGTCCCAGCTACTCGGGAGGCTGGGACAGGCCTGGGAGGCAGAGGTTGCAGTGAACTGAGATTGCGCCACTACACTCGCCTGGGCAATGGAGCAAGACTCCATCTAAAAAACAAAACAAACCAAACAAACAAACAAACAAACAAAAAAGCAGCGAGAAGAGAGAGAAGAGAAGTAAGGCCCTCTTCCTGGTAACATCTTGCTCTACTCCTATTCCCGATGTGGGCCACCATTAGCGCTGCTATGTGGAGCAGAATTTGTGCATGCACCAGAGATTATACTTGCAATGCTATCAAAATGCTCATGGGTGGTGGGGGATGCACAGAGGTCTTGCCAGGTCTAATGCTGGTGAGGAAGCTTTAGTTTGCTAATGGTAAGGGCTACTGGGCAGTACAGTAAGGGTACTGAGCATAGTAGCATCATGGACAGCAAAATGGCAGCACCTACAAATAACGCAAGTAAGTAAAGTTATTGCTAAAAGAAAATATTCAGATAAACACTGGTAAGTCTTTTTGGAGAGTGATTCTGCCTATGGCTCAGCCAAGGCCCCCTGCTCTATGGCAGGGTGAATCTTCTGGATCTTCTACTAACAGAAATCTTACCCACATAGTGATAACCGCAGTGATTTAATCCTTAGCAGCATTGCTGATATGCACAGGACTCTCAGGGAGAGAGACCCCTGGGTGCCTTGAGGGTGCTTTCCACATCTTGTCATTGGGCTGAGCAGGGTCTTTGGAATCACTAATCTCATGTTGGCTTGTTACATGTGAGACACTGTGCAGATTATTAAACATGTTTGAGTTTCAGTTTTCCCATTTTGTAAATGGGAAGACTAATATCTATATCAGAGAATGCTATAAGGAGCAAGTGAGACAATCCAAGTAAAACACACAGCCCAAAACTGGTTATAGTAAAATAAATGCTATTATTATTATTATCCTGTAACTTATAGGGTGGAATGACTTAAATGTGTTTAGAATGTGTCACTATTATGGCCCATGGAACAAAGCAACCCATTTTACCAATACCTAGTAGGTCTTCAACAAACAACAGAGACCGCTAGATTAATAGACTTGGAAACTGGTGTGATCATTCTGTACAATGGAATGAAACTCATCTCTGAGTCAGAAAATATGTAGCTCTTTTAGTGGGATAAAATGAGCCACATAGTCAAAATCCCTGCCCTCCTGGAGTTTATGGTCTGGTCAGGAAGGCAAATGTAAATACACGATTCCACAGTTACCTTAATTACCACTGAGATAAGTTTTGTGGTTTTATTTTTATTTTGAGACAGAATCTCTCTCTGTCACCCAGGCTGGAGTGCATTGGCATGATCGCAGCTTACTGACCTTGACTTCCTAGGCTAAATCGATCCTCCTGCCTCAGCCTCCCAAGTAGCTGGGACTACAGGCTCATGCCACCACACTCGGCTAATATTTTTAATTTTTGTTAGAGACAGGGTCTCCTCATGTTACCCAGACGGAGATAAGTTCCTTCCTTCCTTCCTCCCTCCCTTCCTTCCTCTCTCCCTTCCCCTTCCCCTTCCCTTCCCTTTAGCATGCACCACCACCCCCAGCTAATTTTTGTATTTTTAGTAGAGACGGGGTTTCACCATATTGGTCAGGCTGGTCTGGAACTCCTGACCTCAGCTATCTGCCTGCCTCGGCCTCCCAAAGTGCTGGGATTACAGGCATGAGCCACCACACCCACATGGATTTTGATTTTCTTTTCTTTTCTTTTTTTCTTTTCTTTCGTTTCTTCTTTTCTTTCTCTCTCTCTCTCTTTCTAAAAAACAAACAAACAAAACAACGACTACAGTATGCCATATATGAGAGTGGCTAGTGGGATTGGGGAAACAGTGTTCTAAGTCTGGGGAATTCAGGGGAGGCTTTACTGAGGAGGTGCCATTTAAGCTGTTAGCAACATGGGTGTGGGGTGAGGAGGCTGAACAGAGCACCACGCCCAGGCAGAGGGAGCTGGGTGTGTTTGGTTTCTGAGTTGAAAGTTAAGGAAGTTTAAAGAACAGCAGTCAGACGACCATGGCTGGAGCACTGTTAGTGAAGGGCAGAAGGACCTGAGACTTGACTTTGAGGCCAAGCTCTGGTATTTATTGGCTGTGTGATCTTATGAAGTTCATTCAAACTTTCTGAGCTTCAGTTTTCCTATCTGACAAATGGAGATATTATCATATAGAAACAACAGAAAGAATTAGAAGAGCTAATGTGAGAATTCTTTGTAAATTATGCACCAATAAGGTATTCAGTTTCTGCACAGATCTAGGTGTAACAAATACTGAAAGCATCTGAAGGTGTGTATGAGTCATGTCTGCTTTTTAGGTCTTCAGAGTGATGGCTTAGAAAGACAGGCAAGGAAGAGTAAACTCAGCAGGTGTTTGTTTACTCTCAATTGCTAAAAGCCAAGCTTGCTTCACATCTGTTCCAGGCTTTCCCTCCACTAGGACTCAGTGGTTCCCGTGGTTCTCTGGACTAGGGTAAGATTAATCTGACCTGCTGTAATAGGGTCATGGATGTGACATGGTCAGGTTTTCATACATAGCCTTTATGGAGATCCTTACTGGCATTTTAAAATTTATTTTATTTTATTTTATTTTATTTTGAGATGGAGTCTTGCTCTGTCGCCCAGGCTGGAACGCAGTGGTGTGATCTCGGCTCACTGCAACCTCTGCCTTCCAGGTTCAAGCAATTCTCCTTCCTCAGCCTCCCCCGTAGCTGGGATTACAGGCACCTGCCACCATGCCCAACTGATTTTTTGTATTTTTGGTAGAGACGGGGTTTTGTATTTTTGGTAGAGATGGGGTTTCGCCATGTTGCCCAGGCTGGTCTCGGACTCCAGTTCAAGCGACCCACCCGCCTCGGCCTCCCAAAGTGCTAGGATTATAGGTGTGAGCCACCACGCCCAGCCCTCTTACTGGCATTTTTATCATATTTCCATGAATAGAATTTCTAGTCTGTTGCTTCAGATTTGTTCATTTGACTTCTAAAACATCTATCTGTAAACATCTTCTCATGTTTATAAACAGTTTCACATATCCTTTTCTGCAATTCCAAAATTCACAATACTCTGAAAACCAAAATTTTGTAACTCATTTGGCGGCAAAGCCTGGCCTGACTTGCATTCATTCTGTGACAAAACGAGATGTGAAGCTATTTATAGTCTTTCTTTACCTCATCTAGTGTAAATAGCCATACATTTAACGTGAAAATATATTTTTGCTTATTATGGGCTTTAGACCTGCATACACATATTAAATGATAGATTTTTGAGTATTGTGTAGCTTCTAATAGAAAAATCTGGGTGATATATCCTTTTACTCTGAGTATTATTTCATTAGTGTGCTTCGAATAAGTGAGCAATCATTTTAGGTACTTGAACAGAATATGACGAGAGACAGAAATCTATTGCAGCAAAATGAACAAACAAATCCCCTAGCAACCAATTATATACACACATTATGATGCATACGTTTTTCAGATTAGTATGAATAATTATTTGTAGATATTCATACCAGTATATACTTAATTACACATGTTTAATTAAATATAATACTTATTTTGAGATCTTCAAAATGCTCATTAAATTTGTGTTTATGAGAACTGAACCTTTTTTTTTTTTTTTTTGGAGACAGTTTTGCCTGTTGCCCAGGCTGGAGTGCAATGGCACAATCTCAGCTCACTGCAACCTCCAGCTCCTGGGTTCAAGCGATTCTCTTGCCTCAGCCTCCCGAGTAGGTGGGATTACAGGCATGCACCACCATGGCCGACTAATTTTGTATTTTTAGTAGATGGGTGGTTTCTCCATGTTGGTTAGGCTGGTCTCAAACTCCTGATCTCAGGTGATCCGCCCGCCTAGGCCTCCCAAAGTGCTGGGATTAAAGGCATGAGCCACGGCGCCCGGCAGGAGAACTGAACCTTTTCTAAGTCTTTTAACATGACCTCATTATCCTGTAGATGAACGGACAAAGAAGCTATTTTCCTTTTTGTTTCTTAGGTTAATCTAGCATTTAATTACATTGTGTTCATTCACTTATTATATAAAGGTGTACTTATTGAGAAATTATTTCTAGAGGCAACTTCACAATGTCAATGTTGTAATTTGGTTATTGGCTCTGTGCACTCCTGAGACAGGGGTAGGATCCCCACTGCCTCAGGGATTCTTGTGTGTGAGAGTGGTAAGTGCTAGTGCAGGTACTCATAGTGTGGCTTTTTAATTTCACTGAAGTTTTGTGACTCCCAAACTGGGCTCACCTGTACATGCCTGTAAAGACATGATAGAAATAGCTTCACGAGCTTACTTTTATTGGCACAATAAACCAAGGCCAGAACTGCCAAGAATGTACAACTGCTATGGTCTGAATGTTTGTGTTCCCCCAAAATTCATGTTCTGAAACCTAATCCCCAATGCAATGTGGTATTAAGTGGTGGGGACTTTTGCAAATGAGATTAGTGCCCTTCTAAAAGAGGCCCCAGGGAGCTTGTTTGCCCTTCCACCATGTGAAGACACAGCTAGATCGCAGATGGCAGATGGCAGTCTATGAGGAAGCCAGCCCTCACCAGACACTGAATCTGCCAGTGCCTTAATCTTGGATTTCCCGGCCTCCAGAACTGTCAGAAGTACATTTCTGTTGTTCATAAGTTACCCGGTGCAAGAGATTTTGTTATGGCAGCTGAAACAGACGAAGACAGCAACCAAACTAGGATTGTGTGTGGGGAGCAATAGAGAGGGTTTATTAACGAAAGATGTTCCCTTACTCTCTCTCTTTTTTTTTTTTTTTTTCCTGAGACGGAGTTTCACTTTGTCGCCCAGGCTGGAGTGCAGTGGCTCGATCTCTGATCACTGCAAGCTCCGCCTCCCAGGTCACGCCATTCTCCTGCCTCAGCCTCCCAAGTAGCTGGGATTACAGGCGCCCACCATCACGCCCGGCTAATTATTTTTTTTGTATTTTTAGTAGAGATGGTGTTTCACCGTGTTAGCCAGGATGGTCTTGATCTCATAACCTCGTGATCTGCCCGCCTTGGCTTCCCAAAGTGCTGGGATTACAGGCATGAGCCACCGTGCCCGGCCTACTCTCTTACTTCTTTCTGGCCCAGTGATTCTGAGTGCCTGTGCCTATCAAGACGGGAAGAAAGAGAACACACAAATGGAAACTGAGGGGAAGGATCAAACAGTTTCACAAAAATATCCTATTTTAGTGATATTAAATATGATGCAAAGGATTCAAAACCTCACTAAAAAGCCAGAGTGAATCCCAGAGTGTAAATAACTTCACGTTTGAATAATAAACCTTTGCCCTATACATTTTTCTAAAGAGCAAGAGCTGTTACAGGACAGAAAACTCTCCCAGAAGACAGGTCTTTCATCCTAACCCAAGAGGACATGAACATCTTCCATTCACCCAGTGATCACCACTACTTTAGATGAGAGAATAGAACTGCAGTTTGACCCTTGACAGAAAATGCCTTGGAGCCGGGTGTGGTGGCTCACACCTGTCATCCCAGCACTGTGGGAGGCCGAGGTGGGCGGATTACGAGGTCAGGAGATCGAGACCATCCTGGCTAACACAGTGAAACACCGACTCTACTAAAAATACAAAAAAATTAGCCGGGCATGGTGGCGGGCGCCTGTAGTCCCAGCTACTCGGGAGGCTGAGGCAGGAGAATGGTGTGAACCCGGGAGGCGGAGGTTGCAGTGAGCCGAGATTGTGCCACTGCACTCCAGCCTGGGCAAAAGAACAAGACTCCGTCTCAATAAAAAAAAGAAAGAAAGAAAGAAAGAAAAAGCCTTGGAGTGGGAGTTGGGTGAGAGAAGTGCCTCAAAACTAAGCCTCTCAATGCAGTAGAAAGAATTTGAAAATAGGGTAACGAACTTAAGTTCAAATGTTGGCTCTGTCAGCTTTATAGCTGTGTGACCTCTGATTTGCTTCTTACTTTCTTTAAATGGTAGTTTACTAGGCTCAGTATAGAACATGAATATCCACTCTGTGTGGTTAGGTGAGAATTTAATGAGATACTCCCAAAATGTACCTAGCATCTACCTGATCATCAATCAAGTGAACTACGTTGGTTAATATGTTTTCAGGGCTCCCAGAGTGTTAAATTCTGGGCTATATGCTCTCAGGGATGGATGGAAGATGAGGCAGAAGAGAGAAAAGGAAGTAGAAAGAAAGTATGGGAGGCCAGGCCCCGTGGCTCATGCCTGTAATCCCAGCACTTTGGGAGGCTGAGGCGGGCAGATCATGAGGTCAGGAGTTTGAGACCAGCCTGGCCAACATGGTGAAACCCCGTCTCTACTAAAAATACAAAAAATTAGCTGGGCGTGGTGGTGGGGCGCCGGTAATTCCCAGCTACTCAGGAGGCTGAGGCAAGAGAATTGCTTGAACCCAGGAGGCAGAGGTTGCAGTGAGCGAGATCGCGCCACTGCACTCCAGCCCGGGCGACAGTGTGAGACTGTCTCAAAAAATAAATAAATAAATAAAATAAAAATAAATAAATAAGAATAAAAAATAAAAATTATTAAAAAAAAAGAAAGTATGGGAACTAAAATGAATAAGATTTGTCATTTTCCAGTAATCTGAGTAGGAACTCCACTATCTCTATGAAAAACCGTCAAAAACTACAAAAGGAGATGGCATTGCCAAAGGCACAAATTGTACAGAAGTGAGAGAAGGATGGGATCAAGCCTGGGGATCCTTCCAGAGGAAAGAAGTTTTGTGCTTGATGTAAAAGGAAAAGAAGGAAGTAGATTGATTGTGGGGAGGATGAAATTAGGATACTCAAGTAGTGGTTCTGGAAGGACCTCTACAAATATCCTGAAAAATATGGCCAGGAATCCTGGCAGTGACATTGGAATATGAAAAGATGTGAAAGGGGGAAGTTGTAGCTACTGGTGGAAAAAGGTGAGTGGTTTGTATAATGAACATAATTGGAGCCCTTGTCTGTACCCTCAAATGCCTCTGCCTCCCAAACAAGTAACAGATTTTAGCTATACTGATGCAACTTGCTAGGAAGGTTTTCTTTAAACCTTTATAAATCAATTAAAAATGATTTATAGAGGAGACACTTGTAAAACATTTGAATAAAAGTTGAACAACAAATATGACGAAAGAAAAGTGTGCAGGCCCCGCACAGTGGCTTATGCCTGTAATCCCAGCACTTTGGGAGGCTGAGGCAGGTGGATCACCTGAGGTCAGGAGTTCGAGACCAGCCTGACCAATATTGTGAAACCCTGTCTCTACTAAAAATACAAAATTTAGCCAGCCATGGTGGTGTGCACCTGTAGTCTCAGCTACTCGGGAGGCTGAGACAGGAGAATCGCTTGAATCCGGGAGGCGGAAGTCGCCGTCAGTCGAGATCACGCCATTGCACTCCAGCCTGGGTGACAAGAGTGAAACTCCGTCCCCCCACCAAAAAAAAGAAAGAAAAAAAAAGAAAAGTGAGGGTGGAGGGAGGGAGAGCACGACGTGCGCGCACCCTCTCCCCTTGTCCACTGCTGCCGCCTCCTTCTTCTGCCGCTCCTGGTGCTGCTTGTGTGCTCGTTTGGAGCGGACCTGGTACCTCTTTTGTGAAGCGGCAGCTGAGGAGACTCCGGCGCTCGCCATGGCCGAAGAAAAGCCCAAGGAAGGAGTCAAGACTGAGAACAACGATCATATTAATTTGAAGGTGGCGGGGCAGGATGGTTCTGTGGTGCAGTTTAAGATTAAGAGGCATACACCACTTAGTAAACTAATGAAAGCCTATTGTGAACGACAGGGATTGTCAATGAGGCAGATCAGATTCCGATTCGACGGGCAACCAATGAAACAGACACACCTGCACAGTTGGAAATGGAGGATGAAGATACAATTGATGTGTTCCAACAGCAGACGGGAGGTGTCTACTGAAAAGGGAACCTGCTTCTTTACTCCAGAACTCTGTTCTTTAAAGACCAAGATTACATTCTCAATTAGAAAACTGCAATTTGCTTCCACCACATCCTGACTACTACCGTATAGTTTTCTCTATTCTTTCATTTCCCCCTTCCCCATTCCTTTACTGTACATAAAGTAACTGGTATATGTGCACAAGCATATTACTTTTTTTTTTTAAAACTAAACAGCCAATGGTATGTTTTGATTGACATCAAGTGGAGACGGGGCGGAAAAATACTGATTCTGTGAAAATACCCCCTTTCTCCATTAGTGGCATGCTCATTCAGCTCTTATCTTTATATTCCAGTAAGTTATTTTGCTCTCACTGTTTTAACAACAACAACAAAAAAACAACAACATAAAAATCCTTGCATACCTTGTTCAATTGGAGAATTTTAATGTTTTTCATTTATCATTGTAAAACCAAGGACAATTTTATAACTTTTTTGTACTTAGCTGTTACATGCAGAGCAATCTGTCTTTAAGTAGGGATAAATTACTCTAAAACAAAAAAGAATCCTAGATAGTTTTCCCTTCAAGTCAAGCGTCTTGTTGTTTAAATAAACTTCTTGTTTAAAAAAAAAAAAAAGTAAAAAAGAAAAGTTATGCAACAATTAATGGCCCAGAGGCAATCCTTGTTAACATTTTGATGCATCTTTTAGCTGTTTTTTTTTTTTTTTTTTTTTTTTGACTGAGTTTGACTCTTGTCACCCAGGCTGAAGTGCAATGGCATGGCATGATCTTGGCTCACTGCAACCTCCGCCTCCCGGGTTCAAGTGATTCTCCTGCCTCAGCCTCCTGAGTAGCTAGGATTACGGGCATGCACCACCATGCCTGGCTAATTTTGTATTTTTAGTAGAGTTGGGGCTTCTCCACACTGGTCAGGCTGGTCTCGAACTCCCAACCTCAGGTGATAAGGGAAGGGGCACTATTGACATTTATGGTTGGGGCAGAGGTGTAAGATATTCTTCAAAGCACTACCTACATGTTGAAGAATTGTTCCTCACCCAGATTCTCAAAAGTCCCCCAGGACATTCACGTAGTGAAAACCTGTGTTTAATTATCTGAGCCTATAACTTAATACAGTTTTAAAATTTTTTTTTAAATATACAGTGAACTTTCTAGGAATGCAATTATAGTTGTGTGTAAAATTAGGGAAAATTAACTTTGCTACCAAGAGTTGTTCAACATTTTGTTAAATCACTTCATTGATGGCAACATGCTGGAGGTAGTTGAGTCACCAACTCAGCACCTGGATCAGCCTGTGTTGGTAGCAGTTTCATCCCCGTGGTTCTGTGAATAGGTGGAAGCATCTGCTTACTCCATCAGGACTTCTAGGGTAGTCGGGCCTTGGCACTCACACATTAAAATACTGTTTATGTTATTTTATTGCAAGTTACTTTTCTTTCATTTCCCCTTTACGTTACAGAAAGGGAAGCATTTTGCTTTCTGTTTAAAGTTGTGTATGTAGGTAGGTTATATCATCTATGACTTTCTCTCCCTCCTTCCCTTTCTTTTTGTTTGAGATGGAGTCTTGCTCTGTCACCCAGGCTGGAGTGCAGTGGTGCGATCTTGGCTCACTGCAACCTCTGCCTCCCGGGTTCAAGCGATTCTGGTGTCTCAGCTGGGATTACAGGCGCACACCATCACACCACGCTAATTTTTCTATTTTTAGTAGAGATGGGGTTTCGCCATGCTGGCCAGGCCAGGCTGGTCTCAAACTCCTGAGCTCAAGTGATCAGTCCGCCTCGGCCTCCCAAAGTTCTGGGATTTCAGGCGTGAGCCTCATCTATGAATCTCAATTTAGGACAGTAAAAGTGTCATTACAAAATATTTATTGTAAAAAAGGGTTGGAGGTTGAGAATCTCAATTCTAGTCAGTCTCTCAGTGTTTGGTTTCTTCCTACCATTTTTCCCCCTAGGACCAGCCAGAAAGCAGCTTTTTTTTTGTCCCCCCCAACAAGGAGCCCACTGTTTCCTCTCCCAGCCCAAACTCAGGCCTACGAACAACAACAGCACAACACACACACACACACACACACACACACACACACACACACACCCCTCCACTTCAAGGTATAGCCAAGAGCTTCTGGAGCCGTCAAAAAGGTCTGTACCTGCTGTCTTTAGAGCTTCCAGTTTGCCCTTGGTCAAGAAATACTGTTTGCTAGGCTCTGCTGGAGTACATCAGGTAATACTGGCTTCTAAACCACCCTGAGGTTCTTTTCTCTTGTCCTTTTACTCCCTTCGTACTTCAATTTCTCTCCTTGATGTCCCCCTCCCTGTTTTGTTTTTTGCCTCCAATCCGTTCTGCGCGTTCCCTGCAGAGCAGGCGAGTAGCAATGCTGCTGGACCATGGAGCTGCTCTAGTCTCCCAGAAATCTCTTCTACACCCAACCCTTCTTGCGCTTAGGTGGTCCTCAGTCCCCCTCCCCCACCTCCTTCTGACCCAGGCTTCTTTCTCGCCCTCCGGTCGCAGTTCTCCTGGGCATCTGCCTCTGCCTCTCTCCTCTCACCCGGATCTAGGGCTGCCTTCTCTTTGTGCAGCCGTCTTTCTCCACCTTCATCCCAGACTCCCTGTCTCAGCGCCAGCTCCTCTGCCTTTGGCTCGGGTTCCCTCTCCCCCACCCCAGCTTCCAGTTGTTTGGCCCGCAGGTCCCTCGGCAGTGACCGGCGCCCCCCGACGAGTGCGTGTGCACCAGGGCACCTCCCTCTCCCCCACCTCTCAGCCCCGCGCCTCTCCACCGCCCGCCCCACCGCGCTGTGGGCGGTCCAGGGCGGGGCTGGGATCCGGGGCGGCTCCCGGGGCTCGGGTTGTGGGAGGCGCCCTCTCCCCGGTCTTCCCCTCTCTTCCCCCCGCCCTGCCTTCCCTTGCACCCTCCTTCTTCCCTCCGCCCGGGAGCTCTCCCTGGTCCCCGGCGCCGCCTCCTTCCCTCCCGGCTCCCCGCTCCCCGCTCCCGTGGCTGCCGCCGCCCCGGGGAAGAAGAGACAGGGGTGGGGTTTGGGGGAAGCGAGAGAGGAGGGGAGAGACCCTGGCCAGGCTGGAGCCTGGATTCGAGGGGAGGAGGGACGGGAGGAGGAGAAAGGTGGAGGAGAAGGGAGGGGGGAGCGGGGAGGAGCGGCCGGGCCTGGGGCCTTGAGGCCCGGGGAGAGCCGGGGAGCCGGGCCCGCGCGCCGAGGTAAGAGCCAGGGCCCCGGGTTAGCAGGGCTCGGAGAGGGGGCGCGCGGCGTGGTGGGGGAGGGGGCAGTGGGCGCAGGGCCCAGCTGGGGGAAGCGGGGCTGGGGGAGAGGAGGAACCGCGGGGATGGAATCGGGGAGCGCTGAGGCGGCCGATGCCGGGAGCGTGGGTAAGCCAGGCTTCTGCGAGCCGCGGGGGCCGGGGGAGAGGAGGTGGTGAGAGGTGGAGTCCCGGGAGGGTTGGGGGCCGAGGGAGGCAGGAGGAGGGTGGGGACAGGCTTTCTCTCCTCCTCTCCCCCCACCCCGCGCGGGGCTCCGCCCCCGCCTCCTCCGCGGGGCGCTCTCTTGGTCCCCAGGCTGAGCCCGGTCGGAGCCTGCGAGGCAACCGGCAAGAGGTCGAGTAGTCTCCGGGTGCGGGCCGCGCCGGCGGGGCTCGGTCCAGTCCTCATGGCCGCCTCTCACTTAGATGTTGCTGCTGCTGCTACTGGCGCCACTCTTCCTCCGCCCCCCGGGCGCGGGCGGGGCGCAGACCCCCAACGCCACCTCAGAAGGTGCATCCTTCTTCGACGACCTCCGGCCCTCCTTCGCTCCACTTCCCTTTCCCTGCATCTCCTCATTTCTGGTCCTCATCACTATCCCATCAGTCCCACATATCATCCCGGTCTGGCAACCCCTTCTGCTCGGCCCGACTTTACTACTGCTGACCTCCTTCTGTCACCCCACGTTACTATCCAGCACCTCTTTTCTCTGCCCACATTGCTACACTATACCACCTTCCTGTGCATTTTCTCCGCCTCAATCCCCTTTCCCAGCCCCACATTACTACCTCAATTACTCCCTTTTCTTGGTCCCACTTTGCTGTCCAGATGATCTTATTAGCCTCCCTTTATCCTCCTATCCTAATTCAACTCGAATATCCTCATTTAGCCTTTTTTTTTAAAGAAAAGCTCCACCCACATATCATACCCTTCATGATTTCTTAATTACTTTTCTTTCTTACCTCCACCCAGCACCCTTCCCTCCCCACTTGTGGGTTCTCTCATCAGCTTTAACCCTGGCCCTTTACTCTCTGTCCTTTAGCCAGGGGATCTGTACCTGTCCCCACTCCCACCCTCTAGTGCCCCATCCCTCTTCCTCTGTCCCCAGCCTGCCCACAGACCACGCCCTACTCTCCCCTTCCTCCCACTGGGGAGCCTGCCTTTTCCTCTTTCCCACCATTCCTCTCTGTATGCCTCCCCGACTCACCCCTTAGGTTGCCAGATCATACACCCGCCCTGGGAAGGGGGCATCAGGTACCGGGGCCTGACTCGGGACCAGGTGAAGGCTATCAACTTCCTGCCAGTGGACTATGAGATTGAGTATGTGTGCCGGGGGGAGCGCGAGGTGGTGGGGCCCAAGGTCCGCAAGTGCCTGGCCAACGGCTCCTGGACAGATATGGACACACCCAGCCGCTGTGGTGAGTAGCCTCGGAAGCCCCTCCCCTCTTCAAGACTATTCCTTTTCCTGCCGCAAACTTAGCATTACTGCTTGCAAGTCAGCACTTTAAATCCAGTATACCAAAATTCACAAATACATTTATTGAATGACTACTACATAAGAGCAATTTTGCTCTGTGCGGTTGGAGGTAGTAGAGCTAGCAGCCTGCACAGTTCATTTCATCCTCCCTTCATTAGGCCACTGATCATTGGCCTATAACATTGATAATTCATCTTGTCAGTTATTCTCTTTGAGGATCATTAGTGGCAGATGATGACAAAAAAATTCTAAAATGATTTCATCACATTTTTGAATACCTCTGTCACCAACCCAGAGACCATATGCCCAAGAAACAAAAGCCAGTTTAATATTAATAGAAGCCAACTATAATAAGAAAAGCAAATCTGATTGTGCATCCAAAGTTATATACATCTACATATTTCAAAGCCAGAGAACCGCCCACTGTAGCTGACTTTGAAGAGATCCCATTTTGTGTGCTTATAGCCCCATCTTGGGTTCCTAAAATGGTAATTTTTTTTTTCTTTTGGGAATGTGTGGATGCTTGCACAGGTAAGGGAGGATTGGAAGATAGGTAGGCAAATCCTTTTCACATGTGATTTTCTTTAGAGCAGGATGCTTGTGGACCCAAACCTGCACCTGAGTCCCCTGCTCTTTAAAGGGAAAGAGCCTTCTTCAACTCGCCTCTCTTCTTATTTTCCTATCTCTCCACAGTCCGAATCTGCTCCAAGTCTTATTTGACCCTGGAAAATGGGAAGGTTTTCCTGACGGGTGGGGACCTCCCAGCTCTGGACGGAGCCCGGGTGGATTTCCGGTGTGACCCCGACTTCCATCTGGTGGGCAGCTCCCGGAGCATCTGTAGTCAGGGCCAGTGGAGCACCCCCAAGCCCCACTGCCAGGGTGAGGGGAACAGCTGCCTGCATGCAGCTGATGAGGACGCTTGTGTGAGGATGGGAGTGGGGTGGGAATGGATAATGGGAAAGAATGGAGAGCTATAAAAATGTGGGGGAGGACACTGGAAAGGGGAGATGAAAGTCCCTTTTTCCTCCATCACCTGCCTCAAACTTCCTCTTGCAGTCCCCGGTATCCTCTGTAGGTTGGGGGCTTCCTTCCTTTACCTTTTAAAAAAATCTTCCTGCTCCCGATTCTTAGACCTCACGTTTTCTCTTTTCCTTTATGAATCTCACCTCTCTCACCTTCTTCAGGTTTAAATACTCCAATTTTCCCTTTCTCTAAACTTAGAAATTTCCATGCATCACCCTCTTCTAGAATTCATCCCTCACCATTCCTTATATAATTGATTTATTGTAAAGACTCAGAAATAAATCAAACATTCTACTAAGAAAAATTGAGAAGGGGAGCTCTGGGGGTGGAAACATATTAGGGTAAAAGACTTAAAATTGGAGGCAGCATTATCAGAAGATGAAGAACAACTCAGGGATGGGGTGGGAAGAAGACAGGTCCTTTTCTGTACTTCCTAGACAACCTCCATTATTCCCTAAGGGAATCAGTGTTGTGTCTGTCTACTTTTTTTTTTTTTTTTTTGCCACGTAATTTTACAAACTCTCCCTTTTCTAGGCACCCGAACTCTCTGCCATCTTCTCTCCTGGGATGCAGTCATCCCATTTGTATGCCTCATACTTCCTCTACCCTGGTAGATTCTTTCAAGATCCTTGGGCTTTACTTTCCTCACATAACTCAGTTATTCTGCTTCTAGTTTACCATTTTATTCTGGAAATTGAGAGTCCCATCCAGGGGTGGACTTATGACACTACTGAAACTTAGACTTCAAGGTTCCTCACCTACAGGGCCCTCTTCCTGTGCTCTAATAATATAGAGGGCTCGATGGATATGTGTTCATATGGTAACAGGCTTTTGTAAAAATTGCAGAAATAAGATTTTAACAGCAATTGCTTAAAGCCAATTGTATGTGTAATTTTTTTTCTTAAAGACTCCCAATTTTGTAATATTCAGGCACCACAGAACCAAGATCTGCCCCAAACTTAGCTATTGGCATTCCCGTCTCAAATTCTGTTGTCCTATGAAAAATCGAAGAAGAAAATAAGTCCTGACCCCCTTACCCCCAGACCCACCTTGTTCTTATCCCCAGGCACCCTCCCCTCAGAAACGCAGGCTTCTGCTCTCCCCGGTCTTCAGCATGGACAGGTGTGGGAGGGGGCTGGGGATCAGGCCAGGGAAGCTGGGCGCCAGTGGTAACTCTTCTCTGATCCCCGTCTTTCCTGCTGCCAGTGAATCGAACGCCACACTCAGGTGAGATGAGAAACCCTTACCGCGCGCACTGCAATGCCCTCCCCTTCACTCTGCACCCTCCACCCCCCTGAAATTCTGCCCTTAGGCTACGGGGCGTCGTCCTTTCGCACCTTCCCCAACCCACCCCAGTTTGCGGCCACCCCCTTCCCTCCCTACCTGTTTCCTGCCTCCAGTCCCGGTTTTCCACGAGGCTGCGGTCTCTCCTTGTCCCTGCTTGGCTACACTTCCCTGGGCTCCACCTCCTCCCAGACTGAGCCTCGCCGGTGTCAGGCAGAGCCCAGCAGAGGGCGGCAGGGTGCTGGGAGACCCTGAGCTCCCACCACGTTTTCCCCTGTGGGGTTCCTTGCGACCTTCGCTGGAACCTTTTCCAGCCTGCTGCCTCCTAGGATTTCACCTAATGGACTTTCTCAGCCTGTCCCACCCATCCCAACCCTGGCCAGGCCTCTCGCGCTCTTCCCCACATCTTTTCCTTCCGTGTACCCCTTCCCTCGTCTTTTCTCAATTCCATGTCCTGTCTCCCTTTCTTAGGCTTCTGTCTACCCAGCCCCAGGCTCCCTTCCACGACCCCACCACTCCCTCAAACCAGCCTCCCTTCCGTACCCAACTCGTTCCCTCCAAAACCGTTTCCTCTCCCCCACATCCTCAGTGCTTCACTGTATCGACTCATACTCCCACTTCAGACCTCAGGCGCCAGCCCCGTTTCTCTCCCGTCCCACTCGCATCCTTCCCTTCCTACCCTGGTTCCTCCGTGCTTCAGCCTCCCGCGGCTCCCTCCGCCCACCCCGCCCTCCTGGCACGCCCCGTCCCCATTTCTCCTCCCCTCGGGTCCCCTTAAGTGAGATCCCTCCCTTCCTCTTTCGTTCCTTTCCTCCTCGAGGTTGCATCCCCCCTCCCCTCCCCGCCCCTCCGACTGTCGCTCCCACCTCGGCGCTCGCTTCCCTCCCCGCCCCCTTCCTGCCTCCCCAGCTCCCGCCCGCCCCCCCACCCCCCGCTGCCGCGCGCCGCCCGTGACGTCAGAGCCCCCTCCCAGCCCCACATCTCCCTCCTGCTCCTCCTCCTCCCCTCCGTCGGTCAGTCAGTCCGCGAGGAGAGTCCGCGGTGGCGGCGACGGTGGCGAGAGCCGCGGGGGCCGTAGGAAGCCAACCTTCCCTGCTTCTCCGGGGCCCTCGCCCCCTCCTCCCCACAAAATCAGGGATGGAGGCGCCTCCCCGGCACCCTCTTAGCAGCCCTCCCCAGGAAAAGTGTCCCCCCTGAGCTCCTAACGCTCCCCAACAGCTACCCCTGCCCCCCACGCCATGGGGCCCGGGGCCCCTTTTGCCCGGGTGGGGTGGCCACTGCCGCTTCTGGTTGTGATGGCGGCAGGGGTGGCTCCGGTGTGGGCCTCCCACTCCCCCCATCTCCCGCGGCCTCACTCGCGGGTCCCCCCGCACCCCTCCTCAGAACGGCGCGCAGTGTACATCGGGGCACTGTTTCCCATGAGCGGGGGCTGGCCAGGGGGCCAGGCCTGCCAGCCCGCGGTGGAGATGGCGCTGGAGGACGTGAATAGCCGCAGGGACATCCTGCCGGACTATGAGCTCAAGCTCATCCACCACGACAGCAAGGTAGCCCTGGACATGGGGGTGGGTGGGAGGTGGGGGCTTGCGGGGCAGGGGGCCAGCCAGCTGCACGCGCCCCCATCTGTCTGAGTCGTCTCTGGGATTGCGAGGCAGACCCCTCCCTTGTGTGACTGGCAGGAGATGGGCTGGGGGTGCAGGAGCTTGGGGAGAGTCGCAGGGGCTGGAGGTCCAAGATGAGGGTCTAGGGGCTCAAGATGGTTAAGCATGCTGCAAGGCAGACCCTTCTGCCCCGCTGCGGGAGTCTCGCAGAAGTGTCGGGGTTTGGAGAAACTGGTGGTGGATTTAAGGTATTAGGAGACACTGATCCTCTGAGGGAGTAAACTAACCCTGGAATGGGTTGGGGGTGGAGGGAATGTCAGAGGTGGGGAGCTGGATTGGGGGTTTACATTTACCATGGTAACAAGGTAAAATCTTGGCGTAGGTTGGAGCTGGAAGGAATAGGGACAGAATGAGGAAAATTTTGAGAGACTTGAGAGCTCTAGTTTATTTATCTTAACAAAACAGCAAGGTAGTGGTGAGCCCTACCTGACTCCTTCTCATCCTTCTATTCCCAACCCTGTTGAGCATTCCCAGACTGTGGGATAGATGGCATATGGTGATTGGGGAAGGCTAATGATCAAGAGGTGGGCAGAGGCACTGGGAAAATGAATTGGATTGGGGATCCACATGGGAACCCCCACAATAGCATGGGGATGAAGAAGAGTCAACATACAAGGAGAAGAGAACAGAAAAGAATGGCAGTGGGGGAGAGGGGCAAGGAGGTAGCGTGGGGATAATGAGAGATCTTGGGGCACCTTATGGAACTTGGGTCCTGACCTTCCCTTCCCTTATAGCATTGTGGCCTCTAGGATGTGAGAAGGGAAATGGGATGTAGGGATTAGGGAGGTGAGTTGAGGGAGAGAGAGAAGGTAAGCAAATTTGGGTCCAGGGGTATTAGGGGATAGCTTATAATGAGGTTTTTTTTCCCACCCCTCTCCCCTACATGAATAATTGGGGGTGCAGGGAAGGATGTGACACAGGGAAGGAGATTTAAGATCTCAAATTTATCTTCACTGACATGTGGCCCCAGAGACTTAAGGAATTGGGTTAGGGTGAAATAGAGTACACAAGGTGAGAATTTGGTGATCTTACCAAATATCAACCTTGGGGTGATCCAAGGATTTATATTCATTTTTAGAACATCACTATACACCTAGAAATAGGTGTGTGTCTGGGATAGGTGTGTGAGGGGACAGAAGTGAGGTTGAAGGTAGGGTGCTTGAAGAGAAGAGAGCACAAGGATTATCAGGAGCTTGGCAAGAGAACTTAAAATCCTTTTTGACTGTTACTTTCTCGTGGTTCTCAGCCTTCAGTGTACATAAGAATCACCAGAGGAGTTTGTTAAAAATACAGATTCTAGCTCCTTGGTCAGGGATGAATCCCAAGTATTTATCTGTATTTTTACTAATAGACATCCTATCTTGGTGGATTCCTGAGCTGTAAGCTAACCCCAGAATGCCTATGGGAAGAGCAGCAGGGTACAGGAAAATAATTAGGTATTAGGGTACGGGAGGCAGGAAGAGAAGTAGAGGATCAGATCTGGTAGAGGGTCAGACTTGGGACAGTCAGAGAGATCATTGGTTTTGGGGAGTGGAGTGTGAAGAAAATGACAGGGAGAGATGGGTGCAGGCTTTATGATAGGGGATCACAGGAGATAGGGGAGGCCTGGCTGTGAGCTCAAACTCATCCACCATGACAGGTGATTCCCTGGAGGTGGCGGGGAGCAGACGTGGGACCTGGGAGAAGGGAACTGGAGAACATCAGAGGCATCAAGCGGGGTGGGATGGGAAGGCAGAAGAACCAGAATGTGTCAATTGGAATGAGTCGGTTTCCTGCCTGCAAATCCAGATCCTTGCAAGAGCAAAGAGAGGGAGGAGAACTAAGGAAATCTATTGGGGAGGGGGAGAGAATCACGTGGTGGAGAGAATCTGCAGTGATGAATAGTGTGTGGAAGAGGGAAACGGTTGCAAGAAAAGGTAGATAAGAAATCAGGAAACAAAATGGGGGGCATGCCTTGCCCTGTTGATATGTATCTTATATGTTCTTGTATGTCCTCATTGTTCCTATTAACCCTGTCTTTAGAGAAGTGGAGGGGCACTGAGGGGCTGTGGGAGAAGCTGGGAGCAGGATCTGGAGTAATAGATGTGGGGAGAGTGCAGGAAGGTGGGTCCTGAGAATGGTAAAGATTTACAAAGTTGCCCTAGTGGGAGGCATAAAGAGAAAACCTTCCAATGTTGTTGAGCACTGCCCTTGGCCAGAGTGAGGGTAGGGTGGGCAACAGAGAATTCTCAGTGACTGCTGGTTCTTCAGATTCCAACAGCTTCCCCTGGCTCCCCCTTCTCCAACTTCCCACCGTGTCCCAAATGTCAGGCCTCAGTGGGAGGTAAGCAGGCTCCAGAGTGCTTTCTTTATTTCCTTTCTACTTATCCTCCCCTCCTGGCAACATTTCACCCTCCTTAGTCCCCTGAGCCCCCTGTCTGTGTCCCCTCTGCCCTGGCTCCCCACTGGCTGCCATTTCGTCTTCACATGCATTGGGGTTCCAGCAGCTTCTGAAATGTCATATATCAGTGGGAGGGGAACAGGCAGTGGGAGACCCAAGGCTGGCTCTTCCTCCCCCATTTCCCCTCCTCCCAAGCTTCCTTTCTTCTCCAGCTTTCTGCTTGTTTACTTTCCCTAGCTCCAAGCCTCTCTTTAAGGCACCTCTCAAATTGTCTGGTTTCTTGAGAGTTCCATTCTATTCATTCTCTCTGTTCTTTCCTCATCCTACATTCTTCCCTACTTCCACCCCCCAGTGTCTTTTTTTCTAATGGACCTGTCAAATGTCAGCGCCCAGCAGGAGGGATGGATCACTGAGCGGGACCCCCTACTGGTCTTGTTCCTGTTCTCTCTTTACTTATCACTAGCTCTGAAAAGAGAAGAGGGAGGAAACAAATGGAAGGTGGGGAGAAGGGGTTTGCAGAGGTGAGGAAGGAATTTTCATAATATGGCTTTGAGCAAGCTATCTGGGGATGTGGAAAGAGTTTACCGTATTCCTACTGACTTCTTCCACCCACTGGTGTTTGAAGCATAGAAACATGGGGTAAAGGGCTTGGTGACAGAGGGAAGGGGGATGTCTGAGGGTGAGCTGAAAGGAGGTAAGGTGGTATGTTCATTAATACCAAAGGAGGGGTGTGCAGGAGAGGTGATGGGTAAGGCTCCAGATGGAAGACAGAGAAGGAAGTTTAATGAAAGAGGAGAAAAAAGGCACTTGACAGGAAGAGATGCCAGAAAGGAGAAGAAAACGGTAATTAATGATGAAAGTGAGTAATTGAGAAAGGAACTAATTTGTTCGAGAAAGATAAGAGCAGGAATTGCAGACAGGGGAGGGGCCCCAGGAGAGCTTGCCCTCATCTCCTCTTGTCTTTCAGTGTGATCCAGGCCAAGCCACCAAGTACCTATATGAGCTGCTCTACAACGACCCTATCAAGATCATCCTTATGCCTGGCTGCAGCTCTGTCTCCACGCTGGTGGCTGAGGCTGCTAGGATGTGGAACCTCATTGTGGTAAGCAGGGCTATGGGGGTCAGAAGATGGGGTCATTCCCTTTTGAGCTCTACTGAAGGGACGATGGCGATTGTGGGTTTGTATTGAAAAGGAGTGTGGAGGACCTGCTACTAAGATTCAGAGTCCTCTGCAGACCTGAGCTAGGCAGCCTCCTAGCAACAGTGGCCTGACAGTGCTGCAGCTGACCTCCTTCTTCAGAAGGAATTGAAATTAGATCAGTGAAAGAGCATCCCGGTTGTGAGGGGTGTGTGGGCCTTTGAGAATCTCTTTTCCTTAGGCAGACCAGAGGTGGGGAGGTTTGGAGAGAGTAAGGAAGAGAAACCCAAAGGCAGGAAGAGGGTTAAAGGAACTCTTGGCCACTCTTGGTGTCCTCAGTGAACAGACCCTGTTGCACTCACTCTCCCTGCCCCACAGCTTTCCTATGGCTCCAGCTCACCAGCCCTGTCAAACCGGCAGCGTTTCCCCACTTTCTTCCGAACGCACCCATCAGCCACACTCCACAACCCTACCCGCGTGAAACTCTTTGAAAAGTGGGGCTGGAAGAAGATTGCTACCATCCAGCAGACCACTGAGGTCTTCACTTCGGTGAGGAGGGGTTGGGCAAGGGGTAAAGGGACATAAGCTCAAATTCCAGCACCAGGAGATGTGACGTGAGAGTCACTTTTAGGGGCAAGAACTTGATTCTTCATTGAAAGAGAACGCATTCCATGTGGATTAAGTGCAGTTCTTTCTGTAGCCAGGGGAAAGAATGAGTTGAGTTTTTGGGATCCTCTCTGTCTTTATGATTTTATGATTTTTTTCCCCTGTTTGATGCCCTGTTCCCCAGACATATAGACCCAGAATGACTCAGTTCTGTTAAAGTAGGTTCAATCCAAAGTGGGGGCAAGAGATGGGAGCGAAGATGAGATAGGAATCCAGGAAGGCAGCAGATTCCAGAGGCTTTCAAGGGGGGTGGTGGGTGGGTGTGAATGGGAACAGAGGGGATGGAGCCAGTGGATTACAGAGGAGAGAGGGAGAGGAAAGAGAGAGAGAGAGAGGAATGAGGGAGAGGAGAGAGAGGGGCAGAAAGGCAGCTGCATGGATCTGGTAGTTGGTACTAAGAGAGAGAAGCCGACAGACAAGGAGAGGTTGAGGGGGAAGAGGGAGATTTGGGGAGGTAGAGAGGAAATACAGGCTCTACATCTGAAGAAGGCAGTCTGCTCCCTCCCTTTTATTCTATTCTTTGGGTCTTCTATCCACTGTGTTCAGTGGCCCTTTAATCCTCCCCCACTTTCACTCTGATTCAGACCATTCTTCTCTGATCCTTTGTCTGTCTGCCCATTTGCCTCTTGAGGTTGACATCATGCTGTCTGTCCCAGTCCTTGCCTTGTCTTTTCCTGGTTCCTTTATGTTTCTTTACCCCATCTTTGCCTTCAGTGGTAGGAGTGGGTGAATGGAGTGGCTTCCCCCACACAGAGCCTCAGCAGGGGCTCACCATTCACCTTCCCACTTGGAATCCACATCCTAAGACCAGATGCCTTCCCGAACTCCTCACTTCAGGGACAGAAGCTGTTGAAGGAAGGTTCAGAATGGCTGCTTCTTTGCTCTATCTGAGTATTGCTCTGAAATCCCCAGTTAACCTCTCTGGTCTTTATTCCCTCATGCACCCCGTGTTTTTCCAACTTGTTTTTTATTCCCACCCAAGACTCTGGACGACCTGGAGGAACGAGTGAAGGAGGCTGGAATTGAGATTACTTTCCGCCAGAGTTTCTTCTCAGATCCAGCTGTGCCCGTCAAAAACCTGAAGGTCAGATGGCTGGGAGTGGTGGGCTCTGTTTACGGAGGGACCAAGCTGGGGGACAGTGACTGGTTGGAGAGGAAAGCCAGGCGGGGGCAGGTTTTGATTCTCTGAGGCAATAGCATCTCCTGGGGAAGTTTAGCTCCATCTTCCAGTTGACGTTTATTCACTATACGTTGAGCGTTACCCTGCACTAAGCACTTTGGGATGGGAAATCAAAGCTGTGAAGACATCTGGCTTAGCCCCTCAGGCATTCCCGGGCATCCCTCAGGAGCTGTTTCTTTCTCTGTTGTAGCGCCAGGATGCCCGAATCATCGTGGGACTTTTCTATGAGACTGAAGCCCGGAAAGTTTTTTGTGAGGTGGAGTTGGATCTGAAGAGGGAGGGGCACTGGGTGGGAGTTTCCCTTGGTTTTCTTGTGGGGCCTCCTCTTGGCATCTGTGCCTGAGTTGATAGCATATGATCTGAGGTGACGATTCATAGGATGTCTCTGTCTGTTGGCTCTGACTGCATCCCTTGTCTGCACACACATGATACTTTCTTCAGATCTCATTTTTCTACTGCTTTGTGTTTCCTGAGAAGCCCATGAATTCCATCTGTCCTGACTGGCTGGAAAAGGCCACTCAGAAATACAGGGGCTGGGGAGAAACTTAGAAGGAAGAATTGTCAGCCTTTCCTACTATCCCCAAGACTTGTAGATTTCTCTTTTTAGTTCTACTGCTCTTCCCTGATTCCCAAGAGGCTAAATAGTATCAAGTGAGATAAGACAAAAACAAACAAATGAGCAAACAAAAACTCAGCCATTCTCCTCTGTATTCAGGTGTACAAGGAGCGTCTCTTTGGGAAGAAGTACGTCTGGTTCCTCATTGGGTGGTATGCTGACAATTGGTTCAAGATCTACGACCCTTCTATCAACTGCACAGTGGATGAGATGACTGAGGCGGTGGAGGGCCACATCACAACTGAGATTGTCATGCTGAATCCTGCCAATACCCGCAGCATTTCCAACATGGTGAGAGTGTGGGGACTTGCAGTCTGGCACCTGGGAGGGTGGAGAGGACTGAGGGGGCCTTGCAGGGGAAAGGGTGGCAGGGAGAGGGTGCGGAATTTGGATATAAAGGAGAAGAGGGGGCTGTGCCCACCCTGAACTTGTCTGCATTATGTTTCCTGTGGATCCTACCTTTGCTCTGACTTCCTTGGGTAGAGAGAGAAAAAAAAAAAAACGATGGAGTTGTATGTTCAGTAGGTTCCTGATGAGTGGAAGGGCTGTTACCATGGAGACGAGGAGCAGTTGGTGAGAAGTCAGGAGGAACCGGCATTAATGATAATATGGATGCTTGTATACTCAAGCACACCTTTACAGGAGCACTGTGTCTGGGCAGAATTGCATTTCATTTTCTTGGTGATTTATGTTAGTGTTTTAGAGTTGCTTAATATTCACTCATGATTGATATGCAATTAGCTTGGATCCTGTTGCTTTTTTTAATGATTCTTTTTTTAGAATTTTATGTGGAGAAGGGGCTTTTGAAATCATTTAGCCCCAGACAGCTGGTTAATGACAGACTTGGAGCGAGGAGGCGCATTCTCTGATTTGAGAGGGCTGGGGCAGCCCTGCAGCTGAGGGGCAGAAGTGAGTGTGGGTGTGGGCACAGGGGAAGAGGCTTCTTTGTTGCTCAGCACTACATTGTAAAGAGTACAGGAATTTTGGGTAAGCTCGATACGGCCACCTATGTGTCTGCTTATTACACCAAGTGTGTACCTGCTTTGGAGAGCATGTTAGGGGTGAGTTAATGGTTGTAAAGCCCCAAAATAGCTTGATTTAAAAAGTTTTACTAACAGTGGCATTTGTGTGGTACTTAGATTCATGATTTCAGGGATTCTAACAGCAAAACTCTGATGTGGACTTATCTACATTTTGTAGACCAGGAAAATGAGACTCAGAGTGGTTTAATGACTTGTCTCAGGTCATGCAGCTACTCAGCAGTCCAGCTGGAATTGAATCCTAGTTAAATCTGGCTCCAAACTGCTCTGCTCATCACTTCCCATGGAAAACCATGAAGCCTGACTAAAAAGTTTGTACTTTTATCTGCTAACACTGTTTAGCTACTGGCAATTGCTGAGCAAAGGAGAAATAAGATTTAGGAAGTTGACTCTGGTGGTGTGTTGTGATGAAAGATCTGCTGCCACATGGACTCTGATGATACACACTGTTTTGGGACATTCTAAATGGACTCTATGTTTTAAGGTATGTTAGTTGAAAAATACAATGAAAAAATTTTGGAAGATCACTTTCCTGTAGAGTACCCAAGAGGTGAGTCATCCATAAAACCTGGGAAAGTATTGGAACTGGCTACCAAAGCCAGAAAGACTTGTTGGTGCCCTGAGCCCAGGACTTGCCAATCGTTGCTTCTGTCTTATAGCAGGGAGCTAGAGGAGGCTGACAGAAAACAGGGATTTGGCTGGATCTAGTGGCTCACACCTGTAGTCCCCAGCACCTTGGGAGGCCAAGGCAGAGGATCACTGGAGCCCAGGAGTTCAAGACCAGCCTGGGCAATATAGTGAGACCCCCAGCTCTAAACAAAAAGAGAGAGAGAGAGAACAGAGAGATGGTTAGGGACATAGAGGGACACCTGAGCATTGGGGTGGGAAGACTTGGAAGGTCCCTTTCTGACTTTGTGTCTAGAGAAAGATGGTTCCTGCTTTTGAGGCCATAGGGCTTCCAGTGGGACCAGCCTAAAATGCCAGTGGGGAAGCCAATGTTTTCTGAAGAGGATAGAGCAGTCTTAACAATAGGTTAGGGGCAAAAGAGATTATAGATTAATCAAACAGCACAAATAGAAGTGGATCAAAGCAAGGGTTGGACCTAGGGGGCCGGAGCCATGGAGACTTAGAAAAGAAGCAGAGTTGCTTTTATTCCCTAAGGATGGCCTTATGTTTAGATCAATAGTTCTCAAACTTTAACATCCGTCAGAACCACCTGGAAAGGTAGTTAGTTCACAGGTTATCAGGCCCTTCCCCTGGAAATTCTGATTCAGTAGATCTGGGCTAGGGCCTGAGAACTGACATTTCTAGCAAGTCCCTGGGGATGCAGATGTACTGGTCTGGGGATCACACCTCGAGAACTATTAGTTAGGGTAGTGGTTTTCAACTACTACCCTAGACTCAGACGCTATACTATCTGGAGGCATTTTTGGTTGTTACAGTTGGGGGTAGGGGATGGGGAGGGATACATGCTCCTGATATCTAATGTGTAGAAGCCAAAGATGATTCTAAATATCCTACAAAGCACAGCCCCTGGCAACAAAGAATTATCTTGCTCAAAATGTTAATAGTGCAGAGAATGAGAAACCCTAGTTTAGAGAAAACATCTTTAGGGGCAATATGTGGAAATGGAGAGTGGGTTAGAGTGGTTTTAGAGAAATGTAGCTGTGGGCTAGAGGGGAATGTGGGAGGTGGCATCCTGGAGATAAGATTGTGAGGAAATCTTGATTGGGGTAGAGATCCCATCAGACCTAGGACCAGTACAAACTAAAAAGCTACCTCAAGATATACATTTTAGCCCACTGTCAAGCATCCATTCTTGAGAGCCAGACAAGGCTGTTAAAAAAATTAGGTATAAATTTGCACTTGGTTGATTAACTAATTGCTGTGGGTTGAGGGGTCTTTATTGTTCAGATTTCCTTAAGCTGCAGAGTAGAGTGTCTCTTTGACAATCTATAACTGTATCTTTACTGACTCAAGGGGGAAGCATTCTACTCTTCTTTACTCTTGGGGTGGCAGGAGCAGTGGTGCCCCCAGTGGTTAGGCGTGTTAGTGGTAGTGACCTGGCGTGAGCACAGGGTCTGACCACCTGAGCAGGGGACCGCATCGTGCTGAGCAGATTAATCCCTTTCTTTCTGGGTGATTTTTTTGATGCCATATTTACCTTGAACTGAAGATTGGATAGACCAATCTTTCAATTTGAAGCCAAAAGACTACTCAAAGTATTAGCCTAGCTGCTATTTGTGCAGGTGCTCTTAGAGAGAGGCAGTCTCATGTACAGAGACTGTGTAGGGTGGCTGGTAAGAGTATGGATTAGCTCTGCTACTCATTAATAGTATAACTTTTTTATAGGCAAGTTATATAACTTTTCTGTGCCTCAGTTTTCTTATCTCTAAAATGGGGATAATAACACCTCATTGGATTGTTTGAGGATTAAATAAGGTAATATAGTTTCCTCAGGAAAATGCTCGATACGTCCTAAGGACTGTATACATGTTAGCCACCATCATCGTTATCATTATCATCATCATCCTGTGTAAGGAGGGATCGATATCAATGAAACATTTCAACAAAAGAGTTAAGAGGACTCAGTGATTTGAAAGGGTCTGATGTAATTCCAAGGCTTCAGTCTCATTTACTGGGAGCTGTTTGGGAGTAAGAAAAAATTGAGCTTCATCTTGGATATTTTGATTTTGAGATTATTCATCATACATTAAAAATGCCTCAGAGTCAGTTAGAAATATGGACTTGAGGCTGGGCGCGGTGGCTCACGCCTATAATCCCAGCACTTTGGGAGGCTGAGGCAGGTGGATCACAAGGCCAGGAGTTCAAGACCAGCCTGGCTAACATGGTGAAACCCCGTCTCTGCTAAAAATACACAAATCAGCTGGGTGTGGTGTCGTGTGCCTGTAATCCCAGCTACTTGGGAGGCTGAGACACAAGAATCGCTTGAACCCAGGAGGCAGAGGTTGCAGTGAGCCAAGATCGCACTACTGCACTCCAGCCTGGCAACAGAGCAAGACTCCATCTCAAAAAAAAAAAAAAAAAAAGAAAGAAAGAAAGAAAAGAAATATGGACTTGAAATATTGGGCTGAAATTATAGATCTGAGTATCAATAACAAAGATGAGGTTGAGAGTCAAGGAAATTCACGTAGAGAAAATGTAACTTACTTCATACCCAGCATTTTTATACATGTTCTAATTTCATTTCATACTATTTTAGATAGTATTATTCTCATTTTAAAGCTGAATAACCAACTAGTGAGGTTTAATAACTTGTTTGAGATTTCATAGCAGGTAAAATGATTAGAATATGAATTCATCCATTTATCTATCCAACAGACTTTTTTTTTTTTTTTTTTTTTTTTAGTAGAGACGGGGTTTCACCGTGTTAGCCAGGATGGTCTCGATCTCCTGACCTCGTGATCCGCCCGCCTCGGCCTCCCAAAATGCTGGGATTACAGGCGTGAGCCACCGCGCCCAGCCTTTTTTTTTTTTTTTTTTTGAGGTAGAGTATCCCTCTGCTGCCCAGGCAGGAGTGCAGTGGTACAATCGCTGCAGCCTTGACCTCCTGGGCTCAAGTCATCCACCCACCTCAGCCCCTCCCAAGTAAGCTGGGATCACAGACATATGCCACCAAGTCTGGCTAACTTTTTTTTTTTTTCTCGAGATAGAGTCTTGCTCTGTTGCCTAGGCTGGAGCACAATGGTGTGATCTCGGCTCACTGCAACCTCTGCCTCCTGGGTTCCAGTGATTCTCCTGCCTCAGCCTTCTGAATAGCTGGGATTACAGGTGCGTGCCACCATGCCCAGATAAGTTTTTGTATTTTTAGTGGACATGGGGTTTCACCATGTTGGTCAGGTTGGTCTCGAACACCTAACCTCATGATTCACCCTCCTCAGCCTCCTGAAGTGCTGGGATTACAGGCGTGAGCCACTGCTCCAAGCCAAGTCCGGCTAATTTTTTTTTTTTCTGAGATGGAGTCTTGCTCTGTTGCCCAGGCTGGAGTGCAATGGCATGATCTTGGCTCACTGCAACCTCCGCCTCCTGGGTTCAAGCGATTCTCCGATTCTCCTGCCTCAGCCTCCTGAGTAGCTGGGATTACGGGAGCCCACCATCACACCCAGCTAATTTTTGTATTTTTTTTTTTGAGACAGAGTTTCATTCTTATTGCCCAGGCTTGAGTGCAATGGCGCGATCTTGGCTCACAGCAACCTCCGCCTCCCAGGTTCAAGCCATTCTCCTGCCTCAGCCTCCGGAGTAGCTGGGATTACAGGCATGCGCCACCACACCCGGCTAATTTTGTATTTTTAGTAGAGACAGGGTTTCTCCATGTTGCTCAGGCTGGTCTCGAACTCCGGACCTCAGGTGATCCACCCGCCTCAGCCTCCCAAAGTGCTGGGATTACAGGCGTGAGCCACCGTGCCCAGCTAATTTTTGTATTTTTCATAGAGACAGGGTTTCACCATGTTGGCCAGGCTGGTCTTGAACTCCTGACCTCATGATCTGCCCGCCTTGACCTCCCAAAGTCCTGAGATTACAGATGTGAGCCTCCGTGCCCAGGCCAAGTCTGGCTAATTTTTAAAAAAATTTTGTAGAGTTGGGTCCTCTCTGTTTTGCCCAGTCTTGTCTCAAACTCCTGGGCTCAAGGAATCCTCCTGCGTTGGCCTCTGAAAATGAAAATGTTGGGATTACAGGCGTGAGCCCCCTGTGCCTGGCTGCCTTTTTTTTTTTTTTTTTTTAAAGGCAGAGTCTCACTCCATCGCCCAGGCTGAAGTGCAGTGGCGTGATCTCTGCTCACTGCAACCTCTGCCTCTTGAGTTCAAGCGATTCTTCTACCTCAGCTTCCCAAGTAGCTGGGATTACGGGAGCCCACCAACACACCCAGCTAATTTTTGTATTTTTAGTAGAGACGGGTTTCACCAGGTTGGCCAGGCTGTCTGGAATTCCTGACCTCAGGTGATCCACCCTCCTTGGCCTCCCAAAGAGCTGGGATTACAAGTGTGAGCCACTGTGCCCAGCCTGACTTGTTTTTTATAATGCCTTTTTTTTTTTTTTTTGAGACGGAGTCTTGCTCTGTCGCCCAGGCTGGAGTGTAGTGGCGTCATCTCAGCTCACTGTAACCTCCACCTCCTGGGTTGAAGTGATTTTCTCACCTCAGCCCTCAGCCTCCTGAGTAGTTGGGACTGCAAGTGCACACCACCATGCCCAGCTAATTTTTTGTATTTTAGTAGAGATGGGGTTTCACCATGTTGCCCAGCTGGTCTTTAACTCCTGAGCTCAGGCAGTCTGCTTACCTTGGCCTCCCAAAGTGCTAGGATTAAAGGTGTGAGCCACTGTGCCTGGCCTTTTTTTTTTTTTTTTTTTTTTTGAGCAGTTTTAGTTTCCCAGCAGAATTGAGATGAAGGTACAGAAACTTCCCATATGCTTCCCACATGCATAGCCTTCTACATTATCGACATCCTCCGCCAGAGTGGTACATTTGTTACAACTGATGAACCTACATTGATACATCATAATCACCCAAAGTCCATAGTTTACATTAGAGTTCACCCTTGGTGTTATATATTCTATGGGTTTGGACAAATGTATAATGAGACGTATCTACTATTAAATACTTTACAGAGTATTTTCACTGGCCTAATCCAATGGACATTTATTGTTACTTCATTATGGTTGGGCACAGTGCTAGATGCTGATGATTAAGAGAGGGCATGGGATTTGGTCTTGTCCTCAAGGGTAGAACCTAGGCCCATTGCATCTTCAAAGCCCAGGCTCCTTCAAAGCCCAGTGTAGTAGCAACTGCTGTACCTTGCCTGTGCCCTTTGCGTATCTCACTCCTCTATCTCTCTAGAAAGTTGGAGAGAAAAGTGAGCAAGGCATGAGGAACAAAGTTATTTATTTATTCTTCATTCATCTATTTATTCTTTCATTACCGTTTGTGTTAAAACATTCCAAACCCAAACAATTATTTGTATGGTCCCCTGTGTATTACTTGTGGTTTCCCAAGAAGTAGTTGCTAAGCTTTTCCTTGTATGGTTTCTGTGAGGTAAGGAAGGAATGATGTGATTTTCTCCAGTATGTAGAATGCAGTTCCAAGAGGTTAAGTAATTTACTTACAGTTATTTAGCCAAACAAGGTTACTGCAAGGTATATGAAGTCAGGTCTCTTGACCCAGTTCATGAGAGAGTTAAAGGAACTATCATTCTTTTTAGCTTTCATGGAAAAAGAAGGTTGAGTGTTGGGAGGGGTGTGGGTAGGATTGATAATGGACTTCAAAAATGTGAAGGGTATTTCTGTAGTTTTCATTCTTCTGAAAGCCTTCTAAGAGGCAGTGAACCAAAAGCACACAAGAATGGCAAGAAGTTAGCATGCTGAAGAAATATCCTCCTGGCTGGCAAGCAGAGTGAGAAGACTGCTATCACCTTTTCTAGAATCTTTTGGAATTGTAGGAGCTGTTAGATCCTGGGTTAACTCTATGAAGAAAGTCAGAAGGATCAGAGAACATCAGTGTCACAGCTCTTCATTGGAATATCCATGTCTCCTCCTTTACTCTGCTCTACCTTCCATCCTTTGCCACTAATTATCCAGAGTGTTTGTCAAAATTCTCTGTTTGCAGTTCTGAGCTAGCAACTGTACACACTAACACCATCAGACACAGCTAATACCTACTCTAGTCTAGTAGCTTCCGATCTAAGGCAGACACATGGGTATAGTTAAAGATTTTGAATGTACATGTGTCCAATCTGACAACAGTAACACAAACCATCCATTCAAGTAGAAGTGATTGAGTCAGAATTGGATTGCACCCCTTCCCCCACACCCACACACATTTCAGTTCTTTCCTCATGATTTTTTCCTCCCAAGACATCCCAGGAATTTGTGGAGAAACTAACCAAGCGACTGAAAAGACACCCTGAGGAGACAGGAGGCTTCCAGGAGGCACCGCTGGCCTATGATGCCATCTGGGCCTTGGCACTGGCCCTGAACAAGACATCTGGAGGAGGCGGCCGTTCTGGTGTGCGCCTGGAGGACTTCAACTACAACAACCAGACCATTACCGACCAAATCTACCGGGCAATGAACTCTTCGTCCTTTGAGGGTGTCTCTGTGAGTTAAAACTTCCTTCATACTCCCCTGTCTTCCCAATCTTGAGAGAGACTCCCAAGAGGCACCTTCTACAAACATGCATTCTCTGTTTTTCTCAGTTACTTCTTTGCAGAATCAGTCTCCGACCAGAGAAGTAGGGACCTTCAAATTAGAAGAACCCATCAAAGACTAGAGGAAAAAAAATGATGTATTCCATTTTTTTAAACCCCTCCCCTCATTTCTTTTCAAACTAGACCAAGTATTCATGAGTCAGATGAGAACTATAGGATTTTGAAAGACAAAACAGTCTGAAAGGTCATCTTCTTATTCCTTTTAAAATGAAAAGATTAGTTTCCAGAGAGATTTGCTGACTTGCTTAGGCCACACAACCAGAAGCCTGCTGGTGTTCTGTCTGGGGATTTTTTCCCATTCAAATCTCATAAGTGAAGCTCCTTCTCCAAAGAATAATGTTTCTAAAATCTAGGGTATGGGCATCTGGGGTATGTCCTATATGCAGGCAAATGCCATAAATAGCATTCATTCAGAGGCTCAATTACATCAAAAACAGAAGGATTTAAAGAGTCCCTGATGTTCTCTTTCACTCTTGCTTTTGTCTCCTTTGCCTTGCTCCACATGTTCCTTCCCTCAGGGCCATGTGGTGTTTGATGCCAGCGGCTCTCGGATGGCATGGACGCTTATCGAGCAGCTTCAGGGTTAGTACAGGGGCAGGAGGGGACCGGACATGGGGGCTAGGCTGGGGCTGGGCTGGGATGCCCCCTGGGGAAGAATGCCAGAGACATCACAAGATTGCCCTGGCACCTCCCAACTTCTGCCCTTCTCTTTTAACTCTGTTCATCAAGCTTGTAAATAATAATAATAATAAGCTTAACTACAAGAAGATTGATGTCTTTGAGTTGCACTGGTTTTGCTCTTGAAAAGAGGTGTGCAGGCTGGGTGTGGTGGCTCACCCCTGTAATCCCAGCACTTTTGGGAGGCCAAGGCAGGCAGATCATGATCATGGTCAGGAGTTTGAGACCAGCCAGACCAACATGGTGAAACCTGTCTCTACCAAAAATACAAAAAAAAAAAAAAAAATTAGCTGGGTGTGGTGGCAGGTGCCTGTAGTCCCAGCTACTTGGGAGGCTGAGGCAGGAGAATCACTTGAACCCAGGAGGCAGAGGTTGCAGTGAGCTGAGATCACGCCACTGCACTCCAGCCTGGGTGATAGAGTAAGACTCTGTCTCAAAGAAAAAAGAAAAGAAAAGAGACATGCAAATTAAAAACAGCTACTCTCTTTCCCAGTGGCTTCCATTAATTTCAGGAATTTCCCCTTGAGTGGCTTGGGTTGAGAGGTTGATGACCTGTCAGTTAGACTCAAGAAAGCTGAATCTAGGAGAACCGCTATTTTTTTTTTAAGGGAATCTGCCAAATTTCCTTGCTGTGTAAAGCTTCAATGTGTATAGCTTGGCTTTTGTAGATTGTATTTTCTTGAAACTTAGCACACAGGTATTTGCAGAACTTCTAGGAGTTAATTTTTCTGCTCCACTCGGCTCTCAGTCTTTTACGGCATGGCCAAGAGAGCTATTTCTTGGCCTCCTGTGAAAAGTTTCTTTCTTCCTTTCTCCCCACCTCCACATCCTTTCAGCTCCTCTTTGTATCCAGGACAAGAGGAAATGGACTTCAGCCATGGTGAAAGGAGTGTGAGTTGGCTTTTGAAGGAAAAGTTATGGTAACGGAAACAGTTCTAGAACAGAAATCTTAGAAATGACCAAATTTTACTCAATGGCGCTTTAAGAGGCAGATATAACTTATCCAAGGAATTAAAACCCAAGCCAACAGAAGAGAATGTTCTAAAATTAAAATGAAAGCCACTGGGAAAATAGAGCCTGCCCATCATGAGAGGAAGAATAAGCAGAAATATGTGTAAAGCTTTAGAAGCCAAAATCAAAGTGAGAGACATCTCGCCGAGAGAGGTGTGAGGAATGGAATAGGTGGCAGACATGTTGTGGAGCCTCCTCACTGAAGACTTTTAAACATAGATATTCTTATTTATTTGAGTTGTCTTGGGAACCACCTTATATTGCTTTTAAGTCATGTTGCTGATTCAAGAGTCTCGTAGGTCCTTCCAAGCATCCTTAGGGCCTCAGGTGAAAATAAAATCAGATACAACCATGCAAAGCTCTAGGGAAGTGGGAAGTTGAAAATGCCTAGGATCAGCTCTTTGGCTACCTGTGGTCACTCCTTTTATTGTCGTCTGCCCAGGTGGCAGCTACAAGAAGATTGGCTACTATGACAGCACCAAGGATGATCTTTCCTGGTCCAAAACAGATAAATGGATTGGTGAGTGGATCTTGTTTGTATTTTCCTTCAGCCCCTCTCGACAGTCAAGGGAAAAAGTCATGCCTTTGAGTGAGGATGGAATGGTAGAGACTGTTAGGTTGGAATGTGGCTGGCAGCTGGGCCAGGAGAAAGGGTTAAGTGAGAGTGAATACAACCCCTAAGGCGTGGGTAGGGGAGACTGGTGTATTTGGAGAGGGAATAGGCGGTGGTTAGTACTATTTTTAATGGTGCATTGCTGGGGTAACTGGGGATTAGAGGCAGGGGGTGGGCAGAGGGCGGGAAATGGAAACTCCATTTGGGTTTCCCAGATGTCCTGGTGTCTTGATATATTTGAACCAGCTACTTCAAGCCCAGAGCTGTCTCTTTGTCTGTCTCTGTCAGGAAAACGGTTGCTTAAACTATGGAGGAGGAGGGAAAACCTCATGTAATTGTCATCTGCCAAAATGTGCTTTTTATTTTTATATGTATTTTTAAAAATTTTCCTATTTTTATGTAATTTAGAGGTAGACGTGCAGTTGTGTTACATGAATATATTGCATAGTGGTGAAGTCCGGGCGTTTAGTGTGCCTGTCACCCGAACAGTGCACCTTGTACCTAATAGGTAGTATTACATCCCTCAAAATATACTTTTTAAAGAGAGAAAGCAAGCAGTTATTCTTTGTGTACTTGGTCTAAATGATAGGACATAGGAGAGAAACTGAAGGTGGACAAAAGGAAGGACCTACTGATAAAAGAAAGCCTCCTTGAGAATGAAGGGGAGGCTCAACCATTGAAGATGGCTGCCGTCTGCCCTGCCCAGCAGATATCCAGTCATTCCCAGCACTGCTGGAGTTTTGCCCTTTTTTTTTTTTTTTTACAATTCGAATTTAGGACAATGTTCTGGATTGCTATAAATGCTGCATGGCCTAAATTATTCTTTAAAAAAAAAACTAAGCAAATTGAAATTAGTTTTTTTTGGTGAACTCTGACAAATTTGAACTTCCCCCTAATAATAACTGGAAAACATATTTGGGAATATTACCCTGCCAGGATTAAAATTTCAGATTAGCTTTCCTTCTTTTTTTGTTTGTCTTAAGAATAGGTGTCCACACTAGATACTTCAAGGCCTTTTTAGCTTTATGATTCCATAATTGTCATTTAAAACTTTGATTTGGGTTATAAGAAACCTTATAACATTTTTTAATGATCCCCTTCTTTCTCCTCCCATTTTCCTTTGCTGTAAGAAAGACAGAAAAACTTAAAGAACAAACAAAAACAAAGACTACAACTTTGGGGACATGCCTCAGCATTTCCCAACCTATGGATAGACCATTCACTCCATCTTCTCATCTCATTTCTGGTTGCTTCCTAACGGCCCCAGTGGCACTGAGCATTCTGCCTGCAGTAACCTCTGTCCAGTGCAGTTAGGGCCTCATGTCCCCAGCCAATGACTGAATGTCCATCAGCAATCTAGTTCTTTGCCCTTTTCTCCTATCCCGTCTTCATTCCTTTGTCCTCCTTCCCTTCTCTTTTCCCTTCCCCTCTTCCTCCCCTGTGCCATGCAGGAGGGTCCCCCCCAGCTGACCAGACCCTGGTCATCAAGACATTCCGCTTCCTGTCACAGAAACTCTTTATCTCCGTCTCAGTTCTCTCCAGCCTGGGCATTGTCCTAGCTGTTGTCTGTCTGTCCTTTAACATCTACAACTCACATGTCCGGTAAGTTTCTCTTCTGACGTTTTCCTTGTCTGCCTCTCTGAGATACTGATCATGTTCCTGGACAGGATGAGAATAAAACCTGTGTAACTCCCATGGCCATGTATCATGGAGTTTTTCATTCTGACTTGTTGAGAATGAAAACAGGGAAACCAGATATAACCCCCACTCCTACTCCAAAGTAGCTAACGGGAGGAAAAAAGAAAAGAAGAGAAAAAAACAACCTTTGGGGCCAGGTCTCACAGTCTTGGACTCTACATAAATAGCCTGTATTCTAGTGGGGGCCTGTGCTTGGGAAGCCCTCTGCAACTCCATCTTCAGCCCCATGACTGCATTGCTCTGCCTCTCAAGGCTCCACTGTCTTCTCCAATCCTGTCTTCCTTTAGCCCCTGGCCCTGAAATTAGGGTCATGCCATTGCGTGGTATTTGGAGAGCTCAGCCTCCCTGGAGAAGAGGGGTAATTCTCTCTCCCTCTCACCCTCTCCACCTCTGCCCTAGTTATATCCAGAACTCACAGCCCAACCTGAACAACCTGACTGCTGTGGGCTGCTCACTGGCTTTAGCTGCTGTCTTCCCCCTGGGGCTCGATGGTTACCACATTGGGAGGAACCAGTTTCCTTTCGTCTGCCAGGTGAGGAGGTGGTGGGCAAATTCCTTACAGGATGTGACTCTCCCACCCGTCTCAGGAGCACCTTCCATGATTTATGATTCTCTGCCCTTCCTCCTCAGCTTTCCCTGACTCTTGTCCCTGTTCTTTCCTTCTAGCATCACCCCTCTGTTCTCTGTTTGGCTCTGTCCCTTCTTTCTGTGTCTGCAGGCCATTTTCATTCTGTAGTTTACTTGTCAGTTCCAAGGTTGCCATGGCAGGCCTTGCAGAGAAGAGGAGGGAGCCATTGAAGGCAAAGGAAGGGGATCTGCTCAAAGGTCTCCTGAACAATGGTGGCTTGTCTGTGGTATGGGGGCTGAGAATCAGAACTGTGGACTTTTTTTGGGAGCCTTTGTTGGGTTTGGAAGGATAGAAGCAGAGATGGAAACACAGCAGAGAGTTGGGGGGAAGGGACCACTGCCACACAGGGAGGAGGGGCTCTGGGACTGTTGGTACATGGAAGGTTCTAGTGCTGTGGGGAGAGGCCAGCTTCAACAGTGATAGTTGAGTGGTTCTCTTTTCCACTGGTGGAAACACCCACTCTTTCTCCTGATCTGCCTGCCTGTCCTTGCTCTCTCTTTTTCCTCTGCTCTGTGCTGTCCTGATCATACATCTGTGCACATGGCATTTCCATGCACATGCACATGCAGTTCATCAGGAATCCTCTGTTCCCAGTGAGGCCAGAGTGCAGCTGGAGAAGCAGACAATTAGCTGTAGTGCAATAGGAGAGGTTCCAGAGTAGGGATCTGCACAAAGTGCTTTGGGGGCAAAGAAGGGAACACAGTTCACTGCTGGCGTGATTGGGTGGACCTCACTGAAGAGGTGGCATTTGAATACTGAAGGACAAATAGGATTTTATCAGCTAGAGAAATAGAGGAAGGCTACTTCAGGGGCATAGGGAGCATCGTGTGGCTAGAAAATACATGAAAGAGAGTAGATGAAGAGAAAGTGAGTAGTTCAGCATGGCTGGAGCGTGGGGTAGGTGTGGGGCTGGGAGATGAGCCTAGCTGGACAGGTGGATGGGAGCATGTTGTGAAGGGTCTGTGTCATATCCAGAAGTGTTCAGGCTATAACTTATAGATATTGGGGAGTGGTTGGAGGTTTTTGGCCACTAAAGCCAGGAGGTTTTAGCAAGATCACCCTGGTGGTGTGGAAGTAGAGGGTGGATGGGAGGAATTGTTCAAGGTGGGGAGACTGCTCTCCTCCTGCCGCTCCCCGTCCTGCTCACATTTTCGCATCCTCCCTGTGCCACCATGAGCTCCCTGCCCGTGCTCCCTGCCCACTCTCCCTTAGGGTTCTGCCCATCCTTACTGCAGTCCCGGCTACTACTCTACCCTGTTCTGCCTGTGCCCTCTCTTCCTTTCTAGGCCCGCCTCTGGCTCCTGGGCCTGGGCTTTAGTCTGGGCTACGGTTCCATGTTCACCAAGATTTGGTGGGTCCACACGGTCTTCACAAAGAAGGAAGAAAAGAAGGAGTGGAGGAAGGTGAGCTGCTGCCCAATCCTCAGCCCCCAGATCCTTGGCTCCTGGGGCACAGAGCATTTTCCCCTGACGTGCCTGTTCTCCCCACATATTTATCCAGACTCTGGAACCCTGGAAGCTGTATGCCACAGTGGGCCTGCTGGTGGGCATGGATGTCCTCACTCTCGCCATCTGGCAGATCGTGGACCCTCTGCACCGGACCATTGAGGTACCACTGGAGAGGAGGTGCTATGGTCAGGAGAATGAGCAGGGCTCAGTGGCCATCAGGGCCCTGGGGCTGTGTGTGTCTTGAGGGATGAAGCTACTTGGAGAGAGTGCCTTCCTCGTATTGGAAGCTCTTCCTTTCCTTCCTAGAAGGAGCCCCTCATAGGCCTCCAGATTCAGCTGAAGAAAGGAAGGGGTGGGAATCTGGGAAGGGTGTGTAGAACTTCCAGGCATCAGGGAAAGTGGGGAACAAGCACCTCCAAGGGTTCAGGAAAACATTCTTAGGCCTAGAATGAGATTTGGCATCAGCATTGAGGGTCTCATAGGAAAACAGTTGGAAGCCAGAGACTGAGAAGCGTTGAGGAGAGGAGGGGAGGCTGGCAACCATCTTTCTTGTGACCTTGTTTCTGCCCTAGACATTTGCCAAGGAGGAACCTAAGGAAGATATTGACGTCTCTATTCTGCCCCAGCTGGAGCATTGCAGCTCCAGGAAGATGAATACATGGCTTGGTGTGTGGGATGTGGGCAAAGGAGGGCAGGGATGCACAAAGGCAGGAGGGAAGGCAGGGGTAGAGGGCTTGGAGGGAGAGGGGTCTTTGGAAGAGGAGGTAGAGAGCTTGTCAACCCAGTTTGAACACCCTACTCTTTGTTATTGCACTAATCTTTTCTGAGAATAGGGGAGAGTTGCTCTTTTGCTATGAGGAGCTTAGGGCCCAAAGCACAGAAAGCACAGATGAAGAACTTGTGTTCAGCAGAGGAACAAGTGGGGGTAACCCCACCTCCAGACTTGACATTATCTTTTAGATCCCCCTTGGCCTTATTAGCATTGTTCGATTCATGGTCACAAATTGCAAACCTACCCTCTGCCTGGAAAGCCACCTTCCCACCTGTAGGGTAAGGGTGAGGCATGTGTGGCCCAGACTGGCCTATTTCTAGATATTCAACAAGCCCTTGCCTGACTGACAGCAGCTTGCCACCATTGCTTTCCTGTGTGAATCCCAGGAAAAAGTGATGTGGTCTGGGCAAGTTGGGTGGACATAAGGGATAGGGGACACAGGGTGAGGTTTGCTAGGTCAGAGGGGTTGGATTGGAGAGGAGGGCCCCCTTTCCATTTCAGAGTAGGTGAAGGGCAGAGAGGGGATGGGGATTGAGTGAGGAGCATTGTGGTCCTTGTTGCTCAAGTGACTCTCTCCTGCCATCCTAGGCATTTTCTATGGTTACAAGGGGCTGCTGCTGCTGCTGGGAATCTTCCTTGCTTATGAGACCAAGAGTGTGTCCACTGAGAAGATCAATGATCACCGGGCTGTGGGCATGGCTATCTACAATGTGGCAGTGAGCACTGACCCCATGGCATTGACCCTGTAGGCTGACCACAGCAGCCCAGATATAGAGGACTAGGAAGAATCAATGCTAGATCTGGGATCGGTTGCTTAGAAGTCTTAAAAAGTTTGTTAATTCTTCAGGTCTATAAAGCACTTTACAGTTTACAAAGCTCACTACAGACATTGTATCATTAATCTTGCAACTACCCAGTGAAGTAGATATTAGTATCCCCACTTTATAGGTGAGGAAACAGAAACACAGAGACGTTAAATTGCTTGTCTGTGGTTAATGGGCTGGACTCTATTGACATTTCCTGCCAGGGACCGACTCTGGAGGACCCGGAATCTGTGCATAGAGATCCTGGGAGTTCCTGCCTTGAGGGGAGGGGTTAACCAAGAGTGAAAACTGGTTTGGGACAGTTTGAGATTTTTCTCAATCTATATTTGAGGATGATCCTGAATTTGGATCCTTTTCAAAGGGAAAGTTCACCAGGAAACTGTCTGCATAGACTCCCTCCCATGGGAAGTAAACTCTGGATCTTGTCTGAGCCTGCAGACCTGAGACTCCCTCAATGTGTCTTTCCCTCTAGGTCCTGTGCCTCATCACTGCTCCTGTCACCATGATTCTGTCCAGCCAGCAGGATGCAGCCTTTGCCTTTGCCTCTCTTGCCATAGTTTTCTCCTCCTATATCACTCTTGTTGTGCTCTTTGTGCCCAAGGTAAGGATCTGGCTTTTCTCCCACCCTCTTTGTTCCCATGTTCCCTCCATCCCTCCTTCCTATATTACTGAGTTCCTCTGCCCTTCCGTTCACCCTCCTCTCACTCCTCCCCTTGTTTTGGGCCCAACTCTTATCAGCATTCCTTCCACCTCCAACCTTCCATCAGCCAGTCACTAGTACAGTCCTTGCTGGGCCACCCCACGCCCAAACATTTGCCCCCAGATGCGCAGGCTGATCACCCGAGGGGAATGGCAGTCGGAGGCGCAGGACACCATGAAGACAGGGTCATCGACCAACAACAACGAGGAGGAGAAGTCCCGGCTGTTGGAGAAGGAGAACCGTGAACTGGAAAAGATCATTGCTGAGGTGCGGGGGTGGGTGTCAGGGTAGGGTGTTGGAGTGGTCCAGGAGGCTTGCGTCTTAGCTTGGGTTGTCTGAAGCCAAGCCTGAGATACAGGGTCAGATGTTCTTGGCTCATGGAGGGAGGGTCCTAGGAGACAACCTGTAAGGAGTGAATGGAGCAGCATAGGGGAGGGGAAAGGGCTGAGCAAGATTCTATCTCAGGCAAAATCCAGTGTTGGCCTGGCAGGTGGAAGGGCTCTGGAGTGGGAGCTATGTGGTTGACTCAGCCTCCTTAAGGCAAGAGGATGGCTGTTGGCTGTAGGTGACAACTGGAGAGAGGCAGCTGTGAGCCTCTAGTAGTCAACACTCACAGCAGCTGGGTGTAGCATGCAGCCCCAGCATAAAGGACCTGGGCAGGCGTTCACTGTGCCCCAGGCTGTCATTAGGGGCTGGTGCAATGCCAAAGAGAGGGATGTTCCAACTGGGTTGACACATCTCTCTGATTTATTGGAAGCTCTGTGCACTGACTTTTCTCTCCTTCCCCACTTTTTCCTTTTGTTTTTAAATTCTCTCTTATTTCCCTGATCGCATTTTTTCTATCGGTATCCTTATGTTCTCTGGCTTTTCTTGTTCTGTTTTGATTTCTCCTTTTAATTTATTCTGTCCACTTACCCTACGTCCTCCCCCTACATTTTTCTGTGCCCTTCCTCTCTTTCCCTGTGCCCTTCCTCTCTTTCCCTCCTCCCCACTCCTTCATCACCTCCTCTTCTCCTACTATCCCAATTGTGCTTCTTCCTCCAGAAAGAGGAGCGTGTCTCTGAACTGCGCCATCAACTCCAGTCTCGGCAGCAGCTCCGCTCCCGGCGCCACCCACCGACACCCCCAGAACCCTCTGGGGGCCTGCCCAGGGGACCCCCTGAGCCCCCCGACCGGCTTAGCTGTGATGGGAGTCGAGTGCATTTGCTTTATAAGTGAGGGTAGGGTGAGGGAGGACAGGCCAGTAGGGGGAGGGAAAGGGAGAGGGGAAGGGCAGGGGACTCAGGAAGCAGGGGGTCCCCATCCCCAGCTGGGAAGAACATGCTATCCAATCTCATCTCTTGTAAATACATGTCCCCCTGTGAGTTCTGGGCTGATTTGGGTCTCTCATACCTCTGGGAAACAGACCTTTTTCTCTCTTACTGCTTCATGTAATTTTGTATCACCTCTTCACAATTTAGTTCGTACCTGGCTTGAAGCTGCTCACTGCTCACACGCTGCCTCCTCAGCAGCCTCACTGCATCTTTCTCTTCCCATGCAACACCCTCTTCTAGTTACCACGGCAACCCCTGCAGCTCCTCTGCCTTTGTGCTCTGTTCCTGTCCAGCAGGGGTCTCCCAACAAGTGCTCTTTCCACCCCAAAGGGGCCTCTCCTTTTCTCCACTGTCATAATCTCTTTCCATCTTACTTGCCCTTCTATACTTTCTCACATGTGGCTCCCCCTGAATTTTGCTTCCTTTGGGAGCTCATTCTTTTCGCCAAGGCTCACATGCTCCTTGCCTCTGCTCTGTGCACTCACGCTCAGCACACATGCATCCTCCCCTCTCCTGCGTGTGCCCACTGAACATGCTCATGTGTACACACGCTTTTCCCGTATGCTTTCTTCATGTTCAGTCACATGTGCTCTCGGGTGCCCTGCATTCACAGCTACGTGTGCCCCTCTCATGGTCATGGGTCTGCCCTTGAGCGTGTTTGGGTAGGCATGTGCAATTTGTCTAGCATGCTGAGTCATGTCTTTCCTATTTGCACACGTCCATGTTTATCCATGTACTTTCCCTGTGTACCCTCCATGTACCTTGTGTACTTTCTTCCCTTAAATCATGGTATTCTTCTGACAGAGCCATATGTACCCTACCCTGCACATTGTTATGCACTTTTCCCCAATTCATGTTTGGTGGGGCCATCCACACCCTCTCCTTGTCACAGAATCTCCATTTCTGCTCAGATTCCCCCCATCTCCATTGCATTCATGTACTACCCTCAGTCTACACTCACAATCATCTTCTCCCAAGACTGCTCCCTTTTGTTTTGTGTTTTTTTGAGGGGAATTAAGGAAAAATAAGTGGGGGCAGGTTTGGAGAGCTGCTTCCAGTGGATAGTTGATGAGAATCCTGACCAAAGGAAGGCACCCTTGACTGTTGGGATAGACAGATGGACCTATGGGGTGGGAGGTGGTGTCCCTTTCACACTGTGGTGTCTCTTGGGGAAGGATCTCCCCGAATCTCAATAAACCAGTGAACAGTGTGACTCGGCACCTTGCAGTCTTCCTGTGAACAGAATGGGCTTCAATCCAAGAAGGGAGGCTCAGAGGACTCCAAGTTCATGAAAAGGCATTAAAGCGGAGGGTGAAAAGAGGTGTTTTATTGATCCATTGAGGGCTTAGCAGAATGAAGCAGGACATGATTAAGTCTGAGATTAGTGAGTGAGGACACTACTGGTTAAAAGTGTGGGCTCTGGAGTCAGACTGCCAGGGTATCAGATCCAACCACATGCAAACATTTTCTTAGTCTCTATTCCCCATGTCCTCATTTATGAAAATGAGAATAACAGTAATACATTCCTCCATAGGTTGGGTACAAAGACTATTATAAATTGTGCATTCAGGTGCCTAGGTTGGCCCTTGGGCCATGGTATATGTTGCGTGAATGTTAGCCTCTGTCCCTGCTGTTTAATGAGTTCCTTGACAGTAGTGGGCATGTATTGGGAGCCTGGAGCAAGTGCCTAAGCATCCCCTCTAGGGACGCTCCTTCCCAGGAACTAAGAAGAGTAAAAGAATGATGACTGCTAGAAGGTAATGGATGAGATGGCTGCTGAGTGCTTCCAACCTTAAACATCTTTGTTTAGGAACTCTGAGCATCTTGGAAATAATTTGCTATCAAACTGAAAAAAAATCTTGAATGGACAAGGGCAAAAACATTTGCCTGAGACTTTAAACATTTTTTGTGTCATCTTGGAGAGTGCTTTTTTGAAGCTCAAATTTTCTTTTATTTTGGCACTGATTTTTAAAGTGATTCTCAGATTTTTGTAAGACAGCTGCAAGGGTTGGATGGGCCCTGTCATTCACTGACCTGTTAAGAGCCAATTTCTGAACTTCCACTAAAGCATGGGCTGGTTGAATCTTAGACCAGTACTTGAAAAACTTTCCACTGTGATTATCCACCTTGGACCAGTTGGACTTAATTTGAGTCTCTCTTCTTCCCACAGTGAAATATCCGCTAGGAAAAGAGAAGAAGTCTATGGAGTAGATAAGCCTGCAGTTTGGAAAATGAATAGTTGGCATCAGAACAGCAGCAGGAGGCTGGGTGTGGTGGCTCACGCCTGTAATCCCAGCACTTTGGGAGGCTGAGGTGGGTGGATCACGAGGTCAGGAGTTCAAGACCAGCCTGGCCAAGATGGCGAAACCCTGTCTCTACTAAAAATACAAAAATTAGCTGGGCGTGATGGTGGGTGCCTGTAATCTCAGCTACTCGGGAGGCTGAGGCAGATAATTGCTTGAACCCAGGAGATGAAGGTTGCAGTGAGTTTGTGCCACTGCACTCCAGCCTGGGCGACAGAGTGAGACTGTCTCAAAAAAAAAAAAAAAGAAAAAAAAAAAAGAAACAACAGTAGCAGGAGCTATAGAACAGCCCTGGGTAGAACCTAAAAGACCCAAATTATCATCTCAAACTTGCATTGCACTTAAGTGGGCTGTAAATTATAAACAAAGGGTGAAAAGTTCTACTGTGGCCAAAGGTAAGCCAGACACTCTGCTAGCAGGAGTGCAGGAGTCGAGAGCCAAACGGTGCGGCTAGCAGAGTGCCCAGTGCAAAGGGGTGGGAAGGAGTGAGATTGAGAATATTAAAAAGGTACTTAGAAGAGAACTTGTAAGATTTTTACTGGCCAAATTTAAAACATGACTGAGCACTATTTTTCATACAGGCCTCCTACTAATAAGAAAAACAATTTTGAGATAACTACTTATTTGAGTTCACAGTTAATGTTCCTGATGATTAAGATCAGTTGCAAATGTTCATCTGTCAATGCTTATCTACAATGAGACTTCATGTATTCATTTCTGAAAGTGTCTTTTCAGGGTGAATGGTGCTATTGATTAGCACTAATACTAATTATTAGTACATTATATATAATTACAATGAGATATACACACACATACACACACACATATATACATATACACACACACAATGATATATAATTAATATATAATTGTACCCCAAGGGGTGCAAAGGAGATGTGTTGCCAGGTGGAGAGGCTACCGCTTGGCAGTTCTGGGAGGACTTGCTCCCTGTGCACTGTGAGGCAGGCTTTGCCTTTCAGACCTGCCTTTGGGTAGGGTTCAGATCACTTTCTAACTCTGGAATGTCCTAGAATGTAGACTGCCTGCAGGCTTCCATGTCCCCTGCTTTTCCCTGACTTAGCCTGTTGCCTCCCTGCCCTCCTGTTGGTTGTCTACCAGTAGAGAGCACTTTGTGTGCACTTGGCTGCTACATTAGTTAGGTGATCTTCAACAAGTGTTGATGGTGAGTTGCTGTGGCAGGTGCTTTTTTTGGCACTGAGGCAAAATGGTGAGTAAGATGGCTTTCAAGCGTTGTACCTTCTCGACGTGGGAAGATGACCAGTAAGCAGAAAAACAAACGAGATCACTTAAGAGAGCAACCAGGAGTGTTGGGCATCTCACAGCCATTAGCTCTGGTGTGAAGGACAAATCTAAAAGCAAGGGGACTGTGTGTTCATTTTCTGGGGTCACAAAACTAAGGAGCAAAGCCAGTATTCAAACTGCATATATTATTATCTATTGCCACAAAACCTGTTACCCTAAATGGCTTCAGACAACAATAATCATTTATTATCCATCATGGTTTTTGTGGGCTAGAAATTCAGATAGGGTACAGTGGGGAGGGTTCACCCTGCTCCACAGCATCTGGAAGATCTGAAGTCTGAGGGTTGTTGTCCAAAAGATCCTTCACTCAGCATCTAAAGGAGGTATTGGCTGTCAGCTGAGACCCCTACACATGACCTTTCCATGTGGCCTGGTATTCCTCATGACCTAATGACAGTTCCAAAGGCAAGTGGAGGCAGTTGTAGAGAGTCAGCCAGGTTTAAGCTGTATTTTTTTTTTCCCTGACAAAGCCTTGAAAGTCACGTAGCATCACTTCTGAGATATTCCACTGGTCCAAGCAGTCACAAGGCCATGCCTAGGTTCAGGAGAGGAAACACTTCACCTGTTGGTGGGATGAGCGTAAGTCACACTGTAAAGAGAACATGTGGAATGGGACAAATGTGTGTTGCAGGCTGCTTTGGTAAAAGCAGTCTGCTGCATCTGGTCTGCCTGCTGCAAAGCCAGTGTTCACTTCACTTTAACATGTTCTTTGTCCGCCCTCTGAGCTGAGCACCCTAGCCTTGTATATTTGCTGTCATACAGCCTCTTACCAGGCCCTGGATTCCTCTGGATGCTTGGGGGCCAGCTGTGATCTCACCCCAGCAGAAAATGGGAAGTGTTGAAGATGGTCCTGCCAATTGCTCCTCCCACAGTCCTTGGTAGTTTTAGGACACCCTGGATAGGCAACAGTTTGTTTATCCACTCAGGCTTTTGAAACAGATAATTCTGTGACTTTGCCCTTGAGGGAAGCTATCACTTGACATGAAGCTTACCAAAAGGTAGGCTTCATGTTAAGGGAGGCTGTCACTTGAAGGCAGGCAGAAAGGTGCTATTCATTAGCCACCTTATGGTGGGTTCATGTTAAGTGACAGCTTCCCTCAAATGGGATGCTACTCAAAATATTTAACCAGTATGGCATCCACTTACATGGCTCCCTGGAGTGTGGAAGGATATGCTGGAGACTCTCCTGGAAGGTGAGTTCAGCACCAGCAGCAGCTGTGATAGGGACACGTACTGAGGCCTGTGTGGGCTGGACACTGGGACTGATGCAGCAAAGCTAGGGAGACAGATGCAGAAGCAACGTCATGTGGCCTGCAGAGTGCATTCCCCAGGTGTGTGTAGGGAGTGTAGGAAAGAAAATCCTTTTCCTCTTCCTGTCTTAGGTTCTCCAGCCGTGGCTGTGTAAATTAGAGTGGCATAAGACAGATTAATGAGAGAAAAACAAATAGAAGTTTATTAACATTTGCTTCATGCATGTACACATGGGAGTACCCAGTGGTGAACAATGCAAAGGGGCAGTTAGAATTTGGGCTCATGGCTGGGTGTGGTGGCTCATGCCTGTAATGCCAGCACTTTGGGAGGCTGAAGCTGGGGGATCACTTCAGGTCAAGAGTTTGACACCAGCCTGGGCAACATGGTGAAACCCTGTCTCTACTAAAAATACAAAAATTAGCCGGGTGTGGTGGCAGGCACCTGTAATTCCAGCTACTCGGTAGGGTAAGGCAGGAGAATTGCTTGAACCTGGGAGGCGGAGGTTGCAGTGAGCAGAGATCGCGCCATTGCACTCCATCCTGGTTGACAGAGCGAGACTCTGACTCAAAAAAAAAAAAAAAAGAATTTGGAGCTCATATAGTTGCCCCTTGAACAACTTGGGGTTTAGGGTTACTGACCCCACACACAAACGAAAATCTGCACATAACTGTTGACTCTCTCCAAACTTAGCTACTAATAGCTTACTGTTGACTGAAAGCCTTACTAGTAGTGTAAACAGTTGATCAACACATATTTTGTATGCTATACATCTTATATATGTATTCTTATAATAAAGTAAGCTAGAGAAAAGGAAATGTTATCAAGAAAATTGTAAGGAAAATACATATAGGGTACTATACTGTATTTATTGATGCCTTAAGTTTACATCATTTACATGATGAATCGTCTGTCTGAAATGGCAGCAACCCCAGCAACAGACCTTGATCTATGGTGTATATCAAGCAATTCAACTTTTTATAGAGTCATGACTTTGCTTCTTGGGAGAACTTCCAGCATCACTGTTGGCACTTCATATGGGCCCTATGGTGTTATTTAAGGTTCACAGTATTGCTCTAGACATGATGAAATATATGCAAGAATCTTGAGAGACCACTCTTTACTGCTATACACAATTTACTGGATAGATGAACTGCTCATGCAGAGATGATTAGTGTCACTTGGCATTTTAGGCAGATACTTGCAACAGTTGAGCTCTTTGCAATAGTAAGAGGAGGTGGCTATCAAATTACAGTAGAACAGTATACACTACAGTTAATTTTATGCCGTTATGATTTAATTCTGCATCTTTTGTTAAGCTTTCTCTTGACTTTGAGTGGCTTATGTATGGTCTGTAAGTGTGTGCGTAAGTTTTGATAAATTTTATTTATTTTTTGAGACATGGTCTCACTCTGTTGCCCAGGCTGGAGTGCAGTGGCGTGATCTTGGCTCACTTCAGCCTCAACCTCCTAGGCTCAGGTGATCCTCCTACCTCAGCCTCCTGGGTAGCTGGGACTGCAGATACATGCCACCATGCCGGACAAATTTTTTGTATTTTTAGTAGAGATGGGGTTTTACCATATTGCTCGGATTGGTCATGAACTCCTGGATTCAAGCAATCTGCCCACCTAGCCTCCCTAAGTGCCTGGCCAAATTTTTGGTTTTTATAGTAGATTTGTGTATATTTTTTGGTAGTATCTACATATATTTTATACATTTATTTGTTGATGAAAAAAGTAAAATTTGTAAAATATTTGAAGAGGTTTATTCTGAGCCATTCTGAGGAGTTCCTGAGAACATGTGCCCAAGGTGGTTGGGTTACAGCTTGGTTTCATACATTTTAGGGAGCCAGAAGTTGCTGACAAAGACATAAATCAATACATGTAAGGTATATATTGGTTCAGCTCAGAAAGGCGGGACATCTCGAAGCAAGGGAGCTCACAGGTCATAGGGGGATTCAGATTTTCTGATTGCCAATTGGTTGAAAAAGTTAAGCCCTGCCTAAAGAGTTGAAGTCAGCAGAAAGAAATGCTTGAGTTAAGGGGGCGTGGAGGTGGCGTTGGGGGAGATGTTTGTGGAAGCAAAGATTCTTGTTACGTAGATGAAGCTTCCAGGCCTCAGAAAGAATAGATGGTAAATGTTTCTTATCGCACCTTAAAAGATGTCAGACTCATTAGTAAAATCCCTCCTGGATCAGAAAAAGACCTGGAAGGGGAAGGGGATTCTCTACAAAATGCAAATCCCCATGACAAGAAATGGCTTTGCAGAGTCATTTCAAAATGTCAAATAAGTATATTTTGGGGTAAAATACTTTGATTTCCTTCAGGGCCTGCTATCTGTGGTGTGATGCTGTATCAGAGTCAGGTTGGAGTTGACTATTTTATTGCTACAGAGAATCTTTTGTCAGTCTTATGATCTCTATTGTAATGTTAATGCTGGTCAGTTGTCCCTAAACTCCAGAGGAAGGAGGGTATCATTGGCATGTCTTACCTTTCTTCCTGTCAGTTAGGGGGCTTAGAATTTTATTTTTGGTTTACACATGACATACTTTTCTCTTATTTATTTATTTATTTATTTGAGATGGAGTCTTTGTCGCCCAGGTTGGAGTGCAGTGGCACCATCTCGGCTCACTGCAACCTCCGCCTCCTGAGTTTAAGCGTTTCTCCTGCCTCAGCCTCCCAAGTAGCTGAGATCACAGGTGTGTGCCACCACGCCTGGCTAATTTTTTGTATTTTTTAAGTAGAGACGGGGTTTCACCGTGTTAGCCAGGATGGTCTCGATTGCCTGACCTCGTGATTCACCTGCCTCGGCCTCCCAAAGTGCTGGGATTACAGGCGTGAGCCACCGTGCCCAGCCCTATTTATTTTTTTAATTGAGGCTGGAGTGAGGTGGTGCAATCACAGCTCACTGCAGCCTCAACCACCTGGGCTCAAGAGATCCTCCCACCTCAGCCTCCCTAGTAACTGGGACTACAGGTGCGTGCCACCATGCCCAGTTAATTTTTTTTTTTTTTGCAGAGATGGGGTTTCCCCATGTTACCCAGGCTGGTCTCCAACTCCTGAGCTCAAGCAATGCATCCATCTTGGCCTCCCAAAGTTCTGAGATTACAGGCATGTGCCACAGCACCTGGCCCATTAATTTTTCCAGTGCTTCTAAGCTATGTGGTTTGTGAGTTTTTTCAAATTGTCACAAATCTCCAAAAATTTTCAATATACTTACTGAAAAAAATCATGTGTGAGTGAATCCATGGAGTTCAAATCGTGTTGTTCTTAGCAACTGTATAACATCTTGGCTAGGTAAAGGAAAAGGAGTTTGGGGCTTCTGGGTGAGTGGTAGATGGGCAGGCAAGTTATGGGAAAGTGACCAGGAAAATATGGAACAAAGTGGTTTAGTAAGGTTTGTTATGTGGATTTAAACTGTCTTCTCCATTAGTAGAGTTGTACCTTTACAGATAGAAAAGGTTTGTTATGTAGATTTAAACTGATGTCTTCTCCATTAGTAAGAGTTGTACCTTTACAGATGTGAATTTATTTACAAAAGGAAAACTTGTATCCTGTTTTACAGCATTCACTAGTCTGATGATTTTCAATTGTTAGCTCAAAATAATCCACATGCTAAAGATAGTTTGAGGTGGCATATACTGGTACCCTTCAAGGGTGAGCGATTAATTCTGCATAGGAGGAGCCAGAAGGTTTCCCCTTCCCTGGGAGATAGAAGGATAAGACAGGGCTGGGCCCTACACATAAGCATCTATTCATGATTCGGTGAGCCCTTCAGACGTTTGAGGTTTATTTTATTTTATTATTATTTTTTTGAGATGGAGTCTCACTCTAACTCCCAGGCTGGAATGCAGTGGCGTGATCTCGGTTCACCGAAACCTCCGCCTCCTGGGTTCAAGTGGTTCTCCTACCTCAGCTTCCCAAGCAAGGGGTTTACAGGCACCTGCCACCAGCCCTGGCTATTATTATTATTATTATTATTTGTATTTTTAGTAGAGACTTTTTAATTTTTATTAGAGACTTCATATTTTTAGTAGAGACGAGGTTCTTGAATAATGTTCCTTTAAGGCTTCCAACTCACATGTCATGTTAGAATGAATAGTTAAGTGCCTGCCCTCAGGAGACCTAAATCATGTAGGTTTGAAACATCTGTAAGGGATCCTTTTTTTTTTTTTTTTTTCTGGTTGTATTCAATTCAGTAGCTTCTGTATCTTTCTGAAATAATCTCTACCTTCCTGCTTAATCATTTTGCTCCTCGGTGTAACTCCTTCCCCCACATCTCCCTATCTTAATGCACAACATGCTTATTTTTGTCTTTAGCCTTTTCTGTTATAGAACCAAACTGGGGTCTGCTTGCCTGGTGCAATAAAACCAGATACTTACACCAAGGATTGCACCAATAGAAAGAAAGGCATTTGTTGCAGGACACTACGCAGGGAGGACCAGGCAGCTAAACACTCAAGTCCTGGCCTCCCTGATGTCTTGCAGGCAAGGGTATTAGCGGCAGAATGTATCAGAGTTACATGGCATGAAAATATGTTAGCAGCTGCGAATCTGTACAGGTCTGCAGCAACCTCAATTTTTGCCTCCTCAGAAGAAAGAATCTGACTGAGGGGCATAAAGCAGAGTAAGAGACCGAAGCAAATTTTAGAACAGGAGTAAAAGTTTATTAAAAAGCTTTACAGCAGGAACAAAATAAAGTAAAGCCAACTTGGAAGGGGGCCAAGCAGGCAACTTGAGAGATCAAGTGCGTGGTTTTGACCTTGACTTAGGGTTTTATATGTTGGCAGGGTTCCAGGGTCCCTTCTCCCCTGAATCTTCCCTTGGGGTGGGCTGTCTGCATGTACAGTGGCCTGCTAGTGCTTGGGAGGGGCTGCATGCACGGTATGTTTACTGGAGTAGTATGCATGCTGACTTGAGGCATTCTTCCCTTACCAGGGAGTGTTCCTATAAGGTTATAAACCAGTTAAATGCTGTCATTTCTCCCTTAGTGCCCATGCATGAGCCCACTTGCCCAACTCCTGAGATCTTAGTTTCAGGTTTTTCTATTTATTGGGAGACTGTTTTTCCCTGGCACAGGCTGTGACCAATGATTATTTTAGAGAGACAGCTTAACAACCGCCTATCACCTGATGGTTGCCTGACATTCCTGGTGGGGAAGGAGGCCCTTTCCTGCCCTGCTCGTGTCTGACTAACTATTGTAACATGGGTTTTTAAAGGCAGGGGTAAGGCAGTGTGCAGTGGCTCACACCTGTAATCCCAGCACTTTGAGAGGCTGAGGCAGGAAGATCACTTGAACCTAGGAGTTCAAGAACAGCCTGGGCAACAAAGTGAGACCCCAACTCTACAAGAAATAAAAAAATTAGCCAAATATGGTGGCATATGCCTGTACTCCCAGCCACTCAGAAGGCTGAGGTGAGAGGATCCCTTGAATCCAGGAGGTTGAGGCTGCACTGAGCCATGATTATGCCACTGCACTCCAGCCTGGACAACACGGCAAGACCCTGTCTCAAAAAACAGGAAACAAAAAAAGGCAGGGGTAAATTTCAGAAAAGCAGAAGCTACAAGGAACATTGGAAATCAGTGCATAGAGGTTCCACATTTTTTTTTGAGATGGAGTCTTGCTCGGTTGCCCAGGCTGGAGTGCAGCTGTGTGATCTTGGCTCACTGCAAGCTCTGCCTCCCAGGATCATGCCATTCTCCTGCCTCAGCCTCCCGAGTAGCTAGGACTATAGGCACCCACCACCACGCCTGGCTAATTTTTTTTTTTGTATTTTTTGTAGAGATGGGGTTTCACCGTGTTAGCCAGGATGGTCTTGATCTGACCTCATGATCCGCCCACATTGCTTCCCAAAGGGCTGGGATTACAGCCGTGAGCCACCGTGCCCGGCCTCCACATTGGTTTTGATCTAAAAGGGTGGGATATCTTGAATCAGGGACTTACAGGTTATAGGTAGATTCAAAGATTTTTCTGGCCAGGTGTGGGTCATGCTTGTAATCCCAGCACTTTGGGAGGCCAAGGAGAGAGGATCCCTTAAGGCCAAGAGTTTGAGACCAGCCTGCGAAACATAACAAGACTCTGTATCTACACACACAAAATTTTTTTTAATTAGAGGCTGAGGCAGGAGAATTGCTTGAGCCTGGGTGGTTAAGCTGCAGTGAGCTACGACTGCAACTGCATTCTGGCCTAAGTAACAGAGCAAAAGCCTGTCTCAAACAAAAACAAAAAAACCCCAAATTTGCAATTAGTTAAGGAAGAGAACCTTTGTTTAAAAATTTGGGGTCCAGTAGAAAAATGTTAACTGCCTAGAAGGTGTTACTTTCTCCAAGCTCCTCAGGAAGAAACTTAGAACAAAGGATGATGGTTATAAAGTTCAGTCATTTTCCTGTCCTCTGAGGTCTATGCCAGCAGATTCATTTGGTGGGGTTCCGAGTTTCTGAGAGACAACGCAGAGACATATGTTAAGAGGTTATCTTTAGTTTCTATGAGGAAAGCAAACCTATTCAGAACGCTTAACTTCCTTGGCTATTGTCTTAGGCTGCTATTACCTTGTTGCTTTTCAAGTTGCTACTTATTTCTCAGAGCCAGCTAGGTGCCTGGAATTTTCCTTGAAGAAACACAGGATTTTGCTTTATTTCCATGCTTAGGAGTCCCCAAGCCCCTAAAAAGGGGGTCTTTGCATCATCTCATTTCTACACAGTCAGCAAATACTTCTTATTTTGTTTACTCTTCTGTGGTTCAAACCTCTAAGAGGCTTCCATGATCACTGCCGCTCCAAGCACTCACACACATTATTCTTTAATTCTGTATTCCTGTAGACTCTTATTTGCTCCAATTCAGTTGTGTAACTGTCATGTATGCTGGCACTATGTGCCTGACCATCCCTATTTTCACTGGACATTGTGGGGGTTGTGACTGAGTAACTTTATATTGGATTTTCTCACAGAGTATCCAATAGATGACTGTCACATGGAAACAATGAATTTAGGATAAGAGATGTTAGTCCTAAGTCCTATGTTAAACCATTTATTCAACAAAGCAGATTCTTTTAGACTGCTTTATTTAATTCTCTGTTGCATTTCCCCTAGAGTCAGTCTAGAAACGATTTTACTGTATACAAACATTATAGCCTCTGGCTGTAGGGAGATGATAAACAGGAGAAAAGTGTAGACATTTCTAGGTGCCAGTAAGAGAAAGCAGATAGAGGGGGTCATGAAAAAAAGGTCTTACTACAGTGATTTGAAAAGTGGAATTAAGCTTAGCCTTACCTGTAGGGCTGAGATTATGATTATGATTATGATTATTTGAGATAGAGTCTCACTGTGTCGCCCTGGCTGGAGTGCAGTGGCATGATCTCGGCTCACTGCAACCTCCGCCTCCCAGGTTCTCCTGCCTTAGCCTCCTAAGTAGCTGGGATTACAGGAGCACGCCACCACGCCAGGCTAGTTTTTTTTTTGTATTTTTAGTAGAGACAGGGTTTCACCATGTTGGTCAGGCTGGTCTCGAACTCCTGACCTCGTGATCCGCCCGCCTTGGCCTCCTAAAGTGCTGGGATTATAGGTGTGAGCCACTGCGCCTGACTGATTAGGATTATTAAATATAAAATGGGGGCTCTACATTAAGATTAGAATATGCTCTAATAACGAGGTCAAGGAGACAATAAGATTAACACAAGGATGGCTAGGATAAAGATTAGGATTATAATAGAATTAATGTTGCTGTTCTGTGCTGATGCCAGGATAAATGTTGAATCAAAATCATTTTATGTTGGAACTAGAAATAAAACTAAGATTTTCCTTTTTCTTATTTTATCGGCGTGTACTCAAAAGGGAATTTGGTATTGCTGCCCTTGCCAGGGAAAAGCTGGGAGACAGCGTATGTGGGATTGGAACCCCAGAACCTTTTATATATTCTCTTTGGAGAGTAAGATTCATTCATTCATTCATTCATTCACTTATACATTTATAAAACTGGGTGCCAATTTTATGCAAAATTCTGGTCCTTGCCTTCTGAGAGCCTGAAATCTAGTGGGTGAACTAAGCCAGAAACACACACACAATGAACTGTAACACAACTTTTTCCAAAAGTTTTATTGTTCTGTTGTTTCTTATGCTTTGAAGTATTTGAAAAACTCTTATTTTAAGGAAGTGAAACCCCTTCGGCTGGGGGATCATTTAGATATAGTTTTAGATTGAAATGATTTCCTCAAAGCTTGTTGAGAAGTTGAAGCTTTTCACCTGGGCCTGGGAGGCATTATTTTTACCAAAAGGCAAGGTTAAGAGCAAGGAGTCTGGAGCCAGTTTTCCTGGGTTCAAATCCTGTCTTGCACATTTGCAAGTGGTAACATAAATTCTGTGTTTTAGTTTTTACCTCTGAAAAAGGATAATAATATTATCTGCTTCATAGTGTTGTTATAAGGGTTAAATAAGTCAATATGTGTAAATTGCAGGGGGTTCCTGACTTTGACCATTTTTTGACTTTATAATAATGCAAAAGAGATACATTCAGTAGAAACCGTACTTTGAGTACCAATATAACCATTCTGTTTTTTCACTTTTAGTACAGTATTCAGTAAATTACATGAGATATTCAAAACTTTATTATAAAATAGACTTTGTATTGAGGATTTTGCTGAACTGTAGGCTAATGTAAGTGTTCTGAGTATGTTTAAGGTAGGCTAGGCTAAGCTATGATGTTTGGTAGGTTAGGTGTATGAAATGCATATTCAACTTACAATATTTTCAGTATATGATAGGTTTTTTGGGAGGTAACATCATTATAAGTCAAGGAGCATCTGTACTTTAAGTGTTACTTGGGTTAACATAACAATTACATAAATGCTTATAGTATCATAACCATATCTATGTCTTTGAGCAAAGTACAGTTCGGATGACCCTGGAGCAGAAGTCTGGGATGTCACATGCAATACCATATTTGGCCGGTAGATGACACCAAGGTCCACAATGTGCCAGCCTAAACATGAAGATATTTTTGTGTCTTTTTGGCTGCTCCTTTACCTGCGATTTGTGGGCATTGTAAGAGAAGAAATAGGACTGAAGAAGCTAAGTTTCCTTTGTAAGGCTCAAGCCTGAAATACTGGGATATTTGATTATGGTGTGAAAGCAACAGTGTGTATTTGAGAGTTGCCTGACTGAAAATTATGGGGCCTGGATTTTAGTTCTGATGCTGTGGACACTGTGTGTTCTTGGGTGAGTTTCCGAACTTAGCTGGGCTTCAGCTTCCCCTTCTCTTTTGCTGTTATTTGAGGAATAAAATAGAATGAGAATACAAAACAGACATATAGTGAAGTGGGAAAAACATGAGGGAGAAGCAAAGAAGATATGGTAGGAATTAGAATTGGAGGTGAAGGAATAGTGGGGATATGGCAAGGGAGGGGAATTAAAAATGGAAGTGATAAAGGTAGGAACATGACTATGGAGGCGAAGACTTAAAGTAGAAAAAAATATAAAATATACTTGATGCCTATAATTTTTCGCATAAAGATACCTCCCTTTACTACATTTCAGTCGCTGTCTCTTGCACACATACATGCACACACACAGACATGTGGCTTTCATCCATTCCCACAATGTAATGGGTGTGAAGAAGGCAGAGGGGCAGGGAACTCAAACTTTCTGATAAAAGCACATAGAATCTCCTCTCTTTTAAAGCACATTAAGCAGCTCTCCCTCAGCTTTGTGTGAGCCCCATTTCCTTCCCCAGCAATCTCCTGAATGCCCTGGTTACCTCCTTGTTCCTCAGGGTGTATATGAGAGGGTTAAGTGAAGGAGTGCCCACTGCATAGAAGAGACCAAAGAACTTGCCCCTCTCTTGGGCATAGGGATTTTTGGGCTGGAGGTAGACAGCAATGACTGAGCTGTAGAAGAGGGTGACCACAGTGAGATGGGAGGAGCAGGTCCCAAAAGCTTTCCTCCGCCCTTTTGCAGAGTTAATCCTCAGCACTGCCCAGGTAATGGCTCCGTAAGAGACAAGGATGAGGCTGAGAGGCACAACCAAGATGAAGACACTGGCAACAGCCACCTGGATCTCATTGTAGGAGGTGTCTTCACAGGAGAGTCGAATTAGAGCTGGGACCTCACAGACAAAATCATCCACCTGCCGATCGGGGCAGAAGGGCAGGTGCAGGGTGGATGGTGTCTGGACCACTGACTCCACTAGCCCAATGACCCAGGCCACAGATGCCAGCTGCCAGCACAGGCGGGGGTGGATGATGGTGGCATAGTGGAGGGGCTGGCAGACAGCCACGTAGCGATCAAAAGCCATCACTGTCAAGAGGATGCACTCAGTTGTCCCCAGGGACAGGAAGATGAAGATCTGGACAGAGCAGTCCAGGAAGCTGATGGTCTTCTTTGGGCCCCAGAGGTTGACCAGCATTTGGGGAACACAACTCGTGGTGAAACAGAGGTCCAAGAAGGAGAGGTTGGAGAGGAAAAAGTACATTGGAGAGTGGAGCTTGGGGTCCAGCGCAGACAGCAGGATGATGAGTGTGTTGCCCACTAGGGTTAGGAGGTAGGAAGTGAAGACAACCACGAAGAGAGTCCTTTCCAGCCCTGGGTGTTCAGAGAAGCCCAGAAGGAGGAAGCCCGGTGTGGAGCTTTGGTTAACCATGGCCTGTTCTTGTTTGTACCTGGAGGGATGAGGCTGTCACCCCAGTGTGATTCAACCTGTCTTATCAAAACTCAGCCTGGGTGTTTGTGAGGTCACAGCAGGTAGGTGTTTCTCTTCTGTCTCTGCTCGCCCAGCCTCCCTTTCCAAGGCTCATCACCATCCAGCAGCTCCTTCTCATTCCCTGTTCTTCCTGGTCAAACATTGTCTAGTGAGAGTGAGGAATCCATGAATGTACTGGACAGCAGATGGATACTCACACTGGTGCCTCTGACTTCCTGGGTGAGGGCAAAGGAGGCTGATTAAAATATGCACTAATTCATTAATTCATTCATTCAGGGGAAATTTATTGAGTGCCACTATGTTCTGAATGCTGTTCTAGAGTTGTCTCTTATCTATTGGATGATCTCGTAAGGTATATTGAATGAATTTTCTGATAAGTTGTCTCTGTAGGCTCAATTATTGCTCTATTGGTTGAATGAATTTTATAGAACTCTGTACATTCCATTTATTTTGTATTTTTTCATTTGCAAGTAAGCTTATCAGAGACAGTGTTTTATCTATGAGAGAGATTTTGTTTTGTTTTAAGATATCCCTACTTATAGAGAGATCAGGTTGGTTGCCCTGGCCTTTTTAGCAACCTAAGTTTCTGAACCAACTGACTTTCAGGGAGGGGTGGAAATTGGTCCACATGCTTCGTCCTTGCCATGAGTAGCTTACAAGTAGGAGGCAAGAGTGGCCACAAGCATGTTAAAATCACCAGGGTTCACAGGAACATTATCGAAAGACTCCAAGAATCACTCTCCCTAAATCTTGTAGTCTTTCAGACACCACCAAAAAGAGAGTCCAAAATTTAAAGGCCAGTAACACCAATGTACTGGGTGAATGAGAGTAAAGGTTCTGTAGGATGACTGACCAATTTGGTTGGGTATATCAGGGAAAGCTTCCTAGAGGAGGTGACTGGACTTTTTCCTTAAAATAGAGATGTATTGGGGCATAGAAGGTCAGTTGAGGGCTGGGGGTGGGAGACTGAAGCCACTCTGGCAGGTCAGAGACAAGGACTCAGGGTCTTACAGGACCTTAGGAAGGCCATGAGGGGAGGAGATGAGATGGTGGGCCACACCACAAACGTGCCATGGAGCTCAGAGGATGGCAGGAATGTCTTCCTCTTACAGGGTCCCCATCTTGTATTAAGCTCTATCACATCTCCCTTTTTGCCAGGACTCTCTGCCATTGTCTCTGTCTTCTTCCTGTTTTTCCCATTATTCTTTTCTCACTTAAAATATATTTTTAATTTTCAAAATATTGTTACATATTTAAACAACTAGGTTAAGGAACTGAGCAAATGTTTCAAGTATCTTAGAAGCTTCTGTGTGCCCCTCCCTGATCTCTCAATTTTCTCAATTTGTCACCCCTCAAGATGTCACCACCATTCTAATTTTTTTTTTTTTTTTTTTTTTTTAGAGTCACGTTTTATAGCCCAGGCTGGAGTGCAATGGCACGATCTCTGCTCACTGCAACTTCCACCTCCTGGGCTCAAGCTATTCTCCTGCCTCAGCCTCCCAAGTAGCGGGGATTACAGGCACTCAAGACCATGCCTAGCTAATTTTTGTATTTTTAGTAGAGACGGGGTTTCGCCATGTTGGCCAGGCTGGTCTCAGACTCCTGACCTCAGGTGATCTGCCTGCCTCGGCCTCCCAAAGTGCTGGGATTACAGGCATGAGTCACTGTGCCTGGCCTCTAAATTTTTAATTATGCCTTCGCTTTCATTTTTTGAGATGTATTTAACGTACCATAAAATTCGCCCTTTTGAAGTGTGTAATTTAGTGGTTTAAAGTATATTCACAAGTTGTGCAACCAACACCATTTACTTCCAGAATATTTCATTACTCCCAAAAGAAACCTCATGCTCATTGGCTGCCGCCCCCTCCTTTGTTTTCTTTGTAATATAAAATTCTTTGCATGTAACCTTAAACAATAGCCAATTGTTTCTTATTTATCCATCATGTGTCATCCTAATTAATTTTCTACATTTCTAACTTTGTCATTATCTTGGCATTTCATTCCTTTCCTTTCTCTGCTATATCGCTGAATCTCTTTAGATTACACCTTTCTTAGTGACTGTTTCCCTTTCCCTCTTTGTTCTCTGTCTTTTCCACTCTCATTATTTTTCTCCTACTCCTTTTCCTTCTGAAATATTCATGCATTGGTCTACGCATTTATTCATTTCTTGAGCCCCAAAGTGCCAGCATTGTGTTAGGAGCTGGGGAAGGAGTTGGGAGGTCCTTTGAAAGGGGTTTATGATAGTCTAGTGACCATGAGCTACCCTTGCTGTTAGTAGCTACCATCAAAGCATGGTGATAAACAACTCCCTGAACATCTGGTTCTCACAGTGACCCTACAAAGAGATAAAATTATCCCAATTTTACCAAAAAGTGAACAGTCACAGACGGGACAAGAGACTTGTAGAAGGTTACCTAGTCAATAAGTGCTAGGACTAGGATTTTAGAGTAAGTTTAACTCCAAATCTGGTCCTCCAGTGTTGAGGATAGGCGGAAACTGATATCTCACAGCCAAAGAGCAAAGGTTCTGCTTACCTTCAATCAAATAAAAATCTCTTCTGGTACCAGCAATTCCCCATGACAGAGCTCTTAACTGGTGCCCAGCCTCCACTTGTACATCAGGAAGAAACAAAAAAATAAAAAGGAATGGGCATCCTTGAATGGGCAACTGCATCTCTGGTCACAATAGGGATTGCTAATGCTGACCATCTGGCACTTTTCTAAGCACACATGTGTGTGATGAGCTGGAGCTGGCTCAGATTATCTCTTGATTAGTAAATTTTTAGGAATTTTGTGAGACAGTTATTAAACCATCAGTGGCTTGAGACAGCCATGGCAGGAATATTTACACTATGAAAATTGGCAAACACTACAAATTAGGGCTCTCCCCATCTGCCACCAACCAAGTTGTTTATTAAACATTTACTCTACACTGCTGATTATCCTTCACAACTCTACATATTATTCTCTTCCTTCCAATATGAAGAAGTTGAAACAAAGAAATATAAATAACTTTCCCAAGGCAGTATAGTTAGTAAGCACCAGAGCTGATGTTTGAACCCAAATCTGCTAACTGTAGAGGGTTTGCACCAACCAAAGCCCACCAAATCTCTGCAGGGAGGATGAAGCCAAGGTCAGAACTTTGCCATTGAGTTCTTTGCCATCGAGTTCTTTGCCATCGAGTTCTTTGCCATTGAGTTCTTTGCCAACAATTTTCCCCCTCAGTCTAGGCAGAGGTGTGCCTCTGTTTTAGTGGCATTGGAGGTAGAAATGTTGACATGGTATGGTGGTAGAGGGATCCCACGGAGGGAAAGAGCTCATTAATTCTGCTGAGACTCTAGGGTCCATAGCCCACAGACAATTCATTAGCCACAAATTATGGTAAAAGGGGCAGGGGAATATCTATAGGAAATATGCCAACAATAGTCATCACTGTGGTAGGTAAAAGAGGTCACTCATTGCTTCTTTCTGTCAACAGGAAGAAAAAGGACAGTGTCTCTACTCCCACCTCCAGTGAGTCCCGGGCATCCTGATAGTCCTCTCAGGCTTATGATTCATCTATTCAGGACCTCAGTTTTTAAAGTTCTCAGCTTCCTCCTTTTCTATTTAGTTATTCTGAGATGGAGCACACTGTAGTAACAGAGAATTATAAAGCTCTGGGTTTGGAGAGTACTTAGAACATTTAGCCAATCTTCATATAACTGAATCGTTATGCTTCTCTTCCATTAGAAAGGGAGCCTATGAGATCAGCTAATAAATGGCATGTACTAGGTCCATGGATCTACCCAGTAGTCATTTCTGCAGTCTCTAAATCTGTAACTGGAATGCACATGCTTGGCCATTGGCAGAATCCCCACATAGTTCTTTAGTCTGTGGAGTACGAGCTACAGATTGAAGTGGAAGCCCTGAATCTACACCTCTTACCGCAAAGACAGTGAATCAAGAACAATATCACAATTCAAGGGAAATGGCTGATTGAGGCCACCTTTAAAGGGTGCGGGGGTTTGTTTCTATCATATTTCACATTTAATTCACCAGTCTGGTCACTACAAATATCAGATGCAACTTGAAAGATGACCAGACTAGCACAAACTCAACCAAGAAATAGCTGTAATTACAGCTGTTGTGCCTGATTAGCACGGTTTCAGGTCCATGTTATATGGCTATTAATCTGGTGAATAATGTGTTCTTTTCTTTTCTTTTTGAGATGGAATCTCACTGTTGCCCAGGCTGGAGTGCAATGGCATGATCTTGGCTCACTGCAACCTCCCCCTCCCGGGTTCGAGCGATTCTCCTGCCTCAGCCTCCTGAGTAGCTGGGACTACAGGCGAATGCCACCACGCCTGGCTAATTTTTGTATTTTTAGTAGAGACAGGGTTTCACCATATTGATCAGACTGGTCTTTAACTCCTGACCTCGTGATCTGCCTGCCTCAGCCTCCCAAAATGCTGGGATTACAGACGTGAGCCACCGTGCCTGGCTGAATGTGTTCTTTTCAAATACTATCAGGAAGAAAGACCAAAGGCAGTTTGAATTTACAGGTATGGATATAAGTGTACATTTACATTTACATTTTTGCTTCAGTACCATGTTAAAACTCTCCCGTCATAATAGGGTCCAATGGGACATGGATGTGCTGCAAGTCCAGGCAAAAAAGCCTTGATTTACATCATTTGCTGATTTCTGCAGTGTAAATATTCTCACCATGGCCAATTTTAAACTGTCAATGTGAGATTACTGAAAATGCAGAGTTGTAGAGAAATGTATGGTAACACACCATTACACAGAATAATTTATAATACAGAGGGTTTTTTTTTGTTTGTTTGTTTTTGAGGAATAAACAAACAGTCTTTATTAGGCTCAGACCAGAAGTCCATGGATCTTGAGGAGACCTGTGTGTATTTGTCAGTTTTCTTTTTCATGTTCTTTTCCACCTATTTCTGTAGCCTCATAAGCTGTTTCTTCTTCTGGTAGTGGATCTTGGCCTTCTCCTTCCTCTTCTTCAGGGTGGCTGTCACTGCCTGGTACTTCCAGCTAACTTCATAAGCTCGGTGTCCAGGCGGACAAATTTTCTTGTAGGCTTCAGACACACAAGCTTGAGGGCAGCAGGAACCACCAAAGCTTTTTCTTGTCATGGGGCGGTGGAATGCCGTCAGACACCTTGAGGTGGTTGAGGGCGGCCTGGCCTTGGTGAGTCTTGTGGGGCAGTGGGCCTTGCACCATCCACCAGAAGATGCGGCTAGGGCCGAGAAATGGCAGGGCCTCCAGAAGGTGTTCATCCGCTTGCGGAGAAAGCCCAGGTACTTCAACTTGTTTCTGTAGAACTTGCCAGAAATGTTGATGCTCTCGCATTGTACGACCACCACCTTCTGGCCTAGAGGGAAGGAAAGGGTTGGGAAGTGCTGAGGGTGCCATCTGAAGGCTCTCCCTCTACCTGTGACTGCACACAGACAGTGATGGGCACAGCAGAGTTCATGTTTAAATTAAAAGATAGCCTAATGGAAAATCACTTCTGAACCAGGAGGACCGCACCCCAGGAATGGGAGTGGCTGGCAGGTCTCAGAGCAGTGCATGGGGTTGGTCTCATGGCCATGAGACTCAAACGAAAGATGGTGATTGTTGCTCATCACCAATCCAGAATATTTTTATTATACAGACAACATTATTTAGTATCTTTATTATATAGACATAACAGATATAAATAACCAGAAGAGTATGGAAAATATGATAAGATAGTTAAATACCTAGAAAATGAAGAGCTTAGGGATTTGTTACCTATGCCTTAAAATAACTTATTTTAAAATAATAGTCATGTTTAACAACTGGTTTGCACAATTTCTGAAAATTTAACAGTTGGCTCCATGAGGCAGTATGAGCTAGCTGCATGCAGCACACCACTGGACGTGGACCTTCTGGACATTCCACAAAACATGACATCGTTCCACTGTATCAACAATATCTTATTAACCAAACAGAATGAGCCATGAGGGCAAGCATATTGGCGGCACTCGTAAGACAAATGCACTCCAGAGAGTGGGAAATACACCCTGTGAAGATTCAGCATCCTCCACATCTTTGAAGTTTTTAGACTTTGTGCCAGGACATCCCTCTAAAGTAAGAACACATTATTGCATTTCACACTTAACACCAGTAATGCAGAATTGGAAAGAGATGCACAGTAACACACTATTACACAGAAGAATTTATAATACAGAGGTGTTTTTTGGAATAAACAGTCTTTATTAGGCTCAGACCAGGAGTCCATAGGTCTTGAGGAGAACTGTGTGTATTTGTCAGTTTTCTTCTCCACGTTCTTTTCTGCCTGTTTCTGTAGCCTCATAGGCTGTTTTCTTCTTCCAGCAGTGAATCTTGGTCTTCTCCTTCCTCTTCTCCAGGGTAGAGAATGCTTGGTTGTCCTATTTAGGATCTAGAGGAAACATATTCCACACTCATGGGAATACCACATGGAACAGTTTACTAGCGACTGACTGAAGCCCAGAGCAGACCTGGGGTCCGCAGCTGTTCTAAGCTGTCATATCAGCCGTGTGGTAGTGCTTTGGTCATGTGACTCAATAGACTCTGGGGCACTAAAGGTATCAGTGGTGGGAAAAGATACAGTGTGGCATTTTGGGCAAGCCTTGAAAGGAAAATCACAACATAGATCCCTGGGGTTCTTCATCAAATCTATGCTGTCTGCTGCAGGAAAGTAAACCCCATTAGGAAACAAGTCCTAGCTTGCTCTTGGGCCTTACTAGAGACAGAGCTCCTGATCATGAGACATCAAATGGCTATTAGGCTACAACTGTCCATCATGAGCTGGGTCCTGTCAAATCAATCAAGTGATGAGGTCTAGTGGTTGCAACATCATCAGTTGTAAGAGAGAAGTCGTATATCCTGCATCAGTCATGGGCAGAACTGGAGGGTAAATGCAAGGTGCTGAAGTGGGGGGCCCAGATTCCCATGTCCTCCACGCTGTGGCCTTGGTACTTCCCAACTTGCTCATACCAGTGGCTCATGGGAGTGTTCTAGTTATTTATTGCTGCATAACAAAGTCTCCCCAAATTTAATGGCTTAAATGAACACAAACCTTATTGTATCTCACATGTTGTGGGCCAAGAATTTGGAACGAAATTGGCTGGGTTTCCTTATATTCCATGTTGCATCAGCTGGGATCCCTTGGAAGTATTCAGCTGGCAGATGGACTGCTCTAGAGGGTCCGAGACAGCTTCACTCACATGCCTGGCACCTTGGTGGGTTCACTGTAAGTTTGGGCTCATTTTCTCTGTCTTCATGCTATCTCAGGGCCTTTCTACATGGTCTGCCCAGCATGATAGACTTTTTACTTGGAAATTCAGGACTCCAGGATAGCAAGGAGGAACAGCCAGTTCTCTTACAGGCTGGCCCCAGAGCTGGCATGGTGTCACTTCTGCCACGCTGTTTTTGTCAAAACAGTCATAGACTAGCACAGATTCAAGGGGAGGGGAAATAGATAGCCCTCCTGATGGGATGATTGTCCGATAGTTTGCAGCCATCTTTAATCTGTCATGGGGGGGGAGGGGTACTTTATGATTGGTTAATGGAGGAAAAATAAGATGACCTTGGTTCATGGATGTATCTGCTCAACACATTGGTGTGAGCTGAAAATGGACTGCTGCTGCATTATAGCCACACTCAAGAGTAGTTCTGGAAGACAGTAGAAATTGTAAATCTTCCCAATGGGCAAAGCTTTGAGTAGTGCACCTGATTATCTATTTTGTGTAGAAAGAATAATGGCCTAATGGAAGAATATTTGTGAATACATGGGCAGTGGCAAATGGCTTGGTTGGTTGGTCAAGTGCTTGGAAGGAGGAGGTTTAGAAGATGAAGAACAATGAAATTTGAGGAAGAGGCACTTGGATAGGTTTATGAAAATGGGAAATCTTTTTATTTATGAAATTGGGAAAATTGTGAATATCTTTGTGTTACATGCTAATGCCCACTAGAAAGCATCCACAATAGAAGAGGCTCTAAACCTCTTCTAAACCAAGTAAACAGTGACTATAGGCCAGTTCACACTAAGCAGTCTTCTCCACAGGCCACCCTAGTGCTGGTAAAAATGGACTTATGAAGGCAGTAACTATGGTGGCAGGATGCAGGTCTGTATGTGTTCAACAGCATGGCTTTCACTCACCAACACTGATCTAACTCCTGCAGCTACTGAACGTCCGGCCTGCCAGAAACATGCAAATGCTGCCCTTGATATGGCACTATATCCTGGGCATGAGTTTGCAGGTCCAGGATTCAAATTGGATGCTGCGCAATGCGAAAGGGCTCTGTGTATTTGTAGAAAACCCCCAAACTGACCATTTTCTCCTACTATATTCTCAACATTCAACACTTCTAGTCACCAAAACATGTTCGTTTTTATTTTATTTTATTTTGTTTTGTTTTATTTTATTATTTTTTGAGATGGAAGTCTTGCTCTGTTGCCCAGGTTGGAGTGCAGTAGCGCGATCTCGGCTCACTGCAAGCTCTGCCTCCTGGGTTCATGCCATTCTCCTGCCTCAGCCTCCCGAGTAGCTGGGACTACAGGCATCTGCCACCATGCCTGGCTGATTTTTTGTATTTTTAGTAGAGACGGGGTTTCACCTTGTTAGCCAGGATGGTCTTGATCTCCTGACCTTGTGATCCGCCCGCCTCAGCCTCCCAAAGTGCTGGGATTACAGGGCTGAGCCACCACGCCCGGCCAACATGTTGGTTTTTCTTCCAGACTGACCAATACATTCTTCAGTGGACACCAACTTGGTGTCCTATAATTCAATTCAATTCACTTCTGACATTATTCACCTGGAGATACAGTGAGATCCCACAGGTTAAAGGATCCTATAAGGCTGCTCCCCACTTCAGATGCCAATCACAAGTCCAAGCTTCTGGAACTTCTGACCTACTGGGAACCCTACTGGGGGTTCCCACAATCCCCTCCTTGGGTTTGATGATTTATTAGAGCAGTTCACAGAATACATGAAAGCTCTTTAGTTCAATTTACCAGTTTATTATAGAGGATATTCCAAAGGATACAAATGAACAACAAAATAGAAGAGATGTACAGGAAAAGGTGTGTGGGAAGGGTTACAGAGCTTCTGGGGCATGCTGCCCTCTCAGCATTTCTGTGTGTGCACCAGCCTGGAAGTTCTCGGAGCTCTGTAGTTCAGGGATTTTTGTGGAGGCTTCATCAAATAGATATAGTTGATTATTAACTCAATGTCTAGCCACTCTCGATTTTCTGGAAGATGAGGGTAGAGCTGAAAGTTTCAAACTTCTAATCATGGCTTGGTCCTTCTAGTCAGAGTCCCCATTCAGGGGTCCCCCAAGGGGTCACCTCATTAGAACAAAAGATGCTCCTGTTACCCAGGAAATTCCAAGGGATTAGAGCTCAATGTTAGGAACTGACATATTTGGTCAAAGACCAAATATTAGAACAAAAGACTCTCCTAGCACCCCTATTGCTCAGGGAATTACAAGGGCCTTAGGAACTCTGTGCCAGGAACTGGGATCAAAGGCCAAATATGTATATCTTATTATATCACAATATTACAGCCTCTTGGCCACCGCATTATTCTGCAGCCCATGACTGCAATAGCTTTTTGGATTATATTCAGATGCTTTTCACATGTGGCGATAGACTCAAGTACCATACTCAGTGATGACCTCAGAATTACATGTCATTTTGCTATGAGTCTCTCCCAAGTTTAGCTTTTTGAAAAATCTTTTGGTTTCATATTATATTATGGGATATATTAGCAATCTCTGATAGTTTTGTGGCATATTAAATATTCATGGATGAAGCAGCTTTGGGAGTCGATAATGGATAGGGTGTTTATAACTAACCTAATTTAAATTTTATTCTAGTTACTACATTACTATGGCTATTTTGCCTGGCAATTAATGAAGAGCACTGGAACTGATTCTTACTGGGGCATAAACTTGTAGCCACTTCTGCCTTGAACCTATTAACTGCTTAAAATTTACACACACACACACACATACACACAATTTATTTTGAATATGTAAAGCACACACAGCTGTAACATTTAAAAGACAGGCAAAAATATAAAGTGAAAAGCAGATTTCTCTTCCATGTCTGCTCTTCTTCAAGTTACTGCTGTCGATGATGTCATAGGGCTCACTAGCTCCAGAAACAGCTTCTTCTGCAGGAACCTGGGAGGCTTCCAAGACACAAAGGGATTTTACTTCCTGCTGAACGACGTTGGTGATGGCTTTCTTGACTCCTCTAGACCTTGCGACCGCCGGATCCCAGTTGGCGTAATCTGCCACAGTCTTTGGAAGGAGCAGGCATCATGGGCCCAGAGCTTGAGCCGATTTCTTCTCCTCGACACGGCGCTCTTGTCTAGGGGAGGCTGGCACAGAGGTCTGCAACCATGGGCCAGCTCCGCCCTGCTCTGCTGTTAGCCCACGCTGGAGGCCAATGCTTTCGTGAGGACGCAGGCCCTAGGATTTCTTTCTGTAAATATAGTCTATCCTCCATTCCCACAGGTTCTGCATCCACAAGCAAACATGAATTGAAAATACAATATTCTCAGGATGCTAAACTCATGGATGTGAGAACCGACTTTTTGTATTTGTGAGTTCTGCAAGGTCAACTTTGGGACTTCAGCATCTGCAGATTTTGGTATCTGAGGGGTGTCCTGGAACTAATTCCCTGGGGATACTGAGGGGTGACTGTAATAAATATTCATTACATACCTACTGTGCCAGATACTATGCCAGGCACTAAGAGTATAAGGATAAGTGAGCCAAAACCCTGACCCTCACTTTCCTTACTGTGTACTTTGAGAGGTAGACAATTAAAAAGATCCTGTTACTTCATGGGAAGTGCTTTTTGTTGGTGGTAGAGAGGAGCTGGAGGGGAGAGTCTTCCAAAGAGAGGGAGGAGCACGTTCAAAGGCTAAAGGTGGCAGAGAGCCTGGTGTGGTTCATACACTTGCACTTGCAGGTAGTTGTGTGAACTTGCAGGATTCTAGGTGGTTGAGCCTTAGGAGGTGGGGATGGTAAAGTCTGGAAAACAGGAACCCGATCTAGGAGTTTGGGCTCCACATTTTATTGCAGGGGGATTCTATATATTATTTTTGGCTAAGGGAGTAACATATTCAAATTTGTATTTTGGAATGATTACTCTGGTTCAACATGGATAATCAATTTCAATCGGTCAAGACTGGAGGCAAAGAGCCAGTTAGTAGTCATTCATATCATCCACCAAATATTTCTGGTTCCCTTTCCTGCCACATGATTGGTTTATTTCCCCTCACCTTGAAGTTATATGTAGCCATGAGATTTGCTTTGGCAAATGACCAATGAGTCAAAGTGTTATGCCACTTCCGATTGGAAACTAAGTGCTAGTTTGCCATTTGTCATGCTTATTATTTCCTCCTTTCCCAGCACCTAGGAGTGTTTGAGATGGTGGGTGTTCTGTCAGTCCACATCTTTGGGTGAAGATGACAAGGCAGAACCTCTGGTTGGATGACAATGGGCATGCAGCAGCAGCAAGAAATAAACCTATGCTGTTTCAAGTCACTGAGGATTGGTATTGTTATCACAGCATAACCTCTTTCCTGACAGGAAAGAGGAGAGAATGGTTCAGTTCTAAACAGATTTTTCCATCACACTCTCCATTCCATTCATGTGAGGCTTTGAGAATGTAATGAATGTAGATCAACTTGAAAAAGGAAATAAGATTTCATAGAAGTTGGGGCTTACACTGCTGCTCCCTTTTTTCTGAGGCCCTTGCTCCATCCAGGCTCCATTGCAGCACTTTATTACTTACAATTGGATTTCATGTTTGTGCCTGGCTAGTAGAGGTTGGTCAGAATTTCAGAACTGCACTAGAAAATGGATGCAGGACAGCTGTTAGCACTGTGTAGCCACTGAAGAGCAGACTCACAACTCCTCATGGTCACTGTCATGCAGAGGTTGAGAAGAGGTAAAGGAAAATCATCTCCAGGAATGGGAGCACATTTTCAGGATTTGGCAGGAGATTAGTGTTGTGATCCCTGGAAAGCTGGATGATCAGAAAACTTACTAGGACTGGAAAAATAGAGTTTTCTGCCTGATAACCCATTTGGGTATAAATCCTAATGATGTTGGTATATTTATAATGGTGTAAAACCAACAGCATGCACTTGGTAAGTTAACAGATATGCATCTCAATTTAGGTCTAACAAATTGCTGTGTGTTCTTGGGTGAAATTACTAAATTCTCTGAGTGTCAGCTTCCTGTCAGTCCACCTCAAGCAAGTGGAGATGAACCATCCTGATGACAAAGGAAAGAAGACATTGTCAGAATCAGAAGTGGCTGGGTGATGTGGCTCACTCCTATAATCCCAGCACTTTGGGAGGCCGAGGCGGGTGGATCACCTGAGGTCAGGAGTTCGAGACCAGCCTGGCCAACATGGTGAAACCCCGTCTCTACTAAAAATAAAAAATTAGCTGGGCATGGTGGCATGTGCCTGTAGTCCCAGCTACTCAGGAAGCTGGGGCAGAAGAATCACTTGAACCCAGGAGGCGGAGGTTGCAGGGAGCCAAGATCGCACCACTGCACTCCAGCCTGGGCGACAGAGTGAGACTCCATCTCAAAAAAAAAAAAAAAAAAAAAAAAGAATCACAAGTGATGGTAAAATGATGATGATAATGTAACAATCGGAGAGGGGTTACATAACCAGAAATAGGCATGGTGCATTTGGAGAACCTGTAGGGGAGAAGAGAGTTAAAAACCAAATTGAAAAGAAAATAAAAATATAGAAATTAAATATTAAAAATGGGCAGGTATGATAATCTTTTTGAGCTTTAGATGTTAATTAAAGATACCTACCTCCTCTTACCTGACTCTTAGTCTTTCTCTGTCTCTTTCTCTCTCTCACACACACTCATATACTGTGACCCATTGTAAACACTGTGATGGGTGTATGAAAGGTAGTATACTTGGGAGCTCAAACTTGTTCACAAAAGGATAAATAATTTCTTCTTAATTTAGAAAGCACATTAAACAGCTCTCCCTCAACTTTGTATGAGCCCCATTTCCTTCGCCAGCAATCTCCTGAATGCCCTGGTTACCTCCTTGTTCCTCAGGGTGTATATGAGAGGGTTAAGTGAAGGAGTGCCCACTGCATAGAAGAGACCAAAGAACTTGCCCCTCTCTTGGGCATAGGGATTTTTGGGCTGGAGGTAGACAGCAATGACTGAGCTGTAGAAGAGGGTGACCACAGTGAGATGGGAGGAGCAGGTCCCAAAAGCTTTCCTCTGCCCTTTTGCAGTTAGTCCTTAGCACTGCCCAGGCAATGGCTCCATAAGAGACAAGGATGAGGCTGAGGCACAGCCAAGATGAAGACACTGGCAACAGCCATCTGGATCTCATTGTAGGAGGTGTCTTCACAGGAGAGTCGAATTAGAGCTGGGACCTCACAGACAAAATCATCCACCTGCTGATGGGGGCAGAAAGGCAGGCGCAGGGTGGATGGTGTCTGGACCACTGACTCTACCAGCCCAATGACCCAGGCCACAGATGCCAGCTGCCAGCACAGGCAGAGGTGGACGATGGTGGCATGGCGCAGGGGCTTGAAGATAGCCATGTAGCGGTCAAAGGCCATCACCGTCAGGAGGATGCACTCAGTGGTCCCCAGGGACAGGAAGATGAAGAACTGGACAGAGCAGCCCAGTAAGATGATGGTCTTCTTTGGCTCCCAGAGGTTGACCAGCATCCCGGGGACACAACTTATGGTGAAACAGAGGTCCAAGAAGGAGAGGTTGGAGAGGAAAAAGTACATTGGAGAGTGGAGCCTGGGGTCCAGCACAGACAGCAGGATGATGAGTCCACCGGGGTTAGGAGGTAGGAAGTGAAGACAACTACAAAGAGAGTCCTTTCCAGTGCTGGGTGTTCAGAGAAGCCCAGAAGGAGAAAGCCTGGTGCGGAGCTTTGGTTAACCATGGCCTGTTCCTCTCTGTATCTGGAAGGATGAGGCTGTCACCCCAGTGTGATTCAACCTGTCTTATTAAAACTCAGCCTGGGTGTTTGTGAGGTCCCAGTAGGTGAGTGTTTCTCTTTTGTCTCTGCTCGCCCAGCGTTCCTTTCCCAGTCTCATCACCATCAAGCAGCTCCTTCTCATCCCCTGTTCCTTCTGATCAAACATTGTCTAGTGGGAGTGAGGAAACCATTAATGTGCTCAACAACGGATTGAGCCTCACACTGGTGCCTCTGACTTCCTGGTTGAATGCAAAACGTCTGATGTGAAGCATAGATCAGCTAACTAGTTAGTTTTTATTAATTTTGCAAAAATTTATTAAGTACCTATTATGTTCTGATCGCTATGCTACTACTGAATTTTCCCTTTGTTATGTGTGGAAGGAAATACAAAGAAATGTGTGTTCAGTGAGTTTCCTAATTGTAAACATTACTAGAGAATTCATCATGTTTTCTAGTGGTGGGCATAAATTTTCTCAAATCATTCACATTCTATCTACTTTACACTTTTGCAAGAGATTTGACCAGTGATAGAAATGTGGACTGTGGAGATTTCTTCTGTATGTGAAATGACTCAACTGCTAGAAAGATCAGTCAGGTGATTTAGGTCTTTCAAAAAAAATTATGACTTATTAAACTAAGAACAAACATTTCTCCTGCAAATGAAATGTCCTGCCTAAATTTTCCATTATGTGTAATATGTAAAAATAAGAAAAAATATAATGTCAGTCAGAAAGATTATTTTCTGGTTCTGTAACTGCAAAAAAATCCTGAAGAATTGATGTTTGGTGTTAGAAAGCTGAAATAGATTTCAATATCCTCTCCTTTTCATGTAAGATAAAATATAGTAGTAAAAACATACCATGTTGAGTTTGGGACATGTAAGTAGAATTTTGCTTTTGAAAATGCTCGGTTAATTTTATTCACATGCAATTAAAAACCTTTGATTTTGAAATAAGTTGAAACTTACAGAAAAGTTGCAAGTGTAGTTCCAAGAACTTCTATATAACCTTTATCAAATTCATCAATTTTTAGTATTTTTACTCATTTTCACTATCATTATACTCAATATGTTTATGTATTTTCATTTTTACTCTGAGTCACTTGGGAATAACTTGTGGACATCATGCCTCTTTCTCCTTATTGTCTTAGTATTCATATTCTACAACAAGATGATCTTAATTAACACTGTACAGCAATTAAATTCAATAAACTTAAAATTGATACAGTATTGTTATGTAACACACAGTCCATATTCTTATTTTCTCTATGTCCCAATAATGTTCTTTGTAGGATTTTTTTTTTTCCACGTAGGATCCAGTTGAGAGTCACATATTGTACTTAGATGTCAGGTCTGACTTTATCCTCTTTAGTAGCCTATCCTAAGTCACTGAAGTAAGGAGTCTACTTCAAATTATTGAACAATGTGGTCATTCAAGGCGGAGGAGCTTATGGGCTGGAAGAAAGAGTAGTCTCATGGCTTTGAAAAACCCTGGGTAGTACATTCAACATCAGCAGAAAACTTGAAACATTGCAGGCAAATAAGGCAAAAATATTGGGGTAGGGGGCTAGAGGTGAGAGATAGATCTGTAAAGAAAATGAGTAGGGTGGTTGAGTGAATCAGGGAATGCTTCCTGGAGGAGGGGACTGTGTTTTTGAGAAGGTGAAGAGAGTTTCAGCACACAGGGCCAACTCAGATATGGGTGGACGGTGGCAGCCACTCTGGCAGTTGAGAGGCAGGAACTGGGCAAGTTGATGGGGAGGTGGCTGGAGAGGCTATAGGTTGGCAGCATCTACCCATTGCAGTGTCTCTTTTTTGTGTGTTTAAAAGCCCCATCTCATCTTTTTATTTGTTCAACCTGTTTATATTTGTCTCTTTTTTCGTTTCCTTCCTCCTATATTCTTTTTACTCTGAGAAAAATTTTTCCTTTAAAATATTGTTGAATATTTTAACAAAAGATTGTTTAAATCTTAAAAGCCTTCTGCGTGCCCTTCCCTAATCATACCTACTACCTACTCCTGAAGACGCAATGACTATTTCAATTATTACTTTTACAAAATCATTCCTATATTGTCTTATAACATTACACCCTTTGTGTTGGTAAAAAATAGCCAACTCCTCCTTATTTATCTGTCAACCATCATTCTAATACACTTTCTGCATCCCTCTCTTACACTCTTATACTCTTGGTAATTCATTGCTTCACTCTATGTCATTTTTCAGTCTCTTCAATTTACATAGTTCTTTGACTCTCTTTCTGTTCTCTCTTGTTCTGTGTTTCACAACGTGTATTTGTTCTCACTCTCTTTCTTCTGGTCTTTTTAATTTTTCTTGGACACCCACAAAAGTCCAGTACAACTTTACTCTCTTCCTATTAATTTCATATTCACGGATGTATTTATTTCTTTATTAATCACCAAAGACCTAGTTGTGTACTAGGTGCTACAAGGGAATGAAATATCAATTCTTTTCTCCAATTCATTAGTGAAAACCACGTTAATACTTTGGCAGCTACCATCTGTTGTGTGCTTCCTATACACCAGGCACCATGCTAAACATTTCCTGAATACCTGGTTCTCATAACTCTTTGAGGTAGTTAATATCATCTTCCTTTTACAGAAGAAGAAATGGTCGCAGAGAGGTTAAGTAGCTTGCCCAAGGTTACATAGCCGATGAAGACCAGGCCTGGAGTCTGAGTCCTGTTTGATTCCAAATCTGGTGCTCCTGGGGTAGCTCTACCATTGACGATATGTGGACATTAATGGACAGTAGGAGAAGAATAAACTTATAACTTTTCCTCAATCATGTCACAATCTCCCCATTGCCTGCTGCCGGAGCTTCTCCCTGACAACGAGCTTCTAGACTGAGTGAGCCTCTAGTTAATCCTCACAATGAAATCTACAAGCAAAGTCAGGAGTGTTGGGCACCTTTGAAAGGGTGGTGGATTAGGGCTCAGGTAGTAATGTTGACTTCTAATGCTGCTGCCACACCTTTCAAAGCACTTCACAACCTCTGTATGACCTGGATAATATTTCTATATTCTATATTTATTTTCAGATGAAGAAACTAAAACATAGGTTAAATAATTAGCTCAGAATTATATAGCCAGAGCTGAGACTTGAACCCAGGTGGGTTGGCTCTAGAGTCAGGCACAAACTATACCCCACCACCATCCTTCTTCTGGACCTGTAAGGCTGAAGGTTGCTCTTTGCCCACAACCTCTCCTCTTCAACCTAGTAAGTTAACCTGTCTTTTAATGGTAGTGGAGATAGAGAAGAAAACGTGGTGAAGTGATGGAGGGAGGGATCCCGGGACTCCCATCCCATGGAGAGAAATGGCTTGTTAATTCTCCCAAGACTCCAGAGCGTCACAGTTCACAGACAATTAATTAGCCACTGGTGCTAATGATGATTAAGAAAGAAGGAGATGATTCAGAGGAAACGTGCCAGCATTGGTGCTCCCTGTGGTAAGTAAAAAGGTCACTTCTGCTCCTCTGTGTCATTGAGGAGCACAAGGTCATGTTTTCTCATTGCCACCTCTCCTGAGTGTGTCCCATTCTTTTCTCTCAAGTCTCATTTGAACCCATGTAAGACTTCGTTATTTCTTGTTTCTTCTCTACTGGTAGACATTTGGATATAATTTACATGCAATAAAATGCACAGATTTGAAATATACGCTTTGATGAATTTTGATGACTTCAATGAAGAAACAGAAGATTTCCATCATCCTACAAACCTTCCACTTGCCTCTTTCCTTGATACTTAGTTTTGCCTCTTCTAGGACTTCATACAAATGGAATAATATATACTCCTTTGAGTAAGAATTATTTCACTAGGAGTAATTATTTTGCAATTTATTCATGTTGTTTCAAGTATCAGTAGCTCATTTCTGCTTTTAAAATCAACTTCAGTCTGGGCATGGTGGCTCACATCTGTAATCCCAGCACTTTAAGAGGCCAAGAGGAATGGATCACCTGAGCCCAGGAGTTCGAGACCAGTCTGGGCAACATAGCAAGACCTTGTCTCTACGAAAAGTACAAAAACTTAGCCGGGTGTGGTGGCCTTCATCTGTAGTCCCAGCTCCTTGGGGGGCTGAGCTGGGAAGATAACCTGCGCCTAGGAGATTGAGGCTGCAGTGAGCTGTGATCATGCCACTGCACTCTAGCCTGGGTGACAGAGTCAGACCTTGTCTCAAAAAAACATAAAATAAAATAAACTTCTTTAAGATAGAATTTACATGTAATAAAATGCACACATTTTAAGTATATTGTTCAATATACTTAGGAGGTCAAGGCTGTAGGGAGCCGTGATTGCACCACTGCACTACTGCACTCCAGCCTGGGTGACAGAGTGAGACCCTGTCTCAAAAAAAAAAAAAAAAAAAAAGCAAGCAAGCAAGCATTCATACATTCATACCACCTGATTTCACTGACATAACTTTCCTACAACAGGAAAAGCAAATCTAGCAAGATAGAAATCAGATGATTGGTTGTCTGGGACAGGGCATAGGATAACTTTCTAGAATAATGAAAATGCATGCTCTATATCTTGAATGGGGTATTGGTTATCCAAGTGTATGCACTTGTCAAAACTTATTGAACAATATACTTAAAATGTGTGCATTTTATTACCCGTAATTTGTACTTCAATGAAATTTACTTTTTTTATGTTTTTTGAGACAAGGTGTTACTTTGTCACCCAGGCTAGAGTGCAGTGGTGTGATCACAGTTCACTGCAGCCTCAACCTCCTGGACTCAACCCCCCAAGTAGCTGGGATTACAGGTGCAGGCCACCACACGCGGCTAAGTTTTGTACTTTTTGTAGAGACAGGGTCTCGCTGTGTTGCCCAGACTGGTCTCGAATTCTTGGGCTCAAGTGATTCACCCACCTTGGACTCCCAAAATGCTAGAATTACAGGCATGAGCCACCATGCCTAGCTTCATGCCTTATTTCTGGCTTCTGTTATCTGGCTTGTTATGGAAATTCATTCATAGTGTTTCATATATTAGTAATTTGCTCCTTTTTATTGCTAATAGTATTTCACTGTATAAATATACCACAGTTTATCCATTCATGCATTGATGGGCATTTGGGTTGTTTCTAGTTTTGGGCTGCTATGAAAGAAGCCACAATTGTTGGGTATGGTGGCTCACACCTGTAATCCCAGAACTTTGGGAGGCCAAGGTGGGAGGATACTTGAGCCCAGGAGTTTGAGACCAGCCTGGGAAACATGATATAACCCTGTCTCTACAAAATAATACAAAATATTGGCCGGGCATCGTGGTGCATCCTGTAGTCTCAGCTACTTGGGGGGCTGAGGTGGGAGGATCACTTGAGCCCAGGAAGTTGAGGCTGCAGTGAGCCATGATCATGCCACTGCACAACAGCCTGGGTCCGAAAAAAAGAAGAAGAAGAAGAAGAAGAAGAAGAAGAAGAAGAAGAAGAAGAAGAAGAAGAAGAAGAAGAAGAAGAGGAAGAGGAAGAGGAAGAGGAAGAAGAAGAAGAAGAAGAAGAAGGAGAGAACAGTTAGTTGTGTTGTATATGGTTCTTCGTTCTTTGTGTGAACACATGTGTTCTTTATTTTGGGTAAATACCTAGAATTGGAATTTCTGAGTCATTTGCTGTCTGTTTATCTTTATAAGAAACTGCTAAACTGCTTTCCAGAGTGATTGTGCCATTTACACTCCCTACAGCGATGAGAGTTCCAGATGTTCCACATCCTTGGTAATACTTGGAATTGTCAGTCTCTTGGTTTTAGGCATTCTATCGGCTGTGAAGTGCTCCCTCAAGTCGTTTCAATTTGCTCTGTGATGGTTAATGGTGTTAAACATCTTATCATGTGCTTTATTGGTCCTTACGTGTCTTTTATTCAAATTATTTTTCATTTTTTTAACTGTGTTGTCTTATTAAAACTGTAGTCATATCTTATAATAATATAAGTAACATAATAAGTATTTATGGTAATACTTTGAGATTATGCAAGTATCTTTTTCTCATTATAGTTTTGCCTACTAATTTTAGCATCCACAAATGAGTTTTGACTGTAACAATTACTATTGGGCTGTTTGCCTAATGATAACTTTCATCATTTCTCCTATGTTTGTTATTTTGAATTTTGTAAGAGCTGTCCCTCTCCTCCTATTCGTTTACTGTTTATTTTCTTTATTCATATCCAGTAATGACTCCTGGATGTTTATTTTATTCTTTCTTCATTATTCTCATTATTTACTTTGCTGTTTACATTTTCCCAGACTTGGCTATGGGGAAATCCTTTAACGTGATTACTGTGAGTTTTTTGATGTGTCCTCATTTTTTTTTTTAATGACTTCTTTAGTTTCTGGCATCATACAGTATTCCAGGGTTATCTTGTATGTTCTCTTTCCTCTGTCTGGGATCAACCATCTCTCCAAGGACTCCTGGTTCTTTTTACCAGAAAGTCGTATACAGCTGACCCTTGAACAATGCGTGGGTTAGAGGTGCTGACCCCCTCATACATTTGGAAATCCATGAATAACTTTTGACTCCCCTAAACCTTAACTACTAATAAACTACTGTTAACCAGAAGCCTTACTGATCATATATACAGTTGACTGACACATATTTTGTATGTTGTATGTATTATATACTGTATTCTTACAATAACATGAGCCAGAGAAAAGAAAATGTTATTAAGAAAATTATAAGGAAGAGAAAATACACTGACAGTACAATACCGTATTTATCAATTATGTAAGTTTGTGTCATCTGTTAAGAGATGAAACATCAGTCAGAAATGGCAGGAAACTGCAGCAGCAGACCTCAATCTATAGCACATATCAAGCAATTCAACTTTTTCCTGTAATGTTATGGCTTTTCTCTGTCTCCAGGGAAAACTTCCAGCATCACTATATGGGTCTCGTGGTGTTATTCAGGCTTTATGGAATTGCACTAAACACAATTAAAAATACACAAGATCCTGGGCGCGGTGGCACACCTGTAATCCCAGCACTTTGGGAGGCCGAGGGGGGTGGATCACTTGAGGTCAGGAGTTCAAGACCAGCCTGGCCGTCTTGAACCAAAGAACGTTTCTACTAAAAATACAAAAATTAGCCAGGCGTGGTGGTGCATGCCTCTAATCCCAGCTACTTGGGAGGCTGAGGCAGGATAATCACTTGAACCCGGGAGGCAGAGGTTGCAGTGAGCTGAGATCGTGCCACTGCACTCCAGCCTGGACGACAGAGCAAAACTCTGTAATAAACAAACAAACAAAACAAAAACAGGACAACCGCAAGAACCGTGAGACATCACTTTTTCCTAAAGAGAAGACGAACTGCTTACGTGGGAATGATTAGTATTACATGACATTTTAATCCCATACTCCCAACACTTGAGCTCACCCAATAGTAACAGGAGGTGGCTACATAATTATTATAGTAGGACAGAATGTACTATGACTAATTTTACGCAGTTATGATTTAATACTGTATTTTATGATTGTTTATAAGTATTTGTGTGTGAGTTTTAATAAATTTTAACTTTTTATAATAGATTTGTGTATATTTTATAGTAAATGATAAAGTATGCTAGTATCTACGTATGTTTTATGCATTTATGATATGCCTAATTGTTTCTTAATTATTTTGATGTTTCTAAGCTATGAAGTTTGCGAGTTTTTTCAAATTGTCACAAAGGTACAAAATTTTCCAGTATATTTACTGAAAAAAATCTACATTCAATGGACCCATGCAGTTCAAACCCTTGTTGTTCAAGGGTCAACGATATTGTATTTTTCAGTTCCAGCATTTCCGTTTGGCTTTTTAAAATGGCAGTTTCTACATCTGTCTCCTAAAATTCATCATTTCTTTACCCATTGTATAAATCTTTCCCTGTGGATTCTTTAAAATACTATAGTGATTTTAAAGTCTCCATCTGATAATTCTAACATTTCGGTGGCGTTTGGGTTTGTTTTTATTGAGGATTTAAAACTGTTTGTCTAATATTTCTGTTTCTTCACATGATTGGTGATTTCCTGTTTTACACTTGATGATGTGAGTAATATGTTACAGAGATTCCGTATTCTATTACCTTTATCTATTTTGTATTCTATTATCTTTCTCTGAAGCGTATTGAATCTTGTTTAATAAGCAGATATATTACCCACTTATCACTTTGAACTTCTGAAAAACTGGCTTTACATTTTGCTGGAATGGATCATTGCAGTTTTTTCTTGGTTCTAGGGTGAACTCCTTAAGCCTTGGTTGTCATTTTGACTTCTAAGATCTGGTCCTTTTGGGGTTTTAGTTAAAGGCACATTATTTTCAGATGTCTGTTAATGGTAGCAGAGCCTAATCCTAAGTGAAATCCGAAATCCCCAGCTGACAAAAGAAAGTACCAAATAACTTGCATGAGAAGTAGGAGGCAGAGCCTGGATTCACTCCAAGATGGCCTGACTGCTACAAAGTGGAAATGCGCCATTGGTCAACACATCATCCTGCACTTATGACTGCATTAGTTATTCCAGTTGCTTTGTCAGGTTGGACAATTTTTGCACATTGACATCAGTCCCATGTACCAGGCTCAGCAATTGTCTCAGAATTACTTTTTTTTTTTCATTAGGTTTGGTCTCTGATTTTAGCTAATTATAAATTTCTTTGCTTTCAGATATATTATGGGCTATATTATCAATGTTTCTAAATTTTGCAGTATGTAAAAGATTAGTGGAAAATAAATTTTGGGGAGTAGGGAAGGCACAGAATCACAATAGTTAACCTACTATAGCCACCAACTTTTCATGGCCCTTTGCCTGTCAACTAGTGATGAGCACTGAAACTGGTTCCCATTGGTGCATAGCTTATAGCCAGCTCCATTCTGAGCTGATGACTACATAAAAAATATACTATCCCTTCCCATACTATCTGCCTATCTGAATGTGTAAAACATGCACAGTTGCAAAACTAAAAAATAGCAACAATAATAAGATAAGACATATAATGAATAGTCCACCTCTCATTCCTGCTCCTCAGGCAACTTGCAGAGTCAGTGTCTCCTCACAGAGATGTTGTATGCACATTTTAGCATATGTGTATATTTTCTTCCTTTCTAAATAACAAAATATTATACATATATTTTGCAACTTGGCTTTTAAATTTAATTCAACTGTATACACCAGCACTTATTTAGTTGTCTATTGATAAGTGTTGTTCCCATTTATTTCAGTTGCAAATAATTATTTCACATGAATATTCTTGTACATGGCTTATTTCACACATATATAAGTGTACTAATAGGGCCAGGCATGGTGGCTCATACCTGTAATGCCAGCACTTTGGGAGGCGGAGGCAGGTGGATCACCTGAGGTCAGGAGTTCGAGACCAGCCTGGCCAGCATGCTGAAACCCCATCTCTACTAAAAATAAAAATAATAAATAAATAAATAAATAAATAATAGCCAGGCATGGTGGCACATGACTGCAATCCCAGCTGCTCAGAAGGCTGAGGGAGGAGAATCGCTTGAACCCAGGAGGCGGAGGTTGCAGTGAGCCGAGATCGCGCCATTGCATTCCAGGCTGGGAGGCAAGAGTGATACTCCTTAAAAAAAAACCAAAAGAGTACTAATAGGATAAGTTCCTAGAAGCAGAATTGCTGAGCTAGAGGATATGAACATGAAAAATTTTAAATTATATTTTTATTATAATCTTTGATACTACAGATAAATAAATGTAACCCATATAGAATAATATAATGTAACACTATAAAACATAATAGTAGCATAATGAACACTCATGGTTTTTACATTTTTATAAGAGCCTTATTGCTTACATATGTAGTTCTAGATACTATATTCAGTTTTGCTTATGTTTAGTTTTCTTTGGAACATTTGTTTTAGATATTATTACTTTACCTTTAATAAAGTGAATATACGGTATGTCTCTCAAGTAATAAATTGCTTTAACAAACATTAAGTTCTCTTGGTTAAACTTCAGATTCTGAATATGGCAAGATGAAATAATATCAGGGCTTCTAATGCCCTCTTACTTCCTGTTGAAAATCTCCTTCAAGTAGCTTATATCAAAATTTAGATTGGGCTTCATTTTTGTTAAAAAGCAGACATATCCTGAATTTCAAGTAGTTCCTCTTTTTCTCTGTCTCACTATGTAGTTTTGCTTGCTTTTGAGATTTATGGAGAGTATCATACTTTATGTAGTCTTACTCATCTTGCTTTTGTTAGATATAGTGAACTCCAAGATTCTCTTCAAAGAATCAGTATGTCAGCATATTCATCTCTCTTATTCTTTGATTCTCCATTTGAAAGTTGAGCTTCCGGGTTCTCTTCACCCTCTTGCCTCTAGTTTCAGTAAACAACTTTCCTGTCAGTTCTAATCAGTGGTTCATATCTGTTCCCCTGGTCACCTGCTCCATCCGGAGTCACCCTCGGCCACCTGCTTTGATTTGAATCATCCTGAGTCACCTGTTCTGTAACCACCCTTCCCACCAAACTACCCACCCTGCCGCTCTGGCTCATACCCCTGCTCTCTTTAAAATAGCCAATCGGAATTAGCTTAGATTGTGTGGTCCAAACCTAGCCAATAGGGGAACGACACAGCAGTAGGGGCTACCTGCCTCAGGAATAAGAACTCCTTCCCCTCCCTTGTCCAGGTATGCTCTTGCCATTACTCCATCCGCGAGTCACACCCTTCTATAGAAGTAAAAATTCCTTGCTGAGAAAATTGAATTTATGTCTGAGTGCTATTTCTTTGCGGCACCGTGGAATAAGCATTTGTTTCTAACACTTTTTTCACTCAATAGGTTCTAGCACATTCATCTGTATCGTTGTTTGCAGGTATGATCCTTCTATTTATGCTGCTTATGATATTCTACAATTTGGTTACCTATTTCCCTAATACTGATAGGCATTTGGTTGTCTTGGTTTGGTATGTCCATGTTAAATTTTGGTAGGTATTTTCAAACTGTTCTTCTTTGAGTGTAGACTTTTTTCCCAATCACCAATAAATGAGAATTCACACTAGCTTTCTGACTGAGTTTGGTTGGCATTTTTGAAGCAATATTCTAGATCTCAAAGCAGTTTAGAAACTCTTTCATGGACGTTATTAAAGAGACTAGAAAGAGACATCTGTTCCAAGTAGGCTTCAAGTAGGCTTCAATGGGGGCAGTGACAGGCCCAAGAGCATCCCGTCAGCCAGGGCCACATTGGGACACTCGTAGATAACCGCCACAATTGTTTTATAACTTGGCAAGATCTTCATACCATCATCTTTTTACTTTTGTTACTGGAAAGGGATCCTGATCCAGCCCCCAAGAGAGCGTTATTGGATCTTGCACAAGAAAGAATTCAGGGTGAATCCATAGAGTAAACTGAAAGCAAGCGTATTAAGAAAGTAAAGGAAAAAAAGAATGGCTACTTTATAGGCAGAGCAGCCCTGAGGGCTGCTGGTTGACTATTTTTATGGTTATTTCTTGATTATATACTAAACAAGGGGTGGCTTATTCACAAGTTTTCCAGGAAAGAAGTGGGAAATTCCTGGAACTGAGGGTTCCTCCTCTTTTTAGACCATATAGAGTAACTTCTGGACATTGCCATGGCATCTGTAAACTGCCATGGCCCTGGTGGGAATATTTTTTAGCATGTTAATGTTTTATTTAGCATATAATGAGCAGTGAGAATGACCAGAAGTCACTTTCGTTGCCATCTTGGTTTTGGTGGGTTTTGGCTGGCTTCTTTACTGCTTCCTTTTATTTGCAAGGTCTTTATAACCTGTACTTTGTGCTGATCTCCTCTCTCATCCTGTGACTTAGAATGCCTAACTTCCTGGGAATGCAGCCTAGTAGATGTCAGCCTTATTTTATCCAGCCCCTATTCAAGATGGAGTTGCTCTGGTTCAAACACCTCTGACACTTTAGTTGGTTTTCTGAATTTGTCAGAGGGGTAAATGATGTAGTTTGGATGTTTGTACTCTCCAGATCTCATGTTGAAATGTGACCCCCAGTGTTGGAAATGGGCCCACTGGGAGATGTTTGGGTTGTGGTGGCAGATCCCTCATGAATGGCCTGGGGCTGTCATCATTGTAATAAATGAGTTCTCACTCCATTAGCTCACAAGAGAGCTGGTTGTTTAAAAGAGCCTGGCATTTTTCCCACTGTCTCTTACCTCCCTCTCTTGCCATGTGACACGCCTGCTCTCCTTCACCTTCCACCATGAGTAAAAGCTTCTTGAGGCCTCACCAGAAGCAGATGCTGGTGCCATACTTCTTGTATAGTTGGAGGAACTATGAATCAATTAAACTTTTTTTCCTTATAAATTACCCAGCCTCAAGTATTCCTTTATAGTATGCAAAAGAGACTAAAACAGCAAATGAAAAGAGATCTGTCTCTGAAAGAACTTATTGTGACATAGAGAGAGACAGAAAAAAGTCAGATTGACACTGGGTAAGAAGCAAGGAGGTCAGGTCCCAAGATGAAGTCCTGCCTGTGGTCAGCAAAGGGGCACCAAGGTGTCTGGGACAGTCCTGGCCCTGGCTTTGGGCAGGGAGGGAATTTCCCATAGGAAGGGAAGAGTAAAGAGAGAGAGAGAGGTCAGAGTCCAGGTTTGTTGTTCATATGTTTTCTTGAAAGGGCACTATTTCCCAGAATCCAGGTCATCTCTGGGTAGGGAATCCCCTGAATTAGTTTTTTCTGAGAGTATATTAGATTTGCCCTCACAGTAACCCCATGCTGGAAATACCCAACTCCAGTAGCACTTTTCTCCCTGCCTTTTCCCACTGAAATAACATAATAATATAGGAAGAATACAAGGACTATAGAAATACAGATTAGTGTTTGAACCCTTGCTTACCAGCTACTACTAATATGATTGTGGATGAGGTAGCTTCTTACTTATTAACGGGGATACTAATAGAGGTGGTTCCTTACAATGATTCCATTTATGATTTTTTATTTAATAGTGATACCAAAGCAATACATACTCAGTAGAAACCTACTTCAAGTTCCCATAAAATCATCTGCTTTTCACTTTCAGTACAGTATTTAATAACTTAAATGAGATATTTCACACTTCAGTAGTAAATACACTTTTTGTTAGATAATTTTGTCCAACTGTATGCTAATGTAAGTGTTCTGAGCATGTTTAAGGCAGGTTAGGTTAAGCTATGATGTTTGGTGGGTTAGGTGTATTAAATGCATTTCTGATTTTGGATATTTTCAGTGTACAATGGGTTTACAGGGATGTAACCCCATCATAAGTGAAGGAGCACCTGTACTTACTTCATTAAAATGCTGAAACAGTAAATAAGGTAACATTTAATAATATGTTGTGCAGTTCTTGAAATTTAAGTACTCACCAAATATTACTTTTCCTTTTTTTGTTATTTACTTACTTTTCATTCATTTATTAATTCATTTGTGCATTTAGTAAACATTTATAAATTATTTCCTGTGCCTGACAGCATGCTGGAACAGTGCTAAAGATACAAGTTAATTAAGACACAATCACGACCCCCAAGATTCCTACTCTTTTCTAAAGATTACAGACAAGCAGACGATGCTATTGTTGAAGAAACATGCTCTGAGAGGCATTTGAAGGAAGTGTAGAGGATAGAAGATGGACACATAACCCAGGATGGGGAGGAAAAGAGTTAGGGAAGGCTTTTTGACGAAGATACTGTTTACACCGTGTGTTCTTATAAATTCATGGTGGTGGGGATAGAGTTGGAGGAAAAGGCATGCTCAGTGGCGTGGAGATGGCAGAGAGATTGGGGTGTTCAAGGATATGCCGGGAATTCAAGGAACGAGAATTCCCATAGACACAGACACAGCTAGACATAGAGATCTGCAGCTTAGGTTTGGGCTGTGGGTATAGATCCAGGTGGCTTCAACAGACAAAGATCTTTCCTGAGAAAAGGGAAAAGTTTTCAACACAGAAAGACCATCCCATGTTTGGAATGAGGTTTGCAAATAGATTGCTTGAGGAGAGAAGTATGTGATCAGAAAGCATTCTTTGTCTATTAACTCCTGCCCAGCAAAAGTGAAAGAAAATTCATGGGAGCATGCAAGAACAAAGAGCACAGCAAAGCTGGACAAACACAGCAATCCAGGCAGGGGATTTCCAACTCAACTCTGGTATATAAGCTGCATGCAAAGTCCTTTTTCTGTCTCTGGTTTCTGGCCCCTTGTCTGCAGAGATGGCTCCCAATGCTTCCTGCCTCTGTGTAAGTTGGGATTTGATAAAGGGGATGGGGAAAGGAAAAGCACTTTCAAGAGTTGGGGAGAGATCTTAGAAACGGGGGCTGGGCAGTACTCAGGGCTCTGGGGGGCTGGGCAGGCATCCTTCAGGAGAAGAGGCTGGCATTGACATTTGCAGAATGGGAAGAGGGATTGTCTGAAGAGAAGCTGGTTATCTGGCTTCTGTGTTCTTTTTTAAATAAAACATTGGACTAGCTACTCTTAGGGATAAATGGTAGAAGAAAAAGTGGGGGTGAGCTTTGTGTTCCACAGGGCTGGTGAGATTTGAAATTATGGTAACATTTTTTAAGGTTCTTAAACTTAATCTTCCCTCTCCTCTCAAAGGAGAGCTTCACAAAACTCATTCATCTGAAGTTGTTAATGATCTAACACATTACATTATATAAGAAAATATGCACTATGGAGAGAACCTGGAATTAAGGCAATGCTTAACACAGATCTTCCAGTGAAGAAATGTCTGCAATATCTAGATTGGGAAAATATTTCTGAATGGAGTATGAGGGAGGTCTTCTCAGGCTTTCAAGTGGCCATTAGGGGTGAGTTTTCCCATCTTTTAGGATTTTCCAGCTATTGAAGTAAGACTTAGATATAGTCCCTACCTTCTGTGAGTGAGGCCCTAGTCTTATCAAAGGAGATCACATTCTATATTAGTGTTACCAGGGGGTCTTTGCTCCCAGAGCTCTCAAGATGGTGGTGGGCTGCTTCCAAAATGGCCGCAGGCCGCTTCCAAGATGGTGGCAAGCCTCGTGTTCTCTGACCTGGGGTTCTTGGCCTCATGGATTCCAAGGAATGGAATCTTGGGTCATGTGGTGGTTGTTACAGCTCTATTAGAAGCCATGGGTCACGGAAGAGAACTGTGGACCCAGTGACTAGTGTTCAGCTCGATTAGGAAGAACCTGGGCACTTAGCCGTGCAGAACAATGGTACGCCTTTAGCCCAATCAGGAGCGGCAATGGGCGCCTCACTGGTTCAGAAGCACAGCGGACACCCTGCCAGATCCGAGGGATGGAAGTCAGCCGCGGGTCTGCGACGGTGGCAAACGGCAGTGGTGGATGGCAAGCGAAAGCTCACCTCGAGCCGTAAGAAACATAGACCAGAAGAGTGCAGTTGCAAGATTTAGTAGAGTGAAGACAGAGCTCCCATACAAAGGGAGGGGACCCAAAGAGGGTAGCGTTGCTGGCTCGAATGCCTGTGTTTATATCCCGATCATTGTCCCTCCCGCTGTGATCTCAGGCAATAGATGATTGGCTATATCTTTACCTCCTGTTTTTGCCTAATTAGCATTTTAGTGAGCTCTCTTTACTACCTGATTGGTCAGGTGTGAGCTAAGTTGCAAGCCCCGTGTTTAAAGGTGGATGCAGTCACCTCCCCAGCTAGGCTTAGGGATTCTTAGTCGGCCTAGGAAATCCAGCTAGTCCTGTCTCTCATTAGATAGAAATAAAAACACAAGAAATATAAATTAACAAGAAACACTGAACATAGTGTCACGGTAGTATGTGAGTTATTATTATAAAGCAGTGGGATATTTGAAAAGAAACTAACAGTTCAGTGATTATGTGTCCTACCCAGGATTTCCTTCTGAAGTATTGACAGAGGGTATCCTATGGCTATGAGTATCTTCATGAGGCTGTCATATTTTGGAAATTCTCTTTGAGAGTTGTTTTTAGAGTCTGATGTACATCTTTTGAAGCCTCGTATTTACTTGTTGACATTTGACAAACTTTATCTGGATAGGAGAGGCAGGTAAATAAGGTGGAAAATCACTAATTACATTTTGAGATGGATAAAGGTATGTTTTTTACATCCATTGAAATGCACAGAAAAACGAAATGTAAAGATTGTCAACTAAAAAAAATCACACAATTCATAAATTTAGAAGGGGAGTTTATTTCTTATGAAAGGTTATAGTCTGCAAGGTAGCCATTCTGACAGGCTGGGAAGTTTTGCTTCTGATTGAAAACCAAAAGCAAGCACTTTGCAGGAGGAAAGGTGACACAGGAATTTATGCTGAAGGGGTTTGCTAAGTATACATATCCAATAGGTTATAGCAGAGGCAATGAATATTCATGGAGGGGGTCCTAATGCATGCATATTGAATAAGCTTGCATGTTACATACCACCCATGGTCACTCTGAAGTGGAGACTTAACATTTAATTGCATTACAGTTAGGCCTTATACATGAAAAGGTGAAGCAGGGACACAAAGGCATTCAAATGCACAGCTTCTGTAAACTAGCCAGAACCAGTCCATGGTCAGTGGTCTCTTATCAGGAGAAAATTACTGAAATCAGTCTTTTGTCCAATTAAAACTGTAGTTATGGCTTGTGGAACACGGGGTCAGTTAGCCTGTGTTCCCCAACACAGGGTGAGCTGTAATTGTTTTAATATTGTTCCTGTCAAGGCCAGTGCTTGTTTAGCTGCTAGAGAAAAAAGAAAAAACTTTGTGGCAGAACATAGTTTATTCTTTAAGTGTAAGGGATGCATGACTTAACTTTTGCCTGTTATAGCCCTCGGTCTTGTTTATAATTTGCTATCTTATTGCCACAAAGAATCCATTCTCTCAGTCTTATAATCTCTAACTTTGCTGGTCAGTTGTGTCTAAACTGCAAAAGGGAGAAGATACAATGAGGCATATCCAACCTCCTGTTCCATCATGACTGAATGTTTTATTTATTTATATTTTTGAGACAGAGTCTCACTCTGTTGCCCTGGCTGGAGTGCAGTAGTGCCATCTCCACTCACTGCAACCTCTGCCTCCTGGATTCAAATGATTCTCCTGCCTCAGCCTCCTGAGTAGCTGGGATTACAGGGACTTGCCACCACTACTGGCTAATTTTTGTATTTTTAGTAGAGACAGAGTTTCACCAAGTTCACCAGGCTGGTCTCGAACTCCCAGCATCAATTGATCAGCCTGCCTCAGCTTCCCAAAGTTCTGGGATTACAGGTGTAAGCCACCACCCTTGGCCCAATGACTAAGTTTTTAAAGTTTCTCTAGGGTCCCCCTGAGCAAAAGAGCGTCCGTTCAGTTGGTTGGGGGCTCAGGATTTTATTTTCCATTCTCAAGATCGAAAAAAAGGTGTGATTATAAAGGAATGGGACAAATTATCTTATTTGTGTTGTAACTTGGTAATTCCAAAAAAGAAGTTCCAAGAAAGAGAGGGACACTGGCTACTGAATAGGAGCTAGAGGACCAGATAGATAGTGGAAGAGGGGGAGCCATTGTGGTGGGGAGTAGAAGTGTAAAGGAGGCAGGCATCCTAGGTAACTGTCTTGTGGCTTTCACTTCCCAGGTGCATGTCCGTTCCGAGGAATGGGATTTAATGACCTTTGATGCCAACCCATATGACAGCGTGAAAAAAATCAAAGAACATGTCCGGTCTAAGACCAAGGTTCCTGTGCAGGACCAGGTTCTTTTGCTGGGCTCCAAGATCTTAAAGCCACGGAGAAGCCTCTCATCTTACGGCATTGACAAAGAGAAGACCATCCACCTTACCCTGAAAGTGGTGAAGCCCAGTGATGAGGAGCTGCCCTTGTTTCTTGTGGAGTCAGGTGATGAGGCAAAGAGGCACCTCCTCCAGGTGCGAAGGTCCAGCTCAGTGGCACAAGTGAAAGCAATGATCGAGACTAAGACGGGTATAATCCCTGAGACCCAGATTGTGACTTGCAATGGAAAGAGACTGGAAGATGGGAAGATGATGGCAGATTACGGCATCAGAAAGGGCAACTTACTCTTCCTGGCATCTTATTGTATTGGAGGGTGACCACCCTGGGCATGGGGTGTTGGCAGGGGTCAAAAAGCTTATTTCTTTTAATCTCTTACTCAACGAACACATCTTCTGATGATTTCCCAAAATTAATGAGAATGAGATGAGTAGAGTAAGATTTGGGTGGGATGGGTAGGATGAAGTATATTGCCCAACTCTATGTTTCTTTGATTCTAACACAATTAATTAAGTGACATGATTTTTACTAATGTATTACTGAGACTAGTAAATAAATTTTTAAGGCAAAATAGAGCATTCAAAGCCAGCTTGGAATTTAATTCTGTCTTGATACCTTGTTATTTATGCAAAAACTCCTATCTCCTTTCCTTTATGACAAGAGAGTAAGTTTTAGGTTGGGATCCATGTTCTACTGATTTCTGTATTTCTGTCTTTGTTAAGTCCAGTGCTTTATTTATATCACTCAATAATGGTTGAACCAAATTGAATTTCTACTTATAGAGCATAGTGAAATGATATTTTATAAAATGAATTAGTTGCTCTGACATGATCACAATCAAATTACTAAACATTTTAGAAACTAAATTAAACTCCTTCCCCCCTCTTCTCCTTTAAAGCTATTTGTATGAAATGAAGTCTGGCACCATGCCCCCTTTTATTCTCTATGTCTCACACCCAACTAAAATAGTTATTATTTCTGGGGATGATGGTGGGCAAGGAAAGGTATTTTCCACAGGGATCTAGCAATTCTGTTTAACTAGTGGGGATTCCTAGGGGTAGATGGACATTGGGAGCGAACAAACTTTCTAAAGCTGGGGGACTGTGGACCACCCTCTCTCCTACCTGCCTTAGGGTCTAGCAGGTCTTCTCCAGGATGAGGGCGCCAGTCTGGGTGAGGGTGGGTGAGGAGCTGGCTTCTGGGTTGACCTCAATATTCTGCTCAGGTTCTGCTGATTGAGCATTTTCCTCTCTTCTTTTTTTCATGAGGAGATCCCTGTTCCTGTCTTGAGAACTTGAGTCCCTTCCTCCATCTTCCTCCCTCCATTTACTCCTCTCTCTGACTCTCTCTCTTGCTCTCTCTCTCATGACTCACTACTGATCACCTGTGAGTTTTTTTCACGGGCTGAGACGTGCCCGCCTTCTTCCACACTCATCCTAGTTCCTTGTTTCTTTAAAACTTGCTCAAGAACCAACTCCTGCAGGGGGGTTTCCAGTCTTAACCCCACTCAGCAAAATTCACCACCATTTATGGGCTTTCCTCATCACATTTATGGGTGAAATGCCCCGGGGAGGGCACTGGTCATCTGGCCAGGTCTGCACTAAGTTGGACTGATTTCTGAGAATAGAGTCCATGGTCGCTTTTTCTGGATGTACCCTCTCCTGCAGGGTAGGGACTATGATTTTCTTGTCAACTTGAGACTTCTGATTGCAGAGACCAAGAGGTCTTCCATGGTCTTCCATCAGATAGGGAGGAAGCTAAAGGCGAGCATCACGTCCATCATTTTCCCTGCGCGTGGAGTTGTGAGGGGTAGGTTTTCCTTCCCTAAACCTGAGTATATAGAGGATTTAGGGATTTTCCCTCAAGAACTAAACATTTCCTCACGGGAGGAAAACATATCCCCCATTGGACTCCTTAGGACAAATCTTGCAGATTATCATACAAAAATGAACAGCCTGAAGTCTAAACTGACTCACTAAGGGGTATTTCCATCCTTGGGTTCTGGCTTAATACTTTCTCCCCTCCCCAACTACTCACTGCCCAGCCTGGCCTCTCCCCAGACTCCGCAGCAGCCTCCTCGCTGCCCCCTTCACTTTCTTATTCCTGAGGGTGTAGATGAGCGGGTTGAGAGCAGGTGTGACCACGGTGTAGAAGAGCGATACGAACTTGCCCCGTGCCTGGTTGTAGCGCTGCGCGGGCTGCAGGTAGGTGTAGATGGCCGAGCCGTAGAACAGGCAGACGGCTGTCAGGTGGGACCCACACGTGCCCACCGCCCTCCTCCGGCCTCCGCTGAACCGCATGCAACAGACAGCTCGGGCCACGGCACCGTAGGAGGCCAGGATGACGGCAAACGGCAGCAGCAGGATGACCACGCGGGCGGCGAACATCTGGTTCTCGGTAGTGTCTCCGTCGCCTCCGCAGGCCAGCTTGAGCAACGCCGGCAGCTCACAGATGAAGTGGTCCAGCAGGCGGGGCGCGCACAGCGGCCGCTCAGCCAGGAGCGCGGTTTGCGCAACCGAGTTGGTGAGGCCACTTAGCCAGGAGGCGCTGGCCAGCGTGCGACATAGGCGCGGGGAGACGAGCCCCGCATAGCGCAGCGGGCGGCACACTGCGGCCGCGCGGTCCAGAGCCATCACCGCCAGGAGGACGCATTCGGCGGAACCCAGAGCCAGCGATGCGCACAGCTGGGCCGTGCAGTGGCTGCGCGGCAGCCAGAGCGCTGGTCCGCGCAGGTTGGCCAGCAGCGGCGGCACCACGCTAGTAGTGAAGCCCGCGTCTACCAAGGCCAGGTGGCAGAGGAAGTAGTACATGGGCGTGTGCAGGCGCGGGTCGCGCACCGCCAGCAGCACCAGCGCCGAGTTGCCCGTCAAGGTCAGGAGGTAGCACAGGAGGACAAGGGCGAAGAGGACCGGCTGCAGGGAAGGCCAGTCGGAGAAACCCAGCAGGAGAAAGCGCTCCTCTGCGCTGTAGTTGGCCTAAAGGAGGAAAACTCCCAGAATGTTTGGAAGGTCGAAATAAAAAAGGGTGACTACCCCTTATAAGCAAAGGGAAAACCTTGGAGTGTGGGGCTGGGCTGGGAGAAGGAATGGAATCATATACAAGGTCAGTTTGTGGATTGTAATCCCATTTACAGATGAGATTACTTAAAAATAAACTCCCTAAGAATAAGAGCAACACTCCAAGCTTGGCCTGGCCAACACTCGGTAGGCAGAATGATCACCTCCGTTGTTTCAGGTACTCTGTGTTTATTTATGCAACAGTTCATGTAAAATGGAGACGAGGCCAGAAGAATCCTTGAGCAGACAGAGCCAGTTGGGCCTCCTAAGTGACCTTAACCTTGCTTGATTTGCAAGCATGTCTGAAACTTTATTTGTGGTATTTCTTGTAAATGCCTATGTTAAAGAAACACAGAACTTAAGCTCAACCAATCAGAAGCAGCCAACAAAAACGTAATTAGTAACTAGGACTTCCTCATGGGATAGACCAAATAAGGCAACTGTATAACTGTGTAACTGTATAACTGTAACCAATGAAATATTATCTTTGCTTTTATCTATTTGTCCTAAAAAGCCTCCTCCTCATGTTCTCTCTGGGGAGCTCCCTAGCCACTTCTGGATCACTGCTCAAATAAACTCTTAAATATTTTATTGGGCCTTAGTTTACTTTCTAACACAACCCATTATACGGCTGATTACTGATTTTTAATTTGTTGTGAATAGAGACTACTCCCAACGTCCATGCCCCTCCCACTGAGGGGAGATCAGCACACGTATACTAGCCTTTAAATCAGGAATAAGTTGGGTAGAAAAAAAGAACACTTTCTGGTAGACTAGAATATCAGGACATCTTGGTTTTACCTACATAGCTCCCTTTAGCCAGTTATATGATATGGGGAAATCTTCATTTCCCTCTGTCTCAATTTTTTCATATGTAAATCAAGGAGTTTGAACTAGATGTCATCTAAGTTTCCTGTCCCAAATCCTTGGCTTTACTATCAAATATTAATCCAAAAATAAAATAAAAAGAGAACCCCAGGGAACAAAAGGAACCTCATTCTCCAAGGGTCTTGTTGAACCAAGTGTCTTAATGGTACAGAAACATATGGGTTATGTAATGGATGAAAGTTTACGTGATGGACAGAAATCTTTCTGCTGCATGACTCCTGACATAAATTATTATATGGATAACTTATTTTTCACATCATATTCACTGCTGTAAATTACAAAATCACAATAACCTAATTTTTCATTTTTCAGAGGGAAAAAACACTGCTCCCTACCAAAACATCCTGTTTGATTTTATGTTTCACTCATTTTATCCTCACTGGGCAGAATAAGCATTAATGTCATAATTAAGAACCAGGGCTCAGCAGCCAGACTGCCTGGGTTTGAGTCCTGGCTCTGCCATTTTCTAGCTGGAAAAACTTGGGTATGTTACTTAGCCTCTCTCTGCCTCAGTTTCCTCATATGAAAATAGAAATATGTTAAGTGGGCTAAATATGAAAAGCTGTTAGAACAAGGCCTGGCACATAGCAGTTGTTAACTGTCATCCTTTAATAAATGCTAACTATCGTCATATCTGTTTCCCAAATTAAGAAACAGGTTTTTAAGGGGTTCTTATGCTAGGCAGTGATACAACTGCTATGAACATTTACAGCTCTTTTCATTTATTAACTCTAATCTTAACTCACTTGAATATTAGGCAATAGCCTTATTTTATAGAGTATGTTAGGAGAGTAACTGAAGTTAAATTACTTGCCCAAGGCCACATTATTTGTAAATGCTTAATAGGTTTTCCACTTATATTTGACTAACTTCGAGGTCCTTCCTGTTTGATCAACCAGGATCCACTGTGCTAGAGACTGTGGAGTATGAAAGGACATGCAAAGTCTTACCTATATTTATAGATCATTTTATAATTTGGGGTCATATCAGAGATGAATAAAGTAGGAGAGGTGACATTCAGGCTTACAGACCAATGGTGGCTAGAGATGTTGAGTTACAAAAGGTCAAATTCTTTAATGCGGTGATTACACGGACACATAACTGTTCAGCCTGGCAAGCTCTAAACCATTCCTCTTCAAATATGCCACACCATGAAAACAGGCACACAATAATAAAACTGCACAGATAACATTCTTGTTACATGTATGCACAAATTCCCCAAAACATAGGCATGTGTGCACCTGTACACATAAACCCATCATCTCCCTCACACATCTAGAAGACAAATCTGTTGTGAAATATATAATATAATGTGTCATCAAACTTCACTTGGTATTTCAGAATGTGGCTCTCGGCACAAGACCATTTTGTTGTAGGGCACTGTAATACCCAACTTACCTTCATGACTAATCTTTGGCACTAATGTTTACACCTTGAGTTTCCAGATGATAGGTTGGTCTCTTGCTCCTGCTCTGGATTCTCTGGATTTGAAATGGAGTTGGGAGTATTTAATAAAAGATGCAATTGCATAGCTGTGTTGATTTCTGGAATGGATGCCTGAGATCAGAGCCAGGTATTTCAGGAAGAAGATGAGGGGTGGGTGTCATTGTGCTTGTAAATAGAGGAATAAAAAGAACGGGTAAGAAAGAACCTACATTTGTGAAATTTCAGGATCTAGGCAGAGGTGGTGATGTCTGTTCCTGGAGAACCTTGTAATGGGGTACAGACCAGACAAGGACCTGGGCCTTGTGCTGGTAGCAAATCAGCATTAGCTGGTGGTGGTAGCAAATATCCCTCCTGGATCTAAAGGACACAGTTAGAGAGAAGGAGGAAGCATGCTGATGAGTGCTCTCACTAGAGAAAAAACAGGGGACTCAACGTTCCCTGTTATTTAGAAGAGAGGATGGAGCTCTGGGGAATAGATGTCCCACTCCTATCATTAGTACTTTGCATGAAGGTGTCCGGAGAGGAGTCCCCAAGAGTGGGGAAGAGGAAATTCTGGAGGGAAAGTCCCTTTAGGGTAGTGTGCCTCTGGCAGTGTATGAAGGCCAAAGGCAGCGTAATTCCCTCTCATTAACATTTCTACTATTCAATTGGAACTGGTTTAGAATTTCATTCTCTGATGGAGTGACCTTAAGCTAATTGTTTAACTTCAGTGACTCTCAATGTCATCATCTGTAAAACAAGGAAAATAACCCTTTCTGTCAGGAATTTTGTAGATTTGTTGAAGTCATTATTAGTTTTGAATGTAGCTTTGACTGTTATGTCATCAGCTTTGCTCCAAAGTCCACCTCCCCACTTGTGGCTCTCATCATTCTCTTTCCCTTTGCTCCTCCTTCGTCCTTGAAGATTTTTGTCCCTGATCCCCTCTCACTCTCTCCAGTACTGTGATGATTCTTGGTGAATTCAGTATCCTCATAGATTATCTTTCTATACTTTCCTCTCAGTTTCTTCCTCAGTGAGAGGTCCGCAAATTCATCGTGGCCCCTCACGCCCCTTGTATCTTCAGTTCTCTATCAAGCTTAGACTGTCTCGTCAATCACTATTACTCCTTTGCATACATCAATGTTCCTGCCCTTTTCACTTGTTACACTCTTTCAGCTAAATTGCTTTCCTATTTAAATCCAACTATAGTCCTACTCTCTCCCTATATTTGTTCAGCTGACTGTGGCCGAAGGAAAGCCAATAGCCACACTGAGAGGTTTCACTTTACATTCATGACCACTACTTTAAGAGGAAGGGGCTAATGTCATTGATAATCATATTTTCCTAGTCCACTCACTTTCCCCTCTCCTACGTAACTCATGCATACTTTCTGGTCTCCCCTCAAATCCCCAGTACTCCTCTCTCTCAAATAATATCATCTTTCTCAGATAAAAATTTTACTTCATTTTTTACTGAAAAAATGTAAAGCAATAAAAAGAGAAGTTCTTACTAACCCACCTGTTCACCTACTTGCATCTGTGCTCACATATGGGACTCCACCTTTTCTTCTGATACTGCTAGGAATATACTATTTTGCATCTGTCTGATGCCAGTACCCCCACTTGCCCACTATATTCCATCCCTTTCCACTTATTCAGGGACATTACTCTAATCTTTCCCCTCTTTCCTGTAATATAATTTGTCCTTCCAGTGGACCATCCCCATCAATACATAAACATACTTTGATTTCACTCATCAGAAAATAATCTTCTCTTGACTTCACTTCCCCCTAGCTACCATCCAAGTCCTTGAATTCTCTTTCGGGTTGGCTCCAACAAGGTTTCTGCACTGGAAACCTTTCATCGAAGGTCACAAACTGACCTCCACATTGATATAGTAGTTTTCAGTCCTCATGTTACTTGACCTGTTAGAAGCTTTTCAATAGAGTGGACTTAGCTTTCCTTTTTGGAACATGCCTTTCACTTCTGCTATGGACTGAATTGTGTCCCCCCCCAAAATTCATATGTTGAAAATCTAATCCTCAATGTGATGGTATTTGAAATGGGCATTTTAGGAGGTAATTATAGTTAAATGAGGTCACAAAGGTGAGGGCCAAATAGGATTAGTTTCCTTATAAAAGAGGAAAGGCCACGTGAGGAGGCAGCAAGTAGGGAGTTGTCTGCAAGCCAGGAGGAGAGCCATCACCAGGAACAAAATCAGCCAGCATCTTGATCTTGAACTTCCCAGCCTCCAGAACTGTGAGAAATCAACTTCTGTTGTTGAAGCCACCCAGTTTATGGTATTTTGTTATGGCAGTCTGAGCTGACTGACAGCTTCAAATCACCAAAGTCTCCCAGCTGCTCCTTCTGAATCTCCTTTATTGGTTTCTCCTCCTCTCCCTGCTGTGCCTAGGGTTCAGTCCTCTTTCCTTTCTTACATGCACTTCCGTCATCCAGTCTTATGACATTGTACACCATCTATATGCTGATGACTCCTAAATTTATATTTCCAGGCTGGATTTTTCTCCTAACCTCCAGATTCCTATGTCCAATTGTCTACCCACCAGCAGCTTTTGGTATCTAATACACATCTCAGATTTAACATGCCATAAACTGAGCTCCTTACTACCCACCCTCTCCCCCACAATGTGCTTCTTCTGTAGCCTTTCTCATCTCCCGTAATGAAAATCCATTCTTCTAGTTTCTCAGACAAAAATCTTGTGATACTGACTCTTCTTCATCTCACTCACATATAATCTACCCACAAATTCTATTGGCTCTACCTGCAAAAATATGTTGTGAAACTGACAAGTCGTTATCACTGTTAGGACCACCACTCTGGTCTGTCCTTGTCAACATCTCTTGCTTGGATGATTGAAATAATCCTCTGGTTCTTCCCTTAACCTTTAGTATATTCTCAACATGGAAGCCAGAGTAACCCATTTATAACAACTCAGATCATACCACTTCTTATCTCAAAATCTTTCAGCAGTTTCCATGTTACTCAGAAAGAAAAAGCCTAGTCACAAGATCTAAAGATCAGTGCCCTCCACCTCAGTACTACTGACGATTTTGACTGGATCATCCTTTGTTGGGGGTGCTGTCCTGTGCATTGTAGGGTGTTTAGCACCATCTCGGGGCTCTACCCACTAGGTGATAGTAGTGCATCCTCTCTAATTGTGACAATCAAAACCAGCTCCAGACATTGCCAAATGTCCCAGTGGGAGGCCTAATTAGCCACGGTGAGAACTGCTGCTTGACTTAATCAGAAAAAATAAACCTCCTGCAGCTAGCTTGGTGTCTGCCTAAACAGCCTCCTAGTTTTGTGCTTGAAACCCAGGGCCCTGGTGGCATAGGCACCAGAGGGAATCTCCTGGTCTATAGGTTTCGAAGACGTGAGGAAAGCGCAGTATCTGTGCCAGAGTGCACCGTTCCTCCCCACACAGTCCCTCAAGGCTTCGGCTTCCCTTGGCTAGGAGAGGGAGTTCCTTGACCTCTTGTGCTCCCCGGGTGAGGCGATGCCCCACCCTGCTTTGGCACACCCTCCATGGGCTGCACCCGCTGTCCAACCAGTCCCAATAAGATGAACTGGGTACCTCAGTTGGAAATGCAGAAATCATCCACCTTCTGGGTCAATCTTGCTGGGAGGTGCAGACCAGAGCTATTCCTATTCCACCATCTTGCCAGCCTCCTCCCCTGGTATCTAGCTGTAATTTTGTATCCATGAACCAATCTCTTCCTATCCTTCCCTCTCTCCTCCCTTCGATCCTTCCTGTGCTCTAATAATCAAAATTCCACTCTCTATTTCTAATGAGCTCAACATTTTTTAGCTTCCATATGTGAGTGAGAACACACAGTCTTTATCTTTCTGTGCCTGCTTATTTCAGTTAACATGGTGTCTTCCAGGTTCATCCATGTTGCCATGAATGACAGGATTTCTTTTTTTTTTTCATGTCTCTGCCATTTAAAGGGGGTGTTTAATATATTTACATTTAATGTAATTACTGATAGTATAGGATTTTGACCTGTCATTTTGCTACTTATTTTCTTTATATCGTGTTTTTTATTGCTCTATTCCATTATTACTGCCTTTGTATGTTAAATAAATTTTGTTAGTGTTTTACTTAATTCTCCTTGTTGTTTCTTTTACTATACTTTTTGAGGTATTTTTTAAATATTGCCCTGGATCTTGCAATTAATAATTTATAACAATTTAGTCAGATTAATAGCAATTTAATTTCAATAGCACACAAAACCTTTGCTTCCATACAGCTCCATTCTCTTCTGCTTCTTTGTGTTTTTATTGCCGTACAAATTACATCTTTATACATTGTAGGCTTATCAATACAGATTTATAATTATTTCATTATGTATTTGTCTTTTAAATCATATGAGAGAGGAAATCGCAAACAAATTGCATTTATACTGTCTTTTATATTTACCCATGTAGTTATCTTTACTGGAGTTCTTCATTTCTTCATGTGGATTCGAGTTGCTATGTAGTGTCCTTTCATGTCAACCTGCAAGACTGCTTTTATAATTTCCCATAAGACAGGTCTGGTAATTACAGCTTCTCTCAGTTTTCAAAATCTGAGAATGTTTAATTTCTAGTTCATTTATGAAGAATAGTTTTGCTGGCTTTAGAATTGTTCATTGACAGTATTTTACTTTTGCTACTTTGAATATGTCATCCCATTGCCTCCTGACTCTGTAATTTTTCATGAGAAATTAGTTCTTATTCTTACTGAGAATCTCTTGTACATGATAAGTTGCTTCCCTCTTTTTGCCCTCAAGATTCTTTCTTTGCTTCTTGGCAGTTTGATTATAATGTTTCTATGTGTGAATCTCTTTGAATTTATTTTATCTAAGTTTGTTGAGCTTTGTGAAAGTGTAGATTAACATTTTTTCATTGAATTTGGAGTTTTTCAGCTAGTATTTCTTTAAATATTCCTTCTGTTCCTTTTATTCTATCCTCTCCTGAAAATTCTCGTTTATGTGTTTTGGTACACTGGATTGTGTCCCACAGGTCTCCGAAACTCTGTTCATTCTTCTTCTTTTTAATTCATGTTCCTCATACTGGATAATTTCCCCACCTATCTTTAAATTTACTGATTCTTTCTTCTGCCTTCTCAAATCTGTTATTGAGGCTATCTAGTGAAGTTTTTATTTCTACGATTTTATTTATCAATTACTGAATTTTATTTGTTTCTTTTTTTTTTTTTTTTTTTTTTTTTTTTTTTTTTTTTTTGAGACAGAGTCTCGCTCTGTCGCCCAGGCTGGAGTGCAGTGGCGGGATCTCGGCTCACTGCAAGCTCCGCCTCCCGGGTTCACGCCATTCTCCTGCCTCAGCCTCCCAAGTAGCTGGGACTACAGGCGCCCGCCACTACGCCCGGCTAATTTTTTGTATTTTTAGTAGAGACGGGGTTTCACCGTTTTAGCTGGGATGGTCTCGATCTCCTGAGCTCGTGATCCGCCTGCCTCGGCCTCCCAAAGTGCTGGGATTACAGGCGTGAGCCACCGCGCCCGGCCTTGTTTCTTTTTTAACATTCCATCTCATTATTGATGTTTTGTATTTGGTGAGATATCATTCTCATGCATTCCTTTAGTTCTTTTGACATGGTTTCCTTTAGTTCTTTGAACGTGTTTAAAATTGTTCGTCTAATATGTTCACCTAGTATGTCCAATGTCTGGTATATGCAGTCTACCAGAGGCAGTTTTGATTTTAAAATGAATAGGTTAAAAAAAGAGGGTGGAAAAAAGTATACCATGTAGAAAACTATGATGAAAGAGCTGAGACAGCTCTACTAATATTGGACAAAGTAGACCTTGAGAAAAATAGCGTTACTAGAAATAAAGAGGCATATTCTATAATGATAAAATTTCAATTTATCAGGAGGATATGAGGATTATAAACATACACACAATTAGCAACACATCCCCCAAATACATAAAACATGAAAATGACAGAATTGAGGGGATAAATAAACAAATCATTAAAAATAGTTGAAGATTTCAACACTCCATTATCAATCATTGATGGAACAACTAGATAGAAAATCAGCAAGGATACAGAGCCTGAAACATTATCAACCAACTTGACCTACTTGACAACAACAAATGAATTATACACGCTTTTGAAACACATATGGAACATTCTCCAGGATAGACTAGATGGGAGGGCACAAATTATCTATAAATTAAAAAAAAATTGAACTAATACAATATATGTATTCCAACCACAATGGAATTGAATGAGTAATCACCAACAGTTGGAAACTTCAGGAATCCACAAATAACAGGTGAAAGAAAAAAAAACACAGGGGAAATTAAAAAGAATATGCATGAAATGAAATGAAACCATAACATGTCAACATTTATGAGATGGAGATAAACCAGTGCTTAGAGGAAAATCTGTAGCTGTAAATGCCTACATTGGAAAAGAAAAATACCTCTAATCAGTAATTCAACTTTCTATGGTAAGAAGCAAGGAAAAGAAGAGAAAACTAACCCCAAAGCAAGCAGAAGAAAGGAAATAATAAAGAAGAGAGCAAGAGTAGATGGAATAGAAAATAAAACACTATAGAGAAAAGTAATGAAACCAAAAGTTGAATCATGGAAAATAACAACACAATTGACAAACCTTTAGCTAGACTTACCAAGAAAAAAAAATGGCCTCAAATTCCTAAAATCAGAAATGAAATTGGGCACATCATTACCAACTTTATAGAAATTTAAAGGATTATAAAGAAATCCTATGAACAACTTTATCCTAACATACTAGACACCTTCGATGAAATGGATAAATTTCTAGAAAAACTAATTACCAAAATTGACTCAAGAGGAAATAGAAAATCTGTATAAGCCTACAAGAAGTAAAGACATTAAAACTGTCATTGCATATCTTCCCACAAAAAAGGCCCAGGCCCAGATGTCTCTACTGGTGAATTCTACCAAACATTTAAAGAAAAAAATAATACAATTCTATACAAACTCTTCCAAAATATAGATCAGAAAGGATCACTTCCCAACACATTGTATAGGAATGATGGAAATGTTGTAAAATCATATTCTAGTGAGTATGTACTTTTGTACATAAGGAAGTTAAGAGACACAGGGCCCCATTTGTGATCCTTTGGGAGTGTGAGAAGCACATATTTCCTACACCCATGTTCCCATTTGGAAGGGCTTCTCTGACCAGCATCAGCCACAAGTGACTTTGCTGAGTGGGGCATCCAGAAGAAGGGGCTGAATGTGGCATTTGAAGGACTTTTCCTCCTTTCTCCTTGGAATCTGACTGTCTGCATGGAGGAATCATACTCCTGGGTTCCCTCCATTAAGTGATAAGCTTCAGGAGACAGGTGTTGACCATGGGTGCCTGTGCCTATTACTTTGAGGAGTAAATTCAATTCCTGGAGAGAATAACATATAAGCAAGTGCTTTGGGGTCACAAACTGCTTCCCAGGTCATTAGGGGAGGGAGGAATAAAGATGCTATGTTGTTGGGCATTGTTTTGACTTCTCAATTTATCTCTCAATTGATTCAGAGAGATGTAATGAAAATGAACTAATTGACTTATTGATTGATCGAAATTAGTGCAACAAGGAGACATGTCTTTTCTTGCCTCATAAAAGCAAGTCAAGGCCGGGTACAGTGGCTCACCCCTGTAATCCCAGCACTTTGGGAGGCCAAGGTGGGCGGATCACCTGAGGTTGGGAGTTTGAGACCAGTCTGACCAACATGGAGAAACCCTGTCTCTATTAAAAATACAAAATTAGCCAGGTGTTGTGGTGCATGCCTGTAATCCCAGCTACTCAGGAGGCTGAGGCAGGAGAATCGTTTGAACCCAGGAGGCTGAGGTTGCAGCGAGCCGAGATTGCACCATTGCACTGCAGCCTAGGCAACAAGAGTGAAACTCCGTCTCAAAAAAAAAAAAAAGAAAGCAAGTCAGTGGTGGGGTAAACCAGGGTGAAAAATATTGGCTCCAACAAAGCACAGCCAAATCTCCCTAGGCTTGGTGAATCCAATGTAAGTTTCTGACACAGATTTACAAGAACTTCCACATCTTTTGCAAAAAAAAAAAAATGCAATTCAATTGACAGCAAAATGAAAGGAGCACATTTGAGTTCCTGGCATGCTCAAGTTTATTGACAAAATGCCCACCAGAGTTCCCTCTCCTGCCTGTCTCAGATGGGCTGGGCTGGGCTGGATGTCATTCTAGGAGATTCACACAGGGAGGCAGGTGACAACTTGTCTTAAAGATCCTTCTTTTTTGAGGGAAGTTATTGTTCAGGATGGAGTAATTAAAAGTGTCAGTGGGATGGGGGATATCAGGAGATGCTGAGATACAATGTTTCAGATAAAGGCCTGGGCCCTGATATGCAATTTGCCCCAGTACAGGAAGACCCAACAGACACAGAGAAATTGACAACCTCTTGTCAGGACCCAGTTCAAATCAGACATCGTTAGATTGCTTCCTGACCTGTGGGCAGAACTTTCATCTCTCAGGACATTGGCCTCTGTGGTACCAATTCTATCCAAGACTTCCCAGGTATGAGAAAAGATCTCTCTTCCTTCTTTCATTTTCAAACCATTTTAACTCAGAGACATATTTTCCTGGAATTTGAAACCTCATGATTTTTTACTGGGGAAGGTGCATTTCTCAGGAAAATGGGGACAGGACAGAAACCAGGTTCCTGGAGAAAGCAGGATTCGGGGTTCCAGGGTAGTCCCAGCAGGTGAGCCACAACTGTGCTCTGGCCCCTGGTTCACAAATGCCCCAGCTGTGTAGATGGGCAGAGGGTGTGTTATTCTGTTAAAGGTAGGATTTGAGCCACTGTATTACTGAGGTGTAGTCTATGACTTCTAGGAAAATCCTTTTGGGTCTTCTGATTTCACAGCTTCTATATTCATATTTAGTTTGTATCTAACGCAAGGAATGAAGTTCTTATGCATGCTACCCTGTGAAGAAGCCATGAAAACAAGAGGCTGAGTGAAAGAAACAGACAAAAAATCACAGAGGGTCTGATTCCACTAATAGGACATGTCCAGAATAGGTGAATGTGCAGAAATGGAAGGTAGATGGGGTTGCCAAGAGCTGGGAGGAGGAAGACAAGGGGAGTAACTGCTAACAGGTAAAAGGCTTTCTTATGGGGGTATGTAAATATTTTGGAACCAGATAGAGGTGGTGGTTGCACAACATTGTGAAGGTGCTAAGTGAGGCAGAACTGTGCCCTTTAAATTAGTTAATTTGTGTTATGTAAATTTCACCTCAAATAAAGATTAAGTGGGGAGGGTGGGCTCTCAACTCAGAACCAGAGCAAGTACTTCAATCCCAATGCAAAGGTTACTTGGCTATTTTGGCTGCATCAACCTGAGCACTTCCATCAGAGCTGGCTCCCTGAATCCCAGGATCCAACCTGTTTGTTGTTTATGCTCCTTGGGGAGCTTGGCTCATGACCCGACTTGGAAATGACATTTCCAGGTGCTAGGATCTCTCTGTGCCCAGTGCTGGGGCTGCACCAGGCACTGAAGCCTTCCCACCCCAGGAGGGCTGTGTCCTCCTCTTGTGTGATGAGGAAGAATGTGCTGCTTAGTCACTGGCCTCAGTAGTGGTCTCTGGGCATGAGCTAGGTCTCAGTGAGCCCAGGGATGGGAAGCCTGGCTCTGTCCCTGAAGCCACATGCTGCCTCCAAAATGGGCATTTTCTCTTTGTTGAAGGGTAAGTCACCTCTCCCCTTGAAACTCTTTTATCTATAAATCTCCTTTCTTTGTTGGGGACCAGAGCCCAACTGCTCCTGCTTGGTGCCTTGGTGGCCTGGGGTGGGCCACGGAGGTCTGTTTGCAGCTTCTCTTCTGTCATCATCACGAGTTCTGACACCCTGGCCCAGGCACAGAACTGCAGGTCACCCTGATGTTTCCATGGGCACCAATGTTACCAAGCCCCAAGACTCATCCTATGACCAGATTAGATCTGAGCCAGATCTGCGGTCCTCCCTGGCCTCAGGTAAGAGTGTCTAGGTAACAAGTGCAGGGAGGGGAGGGGCTGGGGCTGGACCCTTCCATTTCAAGAGAGCTGCCAACTGAAGGGGACTCCATCATCCCAGCAAGGAGGGAAGATTCAAACACTGGGCTCACTTGGAGCTGGTCCCTAGCATTCTCCTAAACCCTGCTGATGCACCAATATGTGACTGCAGGCCACAAGGTCACCTGTGGAATATTTCCAGGCATATCGCAGGCATTTATCAGTTAGTTTGTGGAACAAGCTCTGTTCTAGAAGCTTCTGTGATTCAGAAGCAAAGCTTCAGCAGCTCAGGGTTGTAGAACCAGGTAGATCTCACTGTTCTGAGACTTTCCATAATTCCGTCTGTAAACTTTTCATCATAAATGTGATCATCAGTTCAGGCTCCCATGACAGAGATCACAGACTGAGTGGCTTAAACAGCAGAAGTTCATTCTCTCAGTTTTAGGAGGCTGAAAGTCTGAGATCCAAAGATTGCCGGGATCATTTCTTTCCAAAGCCTCTCTCCTTAGCTTGTAGATGGCTGCCTTCTCCCTGTGTCTTCTCATGGTCATCCCCCTGTGGGTGTCTGTGTCCTAATCTCCTTTACTTATGAAGACACTACCCCTATTGGATTAGGGCCTACCCTAATGACCCATCTAAACATAATTACCCCTTTAATGTCCCTGTCTCCAAATTCAGTCACATTCTGAGGTACTGGGATAGTTCAACATATGAATTTAGAAGAATACAATTCATCCCATAGCAGCAGCCCTTACTTAGATGGGGATGCTGAGGCAAAGAAAGAGTCAGCTACTATGAAAAAGAGCTGGGATTTGCCCCCAAGAGGTCAGCTCTCACAGTCTCAGCATGAACTCCTCAGATCACTGGGTTTAACCAAGCTGTGGGATTCCAGAAGGGGTACTGACCTTCTCCTGTTTAACTTTCAAGTTGGGCAACAAACCACCTTGGTTTTCCTAGGGCTATGAGGATTTTCAGGACAAGAGATGTTCAGAGCTTAAACTGGGAAAGTCCTAGGCAAAGCAGGATAAGTTGGTCACCCTCCCCTCATGATTCTACAAAGAAAGACCTGTGATTGGCAATGTGGAGGAGAGTGCCTGCTCCTGTTGTGGACGTAGCCCAGGGTTCAGGTGTGAGTCTCCCTCAGGAGTCCAAGAAGCCTTTTTTTTTAAATCAGTTTGCAGAACAAGCTTTGTTCCAGAAGCTTCTGTGATTCAGAAGCAAAGTTTGCTTTTATGAAGAGGTCACCAGCACTTCCCCAAGTGTAACTGAGCTGCATAAAGCTCTCCATAGGTGCCATACCCAAGTGAGTCCTCTATGTCAAACCCTGTTCCAGGAGCTGGAGAAGTTATTGAACAACATTGTGAAGAGAATAAAAAACCTGATAAATCTTCCATTCCCACAGAGGGATTTCTGCAGAAGTAAGTAAGTTGCATAGACACTCAGCATGTGATGAATGCAATGTTAATAGGAAGCAGAAGCTTCTCTGGAAGTTGATACTGGGGCAAAGATTGGAAAGAGGATACAAAGCTTACAGATGTGCAGAGGCCCTTCCAGGCAGCAGAACAACATAAAGGTCCTACCAGGAGGCCCTCGTGCTGAAAGTGAGGAGTTGAGGGGAGGTGAGCAGGAGAGAGGTTGGGTAGACCTTCCCTAGAGCACTGAAAAGCAACTGCCCCATGTGGGACTCAGAATATCTCAGAACCTTAGGGCAGAGGAATTGCCTGGTGCCTCCACCAAAACCATGCCATGAAAACTGTCTGTGTCAATGAGAGAGTTGGAGAACAAAGGTAAAGAAATGCACCTCTTTCCTTTATGGGCACCTAGGTGCATGGATACACACCTGGTGTTGGGCACAGCATCAAGAATACCTGAACGAGGTGGAGAGAGGGATGGGGGCAAGCAGGAGAGGGTACCCTGCAGTGGAGGATATGGGATGGATGGATCACTTGCAGGAGACTCATTCCTCTCCTTGACTTTGCTCTGTGAGATTCCCACCAATCTTGGGAGGCCCAGCAGGACCCTCTTGGGAAGCCCAGCAGGTCAGAAGGCAACCCTGACTCTCCTTCCTAGGCCTGGTAAGTTACCAACCTTTGTCTTTGCAGGGTGTGCCCAGGCAGCCAAGGCAGCCCACCATGGCCCAGTTTCTCTCAGTGTTCTCTGGGAAGCTGGATTGGGACAACAGGACAGAGACCCCAGGACAAGTGAACATGAGTCATACGGGAGGCGAGTGGTTGGTGGGCAAACAGGTGGTTTTCATCCTGACAGTGCTGGTGGCCTTCTGTGGGCTGGTGGGCAATGGTGTGGTCTGCTGGCTTTTCTGCTTCCAGGTCAGGAGCAGCCCCTACGTGACCTATGTCCTTAACCTGGCCGCTGCTGATATGGTCAACCTCTCCTGTGTAACTGTGATCCTGTTGGAGAAAATCCTCATGCTGTATCACCAGGTGACATTGCAGGTGGCCATGTTTCTGGAGCCTGTGTCCTATTTCTCTGACACAGTGAGTCTCTGTCTCCTGGTGGCCATGAATATTGAGAGCTTTCTGTGTGTCCTCTGTCCCACCTGGTGCTGCCACCGCCCAAAGCACACCTCTGCTGTGATGAGCATCCTGAGCTGGGCCCTGGCCCTTTCTTTGCATGTGGTTAGCCAGGTTTGTGAGTAATGGGAGAAGGGCCTGGCATGTGACCAATTTCAGGCAGGCTTTATAATATTTCACATGCTTATTTGTCTTGTGGTGGGCATTTCCAGCCTGACTTTGATCATCAGGAGCCTGTACTGCCTGAAGAACTGTTCACCCATCCGGATCTACCACATTGTCCGCTTTGTGGCCATCAGCTTCCTGGTTTGGGGCCTGCCCTTAGTTGTCCTTGTGTACCTGCCAGGAAAAGAATACCTGACCTTTGCCTTTGACCTTCTGTTGCTGCTGTCCATGGTAGTCAGTATGGCTCAACCAGCCATCTACTTCTTGGCTGGCTACCTTTGAAGGAAGAGGCATAGGGAGTCCTTAAAGTTGTTCTCCCAAGAGCTTTGTTGAATGAGATGGAAGGTGGAGGAAACAAGGGGTTTCAGGCAAGGGAACAGCAGGTTACCAGGACTGAGCTCCTCCCACTCCAGGAAGCTGTTCCCCAGGACTGACCATGATGCCCTGTATTGGTCCATTCTCACACTGCTATAAAGAAATATCTGAGACTGGGTAATTTATAAAGAAAAGAGGATTAATTGGCTGACAGTTTGACAGGCTGTACAGGAAGCATGGCTGGGGAGGCCTCAGGAAACTTACAATCATGGCAGAAGGTGAAGGGGAAGCAGGTACGTCTTCACATGGCAGGAACAGCAGGAATAGAGCAATGGGAGAGGTGCTATACACTTTGAAACAATCAGATCTGGTGAGCACTCACTCACTATAATGAGAGCAGCACAGAGGGGAAAATCTGCCTCCATGATTCAATCACCTCCCACCAGGCCCGACCTCCAATACTGGAAATTACAAATGGACATGAGATTTGGGTGGGGAACATAGATCCAAACCATATCATGCCCTGTGGAGTCTGCCCCATAAGGAGGTGCTTGAGTCCTGGCAAACATAAGACTCTGAATAGGGCAGGAAGTCAAGTGGTGGAAAAAACTATGACTAGAGGAAATGTTCACTGAAGATTCCCTTTGTCTCAATACTGCTCTAATTACTTTGCAAATATAAAACCAGGTAATTTTAACAATTCTATGAATAGATAACGTTATTATTATCCTGCTTCAGCCTAAGCCAAAAGGCCACTTGGCCCACTTAGTCAGTGGTTATCCAAAGGCCCCAGCACATTATAACAAGCACAGTCCTTCACCATCACGCTCCTCCTTGGTGATCAATCACAGTTGGACTCTTGTGGGTCTGTCTGTGGGCCCTCTGCTCTATTCCATCAGTCTATTTATCCATCCATGGACAATACCACACTTGATGTAGTTACTGCATCTTTATCATACATGTCTATCTGCGAGAAGCTGAGTCCTCCTACAAGCAGCTAGATAGAGAAGAAAAAGACATATATGTACAGAGAATCAAAGATACAAAGCAGATTTCTTGTTGGAAAATTGCAAGTTGTATGAAAGTATTTTTTTTAAAGAAAAAAATGCCAACCTAGAATTCTTTACACAGTCAAAATTTTGTTTTCCAATAAAAAGGCAGAATAAAGAGGTTTTCAGATTGACAAAAGATGAAAGAAATCATCACCAGGAGATGTACAGATTGAGAAATGGTAAAGGACATCCATCTAGCAGGAGAATAATGACTCCAGATGGAAATCTGAGTCTACTAAAGGAAGGAGCCCTTTGCACTGCTAGACTCTCCATAGGATGCTGAATACAAGTAGTGAGAGCTGACATCCTCACCTAGTTCTTCCTCTGGGGTGAAACTATCCAGTCTTTCATCATTAAGAATAACGTCCAGTAAACATCAACTACAGGGTTTTTGTAGGTGCCTTTTATCAGTTTAAGAAAATTCACTTCTATTCCTAGTTTTTAGGAATAGAAATAGACTGGAAGTTTTTATAAGGTTGATGGATTTTGTCTAATGCTTTTTCCAAATATACTGAAATAATGATGTGCTGTTGTCTTTTCATCTGTTAATATGGTGAGTTATACTGGCCCATTTTTAACGTTGAAGCAGCCTTGCATTCTTGGGATAAATTTCACTTTGTCGTTCTGTGCATATATTTATACTTGTGTTGCATATGTATGTATGCTCAAGGGCACGGGTTTCTGTGTGTGGCAATGCAGTGGACCTAGATTAGAAATAAAAAACCCTCTAAAAAAGAAGAATTAAGTAAGATGGCTAACAATACCTAACTTCAAGACCTATCGTAAAGGTTCAGAAATTCAGACGGTATGGTATTGGTAAGAGGCTAGACAAATGGATCAATAGAACAGAATACAGAGTCCAGAATAGACCATCACATATGTGTTCAATTGTTTTTCAAAAGTTGTACAGCAAATTCAGTGGAGAAAAGACAATCTTAGCAACAAATACTATTAGAACAATTAGATATGCATATTAAAAACTTCAGTCCATACATGGCACCATTATTCAAAATGTATCATAAACCAAAATGTAAGGCCTAAAACTTTAAAATTTGCATAAGGAAAAAGGTAGATATTAGTGTGACTTTGGATTAGAGAAATATTTGTTAGATAAGCACCAAAAGCATGATGCATAAAAGGAAAAAAAAATGATCAATTGGACTTCATCAAAATGATGTGTGCACTCTGAAAGACCCTGTGAGGAGAATGAAAAGACAAGCCCCAGGCTGGAGGAAGTATTTGCAAATCTCACCTCTGATGGACTCATATGCAGGTTCTACAAAAAGCTCTGGGGAGTGGACTCCTCGTGGCCCTCAGGAGTCAAAGGGGTGCTGTGCTCAGGGCAGAAATGGGAGATGCCTCCCACCCTGTCATTCATGTCCCCTGAGCAGTGGTGCTCAAAGTCCCCTACCAATGTCCCTTCCTGGGTCCACAGACCCTTCTCTCCCCACATCTACACTGACAGGCCAGGCCCCTCCTCCAGGGCACAGGGAGGGACAGTTGGTCTCAGGCTCTGGGTGCCCAGCTTCATGCTCACCCCTTCCTTCAAGGCCCACTGGGCCTGTCTCACAGGATATAGTGAGGTTGTCTGGCATCTCCTGGACATGCTGTCTGGGCCTATTCCAAGCTGCAGCCAGAAAAATGGAGGAATGTTTGTCAGACCAGGTACCCTTCCCACAGAGCCTGGGTCCAGATACACAGTACAGAGGCCACAGGGTGGCCAGCCTAGAACCTGTGAGGTGGGCTGGGGACCACACAAGGGCTGTCTCCAGACAGCCAGGTGAAGCTTTGCTAGTTTCTCGGTATCTCATTTCTTTCCTTTTCTTTTTTTCTTTTTTTGAGACAGGTTCTTGCTCTGCTGCCCAGGCTGCAGTGCAATGGCGTGATCTCAGCTCACTGCAATCTCCACTCTCTGACTTCCAGGCTTAAGCCATTCTCCCACCTCAGCCCCACCAGTAGCTGGAACTACAGGCGCGTGCCACCACACCTGGCTAATTTTTTTGTTTTGGTAGAAATGGGCTTTCACCATGTTGTCTAGGCTGGTCTTGAACTTCTGGACTCAGGCAACCCACCCTCCTTGGCCTCCGAAAATCTTGGGATTACAGGCGTGAGCCACTGCATCTGGCTGTTATTTCATTTCTTGCCAGTTACCTTACCCTCATGAAAAACCCCCTTCATTCAAAATCAGTAAGAGGAGAAAGGTGGTAAAAGAATCAATGGAAAGAAAACAGGATATAACTTCTGTCCATATAACTTCTTTATGTCCCATTGGAAAGAAAAGCCTAAAGGGGTCCACTGGTTTCTATTGCTCTGAGGTCCCGACGATGGCATTACACAGTGCAATAACTACCAGCAGGGGCCATGCTTGATTTCAGCAGACGTCAGTGAGGACATACCTGGGATCTTCTGGGGTCGTGGACATGGACTTAGAGCAGAACTGAGTAAACAGGTGTGCACAGGCACGCACACACATACACATACACGTGCACATGTGCACACACAGGGACACACACTTCTGCACTGTTCTAGACTGTTCCCGGGGCAGCAGTCCTGGGCTGCACAGATGAGCCCCTCCCCATCCACTCTGATTCCACAAGGCTCCCCGACCCCGCTAGTCATCTGCCTTGTTGTCAGTGGTGTCCTTTGTGTCCCGCCTTGGCACAGGCTCAGGACCTGGGATTGCCAGATGCTGAGAGGAGATGAGATGGAAAGGATGAGGGAAGCAAGAGAAGAAGGAAGAGAGGGAGGGAGGGATGTGGGGAGGGAAGGAGGGAAGAAAGGAAGGGAGGGCTGCCGGAGACCAGCCACCCAGGGACAGTAGACACAGGTGACAGCAGACCCTCTCAGGGATGCTTTGTACAGACTGTCATGAATGAGCAATGTCACTGGAACTCCAACTTTTGCTCCCTTCCCAGCCCTCTGGGGGTCCCTATCAGGTGCAGTTTGAATTACAGGAAATTACTGGAGGGTCTTAACCCTGGCATCTGCCTGAGAGTGGGAGGCTGCAGTGCAGTGTGGCTCACAGTTGTGTGGGAACCTTGGCCTTTCTGGTGCTTGGCCCTGCTGCGGCCTTTGGGATGGGGAGGCTGTGAGAGGCTGGTCAGGGTCTGGGCTGTGCCATCTTCATTTCCCATCCACCCCAGTATGTCCAGGGCTTCCTGCAGAGAGCTCTGGGCAACTCAAAAACAGGCAGGACATAACAACAAAGACTTTATTGTGCTTTAATCAAAATAAGTGGGGGCTTTGAGGCCAAGGAAGGGGTCCTTTTCCCCAAGAAGAGGCATTCTTAGGCATTGTTGAATCTATGCTGGAAGCTCTGGTCCCACCTTGGAGCCTCCTGCAGTGAGTAGAGCCAAGTTTCCTGACTTTTTCTGACCACAAAATGCAACTGCCAAGAATGGCAGATGAGGGATCCAGCCTCCTGGACTCTCATTTGCTTAGTTTTCTTCAGTCTTGTGTCCTGGAGCAGATTGTGGACCCTGGAAGCAGGGCCCCAGTGCCATCTCCTTGGGCCTCAGAACTCTGCCCCATTGGTGGTCTGGTGGTGGCCACTTATCCTGCAGGAGCCTGACCATTTCTGCTTCCTTGAATGGATGAGGTTGGTGGCTGGTCCACGTGTTTCTGCCCCACCCTCACCAAGGTGGCCAGTGGTAGTTTGAGCTTGGTAACATCATCAGCTTGGCCTTGCCAGGCACACATAGGCCCCGGGTATGTACGCAGTGCTCCAAGGGGGCTTGCTCCGCCTTAAGCCAAATACTAGTTCTGGCCAGGGCCACAGGGGGCTCCATCTCCTGTGTATCTTGGCTGCTGCTGGAGGCCCCAAGGCACCCCTGGTGCCCCTTCCCTTTCAGGGCTCAGGTTGAGTCTGGGCTAGGGCCCTCTGGGTCTAGGAATTGTGCGTTGAGAGGGGGGTTCTGCCCTACAGGTTGGGACCATGGATGCAGGGCATGCTGCTGGGTGGCCTGGGCTGTGGGGACACCATGCTCACCCCTCCCTCCAGTGGCCTCCAAGTGTCCAGCTTCCCCATCAGTATTGACTTTCCATGTCTAAGGAGCTCTCTGGGGCTTTGGGGCAGCTTGCCAAGTGCTGCCCTGGCTCCTTCTGGGCCGTGATGTTCACTGTCTGCCAAGGGTGATCAGCTGTAGGCATCACATGCAGGAGAGTTGTCTCTGGCCCTACCTCTGGGCTATCAGGGGGCTGGGCAGTGTCTGGTATTGGGGGCTAGGCCAGTCCTATGATCTTAGAGGTGTCCAGGGCACATATGGAAGTGATAGGGGCCTAGCATCTCTGCTCCAAGCTCTACTGTGAAAACCACAGGCCTCTGAGGTCCAGGTCCATGGGGAGCTTAGAGAGGGAGTTCCAATGCAGGAATCACCAAGCACTCTGTGGTCTATCCTGAGCTGGGGATGGGCTGGCCACACTCTGAGTCCCCAGGGCCCCCAGAGAGCAGCCTGCTGTCCTGGGCTCTGCAGAAGCTCCCTTATGCCTCTGGGCTTTGGCCTTGGGTACAGCATAGCCAGGTGAGGGTGAGGGAGGATGAGGCTCCTGTTTCAGGAGGGCTATACCCATGGGCTGCTGGAGCTGGGCTGTGGGCCAGGGAGAAGCAGCCCATCCCCTTGGGGAGGGTCTCAATGCTGGGGGATATCTGCAGAGGCCTGGGTGGTGGGGGTGCTTGCTCAGGTTTGGCTGAAAGGAAAGCAGATTTGGTCAGCTTTTCCATTGAGAACATCTTGCTTTTGCCAGGCTGGACCCCACAGACCTGGGTCCCTGCAGTCCTCAGGGTCCCCGTGTGGTCCCCCTGGTCTAATGCTGAGGACACTCCTGCAGGCTGCTACTCCCAGAGCGAGGTGTGTGTGCAGCCTAGAGTGGGGAAGCTGTCAGGGAAGCTCAAGTCACTCCAGGGACAGCCCCCAGGGTTCAGGCTGACTCAGTCTTCCTGCCTCACACTCTTGCCCCAGGGCTGCTTAGCCTGGGCTTTAGCCTTGATTCAGAGCTCAGATGGATGGGGCCTTAACTGTTACCTAGCCCCTTTGCCACACAATATGGGGGCTTATCTCCACAGTGGATGAGACACCCTCCACTCCTCTGGGGGATCTCCATGCCAGGGCTGGACTGTTCCCACACTCGGCTGAGCAATCAATTCTGGCTCTGGGCCAGGGTTTCACCTATGCCCTCTCCCTAGATTCTCTTAGGGTCTCTGACACTGATTTTAGGCCCTTGGAGGGGTGCTCAGGAGTGAAGACCCCCTGCTGCTCTCCAGGGCTGCTGGTACTCACAGGTGTGGTTGTGGGCTTGCACAGATGGATCTGACCCCTCCAGTGTCCTTCTGGGGCTTTCAGGAGTGAGAGCAGGAGGGTACAGGGGAGGGGCTTGGAAGAGTCTTGCTCACGTCTCATTGTCTCTGAGGCATGTCCAGTAAACCCAAGGTCAGCTTTTGCCCTAGGCTCAGGCAGCCTGGTTTCAGAAGCTTCTTAGAGGAGGAGGGAGAGGAGGGGCTGGAGGAAGGCCCAGGGAGCAGGGCTGGTGAGGTCTGGGCACTTCCCACTATTTACTGCCCCGCAGGGTGACACAGGAGGAGACTTGGTGCTGAAGCCCACCTGGGTGTGCAGGTCACAGTGCATGCTTCTCAGTTCCCCCATGGAGGCCTCAGGGTGCCTCATCACCATGTCCTCCTCCAGGGCCCAGGCCTAGGACAGTGTGTCCTGAAGGAACTCCTGCAAGCCAAACAGGAACAGCTTCAGGGGGTGTTCTAGGGACAGGGTGACTATGAGGCTGGGAGGGGTCTGTGGGAGAGTCAGTGTCTGCACCTTGTTCCTGCCCCAGGCACCCACCACTGGGCGGTGCTGGATCCTACTGTGGCTGCCCCAGGGGTCCAGATGTTCACAGAAAACCACAGCTGGAGGAAGGCCTGGGCAGGGAAGTGCTCAACACACTCTTGCCTTTCATCTGGGTTGTGTCAGGAGTGGGTTTGGTACCTGGGTCCACTCCCTGCCCAGCCCACCAGGCCTGGTCTGGCCCTACCTCCAGGCTGGAGCAGAGAGCCATGTGGACAGTGTGGATGCTGCTCTCAGGTCATCACACACCAGAAGCCAGGAATCTGTCCTGGCTATAGGTCCCAGGGTCTGTCCTGCATGCTCCTTCTGGGCACCATTGGCCACCCAGGGACTTAATTCTGTGGCTGTGAAGGCCATGTATACCATAGTTGTCACCACACACTCACCTCCCAGTAGGTAGACATCCCAGAGCCACAGGATGAGCATGAAGGAAGTCTGTGGGAACAGCAGGTGTGGGAGGACCTGGCCTTTCCAACCTCGGGGCTGGTGGCTTGAGCAGGGCCCACTGTAGCCTCAGTCTGGACTTCCTGAGGCTCCCTCTGCTTGGGAAGAGACCCACCCAATCTTCCATAAGGCTGGGTCAGACAAGGTCCGGCAGCTCTTCATAGGGATGGACTCATCTCAGCAGAAATGTGGTTCCCAGAATAAGGGGCTTCCTGAGGGCTTGTGGCTTCCCTGGCTCCTTTGGCTCTTCCAAGATGGGTCTTGGCCCAGTCTGCCCAGAATTCCCTGGTGTCTGGTGTGTAAAGCTCCCATCATACAGGTCCTGGCTTGTGTGCCCTGCAGAGACCTGCCTGTGCCTCCTGTGGGGTGGGGGTGAGCTGGGTCCTCCTGGGGAAGCCAGACCCCTGGGCTGGGGGAGCTGAGCACTGTGGGGAAAGGAGGTACCTGGCCTGGGGTCTCCTATGCATCCTTATCTCATCGATGAAGCACCATAGAAACCAGTTTAAGGTGGAAAGCCGGATGCACAACCCTTCCTTGTCCTGATAGAAGGAATAGAAGTGTTCAGGGTCCCCTGGGCTTCCGTGAAAACCTCTGTATTCCAGACCCCACTGCAGACCCTTCCCCAAGAGGTAGAACAGTGGTGGCTGTGCCCCAACACCTCCCCATGGCATGGGCCCCCAGTGGATGTACTTCCCCTAGCCCTGGCTCAGCCAGAGCTTGGCCTGGTCCCAGTGCCTCTGTCCCCTCCAGGTAAGGAAAAGGAGGCCAAACTTTGAATCCATTGAAAACCAGATCAAGCCCTGGCTGGAAGTTGGCCTCTCACCAGCCCCAGGCTTCCCCTGTCCCTGCTAACCCCATGGGACCCAGGGCCTCTGGGGAAGAGCTGAGGGACTGACCACTCACCATGTGCTTCATAAGCTCTCAGAACACTTTTAGCAAAACTTGCTCTTGATGGGCTTGGAGACTCTGGAAGTTAGAACATCTTGGGATGTAGACTCCTGAGAGGCTCCTGGGGCCCCAAGGAATCAGAGCCTACTCCTGAGATGTGGAGCCATCAGGCTGGGCAGTGGCAGTTGGGCAGTGGCAGTTGGGCAGCAGCGGTTGGGCAGTGGCAGTTGGGCAGTGGTGGTTGCTTCCAGACCCCAAGGCCTTTCACTGTCCCATCCAGTGACCCCATCATGTGGTCTCGGCCAGGAGAGGAGGGGTGGGAATGCCCCTGGGGCCTGGCTGGAGGCACTGCTTAGTGGCTTCCAGGGCCATGGCTCCAGAAGGGCAGGCCTGCCTTTGAAGCAGTGAGGACAGGTGGGAGCTGGTGGGGTGACCAGGGGTGCTGGAGGGTGTGTGGCCTTCTCCTGGATGTGGGGTCAGGGCAGGGGACACAGGACAGAGAGAAGCTGTCATCTGGGCTTGGTCTAGCCATGGGCAGGGAGGGTGGTTGGGAGGGTGGCCAGCTGGGAGGTGGAAGGACCAGCAGGGTTGTAAGAGTCCCCTGCATAAGGTCAGGGCCAGAAGGTTGTGACACCAGGATGCAGAAGGTGGTCACAGGGCAGCTGTGATCCCATTTGCTGATGGGGACAAGAGGCATCTGACTTGGGGTGTCAGGTCCCTGGCCAGTCACAGGCTCCTGTGGGACTCTCAGCAGGGGATACCCTGGAGGCTCAAAATGAGCAGGGGACAGAAGGTGCCTTGTCTGTAAGTCACAATTACCCAGCCAGTGTGGCCGTCCCCTGTCCTGGCTGTGTGATGCCTCGTGGGTAGCTGTCCACTGTGAGCTAATGTCACATGGGAGGACTGTGTCACCTGAGAGGGCAGAGGTCACCTTGGAGAGTACCATGCTTGGCAAGCCTCTCATTGGCCAGCAGCTGGGCCAGCACCCAGATGTCTCCTCATTCTGGAACATGAGCAGGATAGTGGCTCATGGCATGATATGGCTTATGCCCCCGCAGTAGCCTACCTCTGGCAAAAGCCAAAGTCATCATGGAAAGACTTCACCAAGGCTGACGTCACCTTGGAGGGTTGAGGTCACCTGAGAGGGCTAATGTCACCTGAGCACACTATGTCACCAAGAGGGCAGAGGTTACCTGGAAAGGCAGAAGTCCCCTGGCAGAGCTGAGGTCACCTGAGGAAACAGGTCACTTGGAAGGGAAGAGGTCACTTGGGAGAGTTAATATCCCCTAGGAGGACTAATGTCACCTGAGAAGGCAGAGATCATCTGGGAAAGCAGAGGTCCCCTGGAAGACCTGAGTTCACCAGGGAGGGCAGAGATAACCAGGGAGGACTAATGTCACTTAGGAGGGCTGAGGTCACCTGAAAAGACTGAAGTCATCTGGAAAGGCAGAGGTCACCTGGGAGAGCTGAGGTAACCTAGGAGGGCACAGATCACTTGAGAGGGGAGAACTAATGTCACCCAGGAGGGCAGAAGTCACCTGAGAAGGCAGAGGTCACCAGGAAGGCCTGCCACAGGTCCCGGGGAATTTAGGGTGCAGCTTCCGTGCCCCTCTCCTGACACTGTGGTTCACTTGAGCCAGTCATGGACATCTCAGATGAAAAGGAGCTATGGAAGAGACTCCTGCTTCATCCAAACTCATGTGTGGCCAGAAAAGGCATAGGTGAGGGCCGTTAAGAACACCCTGACCCGAACTGCAGATGCTAAGCTGGGGAGGCCACTGTGCCAGGCTCAGGGCAACACCCATGAACTGAATCCCTATGAAGGCTGGCTTGTGGGTGCTGACCACTGCACATAGGGGACTGGGATGGCTCACAGGCTGCTGGGCACAGGAAGACAGCTAGGTCCAGACCCTGTGTGGGCAGCCCATGGAGTCTGCTCAGCAGCTCTTCCTGCCAGGAATGGTCAGGAAAGTGGGGGCTGGAGAGTGGGAGCAGCCATCTCAGTAAGTCCTTCCCTGTCTGCTGTGCTGTTCAGGGTTCGGGTGAAGGGGAACTTTGATCCCAAAGCCTGATTAAGATGATGGCTTCTTCAGGATCCAAACTCACTTTATGACAAAAGAAATGTTCATTAGGCACTTCACCATCTTGTAAAATATTCTGAGAGGGACAATCTGCAACAACGCAAAGCTTGTGGGGTTTGAGGTGGGAAAGGAAAATAAAACTCAGGACTCCAATTCACTATGCCAAATGGAAAAAATTAAGCTGAAAGCTGAGTCATGCAAAAAACTGTCTTTCCTTTTGTTCCTCAGCAGATAGCTACAGATAGAAGGTTAAATAGCTCCTCAAGTAGCTAGTCTTATGTTCACCTTATGTAAAGGGCCTATTACTGAGTGTGAGATGAATCCATAATTGACTGTTTTCCTGCCTACTCCTTTTCTCTTGCAACATGTGGATAACCACACCCTCTTTCCCATCTAGCCCACTTCTCACCTTTAAATATTGAAGCCCTCACAATCATCTTTGAGAAAGGTACATATACCTGTTTCCTGGGTGCGTCCTTAACCTTGGCAAAATGAAAATTCTAAACTGATTGAGACCTATCTGACATACTTTTTCGTTTACAAGTTGGCAACCAACGGAAGAGACTCTGAGTGAAGGTGGCCCTGACCTTTGACAAATCTACTTGTGCATGGTACCAGTATGAGCTATATTTTTATTTTATCTGTTTTAATTTTGAGACAGTGTTTCACTCTGTCACCCAGGTTGAAGTGCAGTGGCACGATCCCTGCTCACTGTAGCCTCCACCTCCCGGGCTCAGGTGATCCTTCCACCTCAGCCTCCTGAGTAGCTGGGACTACAGGCTTGTGCCACCACACCGGGCTAATTTTTGTAATTTTCATAGAGACAGGGTTTTGCCTTGTTGCCCAGGCTGGTCTTGAACTCCTGGGCTCAAGAAATCCTCTGGCCTTGCAAGGCCTCCCAAAGAGCGGGGATTACAGGCATGAACCACCATGTCTGGCCTTGAGCTATCTTTATTGTTCAAACTGTTACAATAGGTAATTAGTCAGACATGAATAGGTCAGGAGAGGGACCCTCGCCCAGGAATGTCAGGCAACCATCAGATGGTGGTCAGGAAGTTGTTAAACTGCCTCTTGAAAATAATAATTGGCTGCAGCCGGTGCCAGGGAAAGGCAGCCTCCCAATAGAAACACCTCAAGTTGGTAATCAGCAGCTTCCCAATAAGATCTCAGGAGGTGGGCTAGTGGACTTAAGCATGTGCACTAACAGGCAAAATGGCAGAGTTGAACCAGTATATAACCTTTCTCCAGGAACACTCGGCTGGTAAGGGAAGAATGCCTTAAGTGAGCATGTGTACAATTTTGGTAAACACAATGTGTATGTTGCCCCTTCCAAGTGCTGGCAGGCCACTGTGCACGTGGACAGCCCACCCCAAGGGAAAAATCAAGGGAGAAGAGATGCAAACCACTCCCCCGCCCCAAGAGGCATGCCAATGTATGAAACCCCAAGTCAAAGATCAAACCATGAACTTGATCTCTCAAGTCACCCACTCGGCCCTCTTTCAAGTGGACTTTACTTTCTTCAGTTCCTGCTCTAAAGCTTTTTAATAAATTTTCACTCTTGGCTCTAAAACTTGCCTCAATCTTTCACTCTGCCGTATGCCCCTCAGTCGAATTCTTTCTTCTGAGAAGGCAAGAATTGAGATTGCTGCAGACCCATATGGATTTGCTGCCAGTAACAAAACCAACAGGACGATTTGCTGAGGCCTGGGAGGTATCATCTCCAGAGAATCCCTGATTTCTCAAAATGTTGTTGAGATCTAAGGTTTATTTTGCTGTTCAACTCCTTTTCTAGAGTTTTACTTGCATCCAAAAAGATGAGTTTTTCTGAATCCATGATAATGGAAAGCAGGCAACTCCTTTCCAGAGTTTCAGCTTGCTTCCAACAGGGAAGATGAGTTTTGAGTTTTTTCCTGCTTCTAGGATGATAGAGAGCAATCTTCAACCTGGGCCTTATTCCTACATAAGTAGCTGAAATGGGGTTTGTCTTGGAAATTCTCTGAAAGTTAAGATTAACTACCAGCTGGTCTTGATTCCTCCTTACCATTAGAGTGCTCAGTAATCTTATAAATTGTGCAATCATTTGTTTTGCTTTACTTTTTTGTTGTTGTTTATTTGTTTGGTTCCGTTTTTGTTGTTTTAGTCTTTTTTCCATTGGGTTTGACCACTCTAGTTGACTTGGTCAAACCTGAAGGAAAGTTCTAAATTATGGGGAACAAGACCTCTGAACTGGCTAAATTCCTGAAGCTGGAAAAACAAAGAGAAAAAAAAGAAAAATCAGCCATCGAAACAAGAAAGATTTCAATTACCTGAAGGGCTTTATTTACATAACAAAACAACCCTTTGCTAGCCAAGCCAAACTGAAATAGCAATAGTGGTTGCCCCATGCTGTAGTTCAGTAGCTAAGGTTCTGCCCTTTTTCCACCATGGCAGCCTGGGTTTGGTTCCTAAATAAAGTCTTTACTGGTTTGATATTTGTGTTACATTTGAAATATTAGAAGTTTGTCCCACCTAAAACATGGTAATGTAACCAAAATGCAGGTTAGTCGCTTGTTGCTTGCAGAGTCCAATTAACAAAAGTGAAGTCTGGTATAAAGAAAGTAATTTATTTCCAAAACTAGCTTAGGGGAAGAAATGCAGGTGTCCTCCATATGGCTTCACTTTTAAAAAGCAGGGGAGGAAGTGAGCAAGGGTGGTGGCGGGGGGTCCATGCTAGCTCTTGTGCCTTATCTACGGGGCAATCAGCTTGTGACTGCTGGCACCTTCATGGGCAGGCTGTTATCTCTTGAGACAACCTCCTAAAGAGTGAGAGTTCCACAGTGGGCATGATTGGTTTATAAATCAACTGTTAATTCTCAAGTTGACTTTCCAGTTTGAGCGTGTAGTTAGATGAACTTGCACTGTAGGGAGAGTCCGGTAATGGGGAGGTAAAAGGCTATATTTGCATTCCTAAAAGCCTAAGTAGGGAGTGGGGAACTGAAGGAACAAGAAAAGGAAAGAAAAAAAATAATAATTGATGTCTCAGGAAAATGGGTGTACTCGGTTACAGCAATGAGATTTTAAAGGATTTTTAAAGCTCAGTGGTTAAAAGTCAGCTTGATTAAATGCTAATATACATAAGGTGTCAAAATTTGGCATGACGGTTATAAAATTATAAATGTAACTCAAAAGATAATTATCCTTGTGTAATTTTTTTTGATAAATAAGTCATTTATCCTGAGTTATTGGCGAAAAACTCATTTGTTTAACCTTAAGCTTCTTACTTAGGTAAACACCTGAAATTCACAGGCTATATAAATGATTAACAGGAAAATACCTTTAAATGTTGATTATCACAGTTTTCATAAGTAATCTAGGTAAACTATTAAAAATAACTTAGGTAAATGTAATGGAAGGAATGCTTGTAAATAAGCATAATATAATTTAGAATCTAAAGTTATATTACATAACAGGCATTTATTAAATGTCTGGGTCATTCACAATTAAAAAAATTACAGAAAAACATTTTGCTAAGAATATGTTCTTATTTAAAGGAAAATAATTTTTGTTGAATTCAAAGGTTATTTAAAGGTTATGAAACAAGATAAAAGGAACCACTAAATAAGAGCGATATAAAGACAGTTAAAAATATAAAGAGATATTTTTGGTAAGAAAGGTTAAAAGGAAAATTTTATATGAGAAAAAAATCTTGCATGGTAAATGTTTGTTCTAAAATAAAATGGCTGGATGCAAATAGCTCATGCATGTAATCCTAGCACTTTGTAAGGCTGAGGTGAGCAGATTGCTTGAGCCTGGGAGTTCCAGACCAGCCTGGGCAACATGGTAAAACCCTGTCTATACAAAAAACACAGAAAATTAACTGAGTATGCTGGTGCACATCTATAGTCCCAGCTACCTGGGAGGTTGAAATGGGAGGATTGCTTGAGCCTGGGTGGGTCAAGGCTGCAGTGAGCTGTGATCATGCCACTACACCCCAGCCTGGGTGACACAGAGAGAGAGACCTTGTCTCAAGGAAACAACAGCAGCAACAACAGCAGCAACAACAAAGAAATCTTAAAAAAAAGAAAAAGAAGATAAAATGATTGGTTATTTAGGAAAGAAGGCTGTTTAGGATAAAACAGGAAGTCTAGGCATGTCATAAGTGGCTTGTGTAAGTCATAGTAAGGTTTGTAAAAAGAGACTTTATGAGAAAAGAATTTATTTGATCAAGTTGGCTATAATTAAAAGGAAATTAGTCTTTCTAGAGACTGTGCTTTTGCACTTACTGTATATTAAAAATATGCTAATCCACTCAAGAATGGGCTAGAAGAACAAAATTTTCTTAAGATATTAATTTACTCTTAACAAATTACAAGATATTTTAATTTTTTTACCCCAGATTTCAACTTTTATTGAATCTCACTGTTTTCACCTTTCTCTCCCCTTCATAAGTCCTGAGATAATCGCTCTCTCCAACTTTCTTGTCAGTTTCTATAATTTTTTTTCCTCAGGTTCTAACTGCTACTGTGACATGATGCTAAAAGTGTTTTATCTTAAAGGTCTAAAGGAAATATTTTCTTCCAATATAACATTCTGTGCTCTTGGTTTGAAGTTTTTCTATGAAACTGAAAATTTTCACTTATGATGCAAGACACACCCTTCCTATATCTAACTAATTCAAGTACCATTTTCATTAGTTTTGACTTGAAGTCTAGGGAAAAGCAATTGCTGCAGGTCTTTTATTTATTTTTTGCCTTTTGGTAACTGGCCTAACAAACAGATTTTATATTTTATTGAAACAATTCCTATGTCATTAAGTTTTTTATTTGCCTAGGAAAACTGAGATTTAAAAAATTAAAGTTATTAACATCCATACAATGTTCTGTATTGCTTTTAAAGTCCTTGTTCTGTTGAGTTACAGGGCTTTGACTCCTGTATCTAAAAAGGACACCAAGTCCTGCTAAATCTTAAACACTGAAAGCTTCTAAAACCGTATCTTCAGAACCAGGAGAAGATGATAATCAAAAGAAACTGCACTCATGAAACACAGGGCCAGAAATTGAAACTATCTTACCCCTCAAAGTCCAGGGGCTATTGTGGAAGATGTGGGTACATGCGATTGTAAGAGCCTATTTTGAAAGATAAAATTGGTTTTATCTTGGTTACAGTTTCTCTGTAAAGATTAGTATCAAAGGCTCACTGATGCAAGACTAACCTCTGAGCTCCTGTGTCAGATTAACAAGGTTTTCTTGGAGTATTAACCCACTTTTTCATTTAAAAAATTATAAAATGTTACAAAAAGGTTTTTGGAAATTATATAGTATGGTGAAGATCATTAAAATTTAATAGATTTGTTTATAAGATTTGAGAAACAGATTTCATTGGCCTCATGCTATCTTTATTAGGGCTTATTGTTTGGAAAATTAAGTCTCCTCTCTCAAAGAGTAATGGTTTTGTCTTTTGACTTTTTTTTTTTTGAAATCTTTGAGTTATCACTTTGGTTAAATGAATGACTTATTTTACAATGACCAATGACCAATGATCCTATTTTGTGATAGCAGGTGTTTTAAAGTTTTGATATTTGATTTTTTCAAAATTAAATTCTAAATTCAGTCCTTTTGACTCATTAATTTTTTTGATATTAGGTCCCCTTAAGTCCAAAAGACACATATTTGCCTTATTTGGTATAATACAATCATTAGATATTAATTTCATATTTGACAATACCTACTGTATAATTTTATTATACCAAATAAATGTAACCTAATAATCTATAATTATAATTTATATTTATAGATTTAACCTGTAATTTTATTATACCAAACAGGTATAACCTCATTTCATGGGATGCGCCCATTCCCCTGAATTCCTCCATCTCCCCTGGGACCTGTGTTGAAGGTCATCTCAGTAGCTTCTAGGTTTTAGTGATAATGAATAAGGCAGTGAATGTGACATGTAGGTTTTAGGTGTACATACATTTTCAAGTCAGCTAGGTCAACGTCTATGACACTTGTGGTCACGTGGTACAAGTACATTTAGCTTTGTGAGCAATTCCCAACTGTCTTCCAAGGCGGCTGTACCATTTTGCATTCAGCAGCAGCAGCATTTTGCAGCAGCAATGCACAGAGTTCTTGTGGCTCCACATCCTCTATGGTGTTTGGTGTTGTCAGTGTTGCCTGTGAAGTCTGAGCCCCTCTTGTGGGTCTCTACCTCAGGTACTTGTGGGTCATAGAGAGAACTTTTCACCATGCAGCATGATTGTGTTTGCTACCGCTTGTTTCCTCAGTAGCCACTTGGGTTCTGGACCCACATGCCCCAGCTCGGCCCATGGTTTGGAGCTCAGTAGATGCTCTGTGATGCTGGCTGCTCCCTGGCCAAGAGAGCCCTTGGGGGGCTCTGTCACGTCCTATCTTGGACTCCTGCATGGGATGCCCCTATTCCTCTGAATTCCTCCGTCTCCCCTGGGACCCTCCATCCCCCATAGGCCTTACCTGACTCTGTAGTGCTCCCAAAACATGACATGGTGTCTGAAGGTGCACTTCATGTCCAGGTCAATCTGGTTTATTTTCGCTGAGGACATCTTGCCCTGCTGCTTTATTTTCTGCTCCCTCTGCTCCCAAATCCTAGGCCCTCCTGAGTGTGAGCCCATAGAAAGACCCTCTTCCCTTCCCTAAGTGGCCACCTGGACTGATAACCTGTGGTGGATGAGGATGGGGCTGGTCCTTCCCTGGGGCTCACTCTCCCGCAGTTGCTTTACAGTGAGAGCCCTGTATAGGAGCCCTGCTCCTTTATTTTCTTTAGGGCAGGGCTAAAGGGCTGGTTCCTCAGGAAGGAACCAGCCTCATAACAGACAAAAGGCTCACTACCACAAACAGCAATCATTCAGCACTTCTGGAAGGAAAGAAGATTTTTTTTTTTTTTTTTTTTTTTGCAGAAATATCCTTCTCTATCTTATTTCCAAAGCCACTGAGGGTCACCAGAGCCCAGTTCACTTGTGGTTCCCATGCCATCGTCTGTGCCTAGGATATGGGACTGACCATCACTCAGGCTTGACTTTTCCTCTAGCTAGAGACCCGGGCTCCTGACATGGCCTGGCCTGTTTCTTCCGCTGTGGCTGAGTGTGGAAGGACCATACCTGGTACTTACTTGGGTTTTCAGCCTTCACCTTCTTAACGTCCAGCAGGAGTGACCATGCCTGACTCCACATCTGCAGGGGGATTCCTTAACAACATGCTTTTTTGCCTTAACAACATGCTTTTGCTGCAGATATCAGCCAGGGCCTGTTTCTCTGCTCCTCGCTAAGAATGCTTTGTTTCCCATAAGGAATGCTTTTAGCTAATATATAATCTATAGAAGCAATGCTTATCACTGGCTTACTGTCAATTAATATGTGGGTCTAACTCCATTCATGGCTCTCAGCTCTGAAGGCTATCAGCCCCTGATTCCCACTCTACACTCTATTTCTGTGTCTGTGTCTTTAATTCCTCTAGCGCCACTGGGTTAGGGTCTCCACGACCGAGCTGGTCTTGGCAATTGGTTGGGAGGACAGAAGACTGACTCACTGTGGAATCTCAAGCTGACTGATGACCTTGTAGATGTAAACATCTTCATCTCCTGTGTCCACTGGTGCCCTGGATCAGCAACCTGCAAGGCAGAGGGAGAGAGGGTGAGGGAGGCCAAAATAAAAGTTGTTGGGTATGGGCGTGTGGGCAGCTCATCCTTGCCCTGCATCCCGAAGGAGTCCAGGACCATCAGACCAGGGAACAGAGGGAGAGGTGAGACCCGCCTCCCTGGAGGGAGCAGCCTGACCTGTGTCTGCTTATACTTGGCAATGATGTCCCTTTACTCCTGGGCGAGCAGGATATCCATGTCTTTGTCCATATCCACCCTATAAGACAAAATACTCCCAAAATTACATGGCACCTGAGAGCTTTAGAGAACACCCCATACATCTGCTCCCAGATGCCAGCCGGGTGAACTTCATTTCACCAACACCCCCAGGACAATGGGACCAAGCCAAATGGCCCCACCTCTGCCAGGACTTCTGGAGTCCCTGGGCCTGACCAGAGGTGGGCCCTTTCCTGAGGACTTTAAAACAAGGAGACCTAGACAACAAGACTTGTTGTCCCTAAATGTCCTGAAATGGGCACACACTCCACAGCAGGATGAACGGCATCTACCTGCTCAGGGTGAAGGGCCATGATGACTATAATGGACACCTGGAGGCAGACTAGGGCCAGGAACCAGAAATCTCTATATGATCAGCCTCCTGCTATTGTTCAGACACCATGAAGATGCCCAGTTTTCTATAGGAAAGAAGAAATCTCATGAGTGTTCTGTTCCACTCAAATCTTTACTCACTGTGGCCAGTGAATCCATTTGAAGAATAACACCAGTCAAGAAGGAGGATGTTTGGTTCGGAGAAGGCTTGATCTATTGTCTCCAAAGCAGCCTCCCTTTGGTGGAGGGAGGGCAGATTCCACAGTCCTGAGCAGTTGATACAGGAAGAGGCTTTGTTTTCCCAGGTCACCAAAGAACAAGTGAACTCTTGGGGACAGGTTCTGGAGAACACCCAGAGGGGCCATCTCTCCTGGGAATACCTGAGACAAAGGGAAGGTGATACGTCTGGAGGACAGGTCAGAGAGAGGGCCTTGCAGGTTAAACCCCTGTCCCCAGGCCTCAGAGAACAGGAGGAATGACTGTCACCTTTCGGCCAGACCTCCAGGGTTTCTTCATTTTCCACAACTATTCGAGGGCAGAGGGCTCCCAGCTCTGCTCCCAAACTGGAAAACTCCAGTGCCTGGTGGGTCCCACAGTAACCATCAGAGCCCACACTTAAAGTCTGAATGGATAAGATCCCTGCCTCTGGGGAACTTTTTCTTGCACAGACTTGGACTGAGGGATGCCTCTAACCCCACCCACAGGGCCCCCCATTCCTGTGGCTCTTCCAGAGCCAGGTTCTACCCCCACTGGGGTCCAGAATCCTCAGCAGATTTTGTATCTAAGGCAGGAAGGCTGCAGAGGTCAGGAGTTGAGTGCAGGACAGCACAAGGCAGGGCTGAGATCACAGTCCAGAGTCACATCTGGGTCCCTGGGTCAGTTGCCTCCGCTCTGACCTCAGGCATCTCATCTTCAAATGGGTACATTAGCACCCATTCCACGAAGTCAGTGTGAGGGTGAATGAGACGGCTGCAATACATGGTCAGTGAAGAGAAAGCACCTGGTGGGAGCTCAGCGACATTACCCTCCACAGCGCCCCGGAGGCCAGTGATGCCATCTGGTAGCATCTGCCCCCATGTCAGCAGGAAGGGGAGACAGCAGGTCACACTTACCCGAGAATGATCAGTCAGCTGTGCTGAGATGTGCCTCTCACTTAGAAAAGGGTCCTGCACACAGAGACACTCACAGACACCACTGTGTGTCTCCAGCTGCTCCACAACTCAGAGGCAGGCAGATGTTCAGCAACAGTGACGTCTGGGGTTACAGCACCCATCAGAGTGGGGCCCTGCCTGGGTCAGCAGGGCCCAGGTCCAGTGTCCTCTACTCCTTGAACTGTCAACACGCATGCATTCAATGTGTTTGTGTGTGAGTGTGAATGTGTATGTTGTGAACACGTGTGTGCATGAGTGTGTCTCTTCTCTGGCTGGTCTTGGCTGCTCCACCACATGTGCACCCAGGTCCTCATCACTGTCACCCCCAAGGGCTGTGGCCAGCATCAGAGCATCTATGGGTGCTCCCTAGTCTCTGCCCTCTCCACCTGAGGCAGTTCTGGATATGCAGACATAGGAAGGGCAGAGGGCAGAGGGCTTGCCCTTTCCTCATAGGGACTCAGTTTGTGTGTAAAATTTTAGGCCTACATGCTCAGCAGGGCAGGATTCAGCACACCTTCTCACGTCCTCCTCCTCCTCGAAGCCTTCTGGGCTGCTGTGTCCATTCCCCTTTTATAGATGAAGGGAAGGAGGCTCCCAGGACAAATCTCCTGTCTGAGGTCACACAGTGGCAGGTGACTAGGCACCACTGACCAGGTCCCCTGCCTAACTGGACCTGAGGAAGGAGGAAGCTCAGGAGGGAGGTGGGTGGAATCACCTCTTGGATGTCAGCTTCTGTCCACCAGGTGTCAGGTGACCCCCTCTTATCTGTTTTCTTTACCTCTGCTATCTCCCTTGGTCATTGAAATTGAACTGGGGTGGGGACATATTGGGAACCTATACCTGCAGCCCTTCCATCTCCTCAGAAACCTTCCCATGGGCCCAAAAATGCCCCCTCACTGGCCTCCTGTTTTCTACTCTTTAACTCTTAACCTCACCCAGGCATGGGGCCATAGTGGCCTGGAGACCCTATCAGATGCAAGTCCATTAGGGCACATCCCTGCTTAGGGGTCACCACCAGTGCCCCATCCCAATGGGACGCTCCAGTGGCTAAGAAACCCCCTTGCTCCCACACAGCCATGTGGAAACAACCTCATGTCCATTGAGAGATGAAAGGAAATGGAGGCTATCCTCACAATGGAATATTATCCAGCCATGCAAAAGAAGGAAATCCTGCCATTTGCAACATGGATGAACCTGGAAGACGCTGTGCTAAGTGAGACAAGCCAGTCACAAAAAGACATATACTGTATAATTCCACTGAGATAAAGTACCTAAAATAGTTAAACTCATAGAAGCAGAATGTAGAATGGGGGTTACTGGGAGGTGAGAAGAGGGACATGAGGAGTTGCTTTTCAGCTTGTGTAAAATTTCGGGTATGGAAGATGATTAAATTCTAGAGATTCGATGCATAACATCCTACCTATAGTAAACAATGCTGTATTACACATTAAAAAAATTCTGCTAACATTAGGAGATATATGTGTGTGTACCTGTGTGTGTATACAGTGTAGTATTTTTTTTTTTTTTGCTGAACAGTACTCCATTGTATGGATGCACCATAGTTTGTTTACATGTTCACCTGTTAAAGGACATTTAGTTTGCTTCTGGGTTTTGCCTATTATGACTGGAGCTTTTATAACAGTTTGTGTACGGGTGTCTGTGTGGACATAAGCTTTTATGTCTTTAGGAGAAATACCAGGGCTGAGATTGCTGGTTCCCGTGGTAAGTATATGTGTAAACTTACAAGAAACAAATTGCTTTCCAGTGCAGCTGTGCCATTTTGCTTTCCTGGCAGCGATGTGTTAGTCCTGTTGCTCCACATCCTCGCCGGCACTACTAGTGTTTGTGGTTTTTATTTTAGACATTCTAATGGGTGTGTAACAGGATCTCACTGTGGTTTTGATTTGTAGTCCCCTAGTGAGTCATAGTATTGAGTACCTTGTCTGGGCTGCTCTGCCTGCTGCGTGCCCTCGTTGCTGAAGTTTATGTCTGAGTCTTTGTCTCATTTCTGAAACTGGTTTTGTTTTCTTGTTTTTGAATTGAATTGATTGTTTTAATTGGGTTGGCTTGAGCATTCTTAAGTGTTCTGAATATGAGTCCTTGTCAGACGTGTGCTTTTTTAAAATATTTTCTCCAAATCTACAGCTCATCTTTTCATTCACTTAACAATGTATTTTACAGAACAAAAGTTATAATTTTGATGAAGTACAACTTATTGAATTTATTTTTGCCTTTTGCTATACTTTGCTTTCAGTGTCACATCTATGAACTCTTTGCCTAACTAGATTGGAAAAATTTTTTCTCCTATGTTTTAGTCTAAGCATTATATATTTATATATTTTATGCTTAGATCTACGATCCATTTTGAGTTAATATTGTAACTAATGCAATTTGTTACATGTAAATTAGGAGGTTTAGATCAAGATTCATTATTCTGGATAAGACTGTCCAATTGTTGACTGGGTGCCGTGGCTCACGCCTGTAATCCCAGCACTTTGGGAGGCCGAGGCTGGTGGATCACGAGGTCAGGAGTTCAAGACCAGACTGGCCAAGATGGTGAAACCCCATCTCTACTAAAAATCCAAAAAATTAGCCGGGCCTGGTGGCAGGCGCCTGTAATCCCAGCTACTTGGGACGCTGAGGCAGAGAATTGCTTGAACCCAGGAGGCGGAGGTTGCAGTGAACCGAGATTGCCACTGCACTCCAGCCTGGATGACAGAGCAAGACTCCGTCTTAAAAACAAAAACAAAACCAAAAACTAAAAAATAAAAAAAGACTGTCCAATTGTTTTAACACTGTTGAAAAGACCTTCCTTTCTCTGTTGAATTGCTGCTGTTCCTTTGTCAATAATTAGCTATAATTGTGTGGGTTTATTCCCAAGCTTCCCAATGTCTTCCATAGATCTATGTGTCTATCACTTCTCCAATATCACCTTGTCTCGGTGAGCTCTTTTGGAACAGCACTTTGGAAGGGTAACCTGCAAGTGGGGTGAGGGGCTCTATGATGGGACATACCTGGCCTAGTGGGCAAGGAAGGGCTTTATGGTCAAACATTCCTGGGATGCAGTAACGGCTTTCCCCTGTATTGCGGGACATCAAATATTCTCTTCATTTCTTTCAACTTGAATGTTCTCACCTGTAAAATGAAAAATAACTATTCTACCTTATTTGGAAGAGAAGACCAAGAACCTATATGACATTGAGCAGGTGTCTACGGAGCACCTAGTATCATGTGATACACTTGGAAGATACCCTGGTGAACATGCTGGACACAGCTCCTGCTTCTGTAGGGCTTGCATGTTAGTGAGGGAGACAGAGACATAACCAGACAACTGTAATTATGGGCCAACATTTCTGCCCTCAGAAACATATGATGTGCAAGTGGGTCAACACAACCCAATCGTGGAGTGAAAGAGAAGGTTCTGGGGCAGTGACTTCAAAGTGAAAGAGTACAGGGTGAGAAAGGGGCAGCACAGGAACAAAACAGGGCGTGGGGAAAGAGGGACTATAGGTAGGCAGACAGCATGGGAGAAGGCAGAGGATGAAGAGAGTAGGACAGCATGGTGGGGCATAGAGAGCACTGAACAATGGCGAGAAATGGGATCCACCAGAGAATAAAGGAAGGGTTTTGCATGTTCCAGTGAGGTGTTGGGCTTCATGTCGTTCATTTTGTTTTATTCTATTGAATTTTATTGCTATTATTCCACATAAAATTCACCATTTTAAGTTACACAATTTAATTTTAAATATATTCACAAGATTTGGAACTATCATTGCTATCTAATTCCAGATCACTTATATCACCCTTAAGAGAAAGCTTATACTCATTAGCCGTCAGTTCCTATTCTCCCCTCCTGCAGCCCCTGGCAACCATTAATCTGTGTTTAGTCTGTATGGATTCACCTATTCTGGACACTTTACATACATGGAATTATATAATATGTGGTCTTCTGTGCCTGGCTTCTTTCACTGAACATGCTGTTTTCACATTTCATCCACATGATAGCCAATGTCAGTGTTTCATTCCTTTTTATGGCTGAAGGACATTGCATTGTGTAGATGTATCAGTTTCCTAGGGCTGCTGCAACAATGTACCACAAACTGGGCGGCTTCAAACAACAGGAACTTATTGTCTCATAACTCTGGAGGTTAGCAGTCTAAAGTGTCAGCTGGCTACCCTCCCTCTGAAACCTGTAAGGGAATCCTACCTTGCCTCTTCCTAACTTCTGGTGGTTTGCCAGCAATCTTGGCTTGCAGGAGCATCACTCCAGTCTCTCCTCTTGTCACCACATGGTTGCCTTCTCTTTGTATGTTTGTGTCTTCACATGCTATCTTTTCGTAAAGACACCTGCCGTATTGGATTAGGGCCTGCTCTACTCTAGTATAACTTTGTCTTAACTAATGACATCTGCAATGCTGCTATTTCCAAATAAGGGCACATTCTGAGGTTTGGGGAGTAGAGCTTCAATGTATCTTTCTTGGGAGGGCACAATTCAACCCATAACAGTGGACACACCTTTTCTTTATGCTAGGCTTTCTTATAAAAGTAATGAGATGCCAGTTAAATTAACAGTCCTTAGTGCTTCCTGTTTTTTGAGTCAAGCGCTTCGCATGTGTTATGAAGTTTACAATTGCTCTGCAGGGTGGAAGGTGGAAGCTATTATTTATAAGAAAAAAAAATTAAGGAAAGAATGGTGAGAGGGTGAACCAAGGTCACACTCTTGATCCATAATGGAGATAGGAAGACTTTCCAAGGTTTTTCCAAAAGTTCTACACTTGGTAAGTGGCAGAGTCCAAATAGAAACTCAGGTTTTCTGCTTCCAAATCCCATGATCTTTGCAATGTTGCAAGTCTGGCTTCTGCTGTGAAACGCTACTGTTATAGAATACGTCTTCCAGATCACAGAAGCTTTCATGACCCTTCGACTGTCTCATGCAAGCAATGGTGAAATGGTAGAGATGCTAATTGAGCGGGGACATCAAGGGCACCCTCAGGGCTGAGTCAGCTGCAGTCCACAAGACAGAACTAAAAGGAAAGAATCCATGGGGAAACACCTTCATTAGGCCTTTTCACTATGGGAAAAGAACTTTCAGAGTTTGAGTGATGGGAAGAGTGAGGACCTTAAACAAAATGGTGAAAGCAAAAGAAATTTTTAGAGGAGAATGGTGGGTTCAATTTGGCCCTGGTGAATTTGAAGGGTGTATTAGTCTGCTAGAGCTGCAATAGCGAAGTATCACAGACTGGGAAGCTTCAACAAGAAAAATTTATTTTCTCATAGTCCTGGAGGCCAAAATTCTGACATTAAGGTGTCCGCAGTGTTGATTTCTTCTGAGGCCTCTCTTGTTGGTTTGTAGATAACTGTCTTCTCCCTGTGTCTTCACACAGTTGTCCCTCTGTGAGTGTCCGTGCCCTAATATCCTCTTAGGGCCCACCCTAATGATCTCATTTTAATTCTATAAAGACACTATTTCCAAAGAAAGTCACATTCTGAGATACTGGGGGTTAGAACTTCAATATACAAATTTTGAGAGGACACAACCCAACTCACAACAAAGACCTTGCTGTGCAGTAAAGCAGAGATATCTTTTAGGTTCTTAGCACTCAGAGTTGACAGTTGAGGAAAGACCAAGGTTGAGCATGTCATTTTTTTGTTTTGTTTTGTTTTTTGAGATGGAGTCTCGCTGTGTCACCCAGGCTGGAGTGCAGTGATGTGATATCAGCTCACTGCAACCTCTATCTCCTGGGTTCAAGCAATTCTCCTGCCTCAGCCTCCTGAGTAGCTGGGACTACAGGTGCACACCACCATACCAGGCTAAGTTTTTTGTGTTTTTAGTAGAGATGGGGTTTCACCATGTTGGTCAGGCTGGTCTCAAACTCCTGACCTCAAGTGATTCACCTGCCTCAGCCTTCTAAACTGCTGAGATTACAGGTGTGCGCCACCACACCTGGCAAAGATGTCATTTTTAGGAGGCAGAAATTGAAGACATGTGATATGGTTTGGCTGTGTCCCACCCAAATCTCATCCTGAATTGTTGTTCCCATAATCCCCACATGTTGTGGGAGGGACCTGGTGGGAAGTAATTGAACCATGGGGGAGGTTGCCTCCATGCTGTTCTTGTGATAGTGAATTGTTATCAGATCTGATGGTTTTTTAAAAGGGGCTTCCCCCTGTCCCCTTTCACTCTGCCCTTCTCCTTGCTGACACCATGTAAAGAAGAAGGTGTTTGCTTCCCCTTCTGCTGGCATTGTAAGTTTTCTGGGGCCACTCCAGCCCTGCAGACCTGGGAGTCAATTAAACCTCTTTCCTTTATAAATTACCCAGTCTTAGGCTGTCTTATAGCAGCGTGAGAACGGACTAATACAACATGTGATAGCTGATGATCCCAGAAACAAAGTCTAGAGAAATTGGGTGAGGATGCCAGTCTTGTGTGTTTTTGGTCATTGACAAGGTAAAATAAAATTTCTTAAAACGTTTTCCTACTTTTGCTATAGAAGCTTGATTTGTGAAATAGTGTTTGGAGAGTTGTAGTATAAATATCAATGCAGAGTGAATTAAAAAACAGAAGAAATGGATAAACCAGATTTACAATCATTAAGTAAATCAAAATTGGTAGTTAAAAAAATTTAGCATGACCAGGCCCAGATGATTTAACAGGCAAATTGAACAATTGAAAAATAGGCAGCAGGTAGATTTTTCTGGATTTACAGAGTGTATCCACCCCAGCATATCCACTTCTCTGAGCCTTCTCACCTCTGTCTTTCGTGGGGAGTTGTCACTTTTTCCATACTTACAGGAGCTTACCTTGAATCTGATTTGAACTATCTTCTGGAATCCCTGTTAGGCTGTTAAATCCTGTATCCTGTGAGGATCCTCCTGCATTGATAATAAACCTCTCTCATCTAACCTTAGGTTCTACTTGGAAATGGAGACCCTTTAGTATCCAGCCCCATGGATATCTCAGGACTTCTGCCCATATATGTGGCTATATTCTGTGGCTCTTCCCCTATTAAGTCATAAGGTCCCTGGCTGAGGTAGGCTGTGGTGAACCTCATCATTGGCCTGGCCACCAGGAAACAAGGTGTGAGCTGATCAGGGGGTTTTAGGGCACTACAGTCTTGTGGGAGAGCAGTCTCTGCCTTCTCTCCAAGCAAGGGGCCAGTGCTTTCCCTTCCTAGGGAGGGCTGGGCCACTCTGCACACTCAGATTGTGCAGGGGCATCTGGGGATTCAGATAAAAAGAGAAATGGGCAGAGGGGAACAAGAAAGGGGCACAGAGAGAGAAGCTGGGATGAGTCACGAGAGCACAGAAAGAGGGGCAGAGACACGGCTGGTTGCCAGCAAGGTCTCAGGATCAATAGGAAGACCATTGTTGGAAGGAGGAAGATTTCCCCAGTATTTTGTGTGGGAGCTCCAGTTGGAAGCTGGAAGCTCTGCTCTTTTGCATCTTAGCGTGAAGACGGGGACCATGGGTTCATCTCTCCCAGGCAGCTCTTCATTTTGTTGTTTTATTTTCTTTTTTGATTTTTATTTAGAAATTTTCTACATTTCCTAAAATCTTAACTTTTATATCATTGTTGGTGTCCAGTAAATTAAGAGAAATGTGGCAAAATGACATGGAATCCAAATACATCATCAAAGAGATATTTTATTTGTAAACAAGTTACTCTCTAAGGTCTTAAAATCTGCCCCAAGTGTTCTCTCTGCACGTGAACAGGCGGAATAATTGTGATAAAATGGAAGAGCCCAGCAGGTGGGGTCTGTGAGATCATTCAGCTGACTCCTGCAGACAATGTGCTCTCTCTCTCTCTGCCCCCACACTAAGGGTGCACTCCTTGTTCATCTCCAGGACGGTGTCAGCAAATGCTGCCTGGGGCATGCTGGTGATCACTGTGTCACTTTGGGTCAGGAAACACATTCTGGAGAGGACAAAGCAAGTGAACAGGCCTTGTACGCTGAGTGGAAGGCCTTTTATCTCCAAAAAATCAAACCAGAGAAATTAAAAAATATCTTGAAACAAAAGACAAGGGATACACAAATATAAAAACTTGAGGGTTCCAGGGACCAGAGGGCTTCTGCACCTTAGCCTGTTTCCTGCTTTGCTAAATGAGCAGATGTGTGATGTGCTCTCTTTGGTCCCATAGCTTCCTATTGTGATTCCTCCACCCTGGGCACTTGCTCTCATCCTGTTCTGCCGGCTGCTGCCTCACTCAACAAAACCTGTCGACTTCGACTAAGGTCAAGATTCATGGGTCGACCTTAGTACCACCTGCCATTGGCCCCAGGACCATGCCCTGTGCCACCACCCAGGCCCCAGAGCCCAGGGCACAGCAGGTTCACCCTGAGGACATCTGAACAGGTCTTTTTTCACAAGAGGACAGAAGAAAGGATAGCGACACTGAGCTCCAATGCCGTGAAGAGGAGCATCACAGACAGGATCCTCTGAAATGCAGGATGCACGAGGTCTGTGCTGGACTGGCCAACCCTTCTGCCTTCCTGAGATGACCAGATGGGTTTAGACAGTGTCATCTGCTGGCTCCTCTTCCCTCATACCTGACTCAACCTGCTCATGATCTGGGAGACAGTGTCATATCCTAGTATCCTGGGCCACTCCAGGGACAGCAGTACAGGTGGCAGGTGACACCCAAGGTTGAGCTGAGCCTCCTGACTCTTCATTCATCTGGCCTCCAGGGAGAGTCTCCGCCTGTCTGGGTTTCAATTTCATCTTCTGTAAGATGGGGACTTCCCACTCACCCCTTAGGGCGGTTTGCAGGTCCACAGAGGTGGTGAGGCAGAAGGCCTTCCTTTGTAAACTGAGCGCCAGCACCTGCTACCCACCTATGCTCCCTGGGGTGGGCCTGCTTGGCTTGGCTGGGAGGCAGCAAGGGGCACCTTGACCAATCAAAGTGATGTGCTGGCACAGTTGCTAATTCTCACGCCAGTCCCCAGGAGCTATCTGCCTGAGGAGGAGAACAATTCTGCTTCCCTGGGTCACCTTCCATGGAACAATGACTTCCAAGTAGAACAGGTAAGGCCACAGGTGGGCAGAATCTAGAATTTATTTGTACAGACTGTGACTATAGTGGGTTAGTGTCCCCCCTCAAATTCATGTCTACATAGAACCTGAGAATATGACCTTATCTGGAAATATGGTCTGTGTAGGTGCAATTAGTTAAGGATCTCAAGGTGAAATCATCCTGGATTTAGGGTGGACCCTAAATGCAATAACTGGTGTTCTTATAAGAAGAGAACAGGACACAGAGACAAACAGAGGGGAAGCCCTCATGAGGATGGAGACAGAGGTTAGAAAGACGTGTCCAGAAGCCAAAGAATGCCTGGAGTTCCCCAAAGCTGGAAGAGACAAGAAAGAGTTTTTTCCTAGAGCCTTCAGAGAAAGAGCGGCCCTGCCGACTCCTCGATCTTGGACTTTGCTTTCAGAACTGTGAAGGAATTCACTTCTGTTGTTTTCAGTCACCAGTTTGTGGTCCTCTGTTATTGTGGCCATGGGAAATGAACACAAGGACCCCTCAGGCAGGGGTTGCCGCTTCTCAGCTCTTCCTGAGAAGCTCCTGAGCCAGAGAGCTCAGGCTGGTTTCTGAGGAGCTCATCCTAACCCACTACACAAACCCCATCCAGCCGCTCAGCAGATGCCTCCCCTGCCCCTCAACCCTCCACTCCCATTATAGCTGCTCCATCTATGGGAGGATGGCCTGAAGCCAGCGATGAGGGGATGGGACAACGGCCAGGCTGTGCACACATTCCCCCTGCCTGCTGCCTCTCCACCCCTAGAATATCCCCCTCTATGGCTGCAGGAATGCAAACTTCCTCTGCCTTCTTTTCTCAGTGTTCCACACACATGTTCTCTTGACTTTATTGACTAAACACATTTTAGAGCAAATACTGATGCTCAGACTGGCTCTAATGCAACAGAGAATGCGAAACCACATTCTGTCATTTTCATAAAGTTCTGATTGCAAACAACAATTAAAAAGCCCATTCCGTATTTGTTTCCTGATTTTTTGGGGTCATTTTTGGCCATCCCATCCATTTTTGTGCATGTGATGGAATTAGGATTTAGCCTCTTGCAGCCTCCCTTGACCTGTGGCTCTTGCCTGGCTGAACCTGGGCACTGCCAGCCTGTGGCCACCCTGTTTATGAGGTTCCTATGTCTCCCTGAGCTCTTGGCCTTTCTTGAGCAATTCGCTACCCTGACCCTAGAGTTCTTGCTTGGAAAAACCCATCCCTTGAGACTATGACAGTTAAATCAGTTTGTTTATTAAGGTGCTCAAATTGAAACCAAGTTGTTGGTTATGTCTTTTTGCAACTACAGTCTTGCTTGATATTGTACTTGAACAACTCTTTTGGCACAGTCCAGTCAAATGCCTGCTATTCTCCCATGTGTGGGTTCCTGTGTTCTGCCTCTTTCCGCATGGTCCACATCAGAAGGAAGCAGTGAACAAGAAGCAGAAAATCTCAAAGACTTCACTAGTCTGGAAGATTCTACCTAAAAATACTCACCAGTAAGCTGGAGCTGGCCACAAAGCAGCTGGTGGTCTCATTCTTCGAAAAGTAGTGGCTGTCTTGGGGCACTGATGGGCAGGCACCACCAGTTGGCACTGTCTGGCAGCTGGGAACACCCCGGCTAGGTGATAGGGAAGGACAATGAGGCCCACTGTGGCAGCCATGGGGCTTAGGAGGCTGCTGATCAGGCTGTTCCAGGCCTGCAGGGGATCTGGTCAGGGTCTGCTCCTGAGCAGTTCATGCTCCTGGGGCACCACGATCCCACCAGGCCAGCAGCAGGTTCTCACATCCAGGATCCTCGGCAGGATGGGACTTCCTCTTCTGTTATACGATTTGATTAATTTTGTTCACTCTCAACCCCTCTCAGAGCTCCCCAAGCCTACAGGCAAATGCTTGCTTGATGCACGACACATGAAAGCGTGAATGAAGCAGAGACTTATGGTGGGACAGACAGGAGATGTGGTTCTGGTAGCTTCTCCACCCAGGACTGAGCAGGGCTAGAGGAAGAGGAAGATATGTATAGAACTGATGTCCCATTGGACTGAACCGAACAGAGAAAATATTGCAATGCCCACAGTGCTTGATAAATCACAGCTTCCCTGACCTCCAAGCCCCCTGCTGGCTTTACCCAGTCCACTGGCACCCTGAGGAGGTTCCTCCAGCCATCTCCCCTAAGCCTAGCCAGAGGCCTCCTGCCTCATCCTGAGCTGAGGCTGTCATCAGGTGGGTTCCCAGACATGCTCTTTCCTATCACCTGGCTCTGTCTGCAGCACCCCTGCATGGTAGAGCTCGAGGCCAAGGGGCCTGCTCACCCAAGTACAACAGATGCCCCCACAGCAGCCTCTGTCATATGGGGACAGCAGCAGGGTTGGTGCTCTTTCCTGTTCTTTTCATCCACTCCACTTTGTGAAAAGGGTGCCCTGGCAGGAGGGCCAGGGAGCATGGGGTACGAGGGCTCAGTGTGGGGGCAACAGCACCTGGGGCCGAGGGTGGATGTTCAGATCCCGGCTGGGGCACGGCCCAGAGGAGGGCTGAGAATCACAGCTGCGCCATGGGGTGCTACCTCCCCTCGAAAGTAGGAAACCTGGATTCCAGTTTTGCGGTGTCCAGACTCACTTTTCAAAGACCAACACCAGGGGAGGAATAGGCTGATGTCTGTGGTGGCTTCTGGGACACCTGGGCTAGGTGTTCCAGCCCGTCACAAGCAGCCCATGGCACGTGTGCTCAGGTATGCCCAGCAGCCTCTGGCAAAGATCCGGGCCCTCTTCCCAGGGGCTCAATCTCAGAGCTGGGCAGTGATGGGGGAAGAGATGGAAAAAGGTCGTGGGCCATTTCTCCATACAGCCCCAGGGATTCACAACTCGTGTTGTCAGAATGTTCTGAGAAAGTCCCTTTTTTTCAAAGAAGAGGTCCCTGAGGATGGTGGCGGGTGAATTTCCTAGGAGCCTAAGTGGCCCTGGAACACCGTGGTCCCCACCTTGTGCCGCCGTCTGCCTCACCCAGCTGCTGCTTGCTCTGTAGGGCTGGTGCTCCTGCCCTTGTTTAGGGGATCCACACAGGCTGCTTTCCTGGAGGGCTCAGGGGAGGCTGAGGGTGGGGATGAAGAAGGGCATCTGATCCTTTGAGGGAGGTCTGAGAGAATGACAGTGTCCAAACCTGGCACTGCCACCTTGAGGCTTGGCTGCCAGTTTCTTGGCAGCTTCTGTGTCAGGACAGGGAGACCCCCAAATCCCAGGTCACCAGAATCTCCACCATACCCATCTCTGTCCCCCAACCCATGCCTCTTAGCCTCCTAAGAAAGGCCTGGAAATGATTCTGCAAAAGTTTGTCAATCAGATGTGCACCCATCACTGAACACCCCCTTTTCACTCTGCACCCTTCCTGGCCCCCACCAGCAAGGCTCATCTCTTTTGATTGATGCTTTTCTCACCCAGGCTGTGGTGCACAACTAACAGCCCATGCTCTCACTGTCCTCTTTCCCCTGTGCTCACCAAGGACCTGAACCCCGGTGGTCAGTGAACACCAAAGGGTGTCATGATGAGGCAGAATTTTCCCATAAAGCCACCCAGAGCCTGGAGAGGGTACAGGACTCTCTTCAAAATGAGGATCATGAAAGGTGTCCCCCAGATCAGTGGGCCCTGTGTACTTCCACAGGGCCACTGACCAAAGGACACTTGTCAGCAACCTGGGGTTCAGTTCCTTTGTCTGAACCTTGGAAAGATCCAACTGGATGAGGTTCCGCTAAAGTCTCTTTTTAGTAAGTGAGGCACTGTTGTTCCTATACTCACCAGATGCTTGTTTGATTTTCTTCCCAAAATGACAGACAGCAATCCAGAAATGATAAACTACTCAGAAAAGAGGAAAATGGTAAAGTCAGTTTCCACATGAACAAGCACCCCGATGTCCCTACCACTGAATTGTCACGTCCTTGTACACCTCCAGGAACTTCCCCACAGGGCTGACATTATTGGGCATGCTGGAAGCTGGGCCAAAGTCCAGGCCATATGTGGCTACAGGCCAATGTTGAGGGAAGTGGATATAGGAGGCCAAGCCACCCCTAGAATCTCATGAGAACCTGACTCAGCTGGAGAGGAAGTTCTTCTAGGGCAAAGACAAAGGGGCTTAAGGCCCAGGCTCCCCAACAGGGACCAGGGAACAGTGATTTTCAAGGGAGAGAGGGCAGGTAAATGTTACAAGACTCTATTTAGATGAAGATGTTGTGGTGGGGAGAGAAAAGCCACGCGGGCTTTGAACTGTCAGTTCCATGGGCTCTACCAGAGTCAGAGTTAAGGACAGAAGAAAAAGGGGGCCCAAATAAAGGGAAGATTTTGAGGCCAGGTTAACAGCTAGAAAAAAACTGTTGATTCTGGGTTATTACAGAAAAAGTGTTCTGTGGTAATGCAGTAATTTGAAATAGCTGCAATGTACGAAAACTACATGGCATGGTGGCAAGACTATAAAAAAAAGTTTTTCTGGTCCTACCAAGAAAATAGCCAGATAGAGAGGGAACAGGGAGGTTTGTGACTCAGTGGTCAGAGGATGCTCAAAAGCCACCGTGAATGCAAGAGGCTGCGGCTGGGGCGTGAAGACAGGTCTAGGCTGTGGGAAAGCCTCATTCACATTTCACAAGACTGAAAGCTTTCTCCTGAAGCTTCTTGCTGTGGCCTGAATGTCTGTTGCCCCCAGATTTCATGTGCTAAATACCTAACCTCCAATGCGATGGTATCTGGAGGTGGGGTCTTTGGGAGGTGAGTAGGTCGTAAGGGTGAAGCCCTCATCAATGGGATTACTTCCTTTATAAAAGGAACCCAGAGAGATTCCTCTGCCCTTCCACCACATGAGGACACAGCGAGAACGCTCTATCTATGAACAAGCAACAGCCTTCACCAGACACCAAATCTGTCGGTGTCACGATCTTGGACTTCCAGCCTCCAGAACTGTGAGTAATAGATGCTTGCTGTTTATAAGCCACCCAGCTTATGGTATTTTTGTTAAAGCAGCTCAAGCCGTCTAAGACACTCCTTGATTCCAGGAGCCTGGGGGATATTCAGGACTCCGAGGCTATGTCTGGAGCGTAACTCTGCAGAAGGCCTTCCACATGCCAAGAGATGACAAGCAGCAGATAGAGCTTCTAAGTGCTCCATGCCACCTCTTCAAGCTCAGTATATGCTCTACTGACCCCACTGGTCCTGCTGGCCCCATAGACAGGGCCACAAATGCACCAGCCTGGCCACCCCACTGTGTGCCCTGTCCACCCCATTTCTCACTTGCTGTCTGCCCACCTCACTCCTACTCCTTGTGTCACCTGAACTTAGGGAGAAGTAGGGTGACCCTATGTCCAGTGTGTCAGGGACAGTCCTGGGTATTCCTGTGATCATGGCATAAATAGTAATAGCACACTCTTTTATTCTTATAGTGTCCCTGTTGAGGCTACACATGCTATTGTCACCCCAGAGAGAAGCTGCAGGGCTCCCAGGGCCCTCGAGGATGGCACTATGAGGATTTTGGAAGAACTGATATTTGAGCCAGATGATCAATTCTGTTCCCATTGGCAAAACCCCTTCTCCTGCCAGGCCTTCTCTCACTCCTGGCTGATTGCCCTCAAAACAAGTTCCATTCCTGCATCTTTGCTCTCCACAGAGACATTGCTAGGTAGCATATCAGTTGTCTGTGCCCTGCTCCATCCCAGAGACCACCCTCCATGAACACCCATCCTACTCACATACTTGGCTCCTACGAATGGGTATCCAGACCTCACCAAGGTGAGAACCACTGGGCCAAAGTGACAGGGAAAGGAAGTACATGCCAAAAGGATCCCCATGCTCATAACTGCAAAGCCACAGAGGATCTGGATGGTCTGTTAGGGAAGAAGGGTCACCTGGTGTGACCTCAGAAAGATATGTTCAAGTCCTAACCCCTGATACCTGGGAATGTGATCTTCTTTGGAAATAGGGTATTTGTAGATGTCATTGGGATGTCAGTTAAGATGAGATCAGAGTGGAGCAGGGAGGGCCTTTAATCCAGTATGACTGGTGTAGGTACAAGACAAGAGAAACAGGCAGATGCTGGCAGAGAGAATGTCACACAAAAACGGAGGCAGAGGTGGGAGGGATGCAGCTGCAACCAAGGAGAGCCAAGGACTGCCAGGATACACCAGAGCTGGGAGAGAAAGCCTGGCCCTGCCCAGACCTGGATTTCAGACTATGGCCTCTGGCCTCCAGAATTGGGAGAGCATGAGTTTCTGTTTTGTTTTGTTTTTTTTTTGTTTTTTTTTTTTAAAGCCATCTGGTTTGTGGTAGTTTGTTACCATGGCCCCAGGAAACCAACTCACTGGGTGAGTCAATCAAGGGCCAGTCATTGTCAGTTTCCCCAGGGAAGCGGAGTGCTGGAACTCTCTGTGCAACCCAAGGAGATAGTGCGGAAGCAGGAAAAGCGTCTCAGGGGCATGGGAAACCAAGCACGCAGGACATGCTCCCAGCCCTTCCCAGTGCTGGCTGAGATCAGCGTGCAGTGAAATGCTGGGTGTTTCTGTCTTTAGCTCTGAGCTGTGGCAGTGGGATCCCAGGTGATGACTGGTCACAGCCCAGGAGGTTCCCATGCCCTTTGCTCCCTCTCCCTCCTGGGCACAAAGAAGCACTTAGGAGACAGCAGGTGGGGCAGGAACTGGCTCCCACTCTCTGCAGGATGAGTGGACACAGGTACCTCTGTTCGGGGCATGGCTCCTTGTGGGAGACAGACCCCAGAGCTGTGACGGGGTCCCAGGCAGCCTCTGAATCAGCCTCAGAATATTTCTACCACAAGAGTTCACATTCTTGCAACATTTACCAAGCAACCTCCTACCTGTTCTAACAGCGGAGTCAGCCCAGAAAGCACTTTTCAACCCAAGGTTAGGTGTGGCCTGGGGATTGAAGGAACAGCTGAGGCTCCCACAAGTAGGGAGGTGCTGGCCCTGGGCCCCAGGCCCTTCCCCCTGGTGCTTGTGTTGCCCAGCTCCTTCTTTCCATTTCCCCCTCCTCCCTTTGGTCATGCAATGGAGTTGTATTTCTTTAAAAATCATGGATCGTATGAGAGATATTGGAAGGCAGACTAAGGGCACATATCTGTTTTCAAATGGTTAATTTCTCAAGAAGGGAGAATAGGAGATGAATTGTCTATAATTTTTAGAAAGAAAAAAAAATCCCTGGGAAGTAAAATCTAGAATAATTTATTCAACAGACTATTTTTTTTCTTTTGCCTCCAAATAAAGTGTATGCAAATATGTTATTATTCCCTTAAAATGAGTTAAGCAGCCAAAGTTTTATATCTCAGGTGAATGCTCCCCATGAGCACAAAACTGGGAAATCTCTTACTTTCTTGCGGAAAATGACTAGGTGGTCCCAGAGGCCTCCCCCGACGCCTCCAGAGCAGCCTGGAACTCCTTAAGCCAAAGGCTCTGTCTCCAAAGTGACAAAGTGTCCTCCTGGCACCCACTCAGCCTCTGCCCTTTGCTTGGCTGTTCTTACCCCAAGCACCTGGGCCTTTTTCTTCAGATTTTTTTCTCACGTTGTCCTGGTTGAGAGGCTCCAGATTCTCTGTGAGGTGCTCAAAGATGCAACTTTGTGGAAACACCACACAGTATCCACTGGGCAGGGCTCTGGACCCGGATAGGGATTGCTGCTGCTGCTGCCAGACAGGCGCGGAGCCAGGTCCGACTCTGGACCGAGACTTAACATTGCAAACTTCCCAAGCTTCAGATTTCCTTGGGTAGTCAACTAGAATCCCCCAGTCATCCCAAGGCGACCAGGGTTCTAGGAAGGAACCTGGGAACAGGGGTGCCTCAAAACCCTGGCGTAGTGAGAATTCTCATGGGTTCTTGGCATTGCACAACACCTGTTGACAGCACAGCCTGCCCTGAGGAGGGTCACAGCAGAGAGAGCAGACCAGCCTGCCTGCAGGTGCCCAGCTTCACCTTCATACTGGTCATGAATTTCCTGCAGTCCCTAACAGGCTTGGGACATGCTCCCTCCAGCCCAATTTCAGGATTGGATGCTTTTCAAATTCTGCTCTCCATCCCTTCTTATGCCAGGTCCATTCCTTTCAGGACATCCAGTTAGCACTGCCCTGCTTCTATAACCCAAATATTACGTGATTCTTCGTAGGAAAACCAATTGTTGGTGTCAGAGCTCTCTGAGCACTGACAATAGGCTAGGCTTCATGCTAAAGCAGTGCTGTTCCTTACACGCAGCAAGGCCCGTAATCAGAGTCCGAGGTACTAGTTCTAAATGAATAAGACATTCTTAGCCCAGAGACGCCTAGCCACAGCATGGCCTCTGTATGAATGTGTAGTAAATGTAAGCAATTACGAGTAATGCCAGGTTTAACTGTCACAGCCGATGTGACAAAGCCCGCTGGCTCTGGGTCTTTTCTCTTTTTACCTCCTCAGCTCCCTTCTTCCCCCTCTTGTAGTGTAAGGCAGCTGCATATGGCAGAAAGAGAATGTGGTCCAGCCCGTCCCCTGGTCTCTGCAGCTGAGCCCAGGCCCCACCTGCCCCAAGGGCTCTGTTCACTGCATCAGCCCCTTCTAGGACAGCACAGTGGGGAAACAGTCTGAAGTTGCCCAGAGAGAGGAGGCTCCTGCTCCTGTGGCCCTTTATCCTGCGTCTGAGCTTGCAGGATGTTCTGGGATCTCTGGGCTGGAGTGGGCAACACCTGCAGCTCAGAAACCATGTCCCAAATTAGGCACGTGAAGGAGTCTGGTGGAAAAAGTATTGGGCCACAGAAACAAGGCTGCTGGGTACCTTTCCCAATCTCACAGACAGCGTCCTTCAGAAGAGACCCCAACACTGACGTTGGCAGATATCTCTGAGGGGGCCTGTGTGACTTTCATCTCCTCCAGGACCTCTGGGCTTCATTGGCCCATGTCAACCTGTTCTGCCCTGATTGGCAGGGAACACCCCACATCTCTGGCTCAGGCAGTTATGATGACAAAATTTATAGGGCCCTTCCTGCAGCAGTTCTTTAATTTTTAGAACAAGGCCAGTGGCATTGTGATTGAGTTCAACTGCTGGGGAATCAATTGCATTGAATTTGTGTTGGGTGGTATTGTGTGCACTGAAGACACAGTGCACACATTAAGATCTCAGAACCTCAGAGCTGCAAGGGAGCCCCATTTAGCAGATGAGAAGTTTCTCCTCCTAGGGCTTCAGGAGCTGTAAACATCCACCCCTAGATGCCACCGTGGGGTTGGAGCCCCACAATCTGCCCATCTGTATGCTCCCCTAGAGGTTTGAGCAGTGGGGCACTGAAGAAGCAAGCCACACCCCCATCACGTGCCCCGCGAGGGGAACAAGGGAACTTTTCTCATTTCAAAAGTATAAAACTCACTGTAAAAATAAGAATATAGTACAATTCAGACTTCTCTCATACTCTGATGGCATAAGTCACTTTTAATTCTAGTATAAAATTAAAAGATAAAATAAAACAATTATAGCCATAATAATTTGTTGGTGGATACAGAGTATGAAAAGATGTAAATTGTGACATGAATAACATAAAAATGTGTAGAGAGAAGAAGTTAAAGTGTAGGGTTTTTGTATGCAGTTGAAGTTAAGTTATTAGCAGCTTCACATAGACTAAAAACTGTAAGATATTTTATGTAAGTCTTATGGCAACAACAAACAAAAACCTGTAGTAGGTACACACAAGACAAAAAGAGTAAAATCAAAGCATATTACCACACAAAAAAATCATTAAATTACAAAGGAATACAGCAAGAGGAAGAAAGAACAAAATATCTACAAAATAGTCAGAAACCCCTGAACAAATGGCAGTAATAGGTCCTCATCTGTCAATAATCACTTTAAATATAAATGAATTCAATTCTCCATCAAAAGACATAGAGTGGCTGAATGAATAGAAAAAGAAAACCAAGATCCAACTATGTGTTGCATCTGAGGGATTCAATATATCTTTAAGGACACACATAGGCTAAAAGTGAAGGGATGGAAAAAGATGTTCCATGCAGATGGTAGCTAGTAGAGAAGAGGGGTGGCTATACACACATCAGATAAAATAGACTTTCAGTTAAAAACTGCCACAAGATTCAAAGAAGATAATTTTGTAATGATCGAAGGAGTCAATTTATCAAGAAAATATAACAATTTTAAGTGTATGTGCACCCAAGTTCAGAGCACCTAAATATGTAACGAAAATATGAACACAATGAAGGGAGAAACAGACAGCAACACAACATTAGCAGGAAACTTTTATACCCCACTTTCAACAACGGATAGATTGTCCAGACACAAAATCAAAAAGGAAACTTTGGATTTGAACAACACGATAGACCAAGAGGTCCTAAGAGACATTTATGGGACATTACATTCAACAGCAGCAGAATGACCATTCTTCTCAAGCATACACAGAACATTCTCTAAGATAGATCATATATTAAGCCACAAAACAAATCTTAACAAATTTAAGAAGATTAAAATCATATCAAGTCTGTTTTCTGACCACCATGGTAATAAATTAAAAGTTAGTAACAGGAAGAAAATTGGAAAATTTACAAATTTTTGAAAATTAAATAATATCATGTTGAACAATCAGTATGTCAAAGAAGAAACCAAAAGGCAAATTTAAAAACTATCTTGAGACAAACACAAATGGAAATACAACATCCCTAAACTTATGGGATGCAGCAAAATAGTTCTAAGAGAGAAGTTTACAGTGATAAACACCCACATTAAAAATATTATAATATAATTTTGCATGATGTTACCACTGGAAAACTGGGTATGGGATCTGTTTGCATTATTTCTTGCATCTACATGTGAATCTACAATTATCTAAAAATTAAAAGTTGAATTTAAAAAGCCACAAGAATGATAATGTACAGAAGAGCAAGAGGAACAGAGAGATGTAAAACATTTCATTTAATCAAATATTAAAAAAAAAAAGAAGTTGCTGACCCAGTAATTTCACTCCTTTTCGTTGGATATATGCTCCAAAGGAATGCCTGCATTCATTCTAAGACATGCTACAAAACATTAAAATACAATGGTCAAAATATGAAAAGACAAGGGATTTCATACAATATAATCCACCCAAAACAAAATCCAAATTATTTTTTAGAAGTTATTAAAATAGAAACCACATGTTTTTGAATATGTGATTAAAGCATACTTAATACAAAGAGAAAGCTTTGCTAACTGGAAATTAACTATTTGTTTTTGTCTTAAACAACTTTTGGTACTGGAGGATTTTAAAATGAAAATTATTTAGAAAATAGAAATGTTGAGATAATTGCCAGTGGTTATATGTTAATATCAGGAGGGACTTGCAGACACTGGAACAGGACCTCAGTGGGGACATGCAGAGCCATGGGGGCTGGCAGTGCTGGCTGCTGCATGTCACAGGAATAAACACAGAAAGCACATTATTGTTAAAGAAGAGAGCATGAGCAGACACTGAAAATGCTTTAATAAAGATACCAGAGAACAAGATAGTGTTAGTCCATTATGTCCATTACCACACTGCTATAAAGAACTACCTGAAACTGGCTAATTTATGAAGAAAAGAGGTTTAACTGACTTATAGTTCCACAGGTTTAACAGGAAGAATAACTGGGAGGCCTCAGGAAACTTACATTTATGGCAGAACACCAAGGGGAAGCAAGCACCTTCTTCACATGGTGGCAGGAGAAAGAGAGAGAGTGAAGGGGGAAGGTCACACAATTTTCAACCATCAGATCTCATGAGAACTCACTCACTGTCATGAGAACAGCAAGGAGGAAATCTGCCTCCATGATCCAGTTACCTCCCACCAGGCTTCTCCAATTCGATATGAGATTTGGGCGGGGACACAAATCCAAACCATATCATGTGTCTATAAGAAACACAGAGATTTACACTATTGGTATGTAAATGGTGCTACTGAGACCAGATTGGGTACAATGACAAACACTTCCTGTGGATGGTGACGTCTTTTCCAGACTAGGAAGACTGGAAAAGAGAAATCTCCATGTGGACGGCCAGGTGTCAGAAAATGCTTCAATCAATGGATTTAGTTAAACAGCATAAAACAGCTTGCCATGTAGTTATTTTGAAATAAATTACTCAGTCAGGCAGCAAATTCAGGGAAAGTCAGCCAAATAAATATACAAATGTAGACAGAGAAGTCTTCCCAAGAAAAGAAGAGAAAGCAAAGAGAAATGGCATCACCAATGAAAGCACACACAGAGATGTAACTTCAGAAATGGTGTCCAGGGAAAATGTCCTTTCCCATCTTCACATCATCCTCTGGACATTGACCAGCAAGCAGATATTTTCTGACGCAGAAGAAGAAAGGAAGCTCTTCTGATCTGTACAGTGGGCAGATCACATCTCCGTGGGGTGTTCTACAAATGTTTTATTGATCTTTGGTGATGTATTTTTTTTGTCATCCAGTAATTTTTTTCATGCCCCTTGTCAAGATAATTCTCCATCCTTATCTGGTGTGCTTCCCTCCTGGCAGGGTCTAATCTTTGTTGCCTGCTCTGGAGGTAGCAGGAGCCTCAACGGTTCAGAGAAGTCCTATCTCCTTCCTGTAGGCAGCAGAAATTCATTTCTCATGAACATCAAAGTCTTCTTAGTGAGATGGGTGCCTGGTGGGTGAAGTTAAACATGTCCAGGATGGGCCATGGCTACGCCACAGGACCTGAAGGGTTTTATCACAATAGGTGAGGACTGCCCTCAGAGTGTGGCATCAGAGTCAAACTCTGGTATTGTAGCTGCAAACCAGCACTGATCCTTGGGGGCAATCCCTAGGCATCCTGGAAACTCTGGCTACTGATTGAGTTCATGAATGAGATGAATACCTAGAATTTAAGCATACACCTGAATGTGAACCTTGCTTATGCTGAATTTCCTTTTTCAAATTTAAATGTTGAGCTGACACTGATAAAATTAGGCTTCTCCAAACAGCAAGCCAAACTTTGCTTATTTGCTGACAAGCCAGCAGGCCCTTCTATTTCAGAAGAAGTGATGTAGAACCAAGTTCTTAGCAAGCAATGAACTCAGGTGTCTGCCAGGGAATGGCATGCTCATTCACAGATGCATCAGTCCTCATCCCTGTAGGTTGGAAACCCCAGCAATGAAGAATCAATAGAAAGGTCTTCATCATGACTCATCACTCCAAGCTGTCTGTTCTAGAGCAGGGAAATTTCCAGCATGGATCTTTAGCTCCATTTGGGAAGATGGACCAAACCCTGCCCATCTTGGAGAAGAGGTGGCCTGACACTCAAGGTCCCACACACAAGGCTCTTTCCCTCTGTGTGACCATCAGAATCTTCAAGGGATACCTGACCATTTCATTTCTTTCTTTTCTTCCTTCTCTTGACAAGTTAATTGCAGAAGCTGTTGGAATCGCTTCAATAGAACAGATGGCCTGCGCTGGAGAACGTGTGGTGTTACATTAAGGGAGGGGTCTTGTGCTTAAGGGAAAAAAATGAGACCTGAACTAAAACTTCCACAGAGGACAAAGGACGAATTCCTGGAATCAAGTAAAGCAGTGCAGCAGCAGTGACAAAACCTCCAGAGTTCATCAGAAACAGAGAAACTGATTTCAGGGGTCACAAAAGAGTCTGGTGTCTGCATACCAGAGAGAACAAATGTAGGTCTTTTTTTTTTCATTCAAAAGATACAGATTACACTTTAAGAGACAGATAATTCCACTAAGTAAAACTCCTCTGAGAAGCACACTTCGTATGTCCAGGAGAAAGGCCATGAAAGGGCACTGTGGAAACTGGGAGGCAGATACAGGTGAGGAGCTTGCAGAGCACCTTGAAGTCCAGGAGCCTCTTGTACTTCAGAGCTGATGGGTGAGAAAAGCCGGTCAGTGTGGGAGGAACAGAGTGGGGCATAACACCCTTCAGCATGCATCTACATGACTGTGGGATTGTGGGGAAAAGGCTAGGAGGGGTGACAAGAGACAACAGAAAATGTTATTCTACACTTAAGCAAGACATTTTCTCTCAGGGTAACAATACGTCATTGGTGTTGATTTTCAGTGCCTGTCCTAACTAGGATCAGGTGGCAAAACAGGACACAAGATATTGAGAGTCCAGGGGACTCCATGCCCAGAGACTGCATATTCACATGGTAAGTGACCAAGAAACTGTTACATGAAGATGGTGGGTACAAACCATCTTTGAACAGAGAAAATGAAATAACTGTTTACAGAACATCAGCCCTCGGGACAACTCAGTTGGAAAATCAATAATCTAGAAATGTGCATTCTTAAAGTGAATGTGGCAGGTGAGATCAGAGCAAGGGAAAAGTACTGAGAAGGTAAAATGACAGTGAGCTCATGGCAACCCCGAATCTGAGTCCTAAGACATCAGTCAGTGCACAGGGTTGACCCGATGTGTGTCAGAAAGACAGGCAGAATCTCTCAGACCTGCTGTGGTCCCTGAGAGTTGAGAATGCAGGTGAAATGTGGACACAGAAGTCCCAATACATACCCATGCCTGTAATAGGAGGACACTCTTTTCAAACTGTGAGGGCTAGGGCCAAGCTTTTCTTACTGAGGTGAAGAAAGGGCCACATTACTGGCTTCTCTCTGCACAAATTGTATTGGAACACCCCTCAAGGGGTGCTTTCTTTGGGAGTGAAGCATGGTGAAAGCTTTTGCCTGAGGGGTTCTCTGAATTTGATCTTGATCTTGTGTTTATCAAGAGCAATGCCATGAAGTTCAGCTCACTAGAAACTGACTCAACATATCCAACTTGGAACTGGGTCTACTCCTTGCAAGGCCCTATTCCCTGTCCCTAGGATGAGGGAGTCAGGGGCTGCCAGGGCTATGCGGAGCTCTGACCAGAGTAAGAGAAAGGAGCCCTATGGAGACAGGAAGGACCTGCCTGGGCACATAAAGCCACAGTGGAGCAGCTGACCATGTGATAAACCTCGGGATGCTCAGCTATCTGTCCCCACAGATAGAAGCCACTCATTGGCCAGAAGAAAAACAAGGAGCACATGGGAATCTTGATCAAAGTTGCTCAAGGTCCAGTAACTTCTGGAAGCCCAAGAGAGAGCTCATATTCAGAGGACAGGAAGACAATTCCAGACCATTGGTCCACAGAGGTGTCACCTGTCCTTCTGTGTCTGTGTCAGCCTCACTGCCCCCTGACTTACCCCTGCCCCCAGGAAAAATGTCACAGGTAAGATGAGAACTGTGTTCTCTCTTCATCTGACTCTGTTTCTCATCTCTCTAATTCGGAGGAGTTTTTGCAAGGATTTTAGATGTGTTTTCCCCAAGGGAAAGAACATTATCAGGACAGTGCAACCCTTCATTTGAGGACTGGGGACTGGAATCCATCCTTGCTTATTCTTTTTTTGTGTGCGAATTTTGCTTCATTTTGGTAAGAATTCTTGACACGAGATCTATTATCCTAATAATTTTAAGTGCACAGTAGTGATCTTTAAAATGCAAATCCTTGGCTGGGCATGGCAACTCATCCCTGTAATCCCAGCAATTTGTGGGGTCGGGGTGGAGGGGATCTCTTGAGCTCAGGAATTTGAGACCAGCACAGGGCAACAAAGGGAGACTCCCATCTCTACAAAAAGAAAAAAATTAGAAAATTAAAAAAGAAACCTAGCCAGATGTGGCAGCACACGCCTGTGGTCCCAGCCACTCAGGAGGCTGAGGTGGAGGCATCGATTGGGCTGGAGAGGTGGAAGCTGCAGTCAGCAGTGATTGCATCACTGCACTCCAGCCTGGGGGTGAGAGAGTGAGACCTTGTCTCTAAAGAAATAAATAAATCCAGATAATATTATTATCTGAGCTTAAAACTTTCCAACACCTGGACATTGCACTTAAAATTCAAACTTCTTATCTTGGCCTATATGATTCCACACCTGCCTACCTCTCTAAAAGCTTATTTCTCTCACTCTCTCTTTCCCTCCCTAAACTTCAGCCACACTGGCCTTCTTTCTTTTCTTCAACCATACGACTGTTCTTCCTATGCGCCTTTGTACTTCCTGTTCCCACTACCTGCAGCACTATTCCTCTAGATATTCCCAGGATTGGCTTCCTGAAAAAGCCAGAAAATATTGTCAGCTCAGAAAGGACCAACCTAAGTGGCTCACTGTCTTTCCCGTTTTCCTTAAGATAGTCCATCCCACTGCCACTTTTTTTTTTCCTTCAGAGTAGTAAGCACCGTCTGAAATGATCCAATTTACTGCATTTGCTTATTGACATTCATCTGTCCCAACAGGACAGTATTTATTCATTCATCTCTCACTATATGCTCATCACTGTTCCATGCACTTACATGCTATCCACCCATTTAATTTTCAAACCCACAAGTAGGTATTATCAGTATTCTAATTTTGCAGAGGAAATACCAGAGGCTCAAAAAGATGAAGCAGCTTCAGTTGCAAAAACATTCCAGTACACTGTTGTTAACTATAGGCAACTACTACTTTTGTGCAGTAGAGCTCTAGTGCTTATCTATTTTGTTAAACTGAAACTTTATGCCCACTGACTACTAGCTCCCTACTTCCTGTCCTACAGCCCAGGGAACAACCATCCCACTCTTTGTTTCTATGAATTTGACTATTTTAGATACCCTATTTAAGTGCATGCAGGATTTATTCTTCTATGACTGGCTAATCTCACTTACCATAATGATCTGCAGGTTCAACTATGTTGTCATATATGACAGAATTTCTTCCATTTTTTTTTTGAGATGGAGTCTCCCTCCCCTGCCCAGGCTGGAGTGCAGTGGTGTAATCTCGGCTCACTACAACCTCCGCTTCCCAGGTTCATGCAATTCTCTGCTTCAGCCTCCCAAGTAGCTGGGATTACAGGCACCTGCCACCATGCCCAGCTAATTTTTGTATTTTTAGTAGAGACGGGGTTTCACCATGTTGGTCAAGTTGCTCTTGAACTCCTGACCTCGTGATCCATTCACCTTGGCCTCCCAAAGTGCTGGGATTATAGGCGTGAGCCACCACACCTGGCCAAATTTCTTCCTTTTTAAAGGCTGAATACTATTCTATCTTATGTTTATATCACATTTTCTTTATCCATTCATTTTTTGATGGATTTTTAGGTTGTTTCCACATTTTGGCTATTGTGAATAGTATTGCAGCAAACATAAGAGTGCTAATATTTCTTTGAAAACCTGATTTCAATTCTTTTGGACAAATACTCAGAAGTGGGATTTCTGGACCATACGGTGCAGTTCTACTGTTAATTTTTTGAGGAATTTCCATACTGCTTTTCACAGCAGCTGCGCCATTTTGCATTTTCACCAACAGTGTGTGAGGGATCCCTTTCTCCACATCCTCATTAGCACTTGTTATCTTTTGTTTTTCCAGAATGGCCATCCTAACAGGCGTAAGGTGCTATCTAGTTGTGGTTTTGATTTGCATTTCTTTGATGAGTCATCTTGGCCTGTCCTTGACTGGAGACACATTTTGGAAGCTGTTGGCACTCTCTGTTAATGGACATTTGGGTTATTCCCTCCCGTTCTCCCCTGAACTGGCTCTTCCCAGGTTAGTAGGAGGAAGAGTGTGTACTTGGTGCTGCAGGACTAAGATTAAGCCCTAGTGAAATCTGTAACATCTTTTTGGGCATTCCCATGGATCAGCTATAGCAACTCATTTAAGGATTTTTTTCTTGTTACAGATACATCCTGCTTTAGTGAGCTCAGCTTCTCTGGCAACTTCATCTGTGAAGCTGTCTTAAAGTATGAGAAGTCATTATCAGTGTTCAGGATCTCAGGAAAGGATGGTCTGATCTCTTTGGGCCCAGAGCGTTTCACCTCTCAAGCATCCTAAGTTCTTCAGTGTTCTGGACTCCATAGTGGGGCATCAAGGGTCATCAGGGCTGATTCTCAGAGGCCTAGCCAGCTCAGCCGAAATGTCCAAGGCTCAGGCAGTGGGCCCTGGACAGGGGATGTTGGCATCCTCCAATGAAATGATTCCATCCATCTTCCTGAGACAGGAAGGTGGACAGGAATCTCTCTAAGGAAGACACATGAGATCTCCTCTAGTCTGTGGTCAGCCTTGAGGTACCACACCTGCCCAAGGTGAGCAGGTTTTTGGCTAAGGGTGAATGGTTCATATCAGTTCTCCCCTACCCTGGATGCATTGTCTGAGGTGTTTTGCATGCTAGGCTCTTGGCCTCTGTCTCAGAGTCTTGAAAAGAGACAGAGCAGAGCTCTCCTGCTCACAGTCTGTATCTGCACTCATCCAGGATCTTCCACTTAAACGAGCTCTCAACATCATGGACAAACTTCCAGCATGTGAGTAGATTCACATCTGAGGCTACATCTTTGGTGTTTGCAAAATAGTGATAAGGATTCCATGGTTGAAAGAGGAAGCTGTGGTCAGGCCCCACCACTCCAGGGACAGTAGCTCAGTGCTGCTCTGAAGGGGCCTGGCTGCCCCTTTCTGTCCACTGATGGCTGAGATAAGAATATTCTCCAATCTTGAAAATGGCTTATAAGTCTTTAACTCTCTAGAGTTGCAGGGACCTTCTTGGGGTTTATTAACGCAATAATAGAAAAATAGTTATTGCACTCAAGTTGCTTAAGAGGCCCTCTCTGGACAGGAGCATCAAAGATTAACAAAGCAGATGAAGCCACTTGCCCCAGGGTGGTGAACTTGCTGAGCCTGCCTGTGGCTCTTTCCTTCTGGCTGTCACCTGGTTGCTCCAGTAGGTCATTCAGATCTCCACGTCCTACTAAGAAACTCCCCTCATTTATCCCACTAGGAAACATCCATTACCCTTATCATTTTCTATCCACTCAGCCCAATTTATTTTTCTCCTTGCAGTTATCACAATGTAAACCCAAAGAAGGTACAGACAGTTCTACCTTAGCACTGTCTTATCCTCATGCCAAAGATAAGTTTGTGGCAAGTGACATTTGCCTACTGAAGAGGCAATTTCCTGAGGAGACTGTTGAGTAGAGATGATGAAACGGTCTTTGGAGGAGCTTCAAAAAGGGAGGTCTAGAAGAAGAGCCCAGTGTGTTTCACAGATCCCAGAGCGGGAGGCAGAGGTCAGAGAAGCCTTGCGAAGTCTGCTCCACAATTCCAGATTCTATAAAAATAACAATTATTATTAGTTTTTTGAATATTAATAATAATTATTCATTAGAAACAAGATATAATAGTACTACTTGTTAATCATAATATAATCATAAATAATTAATAATCACATACAACTATTAATCACATTATATTATTAATATATTGTTATTAATATGCCACTAATAGCATATTCATATCATATAAATAATATTAATATAGTATACCAAATATATTAATATATACTGTTAATATGCTAATATATTCACATGTAATCAATAATACATTAATATCTTAATATTGAAAGCATATCAACATTAAAATGTACTGATAAACTATTTTACTAATATTGTATAAATATTATTAATGATACATTATTAATAAACTGAATAATGTTAATATCAATTAATATTAATGACCAAAGACCCACCAACATGGGTCGTGTTGGCATCAAGACTGTGACGAAGGTGGCCTAGGTCATCGTAGAAAAGTACTACATGTGCCTGGGCAATGACTTCCACACAAACAAGTGTGTGTGAGGAGATCCCCATTATCCTCAGCAAGAAGCTCCACAACAGGAGAGCAGGCTGCGTCACGCATCTGACGAACCAGATTCAGAGAGGTCCAGTGAGAGGTATCTCCATCAAGCTACAGGAGGAGGAGAAAGAAAGGAGGGACAATTATGTCCCCAAGGTCTCAGCCCTGGATCAGGAGATCATCGAAGTAGATCCTGACACTAAGGAAATGCTGAAGCTTTTGGACTTTGGCAGCCTGTCCAACCTGCAGGTCACTCGGCCTACAGTTGGGATGAATTTCAAAATGCCTCGTGGAGCTGTTTGACTCTTTCTCCAATGCTGTAATATACAGCAGTCACTGGATTTTATTTTCAATAAACCTGGGACAACAGCAATAAATAAATACATAAATATTAATAAACTAATGTCAATATTAATTATCAATATCCTTGATAGCATAATTGAGAATATGTTATATTAATATAATTAATATATTAACATAAATATATAATGTGAATATATTAACATCAATATTAATAACATGTTAATATAGCAATGTTATATTAATATAATTTATTAATATATAAATATTTACATAGTATTAATATGCTAGTCTCTCTATATTAATATATTTACATAGCATTAAAATACTATTCTCTATATTAATATTTATATTAATATTCTTAGGCCTCTTTTGTATTTGTTGCACCCTAAGTCTGTTCATTTCCTTCTCCTCAGCTGACATTTGGAGCATAGCAGTCGATGATGCCCACACAGACACTGCCTGAGACTCACGCCCCTGGAGAAACGCAGATTTCCTTATTTTCCAGGTCAAGTCCTGCCAGCCATAGAAAGGACTTCTTTGGTGCCAACTGCTGTGAAATGCCTGCCTTGGAAATCTCAGTGCTCCCTTGTACCTGTCTGAGCCCAGGGAAATGCCATACTGTGGCACTGCTGCATCCTGTATGGCTACCCAAGGATGCCCAGGACTGGGTTTGAAAGAGATGAGACATGGCCAGGTGCCGTGGCTCACGCTTGTAATCCCAGCACTTTGGGAGGTCAAGGCAGGTGGATCACAAGGTCAGGAGTTTGAGACCAGCCTGGCCAATATGGTGAAACCCCATCTCTACTAAAAATACAAAAAAATTAGCCGGGCATGGTGGTGGGTGCCTGTAGTTCCAGCTAGTCAGGAGGCCGAGGCAGGAGAATCGCTTGAACCTGGAAGGTGGAGGTTCCAGTGAGCTGAGATCGCGCCACTGCACTCCAGCCTGGGTGACAGAGTGAGACTCCAACTCAAAAAAAAAAAAAAAAAAGAGATGAGACACTAGTGTCTCATGAGTAGAACCTGGACCAGACACAAATCTCCATTCCCAATGTTTAGTGCCTCATTAGTGCCCAACAACAAGATATTGGGTCTATGTGGGTAGGCCTGGGGCATCCTGTACAACAGGAGATGTGTTAGGGGAGGGAGAACAGATCACAAATTCATGGAGAGCTATTTGCAGAGCAGATACTCCCATCCACTCTGATATGTAGTTAATGTTCAGCTGTTCCTAAAAAGCACACCCAACAATGGGTGTTCTATTCCAGCCTAGGAAAATGTAGAGGCAAGGGGTCTGAGGCCAGAGGACACCACTAGATGGACCACTGCTCCTGACTGTGATGTTGTGGCCCACTCAGGTCCCAGCACCCCATGGTCTGGGGGAAAATTTGCTGGTTCAGCCAGAGGGCTGGATGGACAGTGTTTGCTGAGTCACAGATATCTCTCTCATGTAGCCTTTGTCTCCACAGTGGTGACCAGGAGGCACAGAACCCAAACCTGGTATCTCAGCTCTGTGGCGTCTTTCTTCAAAATGAGACGAATGAAACCATACATATGCAGATGAGCATGGCAGTGGGACAGCAGGCCCTGCCCTTGAATATCATTGCCCCCAAGGCTGTGCTGGTCTCCCTCTGTGGGGTCTTATTGAATGGCACTGTCTTCTGGCTGCTTTGCTGTGGGGCCACGAATCCCTACATGGTATACATCCTCCACCTGGTCGCTGCTGACGTGATCTATCTTTGCTGCTCGGCAGTGGGGTTCTTACAGGTGACTCTGCTAACTTATCATGGAGTCGTGTTTTTTATCCCTGATTTCCTGGCCATATTGTCTCCCTTCTCCTTTGAGGTGTGTCTCTGTCTCCTGGTGGCCATCAGCACAGAGCGGTGTGTGTGTGTCCTCTTCCCCATCTGGTACAGATGCCACCGCCCAAAATACACATCTAATGTTGTCTGCACCCTCATCTGGGGCCTGCCTTTTTGCATCAACATAGTAAAATCACTTTTCCTAACTTACTGGAAACATGTAAAGGCATGTGTCATATTTCTAAAGCTTTCTGGGCTCTTCCATGCTATCCTTTCACTTGTGATGTGTGTGTCGAGTCTGACTCTACTCATTAGATTCCTGTGCTGCTCCCAGCAGCAAAAGGCCACCAGGGTCTATGCGGTGGTGCAGATCTCGGCCCCCATGTTCCTACTCTGGGCCCTACCCCTGAGCGTGGCACCCCTCATAACAGATTTCAAAATGTTTGTCACCACCTCCTATTTAATTTCCTTGTTCCTCATTATAAACAGCAGCGCCAACCCTATCATTTATTTCTTTGTGGGGAGCCTCAGAAAGAAAAGGCTGAAGGAATCTCTCAGAGTGATTCTCCAACGGGCGTTAGCAGATAAGCCAGAGGTGGGGAGGAACAAAAAGGCAGCTGGCATCGACCCAATGGAGCAACCACACTCTACTCAGCATGTGGAGAACCTTCTTCCCAGGGAGCACAGGGTCGATGTGGAAACATAATTTCCCACATCTGAGCTGGGGAATTGTACACATAGTAACCCAGCCTGTTCTGCATCATAAGGCTGCTGCATCAAATCAATGCTTTATTCTAATCAAGTTCAGCTTTCATGGACTTTCAAAACAACCCCTTGCTGTTTGTGGTTGGAAGAGACATTAACTTCCTTCCTAGGCAGTAAGCCCAGTTTGAATGTGCTCCAGTTCCAACGATGAGGGGAATGGGACCCAGTGAGACTTTCCTGGTACCTGTGGAATCCCAAATAAAGACCATACAAAAGGCCATGCATTATTCTCAATCATTATCCTGGAACATCCTCCAAATCCAGCCACAGATTTTCCTCCCTTTGTCTATCTCCTCCTTAGATAGAGCTTGAGCTTGTCGGAATTACCAAGAGGCATCATCACATAAGAGTAAGAGTCAGGGTTTTGGACCCAGATTGCCTTTGTCCAAACTTTGGCTCTCCCATTCAAAGCATGTTATTGTGGGCAAATAACTCTCTGTAACTCTGTTTCATCTTATGCAAGAGGAGGATAAAGTTGGTATTTAATATGCATGGTTGGTGTGAGGATTAATTAACCTTATGAATATACAGGACTCCTTGGATTTTATTTACAACATGTGTAACAATTATTTAGTAAGGATGATGAATATGTTGCAGTGTGTTGAATAAATGTACAAAAACATTACGTTGGATAATATAATCCCTCCTCACTAGGTTAGAATTTACACCCAAACCTTTTACTTTGAAGAAAGCAAATTTACCTCATCCTCTCTCCAACTTAATACCATTTAATTCTTCATCTTGCTTACATTGCTTACAAAACTCTCATATTGGGTTTCTTTTGTTAAATGGAACACATCCTTTTTGCAAATTTTCTTTCCTCTGTGAGGAATTATGTCACTCACAATTTTCCTTGTTTTTGCCTTTTCCATGTTTTATCTCTAGTTAAAAAGGTCAACTTTAAGAGCATTTCTATGATCACATTCTCTGGCTGGTCTTATTGATCTTTTATTTCTTACAACATTATTGTAATTTGTAATGGTTCCACCATTTTGGTCTTATTTTAAGCTTCCCCTAGAAGACGAGAAGTTTTGTGAGGTTGAAGTCATTACTTCATGATTCAGTTTAATGTCCCAGTGCTTTGTACATAATAAGTTGTTTTAATAATACCTCTTTGTAATTTGAATAAAAATTGCATTCCCTTTAAGTACATACCCTTTATTTAAGCCTTATTAATTTTATATCTGTGATTTTAGACAATCCTTCAAGGACTAGAATTGCCATTCTATAATATTGCTTTATATATATATATGCTTTAAATTCTGGTTATTGTATATATTATTTTATTGTGGTCAAATAATATAACCAACAAAATGTTATTATTAATATTATTATTTGTATTTCTTTCAGATTTACTCTGTGGCTGAAGACATGGTCAGTTTTGTCCACCATGGTGTTTAAAATAATGTATAGTCTCCTTTTAAGGTGTAATTTGTCAAATAACTTTTTTTAATGATTTCTATATGTGCTTATTCAATTATGTGTACATGTTACTCAAAACAAAGAAGATTCATTCAAGTCTGATATTAAAATATATGGTTACCTCTTAATTCCCATACTGCATCATTGTGTAGCTCATGTCTCATGATGCTGACATTTCAGGAGCATGTTAAGGAGGTGTCAGAGTGAAGGAAGGGGCATGAGACTTCTCGTGGACAGGTCTTTGTCTCTCCACTTCTGTTAGCTCTCCATCTATAAGCAGATTAGTCCTTTTTCAGTTGTCTGAGCTGCAGATACAATTTCCAACATTTTCATTGGTCACTTACTTCGGTTATGATTTTAAAAACATGTTATTGTCAAGCACACCGTTTTTATAAATTTGAATTTGTCAGTCTTTTATGGCTTATGTATTGAGTTATGATTAAAGAAGTCTTACCTACATGAGATAATATAAAATGAATCTATGCTGTCTTATACTATTAAATTATTTCATTTGTAAACATGTAAATATTTGATCAATTTGATTTTTTTTTACTGGAGGATAGTGTGAAGTATAAGCCCACTTTAATCTTTTTTGTTAAACGGTTAAATTATTCAACTTTGTTAGTCATCAGGAGCACTGCATAATGAGATATGATTTTCTACCCCTGTTATTAATAAGCTTTAATGGCTGGACACACAGAAGAATATGGAGGATTTAATGTCTTCTGCAACCAAAGTGGTGAGTTTAAGTTATTGCTTTTGTTGGGGAAAAATTGAGTACTGTACCTTAAAATTATAAACACACATACACTTATAATCAACGTTTAAAGTTTTATTGCTCCATTTTACAGAGACAAAATAGTGTTACCAAGTGATATCCGTGACAGGGTGTTTATTGCAACAATACTGGTTTTACCTGCTCCCACGGCAGAAAATCCCACTGTCCCTACTGCAGAGATGCATCTGGGAGGGATTGGGTGACTGGGCACTTTCACACCTGTAGCTGTTATGTACTTCTCCAAGGCAAAGCCATGAAGTAGGACTTAGCAGGAACTGGTGCCCATAGCTAGGAACAGGAATCTTCTCACACGCACACACACACACACAAATTACATTGATAAATATTTTCATGAGATTGTTTCCAGGGAATTTGTAAGACAAAAGTTTTTAATGAAATTACTACTCCCCACCTCTTAAAATAAAAGGAAAAAATAAAACAAATAAAATCAAACTAATAAGTGAAAATAACATGGCCAATAACATCATATGTTCAGACCCAAAGGTCCAAACCTGAACCCTGACCTTTTGCCAAAAGAAATGGGATTGTGAAATATGAACAAACATTAGAAAGGTGTTTCACCTCAAACACCCAGGTGTGGCCACGGAATAAACCAAATAAGGAAAATCTCCCAGAGGGAAGTTCCAGTGTCTATGGACAATTCACTAAATAGATTAGGTGAATCCTTCCAATGAGAAGAACAGAGAACTGTGAGCTTGAGAGTGATGGAACTTACTTTCCTGACAACAAGTGTGATTCTGTCTGTTCTTTTACCCAAGAATGTCTAGCTGGAAAGGACACTCACTGAATGAATGGAATTAAATGCCTGTCACGTGGGTGCCAGAATGGAGCTAGAGGCAGTAACAAGATGATACTAGGTACATACAGTTCTTGACAAAATAATGAATGCATTTCAAATAGATGCAAATATTTTAATTTTAACTTGGACAAGGGAGGGAGGTGTATATAATTTGGGGGTAGGTGAAAAAGGCCTAAGTGTTGGTTATGGTGAGGGCATTCCAATGAGATATCGCAGGACATTCTATGTGGTATGACTCTAAGAAGAGTTTTCACAGATATAAAAAGAGATGGAAGGAAAGGAAGTTCTTTTTTCTCGCATTTTTTATATCATATTCTGAGTATGAAGTCATATCCTAAGCATTCGGAAAACATGCCCAGTGAGGAATGAGGACAATATTCTGAAGATGCCAGAAGTAAAAGTGGATAATTCTAATTTTTTCAAGACATTGTGCCACTGACTTGAACATCTTGCAGCAGCCCTATCTACAGGTGTCTTGTGCTTCAATATTATACATCACTGACTGCTAAAATTAGTTTAATTGAGCTTCTCTATTTGGCAGCCAAAAACATTTCTAACTGGAAATATTTTCTTATCCTTGAATGAAAAGGCAAAGACAGCCTTCTATGGGAATGCTACACAGCAAACTGGAATCCTAGTACTAGATAAGCTTGCCTCATACATTGATGCCCATTGTTGTTAAACCAGGGCCTAGATTTATGTTTATAAAATTATCTGAGTGTGGCTTTTACTGTGATAGAAGCAAATAGTGCTGGTTCTCAAAGGTAGAAAAGCATAAGAGATACACTATATGGGGGAGGCCAATCTTATTAGGGGTGTCCTGTGGACAAGAGTCCCTGGATAGAATCCCAATTGTGTTTCAGATACATGACTATAGGCAGGACTTGAGCCTGATAATCACCAGTATTAGGTATCATGAGAGAGTGGGAACAGAGGATGCTCTTGAAACCAAGAATTTGAGACAGTGAGTCGAGATCATTTCACTCCATGCCAGTCTGGGCAACAAAGTGAGATTCTGTTTCTTAAAAAAAAACATACAAGGGATGTGAAGGACCTCTTCAAGGAGAACAACAAACTGCTTCTCAAGGAAACAAAAGAGGACACAAACAAATGGGAAAACATTCCATGCTTGTGGATAGGAAGAATCAATATCGTGAAAAAAGCCATACTGCCCAAAGTAATTGATAGATTTAATGCTATCCCCATCAAGCTACCATTGACTCTCTTCACAGAATTAGCAAAAACTACTTTAAATTTCATATGGAGCCAAGAAAGAGCCTGTGTAGCCAAGACAATTCTAAGCAAAAGGAACAAAGCTGGAGGCATCACGATACCTGACTTCAAAATATACTACAAGGCTACAGTAACCAAAACAGCATGGTACTGGTACCAAAACAGATATATAGACCAATGAAACAGAACAGAGACCTCAGAAATAGCACCACACATCTACAAGCATCTGATCTTTGAAAAACCTGACAGAAAAAAGCAATGGGGAAAGGATTCCCTATTTAATAAATAGTGTTGGCGAAAATGGTTAGCCATATGCAGAAAACAGAAACTGGACCCCTTTTATACAGCTTATACAAAAATTAACTCAAGATGGATTAAAGATTTAAACATAAGACCTAAAACCATAAAAACCCTAGAACTAGGCAATATCATTCAGAACATAGGCATGGGCAAAGATTTCATCACTAAAACACAAAAAGCAATGGAAACAAAAGCCAAAATTGACAAATTAAACTAATTAAAATTGACAAATTTTAGTTCAGTTGACAAATTACACTAATTAAAATTGACAAAATTTGACAAAATTGACAAATTAATTAAATTAAACTAAAGAGCTTCTGCACAGCAAAAGAAACTATCATCAGAGTGAACAGGCAACCTACAGAATGGGAGAAAATTTTTGCAATTTATCCATCTAACAATGGGCTAATATCCAGAATCTACAAAGAACTTAAACAAATTTACAAGAAAAAAACAAACAACCCCATCAAAAAGTGGGTGAAGGATATGAACAGACACTTCTTAAAAGAAGACATTTATGTGGCAAACAAACATATGAAAAGGGCTTATCATCACTGGTCATTAGAGAAATGCAAATCAAAACCACAATGAGATACCATCTCATGCCAGTTAAAATGGTAGTCATTAAAAAGTCAGGAAACAACAGATGCTGAAGAGGATGTGGAGAAACAGGAAGGCTTTTACACTGTTGGTGGGAGTGTAAATTAGTTCAACCATTGTGGAAGACTGTGGTGATTCCTTAAGGATCTAGAACTAGAAATACCATTTGACCCAGTGATCCCATTACTGGGTATATACCCGAAGGATTATAAATCATGCTACTATGAAGACACATGCACACGTATGTTTATTGCGGCACTATTCACAATAGCAAAGACTTGGAACCAACCCAAATGTCCATCAATGATAGACTGGATTAAGAAAATGTGGCACATATACACCATGAAATACTATGCAGCCATAAAAAGGACGAGTTCATGTCCTTTGCAGGGACATGGATGAAGCTGGAAACCATCATTCTCAGCAAACTATCGCAAGGACAGAAAACCAAACACGGCATGTTCTCACTCATAGGTGGGAATTGAAAAATGAGAACACATGGACACAGGGCAGGGAATATCACACACTGGGGCCTGTTGGGGGTGGGGGTCTAGGGGAGGGATAGCATTAGGAGAAATACCTAATGTAGACGATGGGTTGATGGGTGCAGCAAACCACCATGGTACATGTATACCTATGTAACAAACCTGCAAGTTCTGCACATGTATCCCAGAACTTAAAGTATAATTTAAAAAATAATAATAATGAAAAAATAATTTGGGTACATATAATAAAAAAATTCAAGATCCACAATCTCTTGAATATAAAAACTACATGAAATATAGAGGAGATAGGACCAAAGGTAACAGCTGCTCTAGACCCTTAATGGCTCCCTTGTAGGGAGGATCAGTACTGTCCCATAAAGTCACATTCCCTATGTGACCTTGAGGTCTTCTCAGATTCTATCTCTGCAGTGAGGTAAACAGCCAGTCAGCACCGAAGGACAAGGAGGGGTGTATTTTAACATCTTGTCACCCTTTGATCATAGTGTATTTCATTCTTATATATCTCTCCTTCCTGGTCACTGTAGAACCATACAGAAACCATCTGCCCCACTATGTGAATCACATTTAACCACAAGGTTTTAAGAGGGAATATAATAAAAGATTATTTCCTGCAGGGATAAGAAGCAACTTCAAGCTAGAAATGCATGAATTGCTAGAGAAACCAACGAAAGGAGCCTTGCATCCATCTCATTTTTCTCAAGTTGAGCCACATGTGAACAAAAGTCTATATGAAATGATCAGCTGGCTCCTTCACAAACAGCTGTAGGTGAACGGAGGGGAATAGCATGAGGATACATGGAGTGTGAGCTTGATCTGGCTTTCAGTAAGAATTTGCCAATATGTTGTGTCAGAACCTGCTTGGTAAGTGGCACAGCACAAAAACATTCCCAAGACTTCTTTACATTATGTTTATGGATCATTCATGACTAATTTTCCAACAAAAACAAACATGCACTAGAGAAAATCAAGAAAGAGCAAATTGATCTTTGAGAAGACAGCAAAGTAAAGTTCTTACATTAATTTTACTTTACAAAACATGCAATTCAATTCATGACAAAATCCAAGGAGCACGTTTGAGCTACTGGAATTCCTGAGTTCATTGGGAAAATGCTGACCTGACTTTCCTCTTCTGCCTTCTAGGATGGGTTGGGCTGGGCTGGACCTCAGTCTGGGAGATGCATTAAAGTGGAGAGACTGACTTCTCTTAAAGATTCTTCTTTGTTTCAGGGGACAGTTCTTAAGGACAGAGTAATAGAGTCAGACAGGATTGGGGGATATCGTGAGATGTTGAGATAAAGATGCTTCAGTTAAAGGCCTGGGCTCTGATATGCAAGTGGCCCTGGTACAGGAAGACCTAAGGGACACAGGGAACTTGATAACTGCTTGTCAAGACCCAGTTCAAAGCAGATATGCTTAGAGAGCTTCCTGACATGAGGGCAGAACTTTGATCTCTCAGGAGGTTGGCCTCTGTGATACCAAGTCCGTCCAAGTCCTCCCAGGTATGAGAAAAAAGGTCTCTACCTTTTTTTTCATTTTCAAAGCATTTTAACTCAAAGACTCATTTTTTAAAAAAATTTAAAACCTTGTGATTTTTTTTTTACTGAGGAAGGTGCATTTGAAGATTGACAGGATAGAAACCAGTTTCCTGGAAAAAGGAGGGCCTGCGGTTCCCAAGGTAGCCCCAGTGGGTGAGCTACTTCTGTGTTCTGGTCCCTGGTTCACAGGTGCCCTGGCTGTGTAGATGGGCAGAGGGTGTGTTTTTCTGTTAGAAGTAGGATTTGAGCCACTGTGTTACTGAGGTGTGGTCTATGACTTCTGGGTGTAACCTTTCAGATTTTCCAATTTCCCAGCTTCTATATTCGTATTTAATTCTCATCTAACACAGAAAATGAAGTTCTGGCACATGCTGCACCATGAACAAGCCATGAAAACATGAGGCTGAGTGAAAGAAACAGAAACAAAATGTCACGGAAGGTTTGATTCCACTAATAGGACGTGTCCAGAATGGGTGAATGCGCAGAGACAGAAAGCAGATGGTGGTTGCCAAGAGCTGGGAGGGAGAAAGGGATGTAACTGCTAAGGGCATCCTTATGGGGCATGAAAATGTTTTGGAACTAGATAGAGTTGGGGGTTGCGCAATATTGTGAAGAGGCAAAGTGAGGCAGAACTGTGCACTCTAAATTGGTTAATTTATGTTATGTGAATTTCACCTCAGATAAAAATTAAGTGGGGAGGGTGGGCTCTCGCCTCAGAATCAGAGCAAATACTTCAATCCCAATGCAAAGGCTACTTGGCTATTTTGGCTGCACCAAACTGAGCACTTCCAACAGCGCTGGCTCCCTGAATCCCAGGATCCAGCCTGTTGTATCTACTCCTTGGGGAGCCTGGCTCATGACCCAACTTGGAAATGACATTCCCAAGACCACAAATGACATTTCCAAGTACCAGGATGTCTCTATGCCCAGTGCTGGGGCCACACCAGATGCCGAGGCCTCTCCACCCCAGGAGGGCTGCCTCCTCCTCCTAGGTGACAATGAAGAATGTACTGCTCAGTCACTGGGCTCAGTGGTCGTCTCTGGGCATGAGCTGGGTTTCAATGAGCTCAGGAATGGGAAGCATGACTCTGCCCCTGAGGCCACATGCCACCTCCATAGCGGATCTTTTCTTCTGGCTGGAGGGGAAGTCACTTCTTCCCATGAAACTATTTTATCTATAAATCTCCTCTCCTTGTTGGAGACCAAAGCCCAGCTGCTCCTGCTTGGTGCCCTGGTGGCCTGGGGTGGGCCATGGAGTCCTGTTTGCAGTTTCTCTTCTGTCACCATCACGAGTTCTGACACCCTGGCCTGGGCACAGAACCGCACATCAGCCTGATGTTTCCATGGACACCAATGTTACTAAGCCCCAAGCCTCGTCTTATGACCAGATTAGATATAAGCTGGATCTGCTTTCCTCTCCTGGCCTCAGATAAGAAAGTCTAGGCAACAGGCACAGGGAGGGGCGAGACTGGGGCCAGACCCTTCCATTTCAACAGAGCTGCTGACTGAAGGGGAACTCCATCATCCTGGCAAGGAGGGAAGATTCAAACACTGGGCTCACTTGGAGCTGGTCCCTAGCACTCTCCTGAAACCCCACTGATGCACCAATATGTGACTGCAGATCACAGGGTCACGTGTGAGATATTTCCTGGCATATCTTAGGCTTTCATCAATTTGTGGAACAATCTTTGTTTTAGAAGCCTCTGTGATCCATAAACAAAGCTTCAGTAGCTCAGGGTTGTAGGACCAGGTTCGTCTCACCATTCTGAGACTTCCCATGATTCCATGTATAAAGTTCTCTTCACTACTGTGATCATCAGCTTGGACTCCCATGACTAAGACCACAGACTGAGTGACTTAAATGATAGAAGTCTATTCTGTCACAGTCCTGGGGGTTGGAATTCTGAGATTAAGGGGTCGGCACTGTCGGTTCTTTCTGAGACCTCTCTCCTTGGCTTGTAGATGGCTGTCTTTTCCCTGCATGCTTACATGGTTGTCCCTGTGTGTTTAACTAATCCTAATCTCCTCATCTCATGAGGACACCAGTCCTATTGGATTAGGGCCCAACCTAAAGACCCATTTTAACATAATTACCTCTTCAAAGATTCTGTCTGCAGACACAGTCACATTCTGAAGTATTAGGGGTTAGGACCTTAACATATGAATTTAGAAGGTCACAATTCAGCTAATAACAGCAACCCTTAGATAGCTGGGAATACTGAGGCAGAAAAGGATCCACTGCTTATCAAAGATAGCTGTGATTTGCCCACATAAGATCAGCTTTCATACCCTTGGCCTGAACTCCCAGGTTACTAGGTTTGACTCAGCTGTGGGTTCCCAGAAGAGGTATTGATCCTCTCCCGTTTCATTTTTAGTTAGGTGACCAACCAGCTTGGTTTTCCCAGGGCTATCGGGATATTCAGGACAAGGAATTTTCAGGAATACAAACTAGGAAATTCTAAGGCAAAGTGGTACCTTTGCCCTCCCTGCACAATTCTTCACACAAAGACCTGTGATTGGCAGCCTGAAGCGGAGTGCCTGCTCCTGAAGTGGACAGAGCCCATGGCTCAAGTGCATGTCTCCCTCGGGACCCCATGAAGCAGCTTCTGGTGTGCAGGGTCCCCTGCTCTCACCTACATGTAACAGAGCAACTTAAGTCCTCTGCAGGCACCCTCCCCAAGTAGCTCCTCAGTGTCAAACCCTGTTCCAGGGGCTGGAGAAAAGGCAGTGAACAGAATTTTAAAGACAAAGTAAATTCTCATGGAACTTCCATTCCAGGGCATGATTCCCACAAAAGCAAGTAAGTGAATATCATAGACTGCCAGCAGGTCAAGAGTGCAATGTTTAAAGGCTGATCAGCAGAAGATCACCTGGAAGGTGACCCTGAGGCAGAGACTGGAAGGAGGAGACCGAGCTCACTGAGGCACAGAGGCTCTTCCAAGCAGGAGAACAGCATGTGCAAAGGTCCAGGGAGGAGGCCTGAGAGCTAACAGAGAAGAGGTGAGCAGGAGCAAGGTTGGGAGCCCTTCCCTTGAGTACTGACCAGCAACCTCCCCATCCAGGACTCAAGGAGTCTCAGAACCTCAAGGTAAAGTAGTCACTCAGTGCCCCCACCAAAACGATGTCACAAAAACAGCCTGTACCAGTGGGAAAGTTGGAGAACCATCCTTATGGGCTAATGTAAACAAATGTATTTTTTTATGCAGCCTTATAGATAATCTGGGTGCACGGGATACACACTGGGCCTTGGGCACAGCATGAAGCATCAGGGATAACTGAATGCGGTGGAGAGAGGGGTAAGGGTATGCATGAGAGGGCATCCTGCAATGGAGAATCTGGGAGGGAAGGGATGGGTCTCCCACAAGAAGCTTGCTCCTTTCCTCCACTCTGCTCTGCAGAATCCCTGCCAATCTCATGAGGCTCAGCAGGAACCTCTGAGGACAGAGGGCAACCCTGACTCTCCTCTCCAGACCTGGTATGTTACCAGCCTTTGTTTTTGCAGGATGTGCGCAGGCAGCAAAGGTAGCCCACCATAGCCTAGCTTCTCGCAACCCTCTCTGGAAAGCTGGATTGGGACAATGAGACTGAGACCTCAGGACATGTGAACATGAGCCATACGGGAGGTGAGTGGTTGGTGGACAGGCAGGTGGTCTTCTCCCTGACAGTGCTGGTGGCCCTCTGTGGACTGGTAGGCAATGATGTGATCTGCTGGCTTCTCTACTCACAGGTCTGGAGCAGCCCCTATGTGACCTACATCCTTAACCTGGCCACTGTTGATATGGTCAACCTCTCCTGTGTAACTGTGATCCTGCTGGAGAAAATCCTCATGCTGTATCACCAGGCGGCATTGCAGGTGGCTGTGTTTCTGGATCCTGTCTCCTATTTCTCCGACACAGTGGGTCTCTGTCTCCTGGTGGCCATGAGTATTGAGAGCTTTCTCTGTGCCCTCTGTCCCACCTGGTGCTGCCACCGCCCAGAGCACACCTCTGCCATGGTGAGGTGGGCCCTGGCCCTTTCTTTGTATGCAGTTAGCCAGGTCTGTGAGTACTGGGAGAAGTGCTTGGCATGTGACCAATTTCATGAGGCTTTATGACATGTCATGTACTTATTTGCTTTGTAATGGGCATGTCCAAGCTGATCCTGATCATCTGGGGTCTGTGCTGTCCCCAGTGGTGTTCCCCCATCAGGACCTATCATGTTGTCTGCTTTGTGATCATCAGCTTCTTCCTTTGGGTCCTGCCCTTAGTTGTCCTTGTGTGCCTGCCAGGAAAGTTTCTGACCCTTGCCTTTGACCTCCTGTTGCTACTGTCCATTGTGGTCAGCATGCCTCACCTAGTCATCTACTTCTTGGCTGAGTAACTCTACAGGAAGAGGCACAGGGAGTCCCTAAAGGCTGTTTTTCAGAGGGCTTTGTTGAGTGAGATGGAGGCATGGATAAAATGAGGCGTTTCAGGCCCCCGATCCCAGGGCAGATTTCAGCCTCACAGCTGGAAACAAACTGCTCTTCTAGGGGGCTCAGCTCCTCCACAAAGGCAGGGACTGCCTATGCACAAGGCTGTAAAAGGGATCATGTCTGGAAAACATGCTGAATCCTCCAAGGAGCAGGGTGAATGTTCTTGAGATTATTTATTACCTTTGTGTATTTTCAGAGTAACCAGATTTCTGACTGAATTCAAGACAAAATTACTTTGCTTCTGTTGATAGCCCATTATTCTCAATTCCCATGGAAACCCTCTGGAAAGGCAGGTCAGGAGCAAAGCAGACCTTCCTGGCTTCTTCTTTTTTTTTTTTTTTCCAGCTAATTATTTTATTTTATTTTATTTTATTTTTCTTTTTTTATTATACTTTAAGTTTTAGGGTACATGTGCACAACGTGCATGTTTGTTACATATGTATACATGTGCCATGTTGGTGTGCTGCACCCATTAACTCATCATTTAACATTAGGTATATCTCCTAGTGCTATCCCTCCCCCTTCACCCCACCCCACAACAGGCCCCAGAGTGTGATGTTCCCCTTCCTGTGTCCATGTGTTCTCATTGTTCAATTCCCACCTATGAGTGAGAACATGCGGTGTTTGGTTTTTTTGTCCTTGCACTAGTTTGCTGAGAATGATGGTTTCCAGCTTCATCCATGTCCCTACAAAGGACATGAACTCATCATTTTTTATGGCTGCATAGTATTCCATGGCGTATATGTGCCACATTTTCTTAATCCAGTCTATCATTGTTGGACATTTGGGTTGGTTTCAAGTCTTTGCTATTGTGAATAGTGTCATAATAAACATACGTGTGCATGTGTCTTTATAGCAGCATGATTTACAATCCTTTCGGTATATACCCAGTAATGGGATGGCTGGGTCAAATGGTATTTCTAGTTCTAGATCCCTGAGGAATCGCCACACTGACTTCTACAATGGTTGAACTAGTTTATAGTCACTGGCCATCAGAGAAATGCAAATCAAAACCACGATGAGATACCATCTCACACCAGTTAGAATGGTGATCATTAAAAAGTCAGGAAACAACAGGTGCTGGAGAGGATGTGGAGAAATAGGAACATCTTTACACTGTTGGTGGGACTGTAAACTAGTTCAACCTTCCTGGCTTCTGCAAGCTCCATATTTCTGAGAGTGACAAGTGTCATTCATCCTTATTCAGTCACCTTGCTCGGAGTTCTGTCCTCTGTCACCCCAGTCCATCCTTCCTGGGGACCCCTGGGCAGAGACTGATTCATGATCCTGATGTTCCTCCACCATTATGGCCTCAAGTTTCCATCCATCCCTTCCTACAAAAGCCAGGAAAGCGATTCAGTAAGAGTGCCATAACAAGTTGTTTCTGGCGTTGCTCACTGTGGAGAGATCTAACGCTGGCAGTCTGGCCTACAGCCTGGTTTCTCCAAGCTGTTTCACTCTGCTCATTCCAGGTTCCACGCACAGGCTACTCTCTGTGTTTTTCCCAGACTCATCACACAATCTAGCGCCTGTGCTTCTTCACAGGAATCCCACCCTGCAGAATGTCATGCATTCTTCCCCACCCTGACCAGGGTGTTGCCCGGCACCCACCATGGTCAGAACCTTAATGAGAGCCCCTGACCAGCCCCAGCTCCATCCCGTCAATGCTCTATAGCCATCACAGCAGCACATCACCCTGCTTCATTTGTTCAATTGCACCCCAGCCAGCGTAACTCTTAGATTTCAGGATGGTGTCCACCCCCTGAGTTGTCCTCAGGTGCACCATTTGACCTTGTCCCATGACATCCTCACACAGGATTCACTCTCTCCCTTGTTTGCACCAGACTCGCGCCCAACCTTGCAAGGTCCCTTTCTCCCTTCCCTGCTTAGAGCACTCCCTCAACACTATCTGTACATTTTACTCTTTTTCACCCTTCACTCCTTAAAGATGTTTGTCCAGACCACCCCATTTAAATCTCCACCCCTTTTTGACTCTTCTCTAAAAGGTTTGTTTCTTTTAATGTGAAGATAATTGTCTATAATTATTTTCTATGTATTCTGTGTTGTGTGTTGTTATCAGTTTATTGTACTCCTGCCTCATTTGCACTTGAAGCCCCAGTAGGGCAGAGGCCACACCTTCCTCCTACCCTAGCAAATTCCCAGCAAGTAGCAAAATGCCCTGCAAGTCTGACATTAACCCCCCATCATCTGATGTTATCCATCGCTCACTAGTCCACCTTTCCACCTTGCATGTTTCCACATGTTTTCATTGTCTCTGCCTTCTTGAGGCTTCCCAACCATATTCTAACTAGAATTCGACGAACACGTCTTTGGAGATTGTTCCCAGTGTTCTTGTAATTGATTTGTCAGTTTTTTACTCACTTGGAAAATGTCACTTGTATAATACTATGACTGTTATGTGAAATTCACACTGTTTTCTCTGTTGCCGAAAACTTGCTCAGGTTTGTAAATGTGCCAGTGATACTGGTAAGCAATGTACATTCTCTTATTTTAGATATTCAATGTGATACATTCTAAAGCAATTCTGAGATGTTTAGATTACAGCAATTCTTTAAATGCTGTTACTTGGATCATATTGATTTCTGCCTAGTGTAAATGACAAAATTGATAGGGACATGTTCATATCTCCTATTAGTTTGTTTCACATCACACTAGAATTTGAAACAGAGTTTGATTTACATAATTTGATGTTGTCCTTTGATAAGTGAATGGCAGAAACCCTGGCCCTAGAGCACAGAAGGGCTGATCCGGGCTGCCTGTCTTTAGTCAGCGTGTTTTGTTCTAACAAAATGCCATAGATTAGGCTACAAACAGCAGATATTTATTTTCTCAGAGTCCTGGAGCTTGGAAGTTCAAGATCAATGTATCAGCAGGGTGGGCTTCCCCTGAGGCCTCCCTCTTTGACTTGAGATGGCCGCCTTCTCCCTGTGTCATGACATGGCCTTTTTCTGTGTACCCACATCCCTGGGGACACTTTCTATTCTTATGAGGATTTTAATTCTTTAGGATTAGGACCTCAGTCTTATGAGCTCCTTAACCTTAATTATCTCTTTAAAGGCCCTATCTCAAAATATTGTCACATTCAGGGTTAGGACTTTAGCCCGTGAAGTTTGGATGCCTGGAAGTAAGAGGCAGGTTGATCTCACAGAGTTGGGCTGCTGCTATGTTCAGGCAGGGGATACAATTTGGGCATTTTATGTGCCTTTACCCTGGGCCAACAGTTCCCTTGGAGGTGAGCATCTGGCTTATGGTTCTTTAGTTTTTTGTGGAAACGTCTCTATTATCCTTGCAGCTGATGAGCTCCTGGCAACACAGACAGTCCTCAGTTTCCTGAATTCTCTCACTCACTCAGAAAAACAAAAATGTCAAGGCTAGGTATGGACTATTACAGTTTAGTAAGTAATCCCCTTCCTTCCCTCTGGAATTGAGAACTACTGATGAAAGTGAATGAAGGAATGAGGACAGTGTCAGATGGAGAACAATGCATTACTTCTATTGCTCCTAAAATTGAACTGGAGAAAGGGGCTTGGATGTCTAAAAAACTGACTTTCAAAAGTGCCCCTTAAATGGTACCTACTCCAGAGGATCCCATCCCTCCTCCCTCTTCCTGCCCATCTCTCTTTGGAGGAAAGCAGTCCTTCTGGGGAACTCACCACCCACTGGTGAAGGGAGCACTCACTCCAGGTTATTCTTCCAAACTCACTCATCAGTTTCTTTCCTTCTCCCCGGGAGGGAAAAAGTGCGGGGAAAGAGAGAGAGCCCAGAGCTTAAAATAGACCTGAGATTCTCAGTCTTAAATAGTATTGAGCAGCTCAAAGAACTTTTGTGGATCAGGGTTGTATCTTTCAATATTTACAGTATTAGTAATTATAACTCAGAACTTTACAAATGTTTACTTATTAACTCCTTTAGAACATAAATTGTATGCCTATTCCATGTAAACATGAATAAATTTTAGAAAAAATAACTATGTTTTCTTTAAAAAGTTATGTTATTGAGAAGAGCAAGATGGTTTTGTATTTTGCAGACCTCTTAGAGGCCCAGCAGCAAGCTGGACATTCACAGCTGCTTCTGCATTGGTGTAGTTTTCCAGTTGGCGGCTTCATCTCACCTCATACAGTCTCTGGAAAACTCCACTTTCACTCAGGAGTGCATGAGTGTGAGAAACACAGACTCACTTCAATACTTCAAGTATTACCTGAAGATTATGTTGGCCTCCCTTCCCCTAAAAAGGTGTTGGGGACCACATCTCAAGAATTACTCCTCTGGGGTGATCCCCACCTGGAAATAAGGGCTGAGGGAGTGGAGGCACCCACCCTCTCACACCAGTTCCCTTGTTTGGAATTTTTAAAGAGAGAGGCATCCCAGCATTCACCCCGCAGTAGGGCAGAACTGTGTGGCACATCCTGAGAAGGGATCAGCGGGTGACCAGGACTGAGCCTCTGCCACCTGGAAGAAACTGTACCCCAGGACTGACCAGAGTGTCTTGTGGAGTTTCGGCCTCACCAGGAGGCACTTGAATCATGGTAACCATAAGACGCTGCACGGGACAGGAAGATGAATAGTAGCAATAGCAACTAGAGCAAATATGTTCACTGATGATTTACTGTATCTCAATATTGCTCTAATCACTGTGAAAACATGAAGCCAGTTTTCACACTCTATTAATAGGTAACATTATTATCCTGCTTCAGCCTAAGCCAAAAGGCTGCTTGGCCCACTTAGCTGATTGTTATCCAATGGTCCCAGCACATTTATAACAAATATAGTCCTTCACTATTGTTCTGATTTTTGGTTATCAATCATGTTTAGACTTATGTGGGTCTGTCTCTGGGCCTTCTGCTCTGTTCTGTTGGCCTATTTATCCACCCTTGGACAACACCACACTTGATGTAGTTACTGCATCTTTCCCGTGCATATCTATGCCCAGGAAACTGAGTCCTCCTACAAACAGCCAGAGAAGAACAAGACATATATGTACAGAAAATCAAAGATAAGAATGAAGCAGATTTCTTGTTGGAAAGTTGCAAGTTGTATGACAGTGGAGAAAATTCTTTAAAATATTAAAAGAAATAAATTTGTCAGCCTAAAATTTTTTACACAGTCAAAATATTTCCCAAAGAGATGGCAAAATAAAGAGGTTTTTGGAGACACAAAAAAGATGAAACAAATCATCACCAGGAGATATGCAGACTGAGAAGTGGTAAAAGACATACATCCAGCAAGAGAATAATGACTCCACATGGAAATCTGTGTCTATTTAAGGAAGGAGTCCTTTGCCCTGATGGTATCTTCTTAAGACGCTGAAATAAGTGGTGAGAGCCAACATTCTTGGCTTGTTCCTCATCTGGGGTGAAAGCATCCAGTCTTTCATTATTAAGGGTAATACCCACTAAATATCAACCATAGGATTTTTTTTTTGGTAGCTGCCTTTTATCATTTTGAGAAACTTCGTTTCTATTCCTAGTTGACTGAAATTTTTTATGAGCCTATTGGATTTTGTCTAATGCTTTTTCTGAATCTGCTGAAATAATGTTTTTGCCTTTTAATCTGTTAATGTGGTGAATTATATTGGCTCATTTTTCATGTTAAACCTGCCTAGTATCCCTGGGATAAATTTCACTTGGTCTTGATGTGCATATATTTATATTTCTGGTGCACATGTATGTATGTTCATGAGAAAGTGATTCTGTGTGTGGCGATGCAGTAGACCTAGAATAGTTAAAAAAAAAAAAAAAAACTTTGAAAAAAGAAGAAGCAAGTGAGACAGTTTATAATACCCAACTTCAAGGCTTATTATAAAGGTTCAGAAATCCAGATGGTGTGATATTGGTAACAGGATGGACAAATAGGTCAACAGAACAGAAGAGGGTCCAGAATAGACCCTAACATATATCTTCAATTGATTTTGAAGAAGGTGTAAAGTAAATTCAGTGGAGAAAGGACAATCTTAGCAACAAACGGTCCTTAGAATTATTGGATATACATATGCACATATGAACAGAACTTCAATCCATACGTGGCATCATACATAAAAATTAATTCAGAATTTATCATAAACCATAATGTAAGACCTAAAGCTGTAAGCTGTATGTAAGAAAAGAAAAGAGAATATCAGTGTAACTTATGGTTAGGAAAATATTTCTTGGATGAATACAAAAAGTATGATGCATAAAAGAAAAAATTGATCAATTGGATTTCATCAAAATATAAGATGTGTGCACTTTGAAAGACCCTGTGGGGAGAATGAAAAGGCAAGTTCCAGGCTGGAGGAAGTGGTTTCAATCTCACATCTGATGAAGGACTCATATGTAGGATCTATAAAGAGCTCAGATGAATGGGCCCCTGGCAGCCCTTGGGAATCACAGGGGTGCTGTGCCATGGACAGACATGGAAGACACCTCCCACCCTGTCATTCATGTCTTCTGAGCTGCAGTACTCAATGTCCCCTACAAATGCCCCCTCCTGGGCCCACAGACCCTCCTCTCCCCACATCCACACCCTCAGGCCAGGCCCTGGGGCTCTTGTTGGGACAGGGCCCCTCCTGCAGGATACAGGGAGGGAGGAACTGTCAGTCTCAGGCTCTGGGTGCCCAGCTTCAAGCTTACCCACCTCAAGGCCCTCTGGGCCCATCTCACAGGATATAATGAGGTAGTCTGGCACCTACTGGACATGCTATCTAGATCTAATCCTGAGCTGTGGAGCCAGAGGAAAGGAGGGATGTTTGTTGGACCAGTTACCCTGTTCTGCCAGGTCTCACAGGGCCCTTCCCTTAGAGGCCAGCTCTAGACACACAGCACAGAGGCCAAGAGGTAGCCAGCCCAGAACCTGCAGGCTGGGCTGGGGACCACACGAGGACTGTCTGGGGACAGCCAGAAGACCCCTCACTAGTTTTCTCACTACCTCATTTCTTATCAGCTACCTTACCTCCATCAAAACCCCCCTTCACGCAAAATCAGTAAGAGGAGGAAGATGGTAAAAGAATCAACGGGAAGAAAACAAAAAAAGGACAACCATTAACAGTCCAGAACCCTGGGTGGGAAGAGTGGAACTGGGAACAGACCCTTTCATTTCAACAGAGCCTTGACTGAAGGGGACTCCATCATCCCAGCAAGGAGGGAAGATTGAAACACTAGGTTCACTTGGAGCTGATCCCTAAACTTCTCCTGAAACCCCACTGATATACTGACATGTGACTGCAGATGCCAGGGTTGCCTGTGGCATATTTCTAGAAAAATCACAGGCATTTATCAGTTTGTGGGACAAGTTTATTTCCAGAAGCTTCTGTGACCCAGAAGCAAAGCGTTAGCAGCTCAGAGTTGTAGAATCAGCATCTCAGATTATAGGATTATAGGATCTACCAGGTCGTAGATCTCACTATTGCAAGACTTCCCATGATTCAATTTGTAAAGTTCTCATCACAACTGTGATCATCAGCTTGGACTCCCGTGACTGAGACCGCAAACCGAGTAGCTTAAACTACAGAAGTTTATTCTCTCTCGGTTCTAGGAGGCAGGAAGTCTGAGATCAAGGAGTGGGCAGGATAGGTTTCTTCTGAGGACTCTTTCCCTGGCTCCTAGATGGATATCTTCTCCCTGTGTCCTCACATCGTTGTCCCTTGTGGTGTTTGTATCCTAATCTCGTCTTCTTATAAGGACACTAGTCCTACTGGATTAGGGCCCATTCTAATAATCCATTGAATTTCACCTCAAGTAAAGATTAAATTAAGGGCTAGTGTGAGCTCTCATCTCAGAATCAGAGCCATTACTTCAGTCCCAAAGCAAAGGTTACCTGGCTGTTTTGGATGCACTGAGGCAGACACCTCCTTCAGAGCCTGGTCCCAGAGACAGTTTCTACTAACTGCTTGTTTTTCTGTGTATGGGCCTTACTTTATTGTTTCTTTGCATGTTGTATTATTTCGTTCTTTCTTTTTTAACTTAGCATTTTAAACAGTATAATGTGGCAACTCTGGAAGTCATATTTTTTCTGTTCCCAGATTTTACTATTGCTAGTGGATGTTTTTTGATCAGGTTTTTAAAAACTATCTGTCAAGTCTGTTCTTTTTTGTTTTTTTGTTTTGTTTTGTTTTTGTTGTTGTTGTTGTTCAACGTGGCCACTGAAGTCTCTGCTTGGTTAGCTTAGTGGCCAGGTAAAGACTGGACAAAGATTTCCTTAGGTTCCTGGAAGTAATGTCTCCCAGTGTATGTAGAGAGGCTCTGTGTGCAGGTAGATACAGGTCTTCAAAGCCCAACCAAGCAGTTTACACTGTGTCCTAGCCTTCATTTCCTGTCTGTGCAGTGCCTCAAACTTATTCAGGGTTAGAGCTTAGAGCCTGCTCAGGTCTGTTCAAAGCATATATGCAGCACTTGTCATGCCCACATCTATGCATGCATGTGGCCGTCGGAACTTTCTGGAGTATATTAAGGCTTTTCAATCCCCTTTATGGGCATCTCATTCCCTGACATTTCGTTTTTAAGTTCTTGGTTAGGCTATTGTTTGTTCCAACTGTTATTTATGACCATCGGCAACCATGATGTTCAACAACTGCCTATGATTCTTTTTACTCATTTCCCCAGGAAATACATTGTTCTCTCTGGGATAGCTCTGAGTCAAGTCAAATAAGGATAGCATTGTGAGTTCTAGGGAACAACCAGACAGGTAAAATAATAACAGTCCTCTGGAAATAAGGGATTAAAGGATCTGTAACCCTATTGTGTCCCCTCCAGTGATTTCATGTCTGCTGGTTTTCACCATGATTGTGGACCGTTGGTTTTTAAGAGCTGAGGAGGAAGGAACAGGAGTGGAACCAGTTAAAACATCACAGAGCTCACTGTTCTTATCAAGATTCAGCTATTATTCTTGAACAAACACTCCCCAGATTGCAGCAAGCCTTTGGTTAATTTCTAGAGTTCTAAACAATATTAATTCTGACAATTCTTCCATAGTTCATTTTACTCTTAGGAAGTAGGTCATTTTTGGAAGTCATTACTCTGTTATTTTTGTTGATGTCACTGTGTTACTGGAAAGGGGCCCCAATCCAGACCCCAAGAGAGGATTCTTGGATCTCATGTAAGAAAGAATTTGGGGCGAGTCCATAAAATGAAAGCAAGTTTATTAGGAAAGTAAAGGAATAAAGTATGACTACTCCATAGACAGAGCAGTGGCATGGGCTGCTCAACTGAGTATACTTACAGTTATTTCTTGATTATATACTAAACACGGAGTGGATTATTCATAAGTTTTCTGGGAAGACGGTGGGCAATTCTCAGAACTGAAAGTTCGTCCCCTCTTTAGATTACATAGGGTTACTTCTGGACATTACCATGGCATTTGTAAACTGTCACGGCATTGATGGGAGTGTCATTCAGCATGCTAATGCATTATAATTAGAGTATAATGAACAGTGAGGAGGACCAGAGGTCACTTTCATTGCCATCTTGGTTTTGGCCGGCTTCCTTACAGCATCCTGTTTTATCAGCAGGATCTTTGTGACCTATATCTTATGCCAACCTCCTATCTCATCCTCTGACTGAGAATGCCTAACCTTTTGGGAATGCAGCCCAGCAGGTTTCAGCCTTACTTTACCCAGCCACTACTCAAGATGGAGTCACTCTGGTTCAAACGCCTATAACAACAGTATGGTTTTTTGTTTTATTGGAATTGTTGCTTTAGGGATTATGATATAAATATTTACCCTTTCATGGTCTACTTAGAATGAATAGATCCATTTATTATTATTAGTTTATTCAGTAATTGTCATATGTATTACATTTGTATGAATCCCCATCAGTGTTGTACTTTTTAGTTCCAACAGAGATACATATTTTAAATAATTCAAAAAGAGAATAATATACGATTGCATTTACCCAGATAATTACTCTTTCTGTTGTTCCTTTTTCATTCATGATATTCTGATTTTCCCTCTGGTTTTATTTCCTCTCTGCCTGAAGCAGTGCAATCCATGCTTAAAAGCATTTCTTTTAAATCAGATGAGTTGGTGATACCTACTTTCACTGAGAATATCTTTACTTCATCTTCGTTTCTGAAGAATATTTTAACTTTATATAGAATTGCCTAAATGAGTGTCAATTGTGAGGAATGGGAATTAATGACATTGGCTGCTAAAATGGAGTGAAGAAGGTAGGTGAACAGCTCTGGTCTAAGACCAAGGTTCCCATGCAGGACTTGGTTTTTCTGCTGGGCTTTAAGACCCCAAAGCCCAAGAAAATGCTATCGTCTTATGAAATTTCCAAGAAGAAGACCATCCACCTCACCTTAAAGGTGGTGAAGCCCAAGATGCGGAGCTGCCCATGTTTCTGGTGGAAACATGTGATGAGGAGCAGAGAAATCTCCTCCTGGCATGACTTAATTTAAAAAAATATGGTAGATTATGGCATCAGAAAGGACAAATTACATTTCTTGACATACCACTCCACTGGAGGTGACCCAGGGGTAGAGAGATGCTTAAGGAAAAGCAGTTCATTTTCTTCTGGCTCATGTTCAGTAACCAGGGTGCCCAAATACTTTGAAGACGGAGTCTTAATCCAGAAGATAGGAGTTCTGTGTAACCTATACTATATGGTTACTTGATAGCAACAAAGTTCTTGTTGAAATATTCTGTTATAACTCAAAGGTTATATTAAGTTTGCTTTTTTTTTCTGGACTCTTTAGTGGAAAATGGAAAAAAATACTACAAATAAAACATTAAACTTTTCCTTCCAATATTTCACCTTTATTTCAGTCTCAAAAAAAGTGTTATTTGCAACTTTAATGTGGCCAGAACCATATACATTTGAAAGGCTGCTAAATTGAAAACAATAGAGCCTGCATTTTGGTTGTAACAATCCATTCTGTGTATTTGCATGTGATTATAGATTTGCTAAGTTTTAGTTCCTCCTTTCCTCTGGCTGTAACTTGAGGCAGTGAAGGAGAAAGAGAAGGCAAAAAAGGGTCAATAGAAGAAGGAGCAACTGGACAGAAAGAACCTTGAGGAAGTAGGAAAGAAGACATGTGCAGGGGGTTGAATGCTTATGTCCTTCCAAAATTCATATGTTGAAATCCTAAACCACCAAGATGATGGCATTAGAACATGGGGCCTTTGGGCAGTGATTAGGTCACGAGGGAAGAGGCTTCATAATTGGAATTAGTGCCCTCATAAAAGAGACTCCAGAGAGTTGGTAGTCCCTTTCACCATGTGTGGGCACAGCAAGAAGTCACCTTCTATAATCAGAAAGCAGGCCCTCAATAGGCATGAAATCTGCCTTAATCTTGGAGTTTCCAGCCTCCAGAACTGTAAGAAAGAAATGTTTGTTATTTATAAACCACCCAATTTATGTGTAGCTTGTGATAGTAGCTTGAATGAACTAAGCTAACACGGTAAGAACCAGAAATGAAGATAGAGTGACGGTGATGACTGTCAAGCACACTCATGAGAAGCAAGGCAAGGCCATGGCCTAGCTGATTTGGCTGGAGAAGATATGAGCCACTTTTACACTTAGATGGCTTATTATTTACATATAAAAAAGAAGTAAAAGCCAAACGTGCCAATTCCCTGGCTCCTTGTCCTACACACCAAAAAGGATGACACGGAAACCAAAGGGGCCAGACGACTGTGACACTGTTGTGGAATATACCACTGGTGAGGAGTCAGTTCTAGAATCCAGCTATTCCTCATTATATTCTTCAGCTATATCCTAAAGGGTGTGGGGCAGAAAACCCCATGCTCCATCCAAAACCTGGGAGACAGTAAAGACTTGTCACATGACATACTCCCAGGGATATAAGAAGGAGAGTGAGAGATGGCATTGAGGCAGGTTCTAAAGGGCCTCCCATCCTCTCATATTCCAGGAGGATCAAAAAGCATTCTTCTAAATCTCAGATTAGCTGTTCTTCAAGCCTTTGCTTACATGACCTACGTAGATACATGCAAGGTGTCCAGAATGCTATGATGGAGTAGTTCCCCTACACTGACATGACAATTGGAGAGCAATTATATAACCAGAAATAGGCATGGTGGAGTTAGGAAATCTATAGAAGTGATGACAGTAAAAAGAACAGAATGGAGGATAGAAATATTAAGAATGGACAGTGATAGGAATGATAATATTTGAATTTGTGTGCCTTATGGAGCTACCTATCTCCTCTCACCCAATTTCTTTTATCTCTCTGTCCCTCTCTTTCTCATTCTCCCTCTCATAGATAACATAGCCACACTGTGACCCACCACAGTGGCTCAGGTGTATGTGGGAAGGGTAGTAGTCTGGAAAACTTAACATGTTCATAAATCTTGAAGAAACTCTTCTTACTTTCGAAAGTATATTAAGCAGCTCTCCAGCTTTCCCTGGAGTCTCTTTCCTTCCCTAGTAACCTCCTGAGTGCTCGCTTTATCTCCTTGTTCCTCAGGGTGTATACGAGAGGGTTAAGTGAAGGAGTGCCCACTGCATAGAAGAGACCAAAGAACTTGCCCCTCCCTTGGGCATACGGATTTTTGGGCTGGAGGTAGACAGCAATGACTGAGCTGTAGAAGAGGGTGACCACAGTGAGATGGGAGGAGCAGGTCCCAAAGGCCTTTCTCCATGCTGTGGCAGAGTTAATCCTCAGCACTGCCTGGGCAGTGGCTCCATAAGAGGCAAGGATGAGGCTGAGAGGCACAACCACGAAGATGACACTGGACACAGCCAACTGGATTTCATTGTAGGAGGTATCTCCACAGGAGAGTCGAATCAGAGATGGGACCTCACATAAAAAGTCATCTATCTGCTGGTGGGGACAGAAGGGCAAGTGGAGGGTGGATGGTGTCTGGACTATCGATTGAACCAGACTCATAACCCAGGCCACAGATGCCAGCTGCCAGCACAGGCGGGGGTGGATGATGGTGGCATAGTGGAGGGGCTGGCAGACAGCCACGTATCGGTCAAAGGCCATCACTGTCAGGAGGATGCACTCAGTGGTCCCCAGGGACAGGAAGATGAAGAGCTGGACAGAGCATCCCAGGAAGCTGATGGTCTTCTTTGGGCCCCAGAGGTTGACCAGCATCTGGGGGACACAACTTGTGGTAAAGCAGAGGTCCAAGAAGGAGAGGTCAGAGAGGAAAAAGTACATTGGAGAGTGGAGCCTGGGGTACAGTACAGACAGCAGGATGATGAGTGTGTTGCCCACCAGGGTCAAGAGGTAGGAAGTGAAGACAACCACAAAGAGAGTCCTTTCCAGTGCTGGGTGTTCAGAGAAGCCCAGAAGGAGGAAGCCCATGGGGGAGCTTTGGTTAACCATGGCCTGTTCTTGTTTGTACCTGGAGGGATGAGGCTGTCACCCCAGTGTGATTCAACCTGTCTTATCAAAACTCAGCCTGGGTGTTTGTGAGGTCACAGCAGGTAGGTGTTTCTTTTCTGTCTCTGCTCACCCAGCCTCCCTTTCCCAGGCTTATCGTCATCCAGCAGCTCCTTCTCGTTCCCTGTTCCTTCTGATCAAACGTTGTCTAGCAGAAGTGAGGAAACCAAGAATGTGCTGGAAAGCAGGTGGAACCTCACATTGGTGCCTCTGACTTCCTGGTTGAGGGCAAAGAAAGCTGATGTAAAACATGGATTAATTAACCGATCTTCATTAATTCAACAATAAATTGTTAGGCTCTATCTTATTCTAAATGTTGTGGTAGTTCTGAATATTTCATTATGTACATCCATAAAGAATTAGAAAAGAATCATTTGATAGAATTGCCCTACTATTCATATGTATGCAAAATTATTCTGTATTCTGGGGCATAAGTTTCCTGGAATTATTCATGTTTTATCTACTTTATCTTTGTTTGCAGAGGTGTCAATCAGAGGCAGAGTGTAGAATTAACAAAGAGATTTCTCCGCTGTGTGTATTAACTCCACTCATAGAAAAATCAATGAGGTATTTTGTTCCTTCTCCATTAAAAAAATTATGATTCATTAAACTAAATGTAAGAGCTTCCTCCACAAATGAAAATCCCTAACCTCAACTTAACATTATGTAGAATGTAGCAAAATGACATGAAAAAAATGCTGCCAATTGTCTTGTTCTGGGGCTTAGAAATTAAAAAGATGATATAATTTTTAAAATTTTTTGCCTCTCAAATAAGATTATGTCAATAGCAAAATAGAGAGTTGATATTGGGACGTTTAAGTAGAAATTATTCAGGATCTAGAAGAATTTAAAGAAAAAAAGGAAGGAATTAGAATTTGTTACTTTCTTAATTCTATTCACTATTTAAGATTTAAAACATTATTTTTATAAAAATTCATACCCCCAAATTTTAAGAGTAATTTAAAGAATTTCTGAATGTTCTTTATCTATATTAGTAAAGTGCTAACACTTGACATTTTTATCATTACATCTTTATCTTTGCATATGCAATTATATTTACCCTGAGCTACTGAACAGTGAGTTGTATATATAATGCCTCTTCACTTCTTCATGTTTCTAAGATAGAATTTTTTTTTAGTGTAAAAACAGCTCAGTTACTAAATACAGGAAAGCCAACATTGATAAAGTATTATTGGCCGGGTGTGGTGGCTCACGCCTATAATCCCAGCACTTTGGGAGGCTGAGGCGGGCGGATCACCTGAGGTCAGATGTTTGAGATCAGCCTGGTCAACATGGTGAAACCTCGTCTCTACAAAAAAAAAAAAAAAAAAAAAAAAAATTAGCGGGGTGTGGTGGTGGGTGTCTGTAATCCCAGCTACTCAGGAGGCTGAAGCAGGAGAATCGTTTCAACCTGGGAGGTGGAAGTTGCAGTGAGCTGAGATCGTGCCATTACACTCCAGCCTGGGCAACGAGAGAGAAACTCTGTCTCAAAACTAACTAAATAAATAATAAAATATTATTACTTACTCTGTAGACCATACTTATAGTTTTGCCAATAATTTCTGTTATATACGTGTTTTCCCATGGAAGATCCACTCCAGATTATGTATGTCTGAGCTTGCCCTCTTAAGTAGCCTTTCCTTAGTCAGTGAAATAACAAGCCTTAAAGTATAGGCTGGTCGGTTCAGTTCCTAGCATGAGAAGCAGAGAGACTAGAAGAGTATGGCCTCATGTATTCAATAAACACTGGGAAATACATGGGAAAATTGAGACCCTCCCCAACACCGCCGCCCAGAATTGAAGGCAAATAAATTAAGATGAGGTGTGGGTTAGGAAAGAGTCTGCACAATAAAGGAGGAATCTGGGTGGGTGGGCCACGGAAAGCCTTTAGGAGGAGGTGACATGCATTTTTGCTGTAAAAGACTGTGCTGAGACACATGAGGCAAGCTCAATGATGGGGGTGGGATGCGGCACCACCCTGGCAGGTAAGAGGCAGAAACTGAGGGTTTTCTGAGCACAGACAATGGCAGGAGGGCCGTTTAGGGGATGTGGCCATTTAGGGCAAGCAAGTTGGTGGTCTCATTGGCAGACAGTGCCCTGGGACTTTATGGGATGGCACAATCACCTCTGCATCACAGGACCCTGTCTGGTGTTAAAAGCTGCCTCCCATCTCCCTTTTCATCAAGACTCCCTCCTTTTTGTCTCCTTCTATATTCCTTCCTCCATCATTACGTCTCTCCTTGAGGATAAGATTTGTTCCCTTAATTTTTTAAAAATCATATAAACAAAAAGTATATAAAACACATCTATGGATTTTATGGAATAATAAACACATGGTGTACCTGAATCTCCTCCTGATTTAAGAACAGATCAAATATTACTGGTATCTTAGAAGTCTTCTGTGTTCTCCTCCCTGATCACATCTCCTTCTCTCCCACTGAAGAAGTAAACACTATTCTGATTATTTTAAATGTATCGTTCCTTTTTAAACTTTGCAGCCTCATATCTTTTGTGTCTCAGCAATTGTCCAGAGTTTTATTCATCCATAAACTGCAGCATTTCTTACATTCTTACTCTCTTGGCAACTTGTCTCACTGTATGTTTTTTCTTAATCTCTTCAGTTTATATCTTCCTTTGACCCTCTGCACTCTCCTATTTTCTATCTTTAATAACATGCCTTTTCCTTACCCTGTTTCTTCTGGTCCTTTTCTCTGACACCAATAATAGGCAAGCACTACTTTCCCTACATCCCATTAACTCCACACAGAAGCACATTAATTTATTCTTTTTTGGTCCTCAAAGAGCCAGTCATGTACTAACTGCTACAAAGTTATGAGACAAATTCTGCCCTACAGTTCAATAATAATAACCACTTATAGTTTTGACAGTTACTATCTGTTGATGTCCTATATACTAACACTGTGCTAAATAATTTCCTGGAATATCTGCTTCTTAAAAGAACCCTGCTAGACAGTTAATATCTCTGCAGAAGAACAAACAGTCTCAAAGAGGTTAAGTAACTTGCCCAGGGTTACCCTGCCAATGAGTGTCAGTGCCAGGATTGTAGACCCTGTTTGATTCAGAACTGTCTTAAGAACATGTGGAAATTGATGGGCTGTAGGGGAATAAACTTGTGACTTACTTGCAATTAAGTCAGACTCTCTTCACGGCCTTGCTGCCACAGCTTCCCCATAGAAAGGAACTTCTGGACTGGTTGGAGCCTCCACTTGTGATCTCACAATGAGAACTAAAAGCAAACTAAAGAGGAATGTTATACTCTTGATGATTATTGGAACTTGGATTTCAGTTAAGAGTATTGATTGCTAGTGCTTACTTCCATGGGCACTCAAAAAAGCGCTTCATATTTACGGCTCCTTATAACTTCAAAAGGTGGGTACTATTATTACCTTCCCTTACAGATCAATAATTGAAGACATGTAGAGGTTGAATATCTTGTTCTGGAAAGTATAGCTAGTAAGCGCCAAAGACCAAATTTTAACCCAGGTGGGCTGGCTGAAGAAGCTATGCGCTAACCACATTCCACCATTGCTCTGCCAGACACATGAGCTAGAGTTAGCGCTTTACTATGGAACTCTTGCTAACGACTTCTTTTCCTCAATCCAGTAAGTTAACCTCTCTTTTAGTGACATTAAAGGCAGAAAAAAAGGCATAGTGAGATGATGGGGGGAGGAATCCCAAGACTCCCATCCCATAGAGAGAAGTAGCTCATTAATTCTGCCAAGACTAGGTGCCCCATAACCTATAGACAGCTAATTGGCCACAGCTACTAATGGTTAAGAAGGAATGTGAAGATTCAAAGGAAGTGTGCCAGCAACTGAGTTCCCTTTGGCATATAAAAAGGTCACCACTGCTTCTCCGTGTCACTGGGGAGTAAAAGGGCACTATTCTCTCCTGATCCACACCTTCTGAGTGTCCCATATTTCCAGCCTTCCTCTCAAGCCTCGAATGTGCTCATTCAATCCCCCCTGACTTTGGTTTATTTCCTTTCTCTTTTTAAAATTAAGGTATAATTTACATAATGAAGTGCACATATTTTAATGGACAATTCACTGAATGTGAACAAATGTATACATCCAGACAACCATTACCCTACTGAAGATATAGAACATTTCCATCACTCCAGAAATTTCATCATGCCCATTTACAATAATTCTCCCCATGCTCTAGGCAACCACTGCTCTGATTTCTATCATTTTGTTTTGCTTTTTCCAGAACTTCACATAAAAGATTCATTCAGCACATACTCTTTGTGTTTGGTGTGTTATGCTCTGTACCACAGTTTGGAGAATCATCCCTGTTGTTTTGTGTATCAATAGTCCAATTCTTTTTTAAAAATATCAGTGAGTAGTATTCTCTTGCCTAAATATATCACAATTTTTTCATCCATTCACTTGTTGATGAACATTCAGGTTTGTGGTTGTTTTAAAATATGGCCCCCAATTTTCTTATATCCCCTTCACAAAGTAGAGCCTACTTCCCTTACCTTTGCATGGGAGCTGTACTGAGTGACTCAGTTTTAACAAATAGAATCTGGTAGAAACGATGGGATGTGACATCAAAGACTATGTCACAGTAACATTGTGACTTCTTCTTTGTGGATTGTTTACTTTGGAGGAAGCCATCCTAGCAGTGAATGGAAACACACATATGGGGAGAAACTAAGGCTCCCTACTAAAAACGTGCAACATGTGACTGGGACATCTTGTAAGTGAATCCTTCAGCTTCATCCAAATCTTAGAAATACAATCAGCTGACTTCTTGACTACAATGTCAAGAAAGATCCTAAAATAGATACATCTACTATGTATTCACAAAAAGTTTTTAAAAAGTTAAAAGAAAGATCCTAAGCTAGAATCACCAGCTACTATTTAGCTGCTTCTGAATTGCTGGCCCATAGAAACTGTGAGATAATAAATATTTGTTGTTTGAAGCCATTAAGTTTTGGGATAACTTTTTATGCTGTAATAGAGAAACAGTGTGGGGTGGTTTCCAGTTTTTGCTGTTGTGAATCAATCTGCTATAAACTTTCATGTACAAGTCTTTTGTGTATGTGTATTTTCATTTCTCTTTGGTCAAAACCTATTTGTGGAATTTCAGGGTCATGTGATAGACATTCTAGTGGATATCAGGTGATATCTCATTATAGCTTTTATAGCTTTTTAATTTAATTTTTTTTTTTTTGAGACGGAGTCTTGCTCTGTTGCCCAGGCTGGAGTGCAGTGGCGCGATCTCGGCTCACTGAAAACTCTGCCTTCCGGGTTCACGCCATTCTCCTGCCTCAACCTCCCGAATAGCTGGGACTACAGGCGCCCGCCACCACGCCCAGCTAATTTTTTGTATTTTTAGTAGAGACGGGGTTTCACCATGGTCTCGATCTCCTGACCTCGTGATCCGCCCACCTCGGCCTCCCAAAGTGCTGGGATTACAGGCGTGAGCCACCGTGCCCGGCTTTTTTTTTTTTTAGACTGAGTTTCACTCTGTCGCCCAGGCTGGAGTACAGTGGTGTGATCTCGGCTCACTGGAACCTCCGCCTCCCAGGTTCAAGTGATTCTCCTGCCTCAGCCTCCTGAGTAGCTGGGATTATAGACATGTACCACCATGCCCAGCTAATTATTGTATATTTAGTAGAGACGGTGTTTCACCACATTGACCAGGCTGATCTCGAACTCCTGATTTCAGGTGATCCACCTGCTTAGGCCTCCCAAAGTGCTGAGTTACATGTGTAAGCCACCAAGCCAGGCTAATTTTGAAAATTTTTTGTTGTATATGTATATGCTTAGGATATACAGGATTTCCTTTTTTTTTTTTTTTTTTTTTTGAGACAAGTCTCATTCTGTCTCCTAGGCTGGAGTGCAATGGCACGATCTCGGCTCACTAAAACCTCCGCCTCCTGGGTTCAAGCGATACTCCTGCCCCAGCCTCCCAAGTAGCTGGGATTACAGGCGCATGCTGCCACACCCGGCCACTTTTTTGTGTTTTAGTAGAGAGGGGGTTTCACCATGTTGCCCAGGCTGGTCTCGAACTCCTGAGCTCAGGCAATCCACCCGCCTCGGCCTCCCAAATGATGTTTTGATATACATAGTTAAATGATTACTATGGTCAAGCCAATTAACATATCTATCAACTCACAGTTACTTTTCTTGTGGTAAGAGTACTTAAAATCTATTCTCTTAGAAATTTCCAGTATATAATACAATGTTGTCAACTGTAGTCCTCAGGCTATACATTAGATCTCTAGACTTATTAATCTCACAGTAGTTTCTAAATTTACAATTATCCAACAACTAAGTCATTGAGCATCTTTTCATTGGTCATTTATATATTCTTTTGTGAGGTGTCTGTTCAAGTCATTTGTCCATATTTTATAGTGTTTCCTTTTATGATAAAAGTATATGAGTTCTTCATATATTCTGCATAAAAGTCCTTTGTCAAATAAATGCACTGTGCTATTTTTTCAGTCTGTGGTTTGATGTTTCAATTTGAATGGCGTCTTCAAAGGAGAAGAAGCTTTTAAGTTTGATTAACTCAAAATTCATCAATTATCTTTTTGCAGTTAAGTGCTTTTTGAATCCTAAGAAATCTTTACCTATTCTAAGGTCATAAATATTTTCTTTTATGTTCTTCTTTAGAAGCTTTTAATTTCTAGCTTATATGTTTATTTATATGACCCATGTTAATTTTTTTGTATGTTGTGATATAGGAGTCATAATTCATTTTCATACATATAATAAAATATTATGAAAATGGCTGCTTTTTTACACTTGATCTTAGCCAAAAGGCCGAGAAGCGATAAAAAAAATGGCTGCTTTTTTAAACAAATCATAATGGTACAGTTTTTATACCTATATCTGGTTCCTCCAGTACCATTTGTTGCAAAGAATATCGTTTCCTGTATTGAATTATCTTGGTGTCTTTGTGTAAAATCAATAGATCTTATGTGTTTGGCTCTATTTCTGCACTTTCTATTCAGTTCCACTGATCTCACCAGTTGATGACATTTGGATTGTTTCTACTTTTTGGGTGTTACTAATAATGTTCTTATGAAGAGTCATTGAAGGCATATGATTTAAATTGTCTTGGATATTACCTGACAGTGGAATTATTGGGTTGTATAGTAAATTTTTTTTATAAAAAACCTGCCAAATTGTTTTCCAAAGTGGCTCTGTCAATTTTGACATATTCTTGCCAACACTTAATCAGTATTTCACATCTTTGTCAACATCTTATACCATCAGTTTCTTATTATAGTCATTCTAGTAGACTTGTAAGTATTGTGTTTAATTTCATGTTCTTAATAACCAATGATAAAGAGCATCCTTTCATGCCTTTTTTTTCCATCTGGGCCCCAGCTGATTGGATGATACCCATCTATATTGACAGTGGATCTTCCCTACCCAATGAAAGACTATATTGTCCATGAATTCTTTAAAAATGGTTTTAATTTAACTATTTATATTAGATGTTTTGAATCTCTGTTTGCTAAATTCAACAGCAGTCCCACTTACAGTCAGTTTCCATTAACTGCAGTCTTTTCTCTAAGACTTGATTATACTTTCCTGTTTCTTTGCATGTCTCATTTTAGATACTATATTGACAAGTTTATATTCTTATTTTTTTCTAAGAATTATTTTGTTAACATTATTGGACATAATCTGTGGACTGTGTATCTTCCACCATTTATGGCTTCCATGGTCTCAACCTAGCTCTTAAAAATTCATATTTTAAAATCTTGGATCCCAGAAGTTTCCCTTGTTCTTGCACAGCTTAGTGTTCAGTCAATGATTGGGTGAAGGTTTTGGTCAAATACTTTTGATTTCAAAAGGCTTCCATTCTCTGCTAATGCATCTGCCTTTGTGCTGGGACCATATTCAAATTCAGAGAGCTTTTAAGTTTGTCTTGGATTTTACTTCATGCTGGTTTCTCTCATGTTTCTTCTGTACATACCTGTAGTTTCCCAGTCAGCCAGGAATGTGTAGAGATCTTATCTAATTCTTCTATAGCTATCTAATTCCCAGCATCTTCCCATTACATTTCTGATAGGTTCACTGTTCGCCTCATTAAAACTGTAACCTCTGGATACCTGAGCCTTAAACACGATTGAGTTTGTTACTTTTACTGACATAAACCCTAGGCATGAGTTTTTATCTTTGTTCCAAATCATCTCAACCCTCTTTAATAGTGTAATTGTTGATTTTCATGGCCATTCCTGACTGGCAAAACTACCATCAACTAAGTTGGAGTAGTACTGGAGCACTTTTCACAGGACAGGCACAGTTACCTATGATTCTTACCTAAGCTTCTAGCACTGCTTTATGAAAAAGTGGTTCTCAATTTATTATTTGCCTTGGTTTATTTCCAGACACCTGAAATGATTGTTTTTGACAATTTTTCTGGTTTTATAATTTATTTGTGAGGTGGAGGAAGGAAGGATTTGCTGTCCTCTTTAATTCACCATATCTGGTGAATTTTATTTTTAATGTATATATATTAATTTATATTTATTATTTATTTCATAATTTATATTATAATTTTATTTTTAATCTATAAGTGTATTTATGATTAAGCTGTCTTTATATTTAAAGTGCAAGTTTTTTTCTTGGGGATACCATATGGATCCTGAACTTATAAGAGTCTACTCTGACTTAATACAATACCTTTAACATAGAATATAAAAATCTGATAATAATAAAATTAGTTATAATTCCTCCCATTCTTTGTGCAGCTATTGCCGTGTTTTACTTTACATATGTTACAACCCTTGTAATATATTATCATTATTTTTAGACTTTTAATGAATTTAAGAAAAGGAAGAAGATAACTTTTATATACACTTTTATGTTTCCAATCTTGAAAGTTTTTCGTTCCTTCTCATAGATTTGAAACTCCAAATATTATAATTTCTCTATAGCCTGAAAAACTTCCTTTATCCTTTTTTATTCTTTTAGTGAGTATCTTCTGGCAACAAATTTTCTCAGCTTCTTTTTAATTTCAGATGGCTTTATTTTGCCTTCATTTAAGAAAGATTATTTTCCCCCACTGGGTAATTCTAAGTTGGCAGATTTTTTTTCTCTTCACATTTGAAAGATAATTCATAGCCTTCTGACTCCCTTTGTTTCTGTTGAGATGTTGGCAGTCATTTTTATTGTTATTCCTTATTATGCAATATGTCTCTACCACTTCAGCGGGTTTTCAGATTTTTCTTTTTAAATCTTTGTTTTTCTCAGTTTATGATGTATGTAGATGTGGTATTGATAATGTGGATTGCTATTTTTATCGAATTTGAAAAAATTTTGCCAACATTTTTTGAACAATTTTTTTGTTTGCCCTTTTATCTCTCTTCTCCTTTTTTTCCCCTAATTTTTATTTTAGTTTCAAGGGGCACAGGTGCAGGTTTGTTACACGGGTAAATTGCGTGTCATTGGGGTTTGGTGTACAAATGATTTTGTCACCTAGGTAGTGAGCACAGTAACCAATAGGTAGTTTTTTGACCCTCACCATCCTGCCATTCTTCCAACTCAAGTAGGCCCTGGTGTCTATTGTTACTTTCTTTGTGGTCATGTGTATTCAATGTTTTGCTCCCACTTACAAGTGAGAACATGCAGCATTTGGTTTTCCAATCCTGCTTTAATTTGTTTAGGATAATGGTCTCCATCAGGATCCATGTTGCTGCAAAGGCCATGATTTCATTTTTCATGGGTGTATAGTATTCCATGGTATATAAGTACCATGCATTTTTCTTCTCCAGTCCACTGTTGATAGGTATTTAGGTTGATTCCATGTCTTTGCTATTGTGAACACATACACATACATGACTCTTTATGGTAGAATAATTTATATTCCTTCGTGTATATTTCCAGTAATGAGATTGCTGGGTCAAATGGCAGTTCAGTTTTAAGTTCTTTGAGAAATCTCCAAACCACTTTCAACATACATTCTCAGCAGCATGTATGAGCTAACATACATTCTCAGCAGCAGTGTGTAAGCATTCCTTTTTTCTCCACGATGCTTCCAGCATCTGTTATTTTTTGAGTCATTCTGACTGATATGAGATGGTATCTCACTGTGGTTTTCACTTGCATTTCTCTAATGAATAGTGATATTGGGCATTTTTTTCATGTGCTTCTTGGCTACATGTATGTCTTCTTTTGAGACGTGTCTGTTCATGTCCTTTGCCCATTTAAAAAAAATTTTTTTTCTCTTTAAGTTCCTTATAAGCTCTGGATATTAGACTTTTGTCAGATGCATAGTTTGCAAACATTTTCTCCCATACTGTAGGCTGTTTATTTACTGTCTTGATGGTTTCTTTGGCTGTGCAGAAGCTCTTTAGTTTAATTAAGTTCCACTTGTCTATTTCTGTTTTTGTTTCCATTACTTTTGACAACTTTATCATGAAATCTTCACCCATTTGTATGTACAGAATGGTATTTGCTGGATTTTCTCCCAAGGTTTTTATAGTTTTAGGTTTTACTTTTAAATCTTTAATTTACTTCGAGTTGACTTTTGCATATGGTGAAAGGAAAGGGTCCAGTTTCAATCTTCCTAATACGGCTAGCCAGTTAGCCCAGCACCATTTATTGAATAGTGAGTGCTTATTTTTGTTGACTTTGTTGAAGATAAGATGGTTGTAGGTGTGCGGCATTATTTCTGGGTTCTCTGGTCTGTTCCATTGGTCTATGTATCTGTGTTTGTAACAGTACCATGCTATTTTGGTTACTGTAACCTTGTAGTATAGCTTGAAGTTGGATAATGTGATGTCCTCAGCTTTGTTCTTTTTGCTTAGGATTGCTTTGGCTATTTGTGCTCTTTTTTGGTTACATATGAATTTTAGAATAGTTGTTTCTAGTTCTGTGAAAAATGTCATGGGTAGTTTAATAGGAATAGCATTGAATCTGTAAGTTACTTTGGGTCATATAACCATTTGGATAATACGGATTCTTCCTATTCATGAACATGGAATGTTTTTTCCATTTTTTGTGTGTGTTGTCTCTGATTTCCTTCAGCAGTGTTTTGTAATGCTTGCTTGTTGTAGAGGTCTTTCATCTCTCTGTCTAGCTGCTTTCCTAGGTATTGTGTGTGTGTGTGTGGCTATTGTGAATGTAATTGCACTGTTGATTTGTCTCTCAGCTTGGACATTGTTGCCATATTCTGTGCCATGCCAGATGGAGTACTTAACAGAGCAGTGGATGTTGTAATGAACATATGTCTGCTTTTAAGATTCCAATAAAATATTTTAGGATTATAGCTGTGGACAGCTTTCAGTTTTTCAAGGATGAGGTTGGATTCTATACCCGGGACATAATTAGGCTGAGCATTCTCAGGAAAGTTAAGATCACTACAAGCCTCTCCACTCTACCCAAACACTGAGTTTCTGTTGTGAGGGATGACCCAGCAGGTCTGGGATAGCTGTTGAGAGTTTTGATACTATGGTTGGGCCTAAGAGGGAGGCTGCATGGGAGAAGCCAAACTACCAGCTGGGGCTGTGGGACAGTGGTGGAACCAAGGACAAATGTAGTCCCCTGTTTTAACAATGACCATTGTTGTGTTTTTTTTCCTCTTCTAGGGTCTTTCTACATCCCATATCTTAGTTACTCATAAAACTGTGCTGCCACAGGCCCATTTTTCGGTGAGAAAGCTAGAAAAGTTGGAGGACTTATTCTAAGTCACGCTGTTACCAGCCTAGAGGGGCATCTCAGTGTTTTGAGCAGCTTCTCGTTTTGTGAGCTTTGTGGATGAGTGGTAAGAAAGATGGTCATTTGGGCCGGGCACGGTGACTCAGGCTTGTAATACTAGCACTTTGGGAGGCTGAGGCAGGCAGATCACCTGAGGTCAGGAGTTCAAGACCAGCCTGGCCAACATGGAAAAACCCCATCTCTACTAAAGATACAAAAATTGGCTGGACGTGGTGGTGCATGCCTGTAGTCCCAGCTACTCTGGAGGCTGAGGCAGGAGAATTGCTTAAACCTGGGAGGTGGAGGTTGCATTGAGCCGAGATCATGCCACTGAACTCCAGCCTGGGAGTCAGAGCGAGACTCCATCTCCAAAACAACAAAAAAAAGAGAAAGATTGGTCATTTATGGGTGGGTGGGTGTATTCGAAGGAAATGTTCAGTTGTGAGGATATCAGAAGAAGGAAGAAAAATCATAACTGGGAAAGAAAGATACTTTTTTGTGAGACGTAGCTTGAGTAATTTATTTTTGATATTTGATTTTTTGAAATATTTTTTGAGTACTTAACATATGTAGAGATTAGAAACTTCTGGTAATTAAGAGGGGGCAAGATAGCTAGAGTATCATTTAGTATAGGATTATAGGGAGGTATTTGAAGTTTTCTTCTTCTTTCCTTTTCTTTAAATAGTAAAACTGAACAGAGAGTAGAGAGGTTTTCTGTATACCTCCTGCCCTTCCTCCCTAGGTGGACTCTCCTACTAACAACATCCCATATTAGAGTGGTAATTTGTTATAACTGATAAACTTACACTGACATATCATTATCACCCAACGTCCATTGTTTACTTCAGGACTCACTCTTGGTACTATATATTCTATGTGTTTGGACAAGTGAATCCTAGTACATACAGAATAGTGTGACTGCCCCAAGGTTCTCTGTGCTTTCTATTCATCATTCCTTCTCTGACCCCATACTCCTGCTGTAACCTCTGGAAACCACTGATATTTCTACTTTCTTCATCATTTTGCCTTCACTGAAAGAGTTTTAAGGCATATTGATTAGGAGAAGTTAGAGGTTAAAGTAAAAGAAGGAGAGGTAAGAGGTCACCAGTCATTAAAAATACATTGAAGGCAAGAAAAGTGTTGGGAGAAGGGATCATAAAAAACATGAGTACTTCAAAGGGAAATAGGGATGAGAGCTACTGGGTAATATCAGGAAATTTTTAAAAAGAAGGTGTTTATTGGAATTGGAGATGGAAGTCATGGGAAGCAGGAGTTCTAGGACACCAGAGGTCAAAGTGTCCAGTATGATAAGAAGGAATACAGAAGGCTTGAAAAGGAATAAGAATTCATTAGAGGAGTTGAGTGGCATGCAGAATGGACACAGAAAATTGCCAGAACTGGCCAACTCGAAAATGGGGCTTTTGCCGACAGTTTGGTGCCTACTTAAACAGAATGTATCACTTGGTTGTCAGACATTATTCTATAGTGGCAGGATTCTATGACTTGCCCTTCCTTTCCCAGATTTCATGATTTTCTCAAGTGACCCTTATGGGGCATCCAAATGTGGCAACATAATAATTCATGGACACCAGAATTATCCAAGAGGAACTGGAGAGACAACAGCATTGGAGGGCCATCCAAGACCCCCAGTAGTCCTTTCTGTACTTGGTCTCCATGTGCCATCTTCACTTCCTTAGAAAGGGTCGTGTGGCTGGGTGTGGTGGCTCACGCCTGTAATCCCAGCACTTTGGGAGGCCGAGGTGGGCAGATCATGAGGTCAAGAGATCGAGACCATCCTGGCCAACTTGGTGAAACCCCATCTTTACTAAAAATACAAAAATTAGCTGGGTGTGGTGGCGCACACCTGTAGTTCCAACTACTTGGGAGGCTGAGGCAGGAGAATCGCTTGAACCCAGGAGGCGGAGGTTGCAGTGAGCCGAGATCACACCACTGTACTCCAGCCTGGGCGACAGAGCTAGACTCCTTCTCAAAAAAAAAAAAAAAAAAAAAAAAAAGAAAGGGTCATGTTGATCACTTTTGGATCTTTTTTGATGACCAGTAGAGTGCTATAGACTGGCTAAAAGAAAGAACTGAAGGAACTGTGACTCATTTACTTTCTATAGAACACCAGAGAGAAAGCCAAGGAATGCAAAGAATGCATATCCAGTGTCAAGGAGGAATGGGGAATGAGCTGAGTTCCTAAGGAGGCCCAGCCAGGCCATCCCAGAAACAGGAAGAATTAAAAGCCTCATCATCTAGCAGAAATCCTACAGTATTTATTTCACTAATTTGTTTTAGGTCCTCTCTTTGGATAATACAGAAGAATAACTCTACAATGTCCTCATTTATACTGCCAGAGGGCCCATAATGGTGATTCTCCAAAGAGTATATGGCCTGCATTCTCATTCACAATTGGGACGCACCCCTGTACTTATCTCTAGTCCTCCTTCAGTTCATTTCCAGACCCATGCTAGTGCAAGACTTAAAAGTGCTCCAGCCAGAAGAGTCTTCTACCACTCGTTCAAATTCATTCAACAAATAAATATTATCAAGTATAAAATTCCAAATTGGCATCAATAATATAAAACTGTCAATGCAAACCCCATTTTTCAAATTGACTATTTTTAGGAGCTGAATAAAGATCAAAATGATAAGCCCAATGTGTATAGGTATCTGTGGTCCATTGCAAAAATGAACTATTTCCCAATGGCTGCTTTAGAAAGTTTCTATTTGAAAGGCAGTAAATAAGAGGCATCATGATTGCCTAGGGCAGTATTTTTACCCTTGGAGTCAAGGATGGTCAGGGTTTCTATGTTTATCATTTGTATTCTTTTATGCAAATGGGGAATTAGGTCTAGATACCAAGAACTAGACCAGGATCTTATTGGGGTCGGAAATTAGGAGTAAAGCCAGTCCACAGGAATATCATGAACTGAAAAACAAAGAGGCAGAAAACATTGTTCTGGATGATAAGTTCCAGTTATTAGGTAAAATATTCTCGTGAAAAGTTGAGTAATTTATTTAGGTCCATCAGGGTGCCTATGGTCGACAGAGTCCTCAACTGTGTTATTTCCGCTGCTTGGGTTCTAAACCACCTTTTGACCTATTATTTGGCTTTCTGAAGAGGGTGATTGCAAAATGGATCTTATTATGCAGACCAGGTGTGCTGCTTATTCAGAACTCAGCAGTTACTTTGGCTCTAAATCAGCCTCCTGAGAAGTCAGTATTGGTAAGTCAGTCATTTCATTAGGGCTTGGTCACTGACTGGTATATTATCAACCATGTTTTTTTCAGGCATGCTGAGGTTGAAGCAAATGGGAGAGAGATGACTTTTAACTTCTGTGCTTCCACCTCCTCATTCTCTCAAGTGGCCGAATGTCTAACCTCAGTCAATCGTTGTGCCTTGAGGCTTGTTTCTCTAACTATATCCATACATATGTGGTGAATAAATATATCTATCATTCTTGGGTGCAAGTGCCCTGACTCCTGCTGCTTCTCTGCAGTGCCTCTAATTGGTTAAGAAGGTTGTGGCTTGGCTTTCCAGGCCCCTGGCAGGTGACATTGTCAGTCCTGGCTGCCAGGAGAGGAAACATCCAGAAAATGCTATTGCACAAACCAGGTGGTGGTTATGGTAGATGAGACAGATTAATAATATTGCCTCTTCTTGCAGGAAATGGGATTGGGTGATGAGGAGGGAGATAGGCAAGGGAAGCTCAGGGAAGGGAGGAAGTGGGTCTGGGCTGCAGTGAGAATGAAGGAGAATGAAGAGGATCCACTGAAAAGCTGAGCAGAGGAGAAATACAAAGGAAGTTGACCAGATTGCCAGCACTATGTAGAATAAGGCACACTGTGGGAACTTGATAATTATTCGCAGACTTGAAAGAAGTGTAAAGGGTTAGCCAAAAGAAAAAAAAAGTTGAATAGATGATGGGTGGCATCTTTGAAGCTTGAAGTTTGCACTGAGATCCCACTTTCTGTTTTTCTCAACTCTCAGAGGATCAACCCTGGAATCTTTTGTGTAGCAAGCCTGGTCAGCTCCTAATCCTTCTCCTTATGTCCCTGGGAGACCCAGAGCCCCTGTTTCTTGGTGGCCCTGATGTACCTGAGTTCTCTTCTTTCTTCTACAATATTTCCTCTTCCAACTCTTTCCTAGTCTTCCCTGACTGGAAAGAGTTAAGGCCAGTGAGGGCACACAACCTAGAGAGGCAGAGAGGCTGGCAATGGACAAGCACACGCTCCCATTTCCAGGACTGAGCCACAGCCTTTGTTCAGTGTCTCTTCCTGAGTCCTACATCCCTTTCCTGGCCCCTGTGTAAGATCCCCACGTGCTAGGCTCTCCAAGCCCTCCCTAGGGCACTGATTTGTGAATCCCAGAGAGCTCAGTGGGGAGCAGAAACGCAGGGGGACCATGCTGCCACAGGAGGAGCTGATGCAGGGAAGCAGTGAGCATAGACTGTGGGAGTGAGCTCTGGTTGGGAGGTTTCTCCAAGCCCTGTGAAGAGATTGGCCTGGGATGCACAGAGATGGCTTTCCTTGTGAGCCGGTGAGTCTTCCTCTGAGGTCTTTTTTGTTCTTTCTCTTTTCTCTGCTCAGTTCTTCAGCCTGCCTCTGTTTCTTCTTTCTCTCCTTCTCCCTTCCCTTCCATCTGACTTCTACCCTCCCTCCCTGATGCCACAGTCACTTCTTACTTCAGTTCTGCAAAGCTAAAGAATGAGGATACTGGCTGGGCACAGTGGCTCACGCCTGTAATCCCAGCTCTTTGGGAGGCCAAGGCAGGTGGATCATGAGGTCAGAAGTTCAAGACCAGCCTGGCCAACATGGTGAAACCCCGTCTTTACTAAAAATACATAAATTAGCTGGGCATGGTGGTAGGCTCCTGTAATCCCAGCTACTCAGGAGGCTGAGGCAGGAGAATCGCTTGAAACCAGAAGGCAGAGGTTGCAGTGAGCCAAGATCGTGCCACTGCACTCTAGCCTGGGCAACAAGAGTAAAATCCTGTCAAAAAAAAAGAAAGAAAGAATGAGGATACTTCTGGTAGCAGATACCATCAGGAGCTGGGGTGCACTATAGTGAGTGGGTCCCATGGGATTAGGGAAGTTGAGGAAGGGAGTGTCAGGGAGAAAGGTTGGTAGGAGGAAATATTAGGGACAGAGCAGTGGGATTTCAAGAAGCAGGTCAAGTTTTGCTCAGGGGCAATGGCAGGTGTGAGTAAGGGAGATGTGAGGTTCAGGAAGGTAGAATACAGTGGGGGAAGACTCAATATGGGGATCACTGATGGACTCTCCCTAGCTTTTGAGTGGTGTTTGTCTTGAAAACCAATGACTGTGCTTATATTGCCCAGGATTAATGTAGTTCAAGGTCCCTTGGTAGCTATCTATGGTGGAGAAAGAGCATTTGCTGCAATCTTCCTTCTGGTTCTTTGTGAGAGTATCAGCTATAAGAAGCATATAGTCCTTGGGACAAATAAGCACAGAATAGTGGATCTGGAACTCAATCCAGAGCTCATTTGATTTAGCCTTTATGTTTATTGATGATGAAATTGAAAACCAAAAAGATGATGCAAAGAGTTTGCTCTAGGTCCTGTAAAGTTTTAGTAACGGAGTAGAGATCACAACCCATGTCTTCAATCTTTACCAAGGTGTATTAGTCTGTTTTCACACTGCTGATAAAGACTTACCCAAGGCTGGGCAATTTACAAAACAAAGAGGTTTATTGGACTTACAGTTCCACATGACTGGGGAGGCCTCACAATCATGGTGGAAGGCAAGGAGGAGCAAATCACATCTTACATGGATAGTAGCAGGAAAAATGAGAGCTTGTGTAGGGCAGCTCCCATTTCTAAAACCATCAGATCATGTGAGACCCATTCACTATCACAAGAACAGCACAGGAAACATCCACCCCCATAATTCAATCATCTCTCACCAGGTCCCTCCCACAACACATGGGAATTATGGGAGCTACAAGATGAGATTTGGGTGGGGACATAGAGCCAAACCATATAACCAGGGATTTTCCATTCAATACTTTCCCCTGTCTATTTTTTTTTTTTTAATTACTGATTGGTGGCTCTAAGTCTTGCTCCAGAAAGACTAATGTGCTGGGTTACATAAATGTACAGAAAATAAGGATGAGAGAGACTGGACAAAGAAAAAGGTAGAATAGAACAACAACAACAACAGCAAGTGAGACCAGAAACTAGATATCTCAAAAATATATCGTGAGGAATTGCACATTTCCTGGAGATGAGTTACAAATTCAGGTGGAAACTTGCTAGCTGTCATGTTAAGAGGAAAAGTGATTACTTAATTTCTTAAAAAATTAAACATACACTTCCCATGTGATGCAGCCATTTCACATCTATGTATTTGCCCCAGAGAAATGAAAGCATACAAAGACTTTGTACACAAATGTTCATAGAACCTTCATTCTATGAACCAAAAACTGGAAACAACCTGAACTTCCTTTAGCAGGTGAATGAATAAAAAATTGTGAAAACAACCCAAATTTCCTTCAGCAGGTGAATGGATGAACAAATTATGTCATATCTATACAATGGAGTATCACTCAGAAATGAAAAGGAATGGCTGCTGTACACACCACAACATGGCCAAATCTCCAAATATAAGTCAGACTAAAAAGAGTACATATTTTATAATTTCATTTATATAAAACTCTGAAAAAAGAAAAATATAGTGCTGGGAAGCAGATCAGAGGTTGCTTGGGAATGAGGAGTGCAGGGAGGGGTGAAAGAGAGAGATTACAATGGAGTGTGAGGGAGCACGGGGGCTGGATATGTTCATTTCGTGATTGCGCCTATAATGTCATGGTGCATACATGGGTCAAAACTTATCAAATTGCACACTTAAACATGTACAATTTGTCATATGCCAATTGTACTTCCATAAAACTGTGAGGAAATGTTATTGCTTATATGACAGGAAAAATACAGTGATTCCTATCACTGAGATATGAGAAAAATGATCCCTCTGAGAGTTTCATAATGTTGCTTCTTGTAATCTTTCTCAATGTAAACCAATGGCTTAATGCCAAAACACTCTTTAGCAAGACCAGTTCTAGGAAAGATGAGTTGATGGAGATATGTAGGAAGTGGAAATATTTCAGCATTTTAAATGTGTAGCTCTGTGCTCATCTGCTTTAGCTTGGGGATAAGATTTAGATTTTAAATTATCAGAGGAAAAGCTGTTTTGACAATCCTTTAGGCAACCCTTCTTAAATGCTGTTCCTCGCTATTGCAGTTTTGTTCAATTGAAGAGCAGTAGTTGTGAGGTTTTCCACATTGATAAAATGAGTTTGAGGAAGGCCACACAACCCCTTTTGGGGGGTGGGGACAGGGAGTAACACCTTTGTCTTTTCGCTTTACATTTTGAGTGTTTTCTTACTTTGCAAACTGTTCTCTGATAGTTTCATGAGAATCAGTGCTTTCTTAACAGGACAGCAAGTGCTCTCTGGACAGAATCACCACCCTGTATGTACTTGATATTCTCCACAGTGCCAAAGAGCAATAGGCACATAGAAAGTTTGCAATAAATACTGTTGCATTTGAATAAAGTGTTGGAATGATATAAAGTATGTAGATTGCACTTTTAATTATTAATAAATACTTGCCTCTTGGAGATGGCTGTTTTTGATTCACCCTCTCAGCTTATTCCACTTATTTGTTCTGCAGTTCACTGACTCTCCTGCATATCATAGCCCTTATATTTGCTCTTCCGTGTCTTGGTAGTTTTTGGCTCATATCTGTGCTGGGTAGCAGTTTCTGTTAACAGTGATGTATAGAGCCTCTTCTTCCACCTTCCTCTGGGTCTCTTGTGGGTTCCAATGCCACTGATATTTCAAGAATACCCTTCTCTTCCCAGCAAAGTCACCCCATGTGAGCCAAACATTAGCCTTTGCGCTGACCTGTCTGACTTGCTAACAAAAACATCTATCAAGATACTATTTTGTGCCAGATATTAAGCTTGATTGTTTGCAAGTCTACAAATCCTCACAAAAACCCAATGAATTAGACTCTGTTGTTACCGCAACTTTATAGATAAGAAAATTAAGGCTCACATAAAAACAAAACAGAACAAAACAAAAAACAAACAGATTATGTCCTTTGCAGCAACATGGATGGAACTGGAGGTCATTATTCTAAGCAAACTAACACAGGAACAGAAAACCAAATACCATATATTCTCACTTAAAAGTGGGACCTAACACTGAGTACACATGAACACAAAGAAAGGAACAACAGATACCAGGACATAATTGAGGGTGGAGGATAGAAGAAGGGTGAGGATCAATAAACTGCTTATCAGGTACTATGCTTATTACCTGGGTGACTAAATAATCACTGTGAGGTGAAATTTACCTATATAACAAACCTGCACATGTACCCTTGAATCTAAAATAAAATTTAAAAAAATTAAGGCTCAGAGAGATTATATCATTCACCTGTGATCACTTAGCTAACTAGCTGGAAAAAATAAGACTTGACTTTAAGTCTGTCTGACATCAGAATCTGTTCTCTTAACCTCTGCGGCATATGAATTTCCATAAGAACTTACCTTCATTGAAACTTTTGTGGCCACTCCTTACTTCTTGAGGAATCTGTCTTTAGCTGGTAGTAGATTTAATTAGGTATAATTATGTTTGCTAAGGTACTAACCAGTAGTACCACCCAAGAAACAAATGCCTTACCTAGGACGTACAAATGTCAAATGACTTTAAGGATCATTGTTGTGGCTGAAAATTTTATTACCTTGCTAGTCTGATAAGGATAATATTTTGTAACTTTATCCCTGGTTGTCAACTTGCTCTGCTTCTGAAATTGATCCTCCATCCTGGGTTTCTTGTTTCTTGCAACAGAAAGCGGAATAGAATATGTATGTGTTGTGAGGGTCTGAGGAGCGCATTTGACTACGGTAGCTTTTCAAAGATAAGTTTGTCTTTCTGACAGGCTGGCCCTCCCCTAATGTGAAGAAAGACCTTAAGGGAGACTCTTTGATCCTTAGGTATTTGGGACTGACTCAGAGCACTGCACAGAAGTCACTATCGCCCCCTTTTCAAATCTCCATAGGCACCGTTTTCTGGATGGTTCTCTTTAGGGCAGCTTTGACCTCTGTGTTCCGCAGGCTGTAGATGATGGGGTTGAGGATGGGGGTGACCACAGCATAGAAGAGGGACACCAGAGGGTCAGTGGCCGGATCGTAGCTGGCCTTAGGGCGAATATAGATAAAGAGTGCGGTGCCATAGAAGAGGGAGACCACGATCAGGTGGGAGGAGCAGGTGGAGAAGGCCTTGCGGCGGCCCGCAACAGATGGGATCCGGAAGATGGTAACGAGGATACGCCCGTAGGAGCCCAGGATGAGGCCAAAGGGGCAGAGGATGAGGAGGGCTGTTGCCAGGATAATCTGCAGTTCATTAAGCGAGGTGTCTCCACATACCAGCTGCAGGACAGGCTGGATCTCACAGAAGAACTGCGGGATGGTATTGGGGCCGCAGAAGGGCAAAGAGAAGATGAAAGGGGTGTGGCCCAGCCCCACCAGCACCCCACAGGCCCACGCCGACCCAGCTAGCTGTAGACACACCCGGTGGCTCAGCAGCAGTGGGTAGCGGAGGGGTTCACAGATGGCTGCATAGCGGTCATAGGCCATGGCTGCCAGGAGGCAGCACTCCGTGGCGCCAAAGAAGAGGAAGAAGAACATCTGGAGAGCACATCCAGAGCGAGAGATGTGGCGCCGGCCAGTAAGGAGGTGGTGAAGTAGCAGGGGGACCGTGACAGACGTATAGCCAATCTCCAAGGCCGAGAGGGTGCGCAGGAAGAAGTACATAGGGGACTGGAGGGCAGCATCAGTGGAGACCAGCACCACAATGAGGAAATTGCCTGCCACGGTCAGCAGGTAGATAGTGAGAAAGACAGAGAAGAGCAAGCCCTGGAGGTCGGCCAGGTGGGAGAAGCCGAGAAGAAGAAACTCAGTCACCATGGAGGTGTTTGCACTCATCCTGCCTGCATACCTTTGACTGGAAGACAAAAGAAATGGCAAGGAAAAATCACAACTATGGAATCGTGAAATGGGCAAAGATGACCTCTCTCTGCATCTGATCGCAGCACTAGATCTCCCTTTCTATTAGAATATCATGGACTTTGAAATTAGGCAGCCTTGCCTGGAGTCCATATTCCACCCTTGCTCACTCTTGGGATCCTGGATGAGTATTTGTCTCTCTGAGCCTGAATCCCTGACTTCATCTCTTCCTGATAGTGCCTATCATTCTAAAGAACATGTTAAACTGTCTTTCCAGTTTTACCTGGGCTGAAGATTAAGTCAGTCTAGCTCCCTTTTCACTCTTTTCTGATTTTCCAATTCTTCCTGCAGGGCTGGAGACAGAATTTTCCCTCATAGCAGATCTTTTTCTCCATCAACTTGTCTCCTGTCTGATAAGAGGTGACCTCTCTTATCACCTCTTGCCCTCTAGTTTTCTTTTTTCCAGCTCTTTCTTTAGTTACCAGATTCACTTAGTCTTTCTTCTTTTTCTGTCATTTTACCATAAATTTCACAGTGTTCAAGGAGGAGAAAAAAAATGAGAAAGATCCTCTCTTTTTAAGCTCCTATAGCATTAAACAGTTCAACTATTTAGAGGGGTGAGCATTTCTCTAGTTTTAAAACATGCTCAGGCAAAAGATGACAAGAACTTCCTTAATTGCTTATTTCTGCATCTTACAGACTTTCAAACTTAGTCCTCTTACATTGTAAACATGAAAATCCCCAAACTACACACATAAACTCCACAAATTCACACACTGTCAAATTATATTTCAAAATACAGGCACAGAAGAATAGCCTAATATTCCCAGATGCCAGATTTATCTAAAGTTGCAAATCATGTATTCTATTGGCATTATTACAGATAACAGTAAAAGTCTAAATACACTGAACATAAAACTATAAACACCCAAAGATACACTTGAATATATACACAAATTCAATATTCCAGCCATATTCAAGGTTGTGTATTAGAAATACAAGTCCACACACTGATATCCTTTTGCAGTTGAAGAGCCCTTGGTTCATTCTCCTCTGGGGGCTCTTTCAGTGTTTTCCAGAAGATATTATCTCAAAGGTGTCTTTCTATTTTCTATTTGGAGAAATAACCAGTGAAGGCAGATGGCATTTGTGACTTGCTTATCTTCTTTTTTATCTACATAGTGGATCCCTCTTGAGGAAGCCTCTCTTAGGTTTGTTGTCTCTCTTTAAGCTCTCTGAGGATCTGAGTCTCCAAGCATTCTTGGCTTTCCAATGGGGAGAATGCTTCACAAAACCAATTAATCTGTTATTTTGAATCTGTTTCTTAGATTGCAAGAAATACAGAATGACCTGTTAAGAACATTTCAAAGAATATATCCAGAGCTATTGGTTTCTCTTAGTTCTCCCATATCTCTGGTTCAACCATTTTAATTTTCTTCTTTTTTCTCATGATTTTTTCCCATCACTGTAGATGTTCTAGTACATCTACAAAAAGTAATAATGCAATTTTACCCTTCTTATGTATATTGATATAATCCAGTAATCAATTTATTTGATAACTATTTATAGGGTCCCTTGCAGGTTTTATTGATTCTACAGGTAACTAATAATATAAAAGAGAAATAAACATGTTTTGACCTAATTGAGGTGCTAAATGTCATTTTCTTATACAATTGTCACTAATTTTTCTTGCTTTGATTTCTTTTTCATTTATTATACAAATCTTTCTTTGCATTTTTATCATTGGTATCTATTATTTGATTTGTTTCTTCTGTGTTTTTATACATTTTCATAGATGTGATAAAAGCTGTGTGTCAAATAGAATGTTTTCAAGACATACCAACCATTATAACAAGCCCCAACTCCAACGGGTTTAAGTAATAAATTTACTTATTAATTTATATAACTAGAAGTTCAGGGTTTACATAAACTGGATTTCGTACTTAGTTTTCTTCTGACTCCTTTATATTTTATCATTTCATTTATTTATTAGATTTGGCTGAAAGTAATGGAAATGCCAATGGCTCAAAGAGAATGAAAATTTATCTCTCACTTAAATGTCTAAAGATTTGTAGTTCAGGGAAATATGGCTGCTCTGATCCAGAATTCCTCAGGAATCTGTTTTCTCTCAGCTCATCAGTCATCTACTCCCAGAGTGTAGCCCTGTTATGGCTGAAGATGATGCCATTAATGTTACAGGGAACAGAATGGAGTAGAATAATTTGGATTGCTATTTGTCCACTCTTAGTGTAACCTATGTAGTATTATTGCTAAAAATGTTTAATTGGAGTATAAGAAAACAGTCAGACAAATCCATATTGTGGCATATTCTATAGACAACTGACACAAACTCTTAAAAAATATCCATGTCTTTAAAGACAAAGCAAAGATGGGAGATGACATCGTTCCAGATTGAAGAAGACCAAAAGCCATGGCAATAAAATGTCATTCATGATTTTTGACTGGATCCTACGTCATCAACAAAACAAAATAAAAACAACTATAAAAAAGATTTGGAACAAGTGGGAAAGTTGAATATGGGTTTTATATTATTGGTTCAATGTTAATTCCCTTGGGTGTAATAATAGTATTGTGGTTATGCTGGAGAATATTCTTGTCATTAGAAAGATGCAGAATGGCTGCATAGTATTCCATGGTGTGTATGTGCCACATTTTCTTAATCCAGTCTATCATTGTTGGACATTTGTGTTGGTTCCAAGTCTTTGCTATTGTGAATAGTGCCACAATAAACATACATGTGCATGTGTCTTTATAGCAGCATGATTTATAATCCTTTGGGTATATACCCAGTAATGGGATTGCTGGGTCAAATGGTATTTCTAGTTCTAGATCCCTGAGGAATCGCCACACTGACTTCCACAATGGTTGAACTAGTTTACAGTCCCACCAACAGCGTAAAAGTGTTCCTATTTCTCCACATCCTCTCCAGCACCTGTCGTTTCCTGACTTTTTAATGATCGGCATTCTAGCTGGTGTGAGATGGTATCTCATTGTGCTGGCGCTTTTCGAAAGCAGCCGCTGCGGCCGCCCAACGCCAAGAACGCTTCGCGAGCAGCGCCATCTTGAGCGAGGAAAGAGGAACCGAGAGAAGAGGATTGCGGGCCACTGGCCGACTGAATTCCGTATTTTATCTTTTCTTATTGCATTTTCAGAACTGAAGATACAGCTGACAGAGCACTGAACTAGGCCAGGGTTTTAATGCTGGCTCTATGACTAACCTATTCTATAACTTTGTACAATTCACTTCATTTTAATGAGACTCATATTTCTCATCTTTAAAATGCAGACACAGCTGATTCTTATTATTCACTGCAGTTGCATTCTATAAAGTTGCCTTGAACCCTGTAGGAGCAAATATTAAATAATTCCTTGCTTTAGGGGAGATGCAGGGTTAGATTCCTATGAGTTTTTGGTCACATTTTTGTCACCTGATCAATAAATAACCTTATTGTAAGTGTGTTTCTGTTTAAACACATCTTATATAATATATATCGTTGATCATTAACGTTGAACCCACAGCCAACAGCCCTATAACACATGCCTGAACAGAGCTTATCTAGCAAATGCATTTTCTCCGTAAGATCCATTGCAACCTTTTTGTGCTCAGGAGCATGGGACAGCACTTCAGCGCTACATTTGGGGCTATTTTGAATTATGAAATCACCAAAAAACAAACAAAAAATGTGAAAAATATGGCATTCAGCAAATCAGGAAATCATGAAAAGGACACTTGTTTACAGTATAATAGCTGAAACAAGAGGACAGAGCGTTTCCTTGCTCAGCATCAGGTGGGGATGCATACAGTGTGTCTCAAACTTTTTGTCACTGTGTTCATGCACTTGTCCATGAACGACTGCGAAGGTGCTGTGAGTATTGAGCTAGGGGTTAAAAATAGATGTTAGGGAGCAGGTGACTTTGCAAATACTGAATCCACAAATAATGAAGGTCAACTCTATTGCTAGTCATGTCTACTGGTGGAATGTTTGGAACTTTCTTTTCAACCGGACATTGTGTTAATATATTTTTAGAAGGCCAGGGATTATGAATCAAGTGACCATTTTTATTTTTTCATTCATGCATTCATGCATTGCTACTTATTCACTAATCATTTATGACACAGCTAAAATATTCTTGGGATACAAAGATGAATAGGATACACCATCTGCCCTGGATAATATTTACTTCTAATTCGTAGTCTAGTGAAGAAGAAATCTAAATGGTAAGACTATGTAAATCTCTAACAGAAACCACAAAGAGCTATAATTTGTTTTTGTAAAATCCTGCTGGGTTGAATACTATCTCTTTTGTATTAAAATATATTGTTAATCCTCAAGAAGTTTTCAAAGATAAGAGATTGAACAATATTTTGGGTTAGGTCCATGATGTACTGTTATTAAAGTTTCTATGGATTCAGATTGCCTTGGATGCCTAGGCTGGAGTCTAAGGAACAAATAATCAGAAAACATCACTGAGCTCGAGCTTATGAAATATTTTAGTAACATGGGAGACTCATGGAAATGTGTGGTTTCTTTTCCAACTGGAATTACTGATACAAAATAGGATATATATGTGACCAAAGCCAAACAACATAAATGGTTGTCAAACTTGAGCTTGAAGTTAGCCCCCGTGAAGCATCCCATAGTCACTTCTGAGAGTTTGCAAGATGTGTTCAGGAATGTCTCCTCTGGTCCTTCCTCTCTTGTGTCTTTTCTGTGCCTTCAAGCTGCTGCTCTGTGAGAGCTGACTGACTCTTTTTATTTTGTCATCCTTTGCAGTGGTTGACATTGCTTTCTCCACCCTGGCTGTGGGAACAGCAACCACTGTCCCCTGTACCTGCTTTTTCTAAGCAAGGCCACAGGCCCTCTTAGAATTCTCCTAGTACAACATATATCAAGTTGTAGCTTATAGAATAATTTACTGTAGTTCTAACTTAGTGGAAAGTAAATGTAGTGCAGAGAATTATATGCTGTTATACTGATCCACACACACTTGAATTCCACTAGGTAATTTATGTGGCCAAGGGTATATTTCATTTCATTTGGAACTACTTATAATCTTTTCACGTCTTGCAGTTTAGGCCAAATTGACCCCAGGACACAAGGGAAGGTAGAAATGTATTTTTCATGCTAATATATCACCTACTTTTGGAGACTTCATTTATACCCCAGGATTAACCTCTCACCAGGGTGATTAACAATACAAACATCTACTCCCCACAGATCCTTGTCTTTATCCATGGGACTGTGGTCTGAACTGATGACCTTAAAAAGTCCATAAAATGTATTTTGACAAAAAGTTTGCTAAAATATCTGTAAGAATTAAGATTAGTCAGACTTTCCCATCTTAAACTTGAATTATCTCTGAAGTTGTGTTTCTCTATCAAACCAAATTTAACAGTATACTAAAAGGATCTTTCACCATGATCAAGTGAGATTTAGCTCTGAGATGCAAGGATGGTTCAACACACAAATCAATAAATGTGATACATAACATTAACAGAATTAAAGATAAAACCATATGATCATATAAACAGAACATGAAACGGTGAAAGAAAAGTCTTTTTAATAAATGATGTTGGAAAACTGAATATCCACATGCAGAAGAATGAAATTGGATCCTTATGACACTCAATATATGAGAATTAACTCAAAATGGATTAATGACTTAAACATATGACTGCAAACTGTAAAACTATTAGAAGAAAATATAGGAGAAAAGTTCCATGACGTTGGTATGGGCAAGATTTCTTGTATATGATCCTCAAATCACAGACAGCAAAACCAAAAGTAAACAAATGGGATTGCATCAAATTAAAACATTTCTCCGCAGCAAAGGAAACAATAGAGTGAAAAGACAACCCACAGGTTGAGAGAAAATATTTGTAAATGATACATGTAAGTGGCTAAAATTCAAGCTATATAAGGAACTTAAACAAATCAATAACAAGGAAACAAATAACTCAATTTTAAAATGAGCTAAGCACCTGAATAGACATTTCTCAAAAGAAGACGTACAAATGACAAACAGGTACAAGAAAAAATGCTCAACATCACTAGTCATCAGGGAAATACAAATTAAATTCACAATAAGATATCACCTCACACTTGTTAGAATGCCTACTACAGAAAAGATAAGAGATAAATGTTGATGAAAATGTGGAAAAGGAGAACTCATACACTTTTGGTGGAAGCGTAAATTAGTACAGTCATTAAATACACTGTGGAGGTTTCTGAAAAATTCTGAAAAAATTAAAAATAGAACCGTTGTATGACCCAGCAATCCCTTGTCTGTGTATATATTCAAAGGAAATAAGAAGAGAGATCTACACTTTCATGTTCATTGTAGTATTATTCACAATAGCCAAGATGTGGAATAAACCTAAGCATCCCTCAGCAGATGAATGGATAGAGAAAATGTGGTATATATGCATAGTGGAATACTATTCAGCCTTAAAGAAGAAGGAAATTCTGTTGTTTGCAACAACATGGATGAATCTGGAGGACCTTATATTAACTGAAATAAGTCAGGCACAGAAGGACAAATACCTCATGGTCTCCCTTCTACATGAAATCTACAAAGTCAAACTCACAGAAACAGAGAATAGAATGGTGGTTACCAGGGGCTGGAAGAAAGGGAGAAAATTGAGAAGATATTGGTCAAAGGTTACAAAAATTACAGTTAGACAAGAGAGATAATTCAAGAGATCTATTATATGAAAGGGTGACTATAATTAATGAATTGTATATGTGAAAATTGCTAAAAGAGTAGATCTGAGTGTTCTCATCACAAAAACATGATAAGTATGTGAGGTAATGGTTCATGTAAATTAGCTTGATTTTGTCATTCCATGATGTATACATATGTCAAAACATCATGTTATACATCATAAATATATACAATTTTAATTTGTCAATTAAAAATCATAATAATGTAGGCTAACTAAAAAATGCTACATTTTTCCAAAAGTTTTCTTTTCAAGACACATATACTTACCTTTTAGCATATGCTGCTGTTTGATGAAAAAAATAAACGATTAAGAGAACCCCTCCTGCTGCCAAGAAAAAATAGGGTGGCATTTACTGTGAACTACAGATAGTAGACAACGTAGTTCAGAGAAAAAGTGTTCTCGGTTGGTCAGGGAGAAAGTGGAGCTGAAGTTAGGGTCTGAGTTTGATAAATGACACAGAAGTGCCTTCAACACACTCCTAGGGATGAGAAATAAATATATCAGCCTGATTTCTGTGGAAGCTTCAAAAAAGGGAGTAGTGGCAGACAAAGTTGTTGGGCAGTAATTTGGTCAGGAAGGATATTGAAACGCTACATAACCATTTCAACGTCATTTTGTAACATCACGCCACCTTCCTTCTCCTTAAATCAGGCTCAGCATTGGCAAGATTTTGATGATCTATATAAAACACCCCTACTAAGGGTGGTACCTATTGAAACAATTGCCTGGGATGGTAAGAGGGCGATTTGGAGGCTGTAGATTGGAGAATGAAAGTTGAGGGCAGGCTCCTGGGAGGACCACTGTTGGTAATGGGGAATTTAGGGATGTTGCAGAGAAATCAGAATTTTCTGGTGAGTTATGGAGACTAGGAATTGGGGCTTTAGATGTTTGGTGAAATGGAGAGCATTTGTCCCCAAGGGGATGGAAAGGTGGGCTCCATTTGGCTCTTTTGGTTTCTGCTCCGTTTATGGTCAAGCCAACAGTTCAGGAAACCGCCTTTGAAAAAATACAATTTCCTTAGGGGCCTGCTATGTCTTGCTCATTTCAGGCTGCTCTCCAGTAAATCTGTAATTGGTTCTCAGGGGCCTCTCCCTTTGTGGCAATTTCCTGCCCTCCCATGTGATAGAGGGAAAGGACTGCGATGAAAGGACAGAATAGCCTGAGAGCTAGAAAAGGGGATGGAGGGTGGAAGAGAAAATGGCTCAGGAGTGGAGGGTAACAAGGGTGACATTTGTAATCAATGTTCTACGTTACTTCAGGTTGAGCTCAAGCAGGGAGGGAGCTGAAGGTAGGAAATTCCAACATTCTGAAGTCTTCAGCAAATCTTAGCAGATCATCTCCTCCTCACAGTCCTGTCTTTAGAGAACAGGGTCGATATTTCGGGTACGTTTATTTTTGTAAAATTCTTTACAGCTTAGTTCACAGATTCTTTAAAAAAGTTAAATGGCTGGTTTTTATAGCTGTTTATCCTGTAATCACTAGCAACTTTCAATTAACCCAGAGAGTCAAAAAGTCTTTTATTAAAAATCATTTCAAGAAGTCCCGCAGTATTTCTCTAGAATACCAGTGCTGCTCTTTTCTCCATTGGATGTTTTTAAAAGTTGATTTCTAATCCTTCTGGGTGCATACTGACTTATTTTTTTAATTCTCTCTTCTCTTTTGGAGATGGGGAACAGTAGATATTCATGCTCCCCAAGCTTCAGTTGATATGTTACAGAGTAGGAAGAAGCGAGACACCCTCATACTAATGTTTTCATGGTGGAAAGTTTTCCTCCTGCTATCCCATGGCTTGACAAAACTGGGATATACTTAAAATTATACTGTTTTCTTTTAAAACCTTTTAAGTATATTTTAATGTTTTATTATGGAGTAATTACTGAAGAGACTTGAGGAGAATTAACAGATTAAAAAAATCAAACTGAATTAACTTTTTGGTTTTCTGCTTACAAACATAACATGTTTGTTTAGCAGACATTTCAAAATATGAGAATAAATTTTTTTCTAATACCTAAAGATGAATTAAAATGTACAGTTTTGTATATATTTTTTAAAATATTTTTTCCTGGAATATTCTTTGAATTGCTCGTTTTAATTAAGGACTCTATGCTATCTCAGAGTCTGGGTTGAATGAGGGTTATGGTTTTTACTTAGAATTGAGTGTGTGGCTGATTGTTCGTTAGACAACAAACAGGCATTTTGCACTATTCTCACTTCTCTACCAGTCAGTATGGTGAAATTCCTGTTGATTTCAAACTCTTCCTGCAGTTTTTTGAGTTTTCCAATTCCAAATTCAGCTCTATTCCTTGGAGTTTTCAACTCTAAATTCATCAACTTCCTCTATTCCCTGATTCCCCTCTGTCTTTAAGGGAATAACAGCCTCTCATATATCCTACTGTTTCTGTGTTTTTCCCATTTCTTTTCTTTTCATATCTACTTTTACAGATTTAGGGGTACAAGTGCAGTTTTGTTACATGAATATATTGTGTAGCGATTGAGTCTGGGCTTTTAGTGTAACCATCACACAGATAGTGTGCATTATACCCATTAGGTAATTTCTCATCCCTCACCCCTTCCCACCTCACCTTTCCAAGTCTCCAATGTCTATTATTCTGAATTCTGTGTTCATGTGCACACATTATTTAGCTCCCACTTATAAATGAGAATATGCAATATTTGACTTTCTGTTTCTGAGATATTTCACTTAAAATAATAGCCTCCAGCTCCAATGATACTCTTGATTTCCAGGGGAGGTAGTGGTCATGAGCTATTTATTATTAGAGGTATTCTTGCCTGATTTACATGCTCACCTCTCTCCTGGCAGGAATCCTATAGAAAGACTCCAAGCCTCAGAATGAGTTTGGACCAGATAAAATAATCTAGAGTTAAAGATGGCCCACATAGGGAGTGCCAGATTCACTCACAAGGAAATGCAGATGGGATCAAAGGGTAAGAGAATAGCTTTAGAGACGGGAGTTGGAGGGCAATAACAGAACCTGTGGAATTTTGTAGTCTATGAAGAACAGCATTCTTCTCTGATCAATTCATATGGGTTTAGGTTAAGGAAGACATGGTGTTAAACATTAAGTATTCATTGAGAATATATCTTTTTGTAAGACTTCGGTACAGTAGCACTTATAAAAATTTAAATCCTGTGCTAAATGAACTTTTAGTCTTTTGGAAAAGAGAAAGTGCATACCATAAGATAATTAATGATGAACTCAAGGCAGCATGTATTTGCACATCAGGTATCAGATGAGTGGGGCCATCCCTTCTTTCACTCTTGTTACCTTGGATGTAGCTTCCATAATACTATTTAAATTTAGGTTGAAACATGCCACTGTACTGTTTAAAAGCCTTCAGCTGTGCCTTGCTGCCTATAGAATGAAGCTCTAGTTCCTTCTTGTGACAAGCAAGGGTCCCCAGACTCTGATCCTGGCCCCTTTCTCTCCCTGTCTTCCCCCATTCTTCACCTCAATCCTAATTCTCCTTCAGAATCGAGGGGATTGTTTGAGCTACCCTTGGCTACTTACCCCCTGCTACCTCTTTCTCCTCCTCACATCCAATGTTGTTTCTTGCCTCAGTGTGTACTCATGGTTTTCCTTTTACCTAAAATGCCCTCACCTCCATTCTTTCCATTTTCCACTGCAATCACTCATCAGTTCAGCATCACTTCCTCCTAGTACTATTTCTTTCAGGTTGAATTCATTAACTGTCTTTTGGCGTATTGCAATTTTCTGTTGATATGTCCATCTGTCACACAAGAGTGTAAACTCCTTAAGAGTATGGACCAGTTTTGTTTGGCCCACTATCCTCAGAAACAGATGTAATATCTTCTATACACTAGATCCTTAGTACATGATTGGGAGAGAAATAAAGGGCTCTATTAGTCAAGGGGGATTCTTGGTAGAGATAAGTTCTTAAGCTGGGTCTTCGAGGATTTAACGTTAGCAATGAGCAGAGGTATGGAAAATGGGATTCCATTCAAAAGGCAGATTTGGTCTTAGGCAAAACTACAAAACAGTGTGCCGTGAAGGCTCCCAGCACTGTGGTCCCTGAGGCATCCAGTTTTTCACCTCTTAGGAAACTGATGTTCTAGACTATTTGTATTAAAGATAACTTACATTTTTTGTGATAATAAATATAATGTATGTTTATTAATCCCATATTCTAGAAAGTAACACTGTTAGTATTATGTATTTATATTTATTTATATGATATCTGCTTTTTTTCTCTACCTTTCTCAACTGTTTCTAATCATTCCCTGTATTCTCTCTCATTGTCTTCAGTTAATAAACACATATTGCTTTGAATAGCATATGAAAACCTTCCAGCAGGTATGACAGAGCCATTTTCAGATATTTAGAAGTGTCATGCTCAATTACAACTCTTTGCTTTTGCATATGCTTTCCTGCCAGGGATGCCCTGCCTGGTCTGGTTTCCTGTCTTTTGCCTGGCCAACTCTTTTTTTTTTTTTTTTTTTTTTTTTTTTTGAGATGGAGTTTCGTTCTATTGCCCAGGCTGGGGTGCAGTGGCGCGATATCGGCTTACTGCAAGCTCCGCCTCCTGAGTTCACGCCATTCTTCTGCCTCGGCATCCCGAGTAGCTGGGACTACAGGCGCCCGCCACCACGCCCGGCTAATTTTTTTTGTATTTTTAGTAGAGACGGAGTTTCACTGTGTTAGTCAGGATGGTCTCGATCTCCTGACCTCGTGATCCACCCGCCTCAGCCTCCCAAAGTGCTGGGATTACAGGCGTGAGCCACCAAGCCCGGCCTCCTGGCCAACTCTTAATTGGCCCTCAAAACTTAGCCTACTTGCTTCTATCTTCAGAAAGCCTTCCCCGACCTTGATCCCACACCTTCTGCCCCACAACCCCAGGCTGGGTTTGGTCCTTCTCTGCTCCCATGGCACCTACTTCCTTCCCTATTACCATTTACCACATTTTCACTACCAACTCCTGAATGACTTGATGAAACTACTATTTAAGGAAGGCAATAAGTGAAGAATATATAAGAATTATCCGAGGAACAGTTGGTAAGGTATCACTGATTAGGAGATGGGGAATGAAAGGGGCGGTTGAGATAATGAGAAGAATGAGATAGTGACCATGGGGATTAGACAGAATTCTCAAACCACTCATAGAGGAATTGGTTGTGATTGAGAAAGATAGAAGAGTTTGCAGTTGTGGGCCATGTCTATATAGCACACATTTGGAGAATATTATACTGGTGCACAAGAAGGAGGCTATGGCTGACTATACAGATAAGAATGATAGAGGTGATTATGCGAAAGAGGTAGTAGATTGAATTAATGGGGTAAAGGTCTTTGAAAGACTAAAATTATGAGTTTGGATAAACTCTTCTGAGCGTTAAAGAATATGCACAATTAAGGAAGGCAGGGAAGGATGAGAGTTGAGGAAGGAATGACAACTAAGAAGGGGGATAGTTGAAGACTTGCGTGAGCGAGTCTTGTTTTAGAGACTCATTTTTGTCTTTTTTGTTTTGTTTTGTTTTAGCTCTAATAACGTTAGGCTTGGTATAGAAGATGCAGAGACATGCTAAAATTTCTCCCCCAATTATTGCCAAGCAGAAACTTGGACGATCGACATGGAAATTGTCTCCACAGGAAACGAAACTATTACTGAATTTGTCCTCCTTGGCTTCTATGACATCCCTGAACTGCATTTCTTGTTTTTTATTGTATTCACTGCTGTCTATGTCTTCATCATCATAGGGAATATGCTGATTATTGTAGCAGTGGTTAGCTCCCAGAGGCTCCACAAACCCATGTATATTTTCTTGGCGAATCTGTCCTTCCTGGATATTCTCTACACCTCCGCAGTGATGCCAAAAATGCTGGAGGGCTTCCTGCAAGAAGCAACTATCTCTGTGGCTGGTTGCTTGCTCCAGTTCTTTATCTTCGGCTCTCTAGCCACAGCTGAATGCTTACTGCTGGCTGTCATGGCATATGACCGCTACCTGGCAATTTGCTACCCACTCCACTACCCACTCCTGATGGGGCCCAGACGGTACATGGGGCTGGTGGTCACAACCTGGCTCTCTGGATTTGTGGTAGATGGACTGGTTGTGGCCCTGGTGGCCCAGCTGAGGTTCTGTGGCCCCAACCACATTGACCAGTTTTACTGTGACTTTATGCTTTTCGTGGGCCTGGCTTGCTCGGATCCCAGAGTGGCTCAGGTGACAACTCTCATTCTGTCTGTGTTCTGCCTCACTATTCCTTTTGGACTGATTCTGACATCTTATGCCAGAATTGTGGTGGCAGTGCTGAGAGTTCCTGCTGGGGCAAGCAGGAGAAGGGCTTTCTCCACATGCTCCTCCCACCTAGCTGTAGTGACCACATTCTATGGAACGCTCATGATCTTTTATGTTGCACCCTCTGCTGTCCATTCCCAGCTCCTCTCCAAGGTCTTCTCCCTGCTCTACACTGTGGTCACCCCTCTCTTCAATCCTGTGATCTATACCATGAGGAACAAGGAGGTGCATCAGGCACTTCGGAAGATTCTCTGTATCAAACAAACTGAAACACTTGATTGAAGGAGAGTAATGAAGATGTTATTTTGGACTTCGGACACCTCCATTGGGGACTCTTCCAGGATGGGTTGGAGAGGAGTAACTTTGTCTTATTCGACCATTCTCTTTGAACTCTTCTGCAGTTATACTAAAAATGAAAATGATAGGGCAACAATTTTTTAACTTTTATTTTAAGTTCAAGGGTACATGTGCAGGTTTGTTACATAGGTAAACTTGTGTCATGGGGGTTTACTGTACAGATTATTTCATCACCCAGGTATTAAGCCTAGTACTCATTAATCATTTTTCCTGATCTTCTCCCTCCTCCCAACCTCCACCCTCAAGTAGGATTCAGTGTGTTGTTCCCCTCTATGTATCCATATGTTTTCATAATTTAGCTCCCACTTATGAGTGAAGACATACGGTATTTGATTTTCTGTTCCTGTGTTAGTTTGCGAAGGATAGTAGCCTCCAATTCCATCCATGTCAAATAATCAAAATTATTTAAACTTTGATTAGTTCTTTATTAAATATGTCATAAATATTTAAAAATAATACAGCAATACCAAAATAAACCTAGAAATATTGTTTTTTATATTATTGTTGTATGACATTTAAAAATTTCTTTCTATGTGTATTTATATTTATACATACAAGTTGGATCATGGAGTTTGTAATCTGGTTTTCCACTGAACACTGTGTCACGAACAACTTTTTCTATTAACAAGCATCTATTTCTTTATTCTTCTGGGCTTCATCGTATGGCTAAACATGATTTGTTATTCTATTTTGGGAATTTTTAGTTGTATTCTATTCTTTTACTGTACATTGTTTACATCTGGATTTTCCTGTAATAAACTTTTAGCACCTAAATTGCAAGATCTAAGGATATGTGTTTTTAAAAATCTAAAGCTGAATTCCTTTTCTTTTAAACTTCTTTTCTTGTAGAACATTTCAAACATACATAAAAGAGAAGAGCACAGTGAACCCCCATGTACTCCATGTAGCCACCATCCAGCTTCAACATCAACATTTTGCTAATCTTATTTTAATTAGCTACAGCTCCTTGTTTGTTAGTTTTCATGGAAAATTTTAGGGCAAATTCCAGATGTTGTATAACTATTATGTTGTGTAAGTTATGTATGTACATATTCCACATATGTATTTAGTATAATCTGTGACTAATAAAGACATTTTAAAAAACCATGCCCACAATACCATTATGATACTTAGCACAATTATCAGTATTTCCTTTATATCATCTAATACACAAGCCATGTTCAAATTTCTCCATTGATCTTTAAGTAATTTCTTAAAATTAGGATCTAAACAAGGTTCACACAATGTATTTTGTTATTGTCTTTCCAGTCCCTTTATAACATAGCAGACCCCACTTTTTTGTCATGCCATTGACTTAAGTTGCTATGTTATTTTTATTGCATCATATCCTGAGACACATGATATTTAGTTGTCCCACTCTTAGAGATGCTATTTATATTATTGTCCAGTGAGTTGAGGTGGTATCAGTCAGATCTATCAATTACTCAGTTTCTAATTAACGTTTTCCCTAATACTTTAATCATCCATTGTGGAAAGGTGATGATTAACTTTTATTCCAAATGTTTTTATGTTCCTTTTTCAATTCCAAAATTCACCATTTTAATAAATGGCTCTCTAGTACATTATATATCAGTCAGCCAGGAATCACACTTAGCTATTAGAAACTGTCAATACAAAGTTTTAAAAGTAAAAATTGTCATGTAAGTAAAAGTTAATTTTTCTCTCAAGTAAAAGAAGTCTGGAGGTAAGTAGTACAGAGAGGATGTGGTTGGTTCCCAGGGTTATATAGACCAGAGCTCTGTTTACTTAGTGTATATGTCAGGAGAACAGCGTGGGGGAAAGTTCCCCCATGATGAAATCACTTCCCTCCAGGTCCCTCCCTTGACATGGGAGATTACAATTGAGATGAGATTTGTGTGGGGACATAAAACGAAACCATATCAGGCTCTATTCTGTGTGTCTGTGTGCATATGTAACTAAAATCAGGAGTGAGTAATTGAGAGAAGTGAATTTTCTTGGTGTGGTTTCAGTTGCAAACAACATAAGCTACCCTGGCTAATTTAAGCTGCTGTTTTTTCTTATATAATATTTGATAGCTCACACACTATCCTGTAGGTAAAGAGAGTCAGACTCTGAATTATTCTGCCAGGAATGAGATGCAGAAACACAGAGGGTCTCTTGTTGGCGTAAATATCACTGTCATCATTACTCAACCCTAGAGTACTTCTAGATCCATCACTGATGCTCCAGAAGGACCAGATTCCTCTGTTTCATGCAGAGAAGACTGAATTCCACATGCATAGTCTTGCTGATTGGTAGGACCTAATTTCCATGGTTGTTACCAGCTGTTAAGGAATCTAGGAAATGATCACAATGTAGTGGGGGTGTTCACAGATGTAAAAGCACTATAATGAATGTCTACTCTTGGCACAGTGCGAAAGGATAATGTTAGGTACTAATTTTTTTTTCTTTTGACATTTTAAAATACAAACATTTCACGCATATACTAAATACAAAAATTTCCTTTGTCCACTTTTTAATGGGGTTATTTATTTGTTTTTCTTGTTGAGTTGTTTAAGTTCCTTGTAAGTTCTGGATACCAGTCCCGTATTAGGTGCATAATTTGCAAATATGTTTTCCCATTCTGTAGGTTGTTTGTTTACTCTGTTGATTATTCCCTTCACTGTGCAGAAGCCTTTTAGTTTAATTAAGTTCTGTTTGTCTATTTTTATTTTTGTTGCATTTGCTTTTGAGGTCTTAGTCACAAATTCTTTGCCTAGGCCAATGTTCAGAAGAGTTTTTCCTAGGTTTTCTTCTAAAATTTTTATAGTTTCAGGTCTTACATTTAAAAGAAGACATACAATCAGCCTACAAAACCTACAAACATATAAAAAAAGCTCAACATTGCTAGTCATCAGAGAAGTGCAAATTAAAACCACACTGAGATATCATCTCATACCAGTAATAGTAACTATTATTAAAAAGTCAAAAACAAGAGATGTTGGTGAGAATGCAGAGAAAAGGGAATGCTTATATACTGTTGATGAGAATATAAATTAGTACAACCTCTATGGAAAACAGTATGAAGATTTCTTAAAGGGCTAAAATTAGAACTACCCTTTGATTCAGCAATCCCAATACTAGATATCTACCCAAAGGAAAATAAATCATGGTACAAACAAGACACCTGCATGTGTATGTTAATTGCAGCACTTTTCACAAGAGCAAAGTTATGAAACCATCCTAAGCATATGAAAGCATACACACACACACACACTTACATAAGCATACGTAATTAGATATTTTTTCTTTTATTTTACTTTCACTTATTTCTTCTTCAATGCTCTTCTGTTCTTAAAGGTGGATTGAAATGTCTCACTTGTATAATTTTATTACTCTCTAAAAAATTTATTTTATCACTTTTTACCAGGCAAGTCTATTGGCAATAAATTCCCTCAATTTTTGTTCCTCTGAGAAGGTTTATTTCTCATTCACTTTTGAAGGATAATTTCATGTAGTGCAGAATTCTAGATTGGTTTTTCTTCTATCAAAAATTTTAAATATTTCACTCTATTTTCTTCTAACTTTTGTAGCTTCTGCGAACTCAGATGTCATCTTTTCTTCCCTAAAGGTATGGTATTTTTTATCCTCTGGCTTCTTCATGATTTAAAAAAAATCTTTGACTTTCTGATTTTTGTTTAATTTTCCATAGTTTAAAAATGATATTCCTAGCCATAGTTTTTCTGGCATTTATGCTTCTTGGTATTCCTTGAGCCTCCTAGATTTGAAGTTTGATGTCTCATATTAATTTGGGGAAATTTTCAGTTATTGCTTCAAATATTTCTTCTGTTCCTATCTACTTTTCTACTCCTTCTGATATTCCCATTGTATGTATTACATATTTTGGAGTTTTTCCAGAATCCTTGAATATTCTTCTCTGCTTTAATAAGTCTTTGTTTTCTTCGCTTTTCAGTTTTTAAAGTTCCTATTGATATATTCCCCTGCCTAGAGGGTTTGGTGGTCGTTTTCTTCCTCTTAACTTTATTAAGGTATGACTGACACATGAAGTTGTATATATTTATGATGTTTACTGTGATGTTTTGAGATATGTATACATTGTGAAACGATTACCACAATTAAGCCAATTAACACATCCATCACCTCACATAGTTACAACCTTTTGTATGTGTGTGGTGAGAACATTTATGATCTTCTAGTTTAGAAAATTTCAAGTATATAATACAGTATTGTTAACTATAATCACCACGCTATATGCACATTATATAGGTCACATTTTTAAATCCACTTCTCTGTTTTGATGGACCTTTGGGCTAATTCTGTATCTTGGCTATTGAGAATCATGCTGCAATGAACACAAGAGTGCAGATATGTCTTTGAAATACTAATTTTTTTTTTATTTTTCCATAGGTTATTGGGGTACAAGTAGTATTTGGTTACATGAGTAAGTTCTTTAGTGGTGATTTGTGAGATTTTGGTGCACTCATCACCCAAGCAGTATACACTGCACCGTATTTGTAGTCTTTTATCCTTCACCCCCCCTCCCACTCTACACCCCAAGTCCCCTAAGTCCACTGTATCATTCTTATGTATTTGCATCCTTATAGCTTAGCTCCCACATATCAGTGAGAACATACAATGTTTGGTTTTGAAATACTGATTTTATTTCCTTTAGACATATACCCAGAAGTGGGATTACTGAATCATATGGTATTTCTACCTTTATGTTTTTTGAGGAATCTCTATATGTTCCCCATAATGGCTGTACAAATGTAAATTCCCAAAAACAATGTACAAAGGTTCTCTTTTTATATCCTCATTAATACTTGTTATTTTTTGTCTTTTTGATAAAAGCCATTCTAACAGATGTGAAGTGATATCTCGTGGTTGTAGTTTGTATTTCCTTTGATTTAATGATGTTGAACATTAAAAAATACACTTGGCCATTTGTGTGGAAATATCTATTTCATTGAAAAAATGTCTATTTAGATTCTTTCCTCATTTTTAAACTAGGCTATTTGTTTTCTTGCTATTGAGTTTTTAAAAAATGTATATTTTGGATATTAACTCTTTATGAAATATTGTTTTCCCATTTCATAGGTTATCTCTTCATTCTGTTGATGTTTTCTTTTGTTAAATAGGAACTATTTAGTTTGGTAGAATCGTATTTATTTTTGATTTTGTTTCCTGTGCTTTACGTATGATATTTTAAAAATATCATTTCCCAGACCACCATTGAGAAGTTTTTCCCTGTTTTCTTCCAGTAGTTTTAGTTTCAGGTCTTGCCTTTCAGTTTTTAATCCAATTAAATTGATTTTTGCGTATTGTTTGAGACAATGGTTTAATTTCATTCTTCTTTAGGTGGAATATTAAGTTTTTCCAACACAATTTATTGGAGAAACTATTCTTTTCCCATTGTATGTTCTTGGCACCTTTGCCAAAGACCAACTGACCATAAGTACATAGATTTATTTCTGGGCTCTCTATTCTGTTCCATTGTTCTATGTATCTGTTTTTATGCCAGTATCATACTGTTTTGATTACTATAGCTTTGTGGTATATTTTGAGTTCAGGTAGTTGTGCCTCCAGCTTTGTTCTTTTTGCTCAAGATAGCCTTGGCTATTTGGAGTCTTTTGTGGTTCCATAAGAATTTTAGTACTTTTGCTATTTCTGTAAAAAATTCCATTAGAATATTGATAGGGATTGTAAAGAATCTACAGTTTGCTTAGGAAAGTATGAGCATTTTGACAATATGAATTCTTCCAATCCATGAATAAAGAATATCTTTCCATTTATTTGTATCTTTTTCAATTTCTGTCATCCATGCCTTATAGTTTTCAAGGTACAGATCTTTCACCTTCTTGGTTAGATTTATCCCTAAGTATTTTATTTACCTTTGATATTATTGTAAATAGAATTGTTTTCTTGATTTCCTATTCAAATAGATCATTGTTGTAAAAATGCAACTGGCTTTTGTAAGTTAATTTTGTATCCTGTGAACTTAACTAAATTTATTAGTTCTCACAGTTTTTGGTGTAGTCATTAGGGTTTTCTAGATGTAAGATCCAGTCATCTGCAAACAGAAAATTTTACTTCTTCCTTTTTAGTTTGGATGCCTTTTATTTATTTCTTTTGTGTAATTGCTATAGCTAGGAATGTCAGAATTATATTGAAGAGAAATTGTGAAAGTGGGCCTCCTTGACTTGCTCCTGATATCGGAAGAAAAGCTTTTAGCTTTCCAACACTGATAATGAGAATAGCAGTGGACTTGATATACATTATCTTTATTACATTAAGCTATGTTTCTTCTATACCTAATTTGTTGAAAGTTTCTTTTAGTTATGAAAGAATATTGAATTTTATCAAATGCTTCTTCTGCACCTATTATCATATGGTTTTTATCCCTCAGTATGTTAATGTGGCATATCATATTTATTAATTTGTGTATGTTAACCCATTCTTGCATCCTAAGGATGAATCCCACTTAGTCATGGTGTATGATCATTTTAATGTGCTGTTGAATTCATTTTGCTAGTTTTCATTGAGGATTTTTGCATCTATGTTCATCAGGGATATTGGCCTGTAACTGCATTTCCTTATAGTTGCGTTGTCTGGCTTTGGTATTAGGGTAATGCTGACCTCATAAAGTGAGTTTGAAAGTATTTCTTCCTTTTCATATTTTTGAGTGAGTTTAAGAAGATTGGCATTAATTATCCTATAAATGTTTGGTAGTATACATCAATAAAGCCATCAGATCCTGGGCTTTTTTGAATAGGAGACATTTTATTACTGGTCAATCTCAGCCCCAGGCTGGCAGCTTTTGCCGTGGTCTACTGGAACATGAAAAAGTCTGTCTGAGGCTTCCCTGTTGAAGAAGCATATGATAGTCACAAGGAGCAATTAAGGGAGGAGAAAAAGAAATAGAGAGAGAGACTTACTCAGCTCTCAGCTATTCCGTGACCAGACTGAAGTCATTCCAGCAAAGGTCAGAGACATTATGGATCAGAGTCAACCATTCTCTGCTGTGTTTTTCCAAATTTCTTACCCAACAAAGCATGTAACTTAAGTGTTTTAAGCGATTGAATTTTGGGGTCCTAATGTGTTATGCACTAATAGTTAACCAGAACCCCATGTGCTCTTCTACAGTTCACAAACTCTCTGAAGTTTGAATTATGTGGCAGATTCTCACCACCAGAAATGACAGAAAAAACATATTGTATAAAAATATGCATCAAATATATTACTGATAGTGTGGGACAGTTGAGATTAGGAGTTGCCATCTCCACACACACATTGTTGTTTTGTTTTATTATAAACTAAACTGGAATTGAGGGACCAAAGAAGGTGAAGTTAGAAGACAAAAGAAGCATGGAGAGAAGTCAGAATAAAATTGTTTAGATTTACAAAAGTGCATGCAGGGACCTTGAAGGGTCAGTCCACCAGCTTAAAATGCCTTTTCATAGTATTTTCTGTCTATTCTTTAAATATTTATAAATTATAGAATCCACCATTTTTTCAGGGACAGAAGCCATTTATAGGAACTTAAAAAGTGAGGAACATAGCAGTTCATGTCTAGAAATACTTCAATAATTATGACTTCTATGCCTTTGCTTAGTATGAGTTTGGTGCCAAGTAAGAAAAAGAAAATAAAATTTTGATAAAGTCGTCATCTTCCGCAATTAAAGGCTGAGGGAACAATAACATCCTAACGAGATTGAAAGAGTCTTAAGAGCTTTGTTAAATTATCTCCGATTTTTAATATTTTAAGTAATCATTGAGGGTGTGGACAGTTGACTAATAAGAGATATCTGGAGACAGAGGTGCCAAAACTATTTAGATGAACTGTCAGGGTTTTTGTTGTTGTTGTTATTTAGTGATTACAATGTCATTTGCTTTAATTACTTGTCTCCTTGTTTGAAGAATAAGAAATCAAGACCCACCCCTTAAAAATTCTCCTTAACTCATACGTCAGTTAGCATATTCTTTTCCAGTTGAGTAACTATGGCCCTAAAGTAAAATCCTCAAAATATCAAAGCATAATAATTTTATTTATAATATTATAATGCATTAACCTAGAGGGACCAGATAGATAAATAGACCCAAGTATTATCCATATATTTGATATATGGGAAAAACAGGCATATTTCTATACCCAATTTCATCATAAGAACATATAAAAAACCTAACATCAATTTTATCAACTGATATCTTCAAAACATAGTCAGCAGTAGAGTTCCATGGCTAGTATCCCATTCATTCAAATGTCCCTTATATAATCCAGGAAAGCATTGTTAAATACAACTACAGCATATTTTTCCATATATTTTTGTTTTATCCAGTTCCCTCTGTTGTACATTTCTAAATAATTTAAGAAACAATGTAATTACAAACTCATCTTTTTAATTGTTTATTTATGCTTCAGAAGAGTTCTTCAAGATTTCTTTAGGCCAAAGCCACCTTTTCATTGCTCTATTAAAGGCCCCTTTCACTTCCTTGTTCCTCAAAGTGTAGATCAGTGGGTTTAGTACTGGAGTGACCACAGTATACATGATGGCAGTGATCCGGTCCTGGTCCATGGAGGTCCCTGAGGCATGATGAATATAGGTGAAGAGAACAGGTGCATACAAAAGAATAACTACCATGAAGTGGGAGGCACAAGTGGACAGTGCTTTGCGGAGCATGCTAAAAGAATGAGTCTTGAAGAAGAGATGGGTGATAATGTAGAAATAGGAGAGTAATGTGAGAAAGAAGGGGCCCATGGCGATTGTCCCTGTGACAGTACTGAGCAGCCACTGATTAAGCTCAGCTTTAGCAATGGCTTCACATCACAGAAGAAGTGATAGATACGGTTAGAACCACAGAAGTTCAAGCGAGAGGTCATTAGGGAGTGCAGCAGGGCATGGAAAAAACCAATCATCCAGATTGTGATGGCCATCTGGGTACAGAGCTGAGGGTTCATAATGACAGTGTAGCGAAGTGGCTTGCAAATAGCCACAAAGCGGTCAAATGCCATCACGGCCAACAACATGGCCTCTGTGCTGCCCAGGAAGTGGAAGAAATGGAGTTGGCTTATGCATCCCAAGAAAGAAATTGCTTTGTGTGCAGAGAGGAAGTTCTGCAGCATTTTTGGCAGTGTTACGCTGGAGTAGCAGATGTCCAGGCAGGACAGGTTTCCCAGGAAGAAATACATAGGGGAATGGAGTCTAGGATCAGAGATGACAATCATCAGAATGGCTCCATTCCCAGCCACACTGATGAAGTAGATGGTAAGGAAAACAACGAAGAGAAAAGGCTGCAGTTCTTGAATGTCTGTCACTCCCAAAAGGAGAAATTCAGTGACTGAGGTTGTATTCAGCATTGCTTCAGACAAAAGACAAAATAATGTATGGAACACTAATCACAATCAGAATCCTTCCAGCTCAGAATTTTCTTACCAAGCCAAGAATATCTGGAGGGAGAGTATTGTTGTTTTGCATGATTCAACCTCACAAGTTTTACATTTTTGGCTTTTAGATGGCTAAATATTAAAGATATATATATATATATCTGTTATGATCTCTGACACAACTATTTTTTTATTATGTTTTTCATTAATATATTTCTTTCTCCCAGGAATCAGAAAACGTTGCTAGCCTACAGTCTTCTCTGGCTGTGAATATTTTCATTCTTTTTTTTTGAGATTCTCACTCTTTCTCCCAGGCTGAAGTGCAGTGGTGTGATCTTGGCTCACTGCAACCTCCGCCTCCTGGGTTCAAGAGAGTCTCTCGCCTCAGCTTCCCAAGTAACTGGGATTACAGGAGTCCACCACCACACCTGGCTAATTTTTGTATTTTTAATAGAGATGGGGTTTCACCGTGTATGCCAGGCTGGTCTTGAATTCCTGACCTCAAGTTATCTGCCTGCCTCGGCCTCCCAAAGTGCTGCGATTACAGGCATTAGCCACATCTCTGGGCCTGTGAATATCTTCATTCGGTCACAGCTTTCCTTTCATCTTCCCAAGCAGCTCTCACAGGGGGCAATTTTTAAGCATACCACATAGCTATCTCTTGGCCTAGTAAGAAACCACCAGTAGGATGTTAACTTAAATAAAAAGACAGGTTTCAATGCATCAAAACCACGATTTTTTTTTTAAATCTTGAAAGAGTAGTAGTAATTGCATTTCCTCATTTTAGAATGTAAATGAATTAGAGATATTCTCTTACTGATCTCTTCCTGACCCACATCCCTGAAATGTCGCAGTGACCTACTGGGGTAAGAAACATGACCACATTAATCACATATTAACCTGAATATTTAAAATTTCATCACTATTATATCTGATGATGAGCTCAGTTTCTTCCTATAATCTGACCCTTTATACATTTTTTGAAATAGAATCCCAAATTATTTTTTTCATTGCAAATGTTATTGTGCTTTTATTCACCAGTTGATCTTAGACTCTTTCTTTCCTAGGAAATCTGTGAATCCCTGGATAAGAATAGTATTTCCTCTGATAGATTCAGTAGTTTCTCTTCTTTTTTCACCAATACTAACCTCTCCTCAAAATATATATTCAGCCTTCTTGAAATTGTCTTCTCTTGTGATCTATTTTCTTAAGTTCTGTTTTTATTTTGCCTGAAATAAACTCACTCATCAGATATTAAGGAATATTCTACCTCAAGTGAAATTCACCTTCTTCTCTTCTAGATCCATTACATTTTCTAGAAAAATTTTTTCTCCATAATTTGCAAAGTACTGGTATTATCTTCATTAGGTTTACTAATAAAAGCAGACATAATATTGTGAAGTAGCTTCTTCTTTGTTCTTTTCATTACGCTGTAATGGATTAGCTCTTGTATATTGGGAGGGAAGAAGTCAGGATGTGTGGGGAACTTACAGAAGTGAGAGGCACTGAGAGAGCTAGTAGAACTGTAAAGAAATTGAAAAGAGATGCTGACATTGGAGTGCTTCCTATAAAAGGAGTATCATTCAAGGTTTTAGAAACCACTGAGGAGAAAAGAATATAATTTGATGTGACTAGGGTAAAAAAAAATAATGAACAAGGGAACACTTCTAGAGAGCCCATGGGTTTTTTGGCTTCATAGCTGGGAAGAAGTTTTGAAAAACAATCTAACTTTTACTATACCTCCATGAAGGACTGCCTTCAAATAATTCACAATAACTTTCTTGAATGACCATGTATATTTTGTATATTTAAAAATTACCACTCCTGTTTAAAATACAAATTATATTTCAAATATAATTTTTGGTTCTTGGACCCAGAAAACAAAATTGTCCCAAAAATCCATATGGTAAAACATATATTCCTAGCTTCTGAGAAAATTAGCAGTCAGAGTGGTCTGTAGTAAATCGTTTCCTTCACTGAAATTTCACCATTTAGAAATCACATGTTTGCTTTGGATAATGTCTAGAGAACTAGATATGTTGAATTGAGAACAAGGTATGGCAATAAAAACATGGTAAGTCAAGGGCCTTCATATCTCACAAACACAATGAGGAGTCCACCATTAGATAGAAAATGAGATCTAGATACTGGGTGTTTAATACTAGCAAGTAGATAGATCATTCATTAACATATTGAGATTATGTGTAACTTCACAGCCTGTCTCCTAGTTCATTCTCTTACCTGATTGAGTGTTCTGATTCACAGTTAAGGAAGCTATTCATGTTTATATTCCCAGTGATTATAAAAGTTAAAACATATTTGAAGTAATAGTTCATGTTGGGATTGCAGCATAAACTCATCTTTAAAAACCTCTTTCTCTCTTTCTGAAAAATCAGTCTGCCTTTTAATGAGCCACAGGTCTCTAGACATAGAAATCCAAAGGGAGAGTGTCCCCTGGTGTTGAGAAAGATTTTAGGAATTAGCAGGATGCCTTTCCACACCTGTAATATGAATCAGTGGCCTTGGGGAATTCCTGTGTGAAGTTTCATTTGTTTTTTTCATTCTTGTTTTTTTTTTTTCCTTACTAAGTTTGTTCGTTAGTTTTAGAACTATGGCCAACACAGGTCTCAATGGCTTAATATGTTTTCTTAGTCAAATTTCTTTTTATTTCCTAGGACAGAGATATGGATTTACTTTCCCATTTTTGGGACTTTCCTGAAAGAATACCCTGGTATTTTTCAGGAAACCTGTTTTGGCTACTGTTGCTCTGTAGTATAGCTTGAAGTAGGGTAACATGATGCCTCCAAATTTGTTCTTTTTGCTTAGAATTGCTTGGCTATTCAGGTTCTTTTTTGGTTTCACATGAATTTTAAAGTGTTTTTCTAGAATAAACTAGTTTATTCTAGTATTCTAAACTTTAGTTTAGAAACTACCAAGAATGTCTTTGGTAGTTTGATAGAAATAGCATTGAATCTGTAAATTGCTTTGGGCAGTATGGCCATTTAAACAATATGATTCTTACTACCCATGAACAAGAAATCTGTTTCCATTTGTTTGTATTATCTCTGATTTCTCTGAGTAGTGTTTTGTAGTTCTTATTGTAGAGACCTTTCACCTGCCTTGTTAGCTGCATTTCTTGGTATTATATTCTTTCTTTGGCAATTGTGAATGGGATTGTGTTCCTGATTTGTCTCTCAGCTTGACTGTTGTTGCTGTATAGGAATGCTAGTGACTTTTGTACATTGATTTTGTATCCAGAAACTTTGCTGAAATAGTGTATCAGCTGAAGGAGCTTTTTGACCAAGACTATGGGGTTTTCTAGATATAGAATCATGTCATCTGCAAACAGGAATAGTTTTACTTACTCTCTTCCTATAATGCCCATTATTTCTTTCTCTTGCCTAATTGCTCTAGCCAGGACTTCCAATGCTATGTTGAATAGGAGTGCTGAGAGAGGACATCCTTGTCTTGTGCTGGTTTTCCAGAGGAATGCTTCCAGCTTTTGTCTATTCAGTATGATGTTGGCTTTGGATTTGTCATAAATGGCTCCTACTATTTTGAGGTATTTTCCTTAATACCTAGTTTATTGAGAATTTTTAATATGAAGCAATGTTGAACTTAATTGGAAGCCTCTTCTGTTATCTATTGAGATAATCATGTGAGTTTTGTTTTTAGTTCTGTTTATGTGATGAATCACATTTATTAATTTGCAAATGTTGAACCAACCTTGTATCCCAGGGATAAAGCCTACTTAATCATTTTGTATTAGCTTTTTGATGTGCTGCTGAATTCAGTTTGCTAGCATTTTGTTGAGAATTTTTGCATCTATGTTCATTAAGAATATTGGCCTGAAGTTTTCCTTTCATGTATGTGTTTCTTTCAGGTTTTTGTATCAGGATGATGCTGGCCTCATAGAATGAGTTGGGGAGGAGTCACTCCCCCTTTGTTTGGTAGGCTATTTATTACTGATTCAATTTCAGAGCTCGTTATTGGTTTCTTCACAGAATCAGTTTCTTCTTGGTTCAGACGTGGGAGGATGTATGTGTATAGAAATTTATCCATCTCATCGAGGTTTTCTAGTTCATGTGCATATGTGTTCATGATTCATCATGTCTCTGATGATTATTTGTATTGTTGTGGGGTCAATGGTAGCATCCCATTTGTCATTTCTGATTGTGTTTATTTGGATCATCTCTCTTTCCTTCTTTATTGATCTAGCTAGGAGTCTATTCATCTTATTAATTCTCCCAAAAAACAAACTCCTGGATTCGTTTATCTTTTGTATGGTTTTTCTCATCTCAATTTCTTTCAGATCAGCTCTAATTTTGGTTATTTCTTGTCTTCTGCTAGCTTTTGGGTTGGTTTTGTCTTCTGTCTCTAGTTCTTTTACTTATGATGTTAGGTTGTTAATTTGAGATCTTCGTATCTTTTTGATGTGGGCATTTAGTGCTACAAATTTCCCCCTTAATGCTGCCTTAGCTGTGCCCCAGAGATTCTGGTATGTTGTATCTTCATTCTCAATAGTTTCAAAGAACATTTTGATTTCTGCACTAATTTCAGTACTTACCTCAAATTCATTAAAGAGTAAGTTGTTTAATTTCCATGTAATTGCATGGATTGAGTGATTTTTTTAGTCTTGATTTCTATTTTTATTGAGCTGTTGTCCACCAATGTGTTTGGTATGATTTCAGTTCTTTTGCATTTGCTGAGGATTGTTTTATGTCCAATTGTGGGGTCTATTTTTAGAGTACGTGCCTGTGTTGATGAGAAGAATGCACATTCTGTTGTTTTGGGGTGGAGAGTTCTGAGGTCTATCAGATCTATTTGATCCAATGTTGAGTTCAATCTTTGTTTAAATCTTTGTTAATTTTCTGCCTTGATGATCTGTCTAGTACTGTCAGGGGAGTGTTGAAATACCCTACTGGAGACTCCCATTGTGTGGGCATCTAAGTCTCTTTGTAGGTCTCTAAGAACTTGCTTTATGAATCTGGATTCTCCTGCTGTGGGTGCATATATATTTAGGATATCTAGATCTTCCTGTTGAATTGAATCCTTTATCATTAGATAATGCCCTTCCTTGTCTTTTTTCGTTTTTGTTAGTTTAAAGTCTGTTTTTCTCTGAAATTAGAATTGCAACCTCTTCTTATTTCTGATTTTCATTTACTTGGCAGATTTTTTCCATCCCTTTATTTTGAGCCTATGGGTGTCATTGCATGTGAGATGGGTTTCCTGAAGACAGCATACAATTGGATTTTGCTTCTTTACCCAGCTTGCCACTCTGTGCCTTCTAATTGGGACATTTAGCCTGTTTACTTTCAATGTTTGTATTGATATATGTAGATTTAATCCTGTCTTTTTGTTGTTAGCTGGTTATTATGCCTGCTTGTTTGTCTGGTTGCTTTATAGTGTCACGGGTCTGTGTACTTAAATGTGTTTTTGTATTGGCTGGTAATGGTGTTTTCTTTTCATATTTAGTACTCCTTTCAAGATCTCTTGTAAGGTGGGTCTAGTAATACAATCCCTCAATGTTTACTTGTCTGAAAAGATCTTATTTCTCCTTCACAGAGAAAGCTTAGTTTGGCTGGATATAAAATTCTTGGTTAAAGAAATTTTTCTTTAAGAATATCGAATATAGACCTGCAATCTCTTCTGGCTTTCAACATTTCTGCTGAGAGGTCCACTGTTAGCCTCATACGGTTCCCTTTGTAGGTGACCTGCCCTTTCTCTCAAGCTGCCTTTTACATTCTTTCTTTCATTTTGTCCTTGGAAAATAAGATGATTTTGTGTGTTGGGGATGATCTTCTTGTCTAGAATCTTGCAGAGGTTTTCTGTATTTCCTGCATTTGACTATTGGCCTCTCTAGCAAGATTGGGGAAGTTTTCATGGTTGATATCCTGAAATATGTTTTCCAAGTTGTTTGCTTTCTCCCCCTCTCTTGCAGGGATACCAGTGATTTGTAGATTTGGCCTCTTTACATAATCTCATATTTCACAGAGGTTTTGTTCATTCCTTTTCCTTTTATTCTTTATTTTTGTCTGACTCTCTTATTTCAGAGAGCCTGTCTTCAAATTCTCAGATTCTTTCCTCAGCTTTGTCTACTCTGCTATTAATATTTGTGATTGCATTGAAAAATTATTTTAGTGAGTTTTTCAGCTCTATCAGGTCAGTTAGGTTGTTTTTATACTGGCTGTTTTGTCTGTCACCTCTTGTATCGTTTTATTGTGATTCTTAGCTTCCTGGGATTGGGTTTTGCCATTCTCCTGAATCTCAATTATCTTCATTCCTATCCATATTCTGAATTCTATTTGTTATTTCAGCCATCTCAGTCTGCTTAAGAATTCTTGTTGAAGAACTAGAGTGATCATTTGGAGGACATAAGACACTCTGACCATTTGAGTTGCCAGAGTTCTTTTTTTTTTTTTCTCATCTCTGTGTGTGAGTGTTCCTTTAACTGCAGAACTGCCTCTGATTGAAGTGGTCAGGTGGCAGCTGGGTGATTGTGCTGGAGTCCCAGGTCATGTGGCCTTGCCCAGTGAGGAGAAGTGAGGATCAGGATCTGCATGGAGAACAGTTCAGCCACTTTTCTATGATGTGGATGCTCTGTGTTATGGGTCCCAACCAGCCCTTGGTCCCACAGACTCTCCAGGGCCTGGGGACACAAGGATGAAGACTGTGAGAAAGCAAAGATGACAACCCACCCCTTCCATTGGGAGCTTTGTCCCAGGGCATTGCAGAACTGCTACTGGCTCAATAGTCCCAGTGTAAGGGTGACTGGAGACTAGGCTGGGAGGATCTGCCCCAGGAGAAGATACAGGATTGGGGACCCACATAACATACAGTCTGACCACTTTTCCATAGAGCTGCTACCATATTCTGGGGATCTGCTCCAGTCCCTAGTCACTTCAGATTTTCCAGTACCTGATGGTATCAACAGTGAAGTTTGTCAAACAGCAAAGATGGCGGCCTGCGCCTCCCTCTGGGAGCTCTGCTCCAGGAAGGAATGGACCTGTTACCAGCCCAAACACACTGGCAGGGTTGGCTGGGGATCCCAGAAGTTCCCACTCAGTGAGGAAAAACAGGATCAGGAGGTGCATTAAAAAGCAGTCTGGCCACTTTTTCATAGAGCAGCTATGCTGTCTTTGGGGTCTACTCCAGCCCCCAGTTGCTTCCAGCTCTCCAAAGCCCAAAAGTGACAATGGCTAAGCCTGCAAAACAGTAAAGATGGAGGCCTACCCCTCCTCTGGGAGCTCTGCTAGGGAGGTTTGGGATTGCTACTGGCCGGAAAACACCAGCAGAAGTGGTTGTAGACCTCGGTCAGGGGATTCCTCCCAGTAAACAGAAATGGGATCTGAGACCCACATGAAAAAGTGGTCTGGCCATCTCTTTGTAGAGCTGCTATGTTGTGCTGGGGTACCACTCCAGTCCCTAGTCACCTCAGATTCCCCAGAGCCTGAAGGCACCAATGGTTAAGGCTATGAAACAGCAAAGAAGGCAGCCCAAGCCTCCCTCTGAGATCTCCATCTCAGGGAGGTATAATGTTGCTACCCATGGCAGCCTAGAGTTCAAAGCTATTGGGTCTTATCCTGTGATGTTCCATGGAAATGGGGCTTGCAGATAGTCATTGCTCAGCCCCGTGGATTTAGACCGTTTTCTAGGGGTATATATGGGGGGGGGTGTCTAACCTCCCAGTTTGCCAGAGTTGCAGTTACTTTTGCTGGGAAGCCTGGGTATCTAAAGCTCCTGTGGCTTCCAGTGTGCCTGAGTGGATGCTCTGACGAGACTCCACATAGCTTTGCATGTCAGACTGAAGGCCCTGGTGGAGTGAGTTCATGAGGGATCTCCTGACCTGAGGGTTGCAAAGTTCTGTGGGAAAAGTATGGGTTCCCAAGGTCGCTCACTCACTCACCACTTCTCTGGGCAGGGGAGGCTACCCTGGCTACATGTCATTCCCAAGTGGGTGGTTCTCCTGCCTTGCTTTTCTCTGTTCTCTGTGGGTTGGGTTGTTTTCTTGATGAATCCCAATGCACGTACCCAGTTCAGTTGAAGATACTGTATTTACTTGCCTCTTCTATTTTGCTCTGTGACAGCGGTGCACAATAGGTGCTTCTCGTTGGCCATCTTGGCCAGCCCTCAACTTCTTGTTATTTTATACACTGTGAATATAATACAAATGAATACTATTTATTGCATGCTTATTATGTGTAAGGTATTGTTCTAAGTTCTTTACATCTATTAGCTCTCTTAATTCTCACAAAAACCCAATGAAGTAAGTAATACAGTCATTTATCTTATATCACAAGAAAACTGAGGCTCAAAGGATTTAAGTAAATTTTTCTTCTTGTGATATATTGTGAAACCAGGACTCAAACTGAGGCTCCTTAGTTCTAGTGATCACTGTATTGTGCTCTTTCAAATATTATTCATCTTAATTTTATCTACAATTTTCTTAGTTGACTAGCCATTCGCTATTTTAATGAAGTCATGATCAGCAATTTTCTTCTTTATGTATTGTCTCTTTGTGATTGTACATATTATTTGTTTTAAATTTTCTTTTATTACAAAGGAAGCTTCATGGGCCTGCGACCCATGCAGTCACAAAGGACCCTGCACTCAGAAGGGCCCTATGTTTGATTTAATGCTTTGTCGTCACTGTCTTGAAACTCTTAGTAATTTTTTTTAACTTCCTTTTTTTTATTATTATACTTTAAGTTCTGGGGTACCTGTGCAGAACGTGCAGGTTTGTTACATAGGTATACATGTACCATGGTGGTTTGCTGCACCCATCAACCCGTCATCTACATTAGGTATTTCTCCTAATGCTACCCCTTCCCTACCCTCCCACCCCCTGACAGGCCCTGGGGTGTGATGTTCCCCTCCCTGTGTGCATGTGTTCTCACTGTTCAACTCCCACCTATGAGTGAGAACAAGCGGTTCTCTGTTTTGGTTTTCTGTTCTTGTGATAGTTTGCTGAGAATGATGCTTTCCAGTGTCATCCATGTCCCTGCAAAGGACATGAACTCATCCCTTTTTATGGCTGCATAGTATTCCATGGTGTATACGTGCCATATTTTCTTTATCCAGTTTATCATTGATGGGCATTTGGGTAGGTTCCAAGTCAATGCTATTGTGAACAGTGCTGCTATAGACATACATGTGTGTGTCTTTATAGTAGAATGATACATAATCCTTTGGGTATATACCCAGTAATGGGACTGCTGGGTCAAATGGTATTTCTAGTTCTAGATCCTTGAGGAATCGCCACACTGTTTTCCACAATGGTTGAACTAATTTACGCTCCCACCAACAGTGTAAAAGTGTTCCTATTTCTCCATGTCCTTTCCAGCATCTGTTGTTTCCTGACTTTTTAATGATCACCATTCTAACTGGCGTGAGATGGTATCTCATTTTGGTTTTGATTTTCATTTCTCTAATGACCAGTGATAATGAGCTTTTTTTCATATGTTTGTTGGCTGCATAAATGTCTTCTTTTGAGAAGTTTCTGTTCATATCCTTTGCTCACTTTTTGATGGGGTTGCTTTTTTCTTGTAAATTTGTTTAAGTTCTTTGTAGATTCTAGATATTAGCCTTTTGTCAGATGGATAGATTGCAAAAATTTTCTCTCATTCTGTAGGTTGCCTGTTCACTCTGCTGATAGTTTTTTTTTGCTGTGCAGAAGTTCTTTAGTTTAATTAGATCCCATTTGTCTATTTTGGCTTTTGTTGCCATTGCTTTTGGTGTTTTAGTCATGAAGTCTTTGCCCAAGCCTATGACCTGAATGGTATTGCCTAGGTTTTCTTCTAGGGTTTCTATGGTTTTAGGTCTTATGTTTAAGTCTTTAATCCATCTTGAGTTAATTTTTGTATAAGGTGTAAGGAAGGGATCGTGTTTCAGCTTTCTACATCTGGCTAGCCAGTTTTCCCAACACCATTTATTAAATAGGGAATCATTTCCCCATTGCCTGTTTTTGTCAGGTTTGTCAAAGATCAGTTGGTTGTAGATGTGTGGTGTTATTTCTGAGGCCTCTGTTCTGTTCCGTTGGTCTATATATCTGTTTTGGTACCAGTATCATGCTGTTTTGGTTACTGTAGCCTTGTAGTATAGTTTGAAGTCAGGTAGTGTGATGCTTCCAGCTTTGTTCTTTCTGCTTAGGATTGTCTTGGCTATGCAGGCTCTTTTTTGGTTCCATTTGAAATTTAAAGTTGTTTTTTCTGATTCTGTGAAGAAAGTCAATGGTAGCTTGATGGGGATAGCATTGAATCTATAAATTACTTTGGGCAGTGTGGCCATTTTCACGATATTGATTATTCCTATGCATGAGCATGGAATGTTTTTCTGTTTGTTTGTGTCCTCTCTTATTTCCTTGAGCATTGGTTTGCAGTTCTCCTTGAAGAAGTCCTTCATATCACTTGTAAGTTGTATTCCTAGGTATTTTATTCTCTTTGTAGCAATTGTGAATGAGCGTTCACTCATGATGTGGCTCTCTGTTTGTCTGTTGTTGGTGTATAGGAATGCTTGCGATTTTTGCAAATTGATTTTGTATCCTGAGACTTTGCTGAAGTTGCTTATCAGCTTAAGGAGATTTTGGGCTGAGATGATGGGATTTTCTAAATATACGATCATGTCATCTGCAAACAGAGACAATTTGACTTCCTCTTTTCCTAATTGAATACTCTTTATTTCTTTCTCTTGCCTGATTGCAGGAAATACGTTGTGAACTTCCCAGCACATCTGTTAGAAAGGAGGTCCAGAAAAAGAGCACAAAGAGAATGGTCTGTATTTAAAGATGTAACAGCTGAGAAAGCACAGTGTAATTTTCAAGAAAATGACTGTAGCCATTCTGCTTGGGCTTACATCTATCATTGCTAATCACTGTCGGAAAAACTTTGGGCAAATGACTTAACATTTCTGTTCCTGTATTTCTTCATCTGTAAAATAAGAATAAAGGTTGTTACGATGATTAAATGAGCTAATATGTATAAAGTACTTAGAATAGGGTCTGACACATACAATGCACCATGTATGTTTTTGCTAGGTAAAAACAAATACATTAATCTTCAGACGGGACTATCAAAATGAGTCTCAAGTCAATGTGGTAGCTAGTCTAGACACATGGATGCCAAGTGAACCATGCCTCTCAGCATTGATGCCCTGTGTGGTTCATTTTTCTTGAACCTGGGCTGGCACAGTGACTTCACCAATAGAATGCAACAAAAATGATGTTCTGGAACTTCGAAGGTACGTTAAAAGAAACCTTACAACTTCTTAATAGATCTCCTGAAACAGTCACTCTTGGGATGCTCCCAAGAAACAAGAATGCATTTGCCATATCAATGGACAAAAACCATTTACCTGAAGCCCTGTTAACTTGTTCTAGCAATGATACCATGTCTGACATGACAGCTGTGATCAAGACTACTAGTCTGCAGCTATTCAGGATTTATCTGTTTTTTGCAAGTGATCTTTCAGTCTTTAGATATTTAAGGGGGCACTAATCTTGGCTATCCTTCCCAGGATGTGATATTGTTGTTAGTTTAATATCCTTGCCAGATGGGGCAGTTTCAAAGCTTCCAGTTGGCATTATCCAGTACGATAGCGCATTTCCCACTGGCCAAGGACTGATGTAGAGGCTTCTCTTACTGCCAAGTATATCAGTCCTAATCGTATAGCCAGTGACTGTGGGAACGACTATTGGATGTGCCTACAGTACTGGGTGACGTACTGTAAGCTAAACTTTAACATGACTCCATTCGTAATCTGGCTTCTGTATGCTCATTGTAACATTTGGGCCATGGTGATGCTTTGGCTCTTGGAGTATCGGTGTCAACTCAGACAACTGTACTTGAAATATTTGGGTATTCCCCCTTTCCCAGTGTGCAGTAATTTGCATAAATAATGTTAGCTCCCTCTCGGGAAAAACTATAGGTGTCTTTCCAGTAAATGCTTACCACAATGTTGAAGTTCACTTCTTTCTGGAGGACATGACTAAATGTTCAGGTAATAAGTTATGCACCTAAATATTAGCTTGCGTCTGTGAACTGAGCAGGAAATTAGGCCATTTTATTAGAGAGACCACCCTCAGTGTCCTGTTCCTCTACTCTTGCCTTCTTTTGATTGTAGTTTTTAAGCAGCAACCTCATCAGCTGTCCTGTAATTTCGTCTTTAGGGACACATGTTATATTAACCATCACCACAGCTTCCTGTAGGTCAAGACTACTTGGCTACCTTTTTGACTCACTGATGATTACAGCAATTGCCAACTACTAGCTTCCAGTGGTTCAATGCTACCATATATTTTTATTGCTGTAGGCCCCTTTTCTCCAGCAATTCAAACTCTGTGATTACTTCTGTAACCATTATCCCTGGTCTACAAAGAGTCACCACTGAATTTCTTAGTAATTCCAGAACGCCTCTGCCAGAGCATTCTGAATTGTGAATGGTGTGTCTCCTCTGAGTACTCTTGTGGAACATAATATTCTGGTGGCTTTTCTGACCTACATATAGTATATTCTTCCAATACCCCCACTTTCCTGAGTCTCTTTATTCCTTTCCATACCATCTGTCAGGGCAACTCAGTAATTTTAACTTTGATCATCATGGGCCAATGCCTTCCCTGTGCTTGTAAGAGCCACACTAGCAGCACATTTACTTAAGCCCCAGATTCCGTGTCTAAGAATTCAATGTCCCCTAGTTAATATATTCTCATTTACCCAGTTTAGTGTTCTAGTCCCTTGATCATGCACACTCAAAATTCAATCCCATGGTACTCCTGCTGGCACATTGTAACTACTATTTGCACTCCTGTCAGTTTAATCTCTTTTCTATTTTAACATCTCTAGCACAACCCTAATTAATTTATGGGGATTTAACTCTAATTGTTGGCCTGGCGGTCAAGAGAGACATCCACTATCTATAGTAATATGTAGTACAGTAGACATGTACTATCCACAGTAACAAAGAAGATAGAAAGGATATCTATTGAACCCAGATGTTGCTAAGGTGCTTACTAGGAAGAATGATTGTAGTAGTCAGGGTTCTTCTGAGAAACAGAGTCAACAGAATATTGATTGGATGATGGCCACCTACATTAGGGAGGATAATCTGCTTTACTCAATCTATCAATTCAAATGTTAGTCTCATCTAAAAACATCCTCACTGACACATCCAGAAAACTGCTCAATTAAATAAAGTGTGGACATCCTCAGTCAAGCTGACATAAAAACCATCAAAATAGTGAAAGTTCCAACAGATTCTTTTAGCTGACTATTACAAAATAGGGCAGACGTAAGATGAACTAAAAAACAAGGCATTCAATTTTCAATCAGTATTTAGAGGAAAACTAGATTCCAGGACTTCCTAGGATCAAAAAATTAAACTGTATATTAGTGCTAAATAGTCTAGATGGTAGAAGTTTCTCAAAGTAAGAAATGGCTTCAGGGCAAAGATCATATTCCAAGGTGCTGTTAGTGAAGTATGGTTTTTAGGTAAAGATCCCAAGGATGTGACTATAATACCCATTGTTGAAAGCTCAGAAAGATAATGGGGAAGCCTAGAATAGTTTCTAAAAATCTTAAGACAGGCCTCTTAAGCCCTCTATGTTAGACACAGAGGTCACTACGAGTCTTATGGACATGCCTTGTCAACATTTCCAGCTAGAGGCAAAAATGTTTCCAGAAATCTTATTTTAGCTTTATTGAGGTACAATTGACATAAAAAAATTATATGTCTTTAATGTATACATCGTGATGAGTTTGGGCATATGTACACATACTATCATCACCACAACCAGGGTAGTAAGCATATCCACCACCTCCAAAAATGTCCTCATGCTCTTTTGTGTTGTTTTTGTTTCTGTAAAAGCACTTATCATGAGATCTATAGTCTTGTTAACATATTTTAAAGTGCAAAATACTATTTTCTAGTTATAGGTAATATGTTGTACTGCAGATCTCTAGATCTTATTTATCTTGCATAACAGGAACTTTATACCATACCCACTGATAAACAATTCCCCATCTCCCCCTCTACACATTCCTTTACAATCACCATTCTATTTTGTATTTCTATGAGGTTGACTTAAGCATGGCCATGCAACATTTGTCCTTTTGAGACTGTCTTATTTTACTTATCATGATATCCTCTAGGTTTGTCCATATTGTAATAATTGGCAGGATCTCCTTCTTTTAAAGGTTAAATAATATTCATGTATATATTCATTTTCTTTATCCATTCATCTGCCAATGAATACTTGGGTTGTTTTTGTATTTTGTCTACTGTAAAAAATTTCAAAATAAACAGAGTGTTGCACATATTTCTTCAAGGCCCTGATTTCAATTCTCTTGGCTATACACCCAGAAGAGAAATTGCTGGATCAGATTGTAGATTTATTTTTAATTTTTAAAGGAATTTTCATACCATTTTGCATAGTGGCTGCAATTTCTATATTCAGTGTATAAGGGATCCAGTTTCTCCACATTCACACCAACACTTTTTTTTTTTATAATAACCATCCTAAAATATGTTAAGTGATATCTGACTATGGTTGCCTTTTTCTGATGGTTAGTGGTATTGAGTACGTTTTTATATACTTGTTGGCCATTTATATGTCTTCTTTAAAGAAATACCTATTCAATTATTTTGTCAATTTTAAGTTGTGTGTGTGTGTGTATATATTATTGAGTTGAGAAGATTATTATGTATTTTAGATATTAACCCCTATCAGATAGATGGTTTGAAATATTTTCTCCCGCTTCATAGGATGACTTTTCACTCTGTTGATCATTTCCTTTGTTGTGAAGAAGCTTTTTAGCTTTACATAGTCCTGCTTGTCTATTTTTTATTTTGTTGTTTCAAATCTAGAAAATCATTGTCAAGACCAACATCAAGAAGTTATCTCCTTATTCTTTTTCTTCTAGGAGTTTTACATTTAAATCTTTAATCCATTTTGAGTTGATTTTGTATATAGTATGAGATAGGGTCCAATTTCATTCTTCTCTATGTAGTTTATTCTACACCATCTATTGAAGGGACTATTCTTTCTCCATTGTGTGTTCTCAGCAATCTTGTCCAAGATCAGTTTACTATATATATGTGCATTTATTTCTGGACTCTCCATTCTGTTCTATTGGCTTGTATGTCTGTCTTTATCTCAGTACTATACTATTTTAATTAAATGGAAGGCATTCAAATTGAATATAAAATTAACATACAAAATCAATTGCATTCCTATACATTAACAATCTAGCTTTTCTGAGCTATCAGAAAAGGAAGAACCAAAACAATTTCATTTAAAATAGCATAAAAAAGAATAAAATGCTTAGCAATAAACTTAACCAAGGAAGTGAATGACTTGTACACTGGCAACTGTAAAAACATTGATGAAAGGAATTGAAGAAGACTCAAATAAATAGAAACATAACCTATGTTCAGGGCTTAGAAGAATTAAAATTGTAAAATGTCCACACTACCATAACTTGTCTATGAATTCAATGCAATCACTATCAAAATCCCAAAAGCATTTTTTACAGAAATGGAAAAAACTATTCAAGAAAGACCTCAAATAGCCCAAGTGATCTTCAGAAAGAATAGCAAAGCAGATGGTATCACTCTTCTTGACTTCCCAAGATGTTGCAAAGGTACAGTAAATAAAACAGTATTCTACTGGCATGAAGACAGACAGAGAGAAATCTCAAGGGTGTTGTCTCACAGTACACTAATTGTCAGCCCAAGTCAGAGAAAGGCCTGTCCTAAGGAGATGTATGAGTGTGGTACTTATCTAATTGACTAAACCCAAATAAGAATCCTAAGAACCTAAAATATTTTAAAAGGAATATTATTGGTGGGCCAGGCACAGTGACTCAGATCTGTAATCCCAGCACTTTGGGAGGCTCATGTGGGTGGATCACATGAAATCAGGGGTTTGAGGCCAGCCTGCGCAACACGGTGGAAACCCTGTCTCTATTAAAAGTACAAAATTTAGCCGGGCATGGTGGCACATGCCTGTAATCCCAACTACTTAGGAGGCTCAGTTGAGAGAATCACTTGAACCTGGGAGGTGGAGGTTGCAGTGAGCCGAGATTGCACCGTCCCACTGTACTCCAGTCTGGGTGACAGAGTGAGATCCGTGTAAAAAAAAAAAAAAAAAAAAAAAAAAAGAAGAAGAAGAAGAGAGAGAATTTTATTGGTATCATCAGTTTCAATTGCATCATCTTAGACTCTAGAGGACGGAGTGAGAAAAATGTCCCCAAATGGGTTTCACAATTGCTATGTAACTGTTATGTGCCTCCCATTTTTTCTCTTTTGGAGTAACATTTTCTATTACTGTCATCTTATATCTACTTTATCATTATGTGCTGAGTGTGTGACAGGAAGATAACCTGACTTCTTCAAGTTCAAAGGTCTTCAGGTCAAAAGGAACCATTCTTGAGGAATCATACTAAATATGCCCCATTTGCACTTTGTCATGATTTGGATTTTAAAAACCTAGACTTTGAGCTGATGCTATAAAGGGATGAGATTTTAAGATTATTAGGAAGAGGAGTAAGTGTACCTTGCATATGGGAACAACATGAATTATTAGTGGTTAGATATGGGACTGTGGTAGATTAAGGATGTCCACACAATTTTTGACACTCTTTCCATTGAAGGTTACAGAAGCTCAGTTGGCCTGCGATTTCTTTGGCCAATAGAGTATGATAGAAGTTATGTTAATGCTGGTTCTTGGTTTTTGTCTTTGAGACAACTAACAATTTTTGTCTTGGTTTGCTGTCCCCCATGAAAAAGTCTGTCCCGAGGCTTCCCTGTTAAAGAAGCACATGACAGTCAACTGAGAAACTGGAGAGAGAGAAAGAGAGAGAGAGAGAGAGAGAGAGAGAGCAGATCCAGATATCACTGAGCATAGTCAACCCTTTCCTGCTGTGCCCTCCCCAATTTCTGACCCACAGAATCCTGGGATTTGATTAAATAAATTAAGCCATTTAGATTTAGGCTACTATTTGTTATGCAGCAGTAGATAACTAGAACCCATGTGTTTTCCTACAGTTCACAGCTTCCATGTAGATGGGATTATGCAATAAACTCTGAGCAACAGAAGTGATAGTCTGAGATAGTTCAGGTGGATAGTGTCTTCTCCACACAGGCATTCTCTCATCAACAAAACTGGAACTGAAGGACCAAAGAAGGTTGACTTGGAAGATAGAAGAAGTACCAGAGAGAGGTCAGATCGTTTGGGTTTGCAAAAGTGAAGGCAGAGGTTTTGAATAGTCAGCCCACCCGCTCAACTTAGCTTCCATAGTCTTGTCTATTTGTATCTCTAAATAGTTACAAATGTTGGCATACCACATCTTTTCAGAGCCAGAATCCATTTCTAAGTACTTAGAAACTAAGAAACATCATACCTATTCTTGTCTATTAGCTCCAGAAATACTTCCACAGTTATGATTTCATTGTTTTCACTTAGTATGAGTTTGGTACCAAAGGAAAAGAAAAATAAATTTTCATGAATTTTTTGTATTTCACCTGTATTTCATCATATTACATGCATTACAGTCTGTCAAAATAAGGACAGATAAAGGAAAACGAAACCAAAATAATAGAGTGTTTAAAGTCATCATCTTTCATGACCAAGGGTGGAGAGATACGAGTGGTTATAACACTCTAATGAGATACAAAGTGATTCTTGAGGTGTTTTTTGTTTGTTTGTTTGTTTTACCTAGCTCCACTTTTAATGGTATTTCATAGTAATCCTTGAAGTCTGGCCAGTTGACTTCTAAAACATCTCTGAAGATATAGGTACCAGAACTCTTAGCTGAACAATTGGTTGTTTTATCTCTTAATTAGTGGTTGCAATGTCATTCAATTTAATTACTTATTAGCCTCTCTGGACCAAGTAAAAAGCATTTTTCATTTGTATTATAAAATGTAAAAATAAAATTGTCAACTTTTAGTAAAAGTTTGTTCCCTTTTTCCACTCTTTCCTATTCTTTTTGTGTCATAAAAGAAATGAAACATTCTAGTGTGTTTCAGTAGCTCATTCTCTCTGCAGCATGTCCTCTGTGTGAGATTCATTTTCTTTAGTTAAACGGTGGGTCTTTTAGGGCACCTTTCCTTTATTTTGTGCAGGACTTTCATAAATCTAACACCTGTAGAGCTTTTTTTGATTAAAATAATAAACAACACAATTGATTAATTTTTCACATGAATAACTGTTGGTGTAGTAAGAGGAAAGTTTTAAGTATTTTATGCTGAAGTAGGGGAAAACACTTCATGTTGCCTGTGTGCCAGCTAACAATGACAAGAATTGCTGTAATCTTAGCTTTTCCTTTCTCCCAGTTGCCATCTTGCTTGGGCTTCAAATAGTCTGAAAACTTTCTATAACAATGGCAGAATTATGCAGACTTCCATGTTATGGAAAGTGTCTTTAGGATGTCATTTTTTACATAACCAGGCTGTAAAAGTAGAATATTTTCAGGGAAGCATCTACAAAATAAGTCATTGGCATTATTCATATTCAATGTAGTGTAAAATCTAAACACTTTTACATTGCAAGTGGTGATGAAATTTTTTATAACCTCTGGGGAGGGCAATTTGGCAGTATCTATCTGAATTACAATAACGATATCTCTTGACCTAACATTTCCATGTCTGGAAGTTTGTCCTACAAATAGACTTGCACATATATAGAATGACGTGTACACAAGATTATACACTGCAACATATGATTGGAAATAACATAGATGTCCAATGATAGGAGACTGATCTATCAAATATAATACATGAACAAAGTGGCATATACCATGCATGTTAAAAAAATAAAGAAGCTCTATGTTCTAATAGGGAAAGATCTCCAAGATACACATTGCCCTCAACATTGGTTTGCTCATATAACATGTATTGTTCATTGCCATTCTTTTTTAAAGAAAATATTTGTATTTGACTGTGTAGCATAAAGGATCTCTGTGAGGACAGATAACAACTGATTAAATTGATTGTATATGAAGAGTAAGTCAGTGACGGAGGGCAGAGATGGGGAGAAACATTTGACATCTTTCTATGTCTTTTGCATTTTGAATCACCATTAAAAGAACAAAAACCAACCGAACTGAAAAGAAATCATGACATACCTCTTTAAAATTTATTTAAATAATATGCAAGTTAGCATTTACTTTTCCAATTGAATAAACATAGCCCTACATGACAATCCTTAAAATAAAAAAGCATAATAATTTTATTGATCAGACTAAAATGTGTTAAACTAAAAGGATCTCACAGACAAACAGTCCTAAATATCATCTATCTATACAATACATGGGCAATATAGGCAAAATTCTACATGCAATTGCATACAAGTACATGTTAGAATACATAATAAGTCAATTACATCAACTGATATTCCAAAAAATTTTCAGCATTAGGGTTCCATGGCTAGTGTCTTGCATTTTCAAGTATTCCTCATATTACTTAGAAATGTATTGTTTACTACAACTAGATTGGACTTTTTTTTCTTTTATCCAGTTGCCTCTATTTTACACTTATAAACCATCTGAGAAGCAGTAAAATTACACATCTCTACTTTTTCATTGCTGGTTATTTATGCCTCAGTAGAGTTCTCTGGTTTATTCAAATCAAAGCCTTCTGATCACTCTACCCAAGGCCCCCTTCACTTCCTTGTTCCTCAAAGTATAGATCAGTGGGTTTAGTACAGGAGTGACCACAGTGTACATGATGGCAACAATCCGGTCCTGGTCCATGAAGCTCTCTAACGCAGGATGGATATAGGTGAAAAGAACAGGTGCATAGAAAAGAATAACTACCATGAAGTGGGAGGCACAAGTGGACAGTGCTTTACAGAGCATGCTACAAGAACGGGTCTTGAAGAAGAGATAAGTGATAATGTAGAAATAGGAGAGAAGTGTCAGAAAGAAGGGGCCCATGGCAATTGTCCCCGTGACAGTACTGAGTAGCCACTGATTAAGCTCAGTGTTCCCACAGGCCAGCTTTAGCAATGGCTTAATATCACAGAGAAAATGATGGATACGGTTGGAACCACAGAAGTTCAAGCGAGAAGTCATTACGGAGTGCAGCAGGGCATGGAAAAAACCAATGACCCAGATTGTGATGGCCATCTGGGTACAGAGCTGAGGGTTCATGATGACAGTGTAGCGAAGTGGCTTGCAGATAGCCACAGAGAGGTCAAATGCCATCACGGCGAACAACATGGACTCCGTGCTGCCCAGGAAGTGGAAGAAATGAAGCTGGCTTATGCATCCCAAGAAAGAAATTGCTTTGTGTGTAGAGAGAAAGTTCTGCAGCATTTTTGGCAGTGTCACCGTAGAGTAACAGATATCCAGGTAGGACAGGTTTCCCAGGAAGAAATACATAAGGGAATGGAGTCTAGGATCGGAGATGACAATCATCAGAACGGCTCCATTCCCAGTCACACTGATGAAGTAGATGGTGAGGAAAACCACGAAGAGAAAAGGCTGCAGTTCTTGAATGTCTGTCACTCCCAAGAGGAGAAATTCGGTGACTGAGGTTGTATTCAGCATCACTTCAGACAAAAGACAAAATAATCTATGGAACACTAATCGCAATCAGAATCCTTCCGGCTCAGAATTTTCTCACCAAGCCAAAGATACTTGGAAGGAGAGTACTGTTGTACTTCTTCCAAACCTCAGAAGTTGTATAGAAGCTTAGCTGTTGGTCTCTTCAATATTAAGGATTCATGCATATTATGGACTATGACTTAACCACTTTTTAAAATTAAGTTTATCATTAACGTATTTCTTTCTTCTGGGGATTTAGAACATGTTGCTAACTTACATCTTCTCTGGTTGAGAAGAATACATCCGTATTCTGTTACAACTTTCCTTTCCTATCCCAAGTCAGCGTTAATAGGGGGCAGTTTTTAAGTGCACCACCACTTGGATATCTCTTGACCCAGGAAAATGGCTCCTGAAATTTTTTGACTTAAGAGAGGAAGATAAAAATGAACTCATTATAATCACAAAGTCTTTAAAGAGATATAAAAACCTCTTTAAAATAGTAGTAATTATTTTGTTCTCATCTTAGAACGTAGATGAGGCTGGAGATGTTCTCTTACTGATCTCTTTCTAACCCACATCTCTGGCAATGTCATGGAGCTCTACTGGGAAAGGAAAAAATAATACATCAATCAAATATTAGCCTGAGGTATATTTGAAGTTTTATCACTGCTATATCAGATAATGTGCTTAGTTTCTTCTACCTAAGCCTTTAAATTTTTTCAAAGTAAATCCCAAATTACTTACTTGATGACAAATGTTATTGTTCCTTTAGTTTCCAGTTGCACTGAGACTTTTTCCTTTTTCACACCCCTGAATCTCTGAATAAGAAAAACTCTTCCAATAGACTCAACAATTCTTCCTTCATTTTACCCAATAGTGTCTTCTTCTAAAGTATCTAAGAATTTAGACCACTGAAAGTTCTGTCTTCTCTTGTGATGCATTTTCTTAAGTCTTATTTTTATTTTGCCTGAAATAAGCTCACTTTTTAGATGTGAAGAAACATTGTATCCAAGTGAATTTTCTCTTTTCTTCTAGTTTCATCAATGTGACACTGACAGTCAGGTTCTCCTCCATCAACCCAGAGGTCTGTTGGCTTCATACCAGTTCTCTCCAAAGTTGCCACACATTTCTAGCCTTTTTCATTTGTAAAATGTGTTTTCTCTATTTGCCCCTTCTTTCCATCAGATAAAATTTCCATTTTCTATGAAAGAAATGTATTCATTTTTCTTTCTTTTGCAGAATTGAAATAATAGAATTTTTTCAGTAACTGTTAAAACACATGAGGGATTATAAGTAAGATAATTATAATGAGGTTTAATATTTGACTAAATTTATACTGTTTACTGAAAGGCAGAAATATATTTTGAAGGTTTTTTCTAACATTATTTGCAAAGTACTTGGGATTATCTTCTATAGGTGCACTGACAAAAGCAGACATAATTTTGTGAAATAGCTTCCTGTTTGTTCCTTTCTTGTACAAATGTAGTGGATTAACTTTTGCATATTAGGAGAAAAGAAGCAAGAATGTGTGGGAAATCCATAGAAATGGCAGGCACTTAGAAAAGAATAAGAACCAATAGGAAATCAGAAGAAAGATGCAGACATTAGAGTGTTTCCTATAAATGGGGAATAATTCGAGGTTGAAAAATTGCTGATGAGAGAAGAAAAGGATTTGGTGTGACTAAAGTTAAAAAAAATAATGAACTAGGAAACATCTCTAGGGAGCCCATAGGATATTTGGCTTTACAGCTAGAGGAAATTTTGAGAGATTATCTAACCTTTACCACACCTCCATGAAGGACTGCCTCCAAACAATTTAAAGTAGCTTTATTTGATAGCCATGTATGTTGCATATTTTTCAAAACTTTTACCATGTCTTTTAAAAGTACAAATGATAGATAAAATATTATTTTTGGTTCTCTGACCCATAAAATAAAATTGTATCAAAAATCTATTTGGTAAAAAGAAAATTTAAAAAATAATAAATAATAAAACAACATTTTCCTAACGTTTAAAGAATGTTGTTTAGCCAACTTCTCTGTACGAAAATATTTCTTTCACTGCAATTTCAATATTTAGGGATTTCAGATTTGCTTTAGCGAATATCTAGAGAGCCAGGCATGTTGAATAGAGAAGGAGATATGGCAATAAAAGTGCGGAAAACAAAATGCTTTCATAATCTACAACTACAATGAAGACTCCATCATAAAAATAGGAAACCAGCTCTAAATCCTGGGCATCTAACTTTAATACTCGCAAGCAGTCAGGTCACTCATTAACAGATAAAAAATACGAGCAGCTTCCCAACCTGTCTCCTATTCTATTCTCTCACCCGGATTGAGAGTTCAGAATCACAGGTAAAAGAGCTTTTCAGATTTATACTCCCAGTGATTATAAATAGAAAAATATTTGAAGTGATGGTTGATGTTGGGATTGCAGCATAAATTATCTTCAAAAATCTTTTCCTCTCTGAAAATCTGCCTGCCTTCCAATGAGCTGCAGATCTCTAGACATAAAAACCTGAGAGAAACTGTCCCCTGGGTGCTGAGAAGGATTGTCGTGAGAATAAACAGGAGGTCTCTCTGCACCTGCAGCATAAGGGGATAGCCATATGGAATTTCTCTGTAGAATTCCACTTTTCTGTTGTTGTCGTTCTTCTTATCTTTTTTTCTTAATATGTTTGTTCCTTGGTTTCATAACCATGGACAAGACAGTTTTCAATAGCTTAATATATTTGCTGGATTTTTTCTTTAAAATAGTAACCCAATATTTTATTTGACCTTTCACAATACTGTTTTTTAAAATATTTATTTGTTTATTTAAAATACTTTTTCCTAGTCAAATTTCCTTTCATTTCCTATGGTAGAGGTTCAGATTCACTTTCTCTTCTTGAGGGCTCCCTTGGAAAATATTTTGGTATATAAAGTGAAAGAAAATTGGCAATAAAAATTAATAAATATGGTCACCCACATTCCATTGATCAGTACAGAAAGATGATTATCTTTAATATTCTACTGTGGTTCTATGAAAACCAAAGAAAGAGACATAAAGAGAAATAGTATTACTTTTGTACCTTCTACATCTTACTCTTCACTGTTGCTAATAATACTAAATTATTTTAAATAATTAATTTTGGGGTCCAAAAGCTCACATTTTTCTCTGTTTGGGATAAGGATTTTGGTCTTACCAATGTGTAGCATTACTTTTTGCTATTTTTTAGGTAAGAAAATTCTGTCTGAATTACACCAGGGTATCTATGCGTGACCTTCCATCAATCCAAGGATTCTACTAACAGTTGTAACTATGATGTATTTTTTCCATCTTTCTATTGAGTTTCCATTTTTGTTGCTTGGCAAAAGTTTATTATATATATTTATCACAATAATATCTTATTTTAATTTTTTAATTTTGTTTTTTTTTTTAAATCTTTAATTTTTTTTCTTGTTTTGAGTCAGAGTCTTGCTCTGTCATCCAGGCTGGAGTGCAGTGATGCAATCATAACTCACTGCAGCCTCTAATTCCTGGTCTCAAGCAATCCACCAATATCATCCCCCCAAAATTTTGGGATTATAGGTATGAGCCATTCCACATACAAATAATTCCTTATTTTATATACTGCTAATATATTATAAATAAATAACATTTATTGCATGCTCATTATGTATAAGTTATTGTTCTGAGTTCTTCACATATATTAGCTCATTTAATTCTCACAAAAACCCAATGTAAAAGTATTAAAATTATTCCTTTACTACAAGAAAACCAAGGCTCAAAGGATTTAAGTAAAGTTTCCTTTTCCTTGCAATGGATTGTGAAACTAGGATTCAAAATAAGGCTCTTTAGTTTTAGGGATCACTGCAATGTAATTTCCATTTTTTCAAAATGTCCCCCACTTCAATTTTATCATTTTTTATCTTGCATTGAAACTTAAAGATTATGTAACTGGTTCTGTTAATTAGATTTAGAGTTTTATATTTGTCATTTAGGACTCTAGTCTTCTAGAGGTTATATTTACATATCCTGTGAGATAATCAGCTAGTCTTGGTTCTGGTTGTCTCTATGTAGACCGACTAACCATTCCTTCTTCATCGATTTGTGAGGCCATCTTTATACTATTCCAAGTTCCCCTCAATACATGGTTTGTTTCTCCACTTACTATTTTTTCCATTGAATAAGCTGTAATTTAAGTAATATGATGTTATTGTAGGTCTTAATATCTCATAAGTTAGGAAAAATCATTACTTCTTTTTTTTCCCCAAAATACCTCCAAGTTGGCTGAGTGCAGTGGCTCACGCCTGTAATCCCGGCACTTTGGGAGGCCGAGGCAGGTGGATCACTTGAGGTCAGGAGTTCCAGACCAGCCTGGCCAGCATGGTGAAACTCCATCTCTACTAAAAATACATAAATTAGCTGGGCATGGGGGTGTACGCCTGTAATCCCAGCTACTCAGGAGGCTGAGGCAGGAGAATTGCTTGAACCTGGGAGGCAGAGATTGCCACTGTATTCCAGCCTGGGTGACAGCGTGAGACGCCATAAAACAAAACAAAACAAAACAAAACAAAACAAAACAAAACACCCTCAAAGTCTTTTGACAGCTTTTTTTCCCAAGTAATTTCAATGTTATAGAAAGTTTGCTTACGGGGAAAGGCCTAGGGCCAACTCAAAACAGGCCCCTTGAATGGAGCTGGAGAGGCTCCAACATGGCTGACTTGATACATCTGGTACTTGGCCCTTCCATGTAAAGTAACCAAAATAACCAGTCAATAATCACACGTTGAATAGATCATCTAAGAGAGAACACCGAAAGTCAGCAGAGAAGTGACCAGGAAGCACCAAAAGCAAAGGAGAAGGAAATGAGACCGCCTGTTCAACCAAGATCGGATATGAGTCTCGAGCGGCTCTCCAATGTGGGAAAAGGGAAAGGGGGAGACTCCCAGCAGCCCACATTTCACCACAGATACCTACAATTCTAGCCACAGGAGATCCCCTCAACCATCGTAGCCCCTGAGACTAACATAGGGAGCTGCCTGGAGACCACGTGAAGGCGCTACCCAAGAAAGAACCTCACACTGGGTCCCACGAACCCTAAGTCCTAACTAACTGCAGCACGGCACCATTTTGACAGCACAGATCCCAACGCACTGCATCTTACTCTGCTTCTGAGACCGAGGCAAGAGCCCTAGGGAGTAATCCCACCTCCCGTTACCCCGACCAGAGGGACAACGACACATTTTTACTTGCCCTGAGGACAAATTTCACTGCCTGCAACTGCTGCCATGATGAACTACTGTGGGGCAGAGGCATGAGCAAAGCCCATGCCTCCCCAGTTTCTTGCCTATGGTTGTTCCCAGGAAAAGCAACCCAGTCCTCCCCAGTCCATGACCACAAAACAGCCACTACCACTCCTATCTGAGCATTCCATCTGTGGCCTGGGGATCCCCCTGCCCCTGCCTACCATAGCCAGTGCCTCATACACCACCAAGGAGCCCATGGGAAGGTCTACTCAGCCTGGCTTCACCCACCCACAGAATCTGAGCACACCGTACAGGGGCCCGAGGGTCACTTAGCCCAGTCCATCACTGGTAGCTCCTCAGCACCCCTCCTGGGATCTGAGGTCAGCCCCACTCAACCTTCCCCTGGCACCACAGCTGACATCCACACTCATGTGCCTCCTGTGGATCTGGGAACTGACCTGCCCAACCTGTCACAGCCATTGCCAATATCAGCATGGACTACACGGGTCCCAGAGGGCTGTCCCACCACTGCTACTGCCATCACCCACACCACATCCACTGCCAAAGGGCTCAAGAATTCAACTTCATACCTGAACTACTGATGCCATTCCCAGAAGCCAAGCAAGCCACTTGGAAGCACAAGAACTGTCTTGCCTAAACCCGCTAACATTGGTGCCAGTGTATGCTGCCCTGGGGCCCAAGGACACACATGCTCATCCCACTGATTCTACCAATGGAAGCCGAAGACTGGCCCAACTGGCATCTCAGTTCTTAGCAAGACTTCAGCACAGCCTCCACTAACAACCATATCCTAAGCCACCAAAGAAATCACAGACACCACTGACACTGTTTACAGATGAAGAAATCATACAGAGACTGCACTATTGTACACACCCAGAATCAAAACCAGAGAACCCTACCCAAACTACACCTTAGATACATCTTCTGGAAAAAGTCCTCCCCATGAGAGCAAATTCAAAAAATTTAAAAAAGTAACTGTTATACTAGATATGCAGATATCAACATAAGGACACAATAATTCTCCAGCAACAGATCCCAATAAAAAAGAAATGTCAACAATCCCAGGCAGAGTATTCAAAATTTTGATACTAAAACAGCTCAGTGAGATACCAGACAGTATTTAAAAATTATACAAAGAAATCAGGAAAACAATTTAGGTTATGAATAAGAACTGTACCAAAGATACAGATATCAGGAAAAAAAACCCCACCTAGTTCTCTATCCCTTTTTTCTATCTTTGATTCCACTCACAAATATGCTTGCTTTTAATCATTCTCTAGGATGTTTAGTTTTTGTTTTATTTATTTTGCATTTTATTCCTCTAAGGAGCTTTCATGGCCATATTGGCAGCATAACTCTCCATTGTATGGGACTTTGAAGGGGAATAGGCCAATTTGTTGAAAACTAAATTGTCTAAGACCCAGTTTCCTAAGAGCTATTTCAGTGAGTCTCATCCTACAACTAATCTGTGTGTTAACATGACTTGTCTTTGACACTTACCCTAAAGTAACAGCGATAGTTGAAATTAAAACTTTGGAGATATTTCTAGTAAATCATAAAATTGATTTTATTGGTTGTTCATGAATTAACATAGGGCTCAGGAAATTTACCATTTCTTTATTCACAGTAAGAAAGAACATTGATCATAATAGTACAAATAATGACTTTAGTTAGATGTTTTTAATTATTTCAATGGGCTCCATACATAAAGTTGTCTCTTCCAAGAATCTATATAAACACTAATCCCTAAAAGTATGTTAACCAAATTTATCTCCACTGTTTAGTCTTCCCTGTTTGATCATAATTTGCTTAAATCTTTCCATTTCAATATCTGTAGACCTCAGTTTATAATTAATCATTTTTAGTTTTCATTATATTGTTCTAAGTGATATTACTTTTCAGATTCATTAGATGTTAGATTTCTCAAGGATAGGAGCTGTGTCTTCTCTTTCTTTTATATTATCATCACTCTTTTTTTCTTATGACTAATGAAGGGCTCTGCCAAAAATTTATTATTATTACTTAAATCAATGTAGTGATCTCATAAGCACATCAAAGAAGGAATAAACTGATACACAGGGGAAGAGAAATATAAAGAGAATAAGTCCTTGGAGAGAAAATCCCAAAGTGTTAATGCTCAAGATGCTACTGGGAAGGTTTACTGAGAAGATTTAGCCTGTTCATTTTCTGTCCATAATAAGACATGAGATTTGCTTAGATTCCATGTAAGTTGTTTTCAATAAGGGTGTTTATAATAGGTTTTGAGCAGTCAGAACTTTCTCTGATAACTTTATTCAAGGACACAATAAATACATCTGATCTATGATATTTGGATAACTCTTTTGACACAAAAATTATATTTATACTAAGATACGTGCAAAGGAATGTGCAGAGAAAATTGGCTTAGACTAAATAGAAAAATGATATTATGATAGTAGAGAAAAACTCTTGATGAAAAGAGGTTGAGATCACTGGAATGAGTGGGTTAGAGTGACGGAGGAACCTCTTTGAATATAGGCTATGAAGATTACAGGATGCAACAGGTGGGCTCATTACATAAAACATTTATGAGGGAAGCTTCAAATTTCCTGATCTATTTACTTATGCTTTTTTTGGACTTTTTTTGGTTTCAGGGCAGCAGACTCTATGATCAAGTATAGATGTATGTTATAGTTAAGTGTCTGAGTGTGTACGACTGTTTAATGGAGATAGTGGTAGTGTGTGTATATTTGTGTTACAAAGAGACGAAACAAAGGGAAAAGGAAGTGAGGGAGAAGTAAAAAAAAATAGGTGAGTAACCTTTTAGTATCTATCACAATCAGTTTTCATAAAAGTAGCAGATTCCAATTCGTGTTAGATAATATATTAGATTGTATTTAATGTTAGATAATTATATAACTTTGCAGTAGTATTATTTTTAGTAGAAGAGGGATGGTGTTAATTATTTAGGAAAAAATAATTTCGAAACTGTTGTATAAAGTATTTACTTATGTAGTTTCACAAGCGTACATCCCAAACCCTTAATTATATGCATCCGTTACAATGTCCTTCAGCTATGTTTATGATTCCTGAAATTAATTCTCTTCTCTCCACTATCAATAATTTCACTTTGAACATTTATTCTGTATCTATACCCACGGAATACAGCTCCTAGGTTTTTGTGTCAATTCACCAATCTTATAATTAAATATTCAATACTACTTACTGATGCTAATTAATCAATAAGAATTATTAATGCCATTGAGAGCAGGTCATGCCAAAAATGAATTGTGGAAAAACCTGTACCTATTGGCTAAAAACCATTACTTTTTCTACAAATATACATGTTTATGTTCTGTGTTGCCATGTCCTTTGATAAAAATGGAGGAATCTTCATTTTCTGATTTGTTAATGTAATTGTTATTGGTGTTGTTTATAAAAGAAATTTTGGTAGAAGAGTGAGGGTAAAATTTTAATTGGTATAGGTGTAGGAGGGAATGGAAAGAGGATTGCAAACAGCTGGTATAGGCAAATGTTTACAGAATTTAATTGTAAAGGGGAACACAGAAATGGAATGGAGGTAGAAAGGTAGTACAGGAGAGGAAAATTTTCATGATTTAAGACAGAGATGAGAAAATAACTGGAGCAGTGTTCTTAGAAGATGAGAGAGAATGGGTTCTTGGACACAGGTGGAAGAGGTGGTCTTCATCAGGAGTATCAATTATGAAACCATTAGAAACAGAGTGAATGCACAGTATATGAACACAGTTACAAAACTGTGGGTAGATACTAGGATGAAACTTGGAGATACTCTCTTCTGACTGCCTTTACTTTTCCAAAATAAAAGAAACAATGTCACTCTCCGAGAGAGAGGATGAGAGAGAAGAGTTAGAGGTATGGCCTGTAAAGAGAAAGGGAAATATGTAATTGATTGGCATCTCTAAGATTTCAGGGTTTTTTTTTATTGCTCATGATCCTTGTGGTCATGCGTTGGTGTCTGTGCATCTGAAGAAATAGGCATATATTCCAGTCTTTACAGACTGTTTCGGCAGGGAACGCCCTTCATGCATCAGCCTATCCAGAGATTCTGGGCAGGTCATATGGCGTGGTCTGGAAGTAGGTTTGTTCCTGGAGTCCTGGGCAGGATGGCTTAGTGCTTGGGTCATCAGGTGGGTGGGCCTGGTGGCTGAGTCAATGGCATTCCCAAGATTTCAATGCAGTTGAGTATTAATGAATTTAGATCTAGGCAAGTGAGCACAGGTGCATTTTCCTCCAATCGTGTTCAGCTGCAAAGGTTTAGATGTGGAGTAAGTAGAGAGTGGTTTGACTTTTTCCAGGTAAAGACATGAAGCACAAATTGGTCAAGGGATGTAAGGATATATGCTACTATAAAGTGACTATAAATATGCATATGGAACTTAAGATGAGTAAGGAGGAGTGTGAGTACATGAGAGTAGTAAAGAACATGAAATAGAATAACTATAATTTAGGGGATAAAGATTATAGGATTTGTGGTATTGGAGAGAGTAAATTATGAATTTACCTGGTGGTAGTTGGAGTCTAGGATGCTTATTACTGAGATCATGAAGGGTTGAAGTTATTAATGACTAGTGAGTAATGAGTAATAAATCTAGAGTTTAATGATAGGAGAAAGTAGCTGAAGAAGGATAATAATGATTATCAGACAAATGGAAGTACAGAAACCTATAGAAGGGTATCGTAATAGGGTCTAACTTAATTTGAGATAGGCTGAAACCCAAAGGATAAATAGATATTTTCTTACATTAAAGGACGGGAGGCCAGGCACAGTGGCTTACGCCTGTAATCCCGGCACTTTGGGAGGCCGAGGAGGGCAGATCACAAGGTCAGGAGATCGAGACCATCCTGGCTAACATGGTGAAACCCCGTCTCTACTAAAAACACAAAAAATTAGCCGGGCGTGGTGGTGGGCGCCTGTAGTCCCAGCTACTCAGGAGGCTGAGGCAGGAGAATGGCGTGAACCGGGAAGGCGGAGCTTGCAGTGAGCCAAGATCGCACCACTGCACTCCAGCCTGGGCGATAGAGCGAGACTCTGTCTCAAAAAAAAAAAAAAAAAAAGGGACAGGGGAAGTAAAGAGTGATCCAGGGAGGACAAGCATGAATGAAGTCCCTGTCAAGGGACACCTTGATATATTTGAGGAATTGGAAGATATCCAGTAGGATCACATCCAAGTAATATAAAAGGTGAGACTGAAGAGATAAGCCACAGACATTCATGGAGGGTTTGTAAGCTTGTCCAGTTGGAAGGTACTGAAATGTTTCACATAGAAATTTATACTGTAACGCAGGCCTTTAAACAATCATTCTGGTTACACTATGAAGATGGCTTGAGAGTAGGGGAAGAAAAGAACTGTAGGGCTGCTTTGAAGTAGTTAAGTTTAAAGGCAATCATGACTTGGGCCAGGATTGCGGCAGTGTGGATAAAGAGACGTGAATTTGAGGGATGTTTCAGAGACTTGATGACTGACTTAAAGAGAGTGGATTGAAGCGAAGGAGAAATCAATGTGGTTCTCACATTTCTGGTTTGAACAACTAGATGGTTTTTATTCTGTTCACTACGTTGAAACACTGTGAGAGCATGCTTGGAAAGAGGATGCGTTCTGTTTGACGTGTTGATTTTTGTAATTCAGTAAAGAATTCAACCATCCCTCCATTAAAGGACATTTGGGCTACTTCCAGTTTTGGGTTGTTATGAATAAAGATTCTATGAATATATGAATACAAGCTTTTGTGTGAATTCAAGTGGAGAGTCAAATATGAAATTAGGTAAGTCTAGAACTCAGAGTGGGGGTTAGACAAGAGATCTCCCTCTTAGAAGCTATATAGCCAGAATAAATTTTATACTTGGAAGACATGTAGTTATGATATCAAAGTCACTAGTTCAAAGTCACTTAAAGATATTACTATTTGTCTTTCTTTCAATATTATGTTCATTTTTTCTTGGAATTTATTTCATATTTACTAATTATTATATTAGAATAACAGTCATTTGTAAGAGTACATGGATAGCCAGAATAAGTGACCAATTTTATTCTATAGATTATTTTTCTACACCATTGTTCTGTTTTTCTACATGGTATAGGAACTGTAAGAATATGAAGAATAAGATACTTTCAGTTTTTTTCACCTCTAATAATCTGATATTCCAATGAGTAGACAGACATGCAAAATTCTACCTATAAGAATAAATGGTGGCCAGGCATGGTGGCTTACACCTGTGATCCTAACACTTTGGGAGGCCGAGGTGGGCAGATCACTTGAGATCAGGCACTAGAAACCAGGCTGGCCAACGTGGTAAAACCTTGTCTCTACTAAAATACAAAAATTAGCACAGTGTGGTGATGCGTACCTGTAATCCCAGCTATCTGGGAGGTTGAAGCCTGAGAATTGCTTGAACCCAGGAGACAGAGGTTGCAGTGAGCCAAGATTGCACGACTGTACTCCAGCCTAGGTGACAGAGCAAGACAGTCTTGAAAAAAAAAAAAAAGAATAAATGGAATAGTGCCTTTGATTTGATAAAACAGAGAAGTGCGTATGACAAGTATAATCTGTAAAACAGATGCCGAAGTAACGACTTTCTAGTCCAAAGTAAGTCACAGTCTCCACTTTGCCATCTATAAAACAGACTGTACTTGTCATATACACTGCCATTTATACATAATATTACTGGGCCTAAATATTTTAGATGCTCAGTTCACTGCTCTTTTTCACAACTATATATTTGTGCATAGTATTGCCATGCTTATTTTTAAAGAAAATAATTTCGTTTTTTGAGTACATAATATATGAACATGGTACAAAATTCAAAATATACTAAAAAGAGTATTTCTTCTGCCTTTGTTTCCTTGACAGCCAGTTTCTCTTCCTAGAGACTACAACAGTTATCAGTTTCTTTTATGTCCATTCAGAAGTACATGTGCGTATAGAAAAAAATGTTAAACAGAAGTTTTAGCATACTACTCACATTGTGCTGCATCTTGATTATATCATTTAACAAGTCACCTTGGCATTCATAACATATATAATTTATATGTATATAGGTACATATGTAAAAATTTGCATATATATGATTTGTGCACCTTTCCGTATCTATCCACCTGGCTATTTTCTTTGTGTGTGTATATATATGTACATATATATATTTTAAAGCTGCATATTATTCTCTCTCATAGGTGTAATAATTCACCTCGTCCCCTACTTTGGCTCTTAGGGTTCTGTCTAATTTTTGCTTTTAAAATACTCAAATAAATATTATGGTATATAATAATGATTTCCACACATTGAATAATATCTACAGGTAAATTATAACACAAAGTATGTGATTCACAATTTTCAACTTTGAGAGCTATTGAAAAAATTACCCAGCATATAACTAGTACAAATTATCATCAGAAATTCCTATTTAGCCATTCTCAAACACATATAATTTATTAAGTATTTTGATCTTTGTACAAATATGATTTGCCATTTAATTAAAATCTTATGTATGATTACAATATGCAGTTGTAAGAAAAAATACACAAAGATGCTGTTTTCCCTTTACATGGTTCCTCCCCATGGTAACAAATTGCAGCACAGTTTCACAATCAGGATATTGATGCTGATACAACCCATGAATCTTAATGATAGCCCCAGTTTTATTTGTATTCATTTGTTTTGTGTATCTGAGTTTAATTCTACACAGTTTTATCTCATGTTCCTGTATCTGCCATCATAGTCAAAATACAGAATAGTTCCTCCACCACAAGGATCTTTCTTGGTATCCTTTCATAACCACACACACCTCTCTTCTGCTCCTTCTCCAACTTCATTCTCCAACTGTAACTACCAATCTTTTCCCCATTTCTAAAATATTATTTCAAAAATGTTATATAAATGGAATCATACAGTATATAATTTTTTGGATTTCACTTTTTAAAAAATTAAGCGTAATTTCCTGGAGAGTTTACCAAATTGTTGTTTTCTTTTTATTGCTAAGTAGCATTCCATGGTATGGATATACCACAGTTTGTGTAAGCATTTCTCCATTGCAGGACATTTGGGGTATTTCCAGTTTTTGGCTATTACAAATAGTCTATGAACATTCACATACAAGTTTTTGTGTGAACATGTTTTTATTGTACTGACATAAATTCCAAAGCGTGCAATTGTTGGGTCATATAGTAAGTGTATGTTTAATTTTGTAAGAAACGACTATACTCTCTCCAGCGCAGTTGTACCATTTTATATCCTGACCAGTTTTATATTCATGATCCAGTCTTTCTGTATCCTCCCTAGCATTTGGTGTTGTCACTATTTTTATTTTATCTATTTTGATAGATGTGTTGTAGCATTTTACTGGTTTTAATTTGCATTGTGCTGATGAAAATGATTTTGAACACCTTTTCCTGTGTTAATTTGCCATTTATATATCATTTTCTGTTTATGTTTGTATGTCTTTTCCTAGTTTTTGCCCATGTTTTTGGACTTTTAAGAATACTATTAAGTTTTGAGAGTTCTCTCAGATATGTGATTTGAAACAGTATTTCTTTTTTTCAGTCTTCAGCTTGTCTTTCCATTTTCTTAATAGAGTCTTTTGGCAGAGCTTTTTTTTTTTTCTGGTTAGGTCAAACTAAAATTTTTCCTTTAATGTGTCATGCTTTTGGTGGAAAATCTAAGGACTCCTTGCCTAGCTCTAGACCCTGAATACTGTTTTCTATTTTTTCTAGAAGATATGTAGCTTTACATTTTACATATAAGTCCATGATCTATTTTGTGTTAATTTTTGTATATGAGGTGAAATTTGAATTTAGTTTGTTTTTTCTTTTCTATTATGGATGTCCAATTATTTCAGAACTAGTTGTTGAAAAGACAGTCTTGCTTCCATTGAGTTACTCTGCACATTCATAAAAAATCAGTTGGACATATTTGTGTGGGCTGATTTATGGGTTCTCTATTCTGTTCCATTGATCTGTTTCACTATCACTTGTGTTAATACCATACAAAACCTGATAACTATAGTTAAATAATAAGCTTTAACATTGAGTAATTTGATTTTTCCACTTTTATTCTTCTTTTTCCAAATTGTGTTAGCTATTCAATTTCCTTTGCCTTTACATACACATTTTAGAATAATCCTATCTATGTCTACTAAGAAATATTTCTGGGATTTTGATAAGAATTGTGTTAAACCTGTATATCAATTTGGAGAGGATTGACATCTTTACTATGTTAAATCTTACAATCCATGAATATAATATGTCTCTAACTTTATGTAAATCTTTTGTTATTTCTTTCATCTGTGCTTGAAGTTTTTAGCATACAACTCCTAAACATTTTTTTTAGATTTACAGCCAGATATTTCCATATTTTGAGAGATTATAAATTAAATTGTGTTTTAATTTTGGTTTTCACATATTCATAGTTTATTAAAAATATTTAATTTTTTGTGTTAATCTTGTATCCTGTCACTTTGCTGAACTCATGTATTAGCTATAGGAATTTTTATGTGGAATCCAGGGAGTTTTCTACATAGATAATGACATCTGAAAATAAGTACATTTGTATTTATTACTTTTCAATATATGTGTCATTTATTTCTTTTTCTTGCCTACTACAAGTGGTGAGAGCAGACATCCACGCTTTATTCCTAATCTTAGAAGGAAAGCATTTACCTGGAAGATTTTTATGGATGATCTTTATTGAGTTGACACAATTTCTCTCTATTCCTAGCTTGCTGAGAGTTTTTATCATAAATGGGTGTTGGATTTTATCAAATTTGTTTTTTGCCTCAATTAATACGATCATATAATTTTTCTTCTCTATTCTATTTATATGATAGATTACATTTACTGATTTTCAAATGTCTATGTAGTCTTGTACACCTGAAATAAATCCACTTGGCCTATGTAAATTCTTTCTACATATTGCATTCTATTTTCTAATAATTGATTGAGGATATTTTGTCTATATTCATGAGAGATATTGGAATGTATTTTTTTTGTTTCGTACTGTCCTTGGAGTTGAACTGCATATTACTCTATATATTTATGTTTGTGTGTTTATATATACACATGCTATATAGTATAATAGTATATGTAATGTTAATCAAATTATGATGTTTCTTGGCTTGGATTTCTTTAGATTAATCCTGCAAGGGGTTTATTCAGCTTCTTCAACCTGTATATGCTTATGTTTTCAACAGATTTGGGAAGTTTTAAACTATTATTTATTTAAATACCCTTTGGCATTATTTTCTTTCTCCTCTTCTTCTGGAGCTCTGATGATATGAAAGTTGAATCTCTTGTTATTGTCCCATAGGTCCCCGAGGTTCTTTGCATTGTTTCTCAGTCTGTTTTCTCCCATTGTTCAGATAGGCTACATTTTGTTGATCTGTCCTCATGCTCATTGATTTCATCCTTGGTCATCTCCACTTAACTAATGAGCCCATTCAGTGAGATTTTATTTCTGTTACTGAACTTTCCAGTTCTATAATTTATAACAGGTAGAGTTTTAAAATATTGTATCTTGGACATTTTGGCTATTACAGAACTATAAACTGGAATTTAGGTCCTGTTTAAATCTTTAATTTTAGCAGATAGTCACTCTGTTTAGACCTAGCACACAGGTCCTGACCTAATTTTGTAGGCTGTGCATCCAATGGCAATTTTTTAAGAGACTTTTAGCTGTTATTTTTGTGTTCTAGTTTTATTTGGTACTACTGGGGTTTCCATTGTTCTCTGCTGGTACTGCCTGAGAAGGCAGAAGAAGGGATTTCCTTAGGCTAAGCCTTCTGGTGTCCTTGTGCGGTGGAGAGAATATCAAGACTATGAGGACAAAGAGGCTTCCCTGTCGGGGTGCTTGTGGCGGGATTGCCTGCTTGTGCCGGACAGAGACTGCTACTTGCTGGATGATTGTCAAATTGGAATATTTCTTGCTGGTGCCCTCTTTCCCCCTTTCTCACTCTGGTGTCTGTGGGTGGCAGAAGGAAGTCTCAGGCCTGCAGGGCCAGAGGGCCAGGATGCTTGTTATGGTGGGGTCCTTCTCCAGATGCCACCTGACTGCCCTGTTGTCTCTCTTTAGGGGAAGAGAATGCCAGACAGCAGGGAGAGAGGAGCTGAGTAGAGTACTTCTCTGGGTTAGTAGAATTCCTGATGGGCCCCCCTTACTCAAGTGCTGTGTTGTTGGAGGAACTACCTTTTGATAGGAGGCAGGAAAAAACCTACCTAGGCTGCCTTTTGTTGTGGGATGGCGTGTTGGAAGAGGCAAACATTTTTTGTCAAATAAACTAATTGCCTTCTTTAGTTGGGTGAAGGGACAGCCCTGCTGCTGTGTGGTTCCTACAGTTCTGGAATCCCAAAGCAGTTCACCTTCCCACATTTGAGAATTCTTTTTTGGTTACCTCTTGTATTGTTTCTACGGTTTGTAGTTGTACTTAATGGGAAGGGAGATGGGAGAAACCTGTATATACCATCTTATCCGGAAGTCAAAATCACTGTTTTTAAGTTATTTTATTTCGAAAAATCTCAAACTTGCTGGGTGCTTAGACCTGAGCTGGGCAGCGGCAGAACATGCCTTGAGCAGATGGGCATGTGCTTGTGACTAAGTGGGGTGGGAGTCGAGGTGCAGCGCGTTGGTGCTCTTTACAGTGCTCACGGCAGCCTGCTGTAGCGCTTGCCTGCATGTCATATTTCAATTTGCATTTTTCTTATTTTTAATGAGGTTGAGCATCTTTTCCTATCTTTAAGATCTATTCATATTTCCTTTTCTATAAATTGTCTGTATGTTTCTCTCTTTAAAAAAAATTGGTCTGTGTCTTTTAGGTTTATTAAATAATTTATATATTAAGAATGTTAGCACATGGTCTACAATTTGCTTTGTGATTTTATTCCTGGATGCGTTTTGATCTTTTATTTGTAGGATTTTTGTCATGCAGACATTTTCGATGCCTATGTAGTCAAATTTGGTAATCTTTTATTGCTTCAGGTTTTTCTATGATATTTAGAAAATCATTTCCAAATCCAAGATTATTGTTTCCTCCCTTATTCTCTTTTTTTCTGTAAAAGTTTATATGACATATAAAGTACAACACACATACAGAAAAGTGGATAAATCCTGAGTCTCAATAAATTTTCACAAAATGACATATCTGTATAACCAACACACCCACATGAAGAAACAGCTTCATCCATATTACTTAATATAGCTGTAGTTCATTTTGACTCCTTCACAATGTTTCATTTTGTTGATGGACATTTATATAGTTGTCAGTTTTTGATAAAAAATATTGCTGCTATGAACATTTTTATATATTTTGGTATGTGCACCTTCTATTGGCTATATACCTAGGAATGGAATTTCTGGCTTATTCATATATGCGTATGTTTAGCTTGAGGATACTGCCAGATTGTTTTCCAAAATCACTATGCTGATTAAACTCCCTGGAGGAGTATATGAGTGCTCAGGGTGCTCTACATCCTTGTTGACACTTGGTGTTTTCCATCACTTTTTTATTTTAACTGTTCTAGTTATTGTGCAGTGGCACTGCATTGTGGTTTTGTTGCTGGGGGCTCAGGAAGGTCTCCAGATGCAGGTGAGAACCCAGCCCCAGGGGGTTTTCAGGTTCCCCATTCCTTTGCATTTCTATGTAACTTTTAAAATCAGCTTGACAATTTTATATTTTAAAAATCAGGGACTTGTACTGGGATTGCGTTGACTTTTCAGATTACTTTTAGGAGAGTAGACATCTTCATTACAGTATATCTTTCAGCCCATGAATATACCATATTCCTCTATTTATTTAGATATTCTTTATTTCCTCAGAATAATGTTTTGTAGTTTTTAGGATAGAGATCTTATATATTTTTGTTTAGTTTTATTTCTATACATTTATTGTTTCTGATGCTATTGAAAATATCATTGGACATTTTATTTTCATTTGATTGTGGTTAGCATATAAAATATATTTAATTCTTGTTTAATGTCCTCATATCTCAGAAATCTTCTAACCATACAGGCATATCATCTATGAAAATGAGTTTTATTTTTTCCTTTCTAATTCTAAAGTATTTTATTTATTTTTTTCTTGCTTTATGACACTGGCTAGAACCTCTAGGACAATGTTCAAAAAAGTGATGATAGGAGAAATCCTTGTCTCATTCCTGATCTGAAACTTTTCATGTTTCTTCATTAGGTATGATCTTTTCTTATGGTATTTTTTATTAATTTTATCAAATAAACTAATTTCCCTTGTATCCCTAGTTTGCTAAGGATTATTTTATTAAATCATGAGTGGGTGCTAAATATAATCAAATGCTTTTACTGCATCTGTGGTGTTTCTTGTTTTCTTTCTCTAATATGGCTATTGTATTAATTTATTTTTTAATGTTAAATTACCCTTACATCTTGAAATAAATTTTATTTGGTTGCGATGTAGATATTGCTTGTTTTTATTCATTTTTTCAAGATTTTTGCATCTATAGTCACAAGACAGGTTAGTCTGCAGTTCCTTTCTGTTAAGTTTTTTTGTTTTTTTTTTTTTTTTGAGATGGAGTCTCGCTCTATCGCCCAGGCTGGAGTGCAGTGGCGCGACCTCAGCTCACTGCAAGCTCCTCCTCCCGGGTTCAAGCCATTCTCCTGCCTCAGCCTCCCGGGTAGCTGGGACTACAGGCTCCTGCCACCACACCAGGCTAATTTTTTGTATTTTTAGTAGAGACGGTGTTTCACCATGTTAGCCAGGATGGTCTAGATCTCCTGACCTCGTGATCCGCCCTCCTCGGCCTCCCAAAGTGCTGGGATTACAGCCGTGAGCCACCGCGCCTGGCCTCTGTTGAGTTCTTTTTAAAGTGTTGGTATCAAAGTTGTGCTAACCTTATAAAAGAAATATAGAAGTGCTCCTTTTTCATTGTTTTGAAAGTATTTGTGTAAGTTATTATTTCTTCCTTAATTATTTGGTAGAATTCACCAGTAAAATCTGGACTTGGTGTTTCCTTTCTGGAAAAATTTTGAATAAGAACTACACTTTCCTATATAAATATCAAACTATTGAAATTGTCTTTCTTCTACTGTCAATTTTGGTAAGTTACTTTTGGTTTAAGTAATTTTAAAATTTTATTTAAATTGCCAAATTCTTGGGCATGAAGTCGTTCATAACGACCTTTTACAATGTTTGACGTTGATAGTATCTGTAGTGATACTAGCTTAAAATTTGTATTCTCTCTCTCTTTTAACAATTTTACTGAGTTGATAACTTTCATTAATCTTTTCAAATGACTAAATTTTGACTTTGTTGACTTTTCTTTATTGAACTTTTGTTTTCTATTTCAATTATTCTTGTTATTATTTTAGCTATTTCCCTTCTACTTTGTTTAGGTTTGAGTTGTTGGATTATTTGTTCATTCATTCATGCATTCATTCATTTAGCTGTTTGAAATGAAAGTTTAGGTTATTGGTTTTTCAATATTTCTTTTTTTCTAACATATGCATTTAAGGCTGACAATTTCCCTCTATTTATTTCTTTAGCTATATGCCAAAAGTTTTGATATATCTCATCTTCATCATTGTTCATTTCAATTTTTTTCTAATTTTATTTGAATTTTTTCTTTATGAATTATTTGTGTGTATTACATAATATGAAGCAATTGGTGAGTTTCTAGATGCATTTTTCTTATTGTTTTTTAATTCCAGTGTAGTCAAGGGACATTCTTTGAATAGCTCAACCTTTTGAAACCTTTTGAAGCCTTTTGGTAATACTCAACTCATGCTTGATTTTGTAAATATGTACAAGATATACTTGAAAATAATGTGAATTATTTTTTGGTTGGGTTCAGTGTTCTTTATATGTTAATCAAATTTGTAAATTATGTTGTTCAGATGTTTATATCCTTACTGACTTTTTGGCTGATTCTTCTGTCAGGTATAGAGAGAAACTTGTTAAATCTTCTCATTGTGATTGTGGTTTTAACTATGTCTTTATTTCTGTCTATTTTTAGAGTTATTTTATGGAGAACTTACACTGGAGAACTTATGATATTGTGGACCAATTATTAGCAGAAGAATCTTAGTAGGCATGGGTGGGAGGAGTATCCTAGTTAGCCTTTCCAATTCCTCAGTGCAAGGGCTCCCTCTTCTGTTGATAAGGTGGTGATTATTATTATTGTTATTATTATTATTATTATTAATTACTTACAAATGACAAGCTTCCTTTGTTCTTCATATATTTACTATACCTCTTCTCTCCATCACCTTCAGTGCTTAGACTGTGCCTTTTTCTATCCCCTGCCCCACAGAAATTCTCACTCCCTGGGAGGTACTCCCCTTTTGGATTGAAAAATTGGGGGTGTTTTCGAAGTTCTTCTACTAATGGGACCTCTAACTATTTCAAGTTTTTCCCAACTACATCCACTGCCTCATTGCTATGACACAGTCTTGTGACTAATGATGCTAATTTTGCTGTTTTTTTCTCCTCTACTCATACAACATTTGGTTTGTGGGTGTTTATGTTTCTTACTTTCACTGAAAGTTTGGGTTGTCAGAAGACATGTGTTACTCTCTTGTGGCTTTTATGTATCTTAGAAGAAGTGATGAAATCCCCACTGAGCTACATCTGAATTTTTGCCAGAACCTAGAATCATAAGTTGAAAAACTATTCCCTGTTTGTATGTTTAAAATTTTTGTAATACATAATTCTAATGCCATACATGAGGTTATGATTATGTCCATCAAATCTTACACTTCCTAGTTTTGAAAACAAATGCCCTTTATCTATATCTGATTTGTTCATAATATAATGCTTTTATTAGTCTAGTGCCATTTTAACAGCTCAGAATTTATCAGGTATATTAGTCTTCCTCAATTTTGTTGTACATAAATTTAGTTTTACTGTTCGTAACTATTCTTCACACTGTTGCTCACCCCTAGGTTCCTCCAAATAGTAAACTTGCTTTATTTAATCCTCACAGTGTAAAATTAAAAATTCAGAAAAATTAATTCTGTTATTGTTAAATTTGCTTCCCAGAGCAATGGAGAATGTCACTACAATGAATGAGTTTCTTCTACTTGGCCTGACTGGTGTTCAGGAGCTGCAGCCTTTCTTCTTTGGGATTTTCTTAATCATTTACCTGATAAACTTGATTGGAAATGGATCTATATTGGTGATGGTTGTTTTGGAACCACAACTCCACTCCCCTATGTATTTTTTTCTGGGAAACCTTTCTTGTCTGGATATTTCTTATTCTTCAGTGACACTGCCCAAGCTGCTCGTAAACCTCGTGTGCAGTCGCAGGGCTATATCTTTTCTAGGCTGTATCATCCAGCTACACTTCTTCCACTTTTTGGGAAGCACAGAGGCCATTTTACTGGCTATCATGGCCTTTGACCGTTTTGTTGCCATCTGCAATCCTCTTCGCTACACTGTCATCATGAACCCCCAGGTGTGTATTCTGTTGGCAGCTGCGGCCTGGCTCATCAGCTTCTTTTACGCTCTGATGCATTCTGTCATGACTGCACACCTGAGTTTTTGTGGCTCTCAGAAACTCAATCACTTCTTCTACGATGTCAAGCCGCTCTTAGAATTGGCCTGTAGTGACACATTACTCAATCAATGGCTTCTTTCCATTGTCACAGGCAGCATATCCATGGGAGCTTTCTTTCTGACTCTTCTCTCCTGCTTCTATGTAATTGGCTTCCTTCTGTTTAAGAACAGGTCCTGCAGAATACTCCACAAGGCTCTGTCCACTTGTGCCTCCCATTTTATGGTGGTATGTCTTTTCTATGGACCTGTGGGCTTCACATATATTCGTCCTGCTTCAGCCACCTCCATGATTCAGGACCGGATAATGGCCATCATGTATAGCGCCGTCACCCCTGTACTGAATCCACTAATCTACACCCTTAGGAACAAAGAAGTGATGATGGCTCTGAAGAAAATCTTTGGTAGGAAGTTGTTTAAAGACTGGCAGCAACACCACTAGGACTAATGAGGGATATCTGATTTCTATTAAGACTGATTTCCATCACTTCACTGTAAGAAATGATTTGTTTACCTGGTTTATATTTTTCTTTCAAAAATTTTGAGCACATATTATATTAGGCAGTGTAGTAGGTTCAAGAAACACAGGAGCAAGCAAAACAAATTCCATAATGTCATCAAACATAAAGTTTAATGTGATGGAGGCCCCAAATAACCAAACGCGTAAGTACATATGTCAGGATAATTCGGTGGCAAGGAGAACTAAGGAGGTAGGAAGTATGGGGAGGGTTAGAGTAGGAATCTGCTGTGTAAAAAAGAATGTGGCATTTCTCCTAGGACAAAAACCTTTGGAATTTTCCAAGTAATAGAAGTATCTTACTGAAATTCCATATGAGATAATCTTTATTTTTGCCTATTTTTTTTCCTTTTGTGTTTCCTTCAGCAGGAATGTACTGATGATAATTTTTCTCACAACAGTTTTTATCTAGAATATCATTTTTGTTAATCTTAATTCTTGAAGAGAATTTTTAATGGGTATTTAATTTTAGGGAGAGATTTTTCTAGCCATTGAAAATATCTTGTTTTTCCCCAGCTTATTGAAGTATAATTAACAAATAAAAATTGCATATATTTAGGCTTCACAACATGATGCTTTAGTATATGTATACATTGTGAAGAGACTACCACAATCAAGCTAAACCTACATTACTGTCCCTGCATTAGTTTACTGTTGAATACTAGAAGTTCTTCATTCTATCTAACTGCATTTTCATACCCATTAAGCCAATGTGACAAGCTCTTTGTTTCAGTTGGAGTGTTTGCACAATTTAAATTTGATAAATTTTTGATAGAATTAAATTTAAATTTATCCTCCAACTAAATTTTTGATAGAATTAAATTTAAATTTGTCCTCCAACTGTTTGCCTTTCATTTGTCCTATTTGTCCGTTATTGCTTCTTCTTTCATTTACTGTTTTTTATGGGAATATTTTTATGATTTCATTATATTTTCACTATTGTCCTTTTATTTATACCTTTTTATTTTATATTTTTGTGGTTACTCTGGGGTTTACAATGTACATTTTAAATTCACAAAATATTTCTTCACATAATATTACACCATTTAAGATGTATTGCTAGAGTCATGCCATACTGTACTTCCATCTCCCTGCTCATGCTTTGTGATTTTAATGTCACACATTTTACTTTTACTTATGTTATTAGTATCCAAGATACTGCAATTCTGTTTTTTTTTGAAAAATTCTATTATTTTTAAGGTAATTAAAAATAATAAAAATGTCTTTTACACTTAAACACATATTTATAATTTCTGGCACTTTTGGTCCCTTCATGGAGACACTGATTTTCATCTCATATCATTTTTTTGTTGTTGTTGTCTAAAGACTTTCCTTAACTATTTCTTGTAGTAAAGTTCTGCTGGTAATAATTTACTTCAGCTTTTGTTGGCATGAAAAAGTACTTTGCCCTTATTTTTAAGAGATGTTTTCTCTGTATATAAAATTTTAAATTGCCAGACTTTTGTTTATGTGCTTTAAAGCTGTTGCTCCATTACCTGTCTCACATAATTTCTGGTGGGATGCATGCTGCCATTCTTATCTTTATTCCTTTGTAATAACTGTGTTGATTTTTCTCTTGCTGATTTTAAGATTTTTCTTTATGACTTTTTTAGCAAATAGATTATGATGTTCATTGTAAAGTTTTCTAATATTTATTCTATTTAATTTTTATTGAGCTTCTTGGATCTATAGATTATATATTTTATCAAATTTGGAAAAACTCAGTCATTACTTCTTCAATGTTTTTAATCAAACACTTCTTTAGTACTCCACTTGCACATATGTTAGACTGCTTGAAATTATGACATAGGTCATTGATACTTTGTCCATTTTATTAAAAAGATTTCTCTGTGCTTCATTTTGGATTGTTTTTATATCTATATCTCCAAGTTCCTTGATTTTTTCTTCTGCAGTAATTAATCTACTGTTTATTCCATGCACTGCATTTTTCACTTTATATTTTGTATTTTTTATTTAAACAAGTTCTATGTGGGTCTTTAAAAAAATCTCTCTCTTTTTATGTCTGTATTTCCCCTAAATTATTATGCTTATTTTGAGGCATACTTTTTTTTTTGTTAAGGTAGATCCAGAACATTGTTTATTCTGAGATTAATTTAGCCCCCACTACTAAGGTAATATCCTTCTCAGGACTCCACCTAAGTCCTTGTCTATTACAAGCTGTTCCAATCAGGCTGATGGGTCATGGGACATACCCAACCCTGTCTTGTACAGTGTATTAAAATCATTGCTTTATATATTTTATTCCATTTTTTAGATGTTTAATCAGGAGAGAAAATCTCGTTACTTTATTATGGCAAGTAATGAAACACAAAAATCATTATTTTTGAGGTTGCGGAATGTAGATCTTCCTATCTGTTGTGGGTACACACGACTACTTTCTAGTATCAATAACATTAGTGTGATATAATCTAAATCACAGGCACTAATGTAGTCACTCCTGATCGAGGTACAACATATGTAGCTGGCAATACTGTTCAGGGTTGATGCTTATATTTTTTTTTTCTTAAATTGAGACAGAGTCGCCCTATGTTTCCCAGGCTGGTCTTGAACTCCTGGGCTCAAGGGATCTTCCTGCCTCTGCCTCCCAAAGTGATAGGATTACAGGTGTGAGCCAGCACTCCAGGCCTTATCTTAAATTCACACTTTGTTAACTTTTTTTCTCCTTTTTTTGTAGAAACAAACAGAGCAAATATTTCAGTGTATGATGTCCCTGTTTTCCTACTCTGTTCTATGAGTATATCTCTATAAAAGAGTTGATTCTACTATTATTTTGCTCTTAATAATATTTTCCTATTTTCACCTCATTTTTATTATTCTGAATAGATCATCTTTAAAAAGGAAGTGAAATTTTTTTTCCTTTTTGTCTCTACCCTATCTATTTCTTTTTTGTTATGGCCATTTATAGTCACGTACACTCATTTAATCTCAATTTATTCACTGGAAAAAAACAGCTGATTTAATGTTAGAGAGCACACATTATTGGTAAATCCCTTATTATACATCATAAAAAGCAAAGACACCCCAAACTCCTAGATTTATAAGAAGAAAACAAGCTACGGGGAAATGATTCCCTATTTAATAAATGGTGCGGGGATAACTTCCTTGTCATATACAGAAGATTGAAGCTGGATACCTACCTTTTACCCTATACAAAAGTTAACTCAAAATTGATTAAAGATTTAAATGTAAGACCTCAAATTATAGAAATCATGGAAGATAACCTAGGAAATACTCTTCTCAACATCGGCCTTGGCAAAAGATTTTTGGCTAAGTCACCAAAAGCAATGGCAACAAAAACAAAAATAGACAAGTGAGACCTGATTAAACTAAAGAGCTTCTGCACAGCAAAAGAAACTATCAACAGAGCAAACACACTATCTACAGAAAGGGAGAAGATATTCACAAACAATGCATCTGACAAAGGCCTAATATCCAGAATCTATAGGGAACTTAAACAAGTCAACAAGCAGAAAGCCAATAATCCCATTAATAAATGGGCAAAGGACATGAAAAAACACTCTCAAAAGAAGACATACATGTGGCTAACAAACATACGAAAAAATTATCAGCATCACTAATTATCAGGGAAATGCAAATCAAAACTGCAGTGAGATATTATCTCACACCAGTCAGAATGACTATTTAAAAAGTCAAAAAACAACAGATGCTATCAAAGCTGCAGAGAAAAGGGAATGCTTATATGCTGTTGGTGGGAATGTGGATTAGTCCAGCAACTGTGAAAAGCAGTCTGGAGATTTCTCAAATAATTTAAAACAGAACTACTATTCAATACAGCAATCTCATTAATGGGTATATATCAAAATAAAATAAATCATTCTACCAATAGGATACATACACTCACATGTTCATTGTTGCGCTGCTCACAATAGCAAAGATGTGGAATGACAGACTGGATAAAGAAAATGTGTTACATATGCACCATGGAATACTATGCAGCCATAAAAACAGAATAAAATAATGTCCTTTGCAGCAACATGGATGGAGCTGGAGGGCATAATTCTAAGCAAGTTAACACAGGAACAGAAAACCAAATACTGCATGTTGTAACTTATAAGTGGGAGTTAAGCATTGAGCACACATGAACATAGGTATGGGAACAATAGACACTGTGGACTACCAGAGGCTTCAGGGATGGGGGAGGATGGGTTAAAAAACTGCCTATCAAGCCAGGTACTAGGCTCATTACCAGGGTGGTGAGATCCATACTCCAAATTTGAACATCATGCAATATTCCCATGTAACAAATCTGCACATATATCCACTATGTCTAAAATAGAAGTTGAATTTTTTTAAAAAAGTAAAAACTAAAAATAAATATAAAATAAAAAAATTTAAAAAGACTTATTGGTAATGAATGTTAGATACAATAAATGAATAATGCAAAATTTATTATCGTCTGTTTTTGGAGTGAAATAACCACTCATAGATATCTTCAGATGATAACTCTCTTGCTGTGTGTACCCAAGTCAGCCGGTAAGAATTTAGCAAGTGATGAAACTGGATAATGCCTAGTAGGTAATTAATTTGTTGAGAATTGAGATTTGATTTTAAGCCATAGGTGATGATTAAGAACCATATGAATCTGGGAGAAATAACTCTTCTTTAATCCAAATTCTTAATTTTAAAGGGCAGGCAATATAATCATTAGAGGTCAAAGGATTCAGAAATTCTGTTTTTATGTGATAGTGGCATACTTAGCTGCCTCAATTCTTAAATAATTATAGGATCAAAATTAATCAAGCAATTATACTTTTAATTTACAAGTCATGCTCAAAATTAATATTTAATCTCTCACAAAATATATGGATACTGTATATTCGTTAGTGAGTTTTTGATACATCTTCAAGAACACATAACATGCAAAGGAATAGATATTTGGAGGACTAATCAGTCTTCGGTGGCTGAAGAATATTTCTTCAGTGCGAAGTAGTGTGCAATGTAAGCTTCCCCCACCTCCAGGAGGAAATGAGGATGCTTTCTCCTAATTTAAGCTGAGAGAAAAACCAGTTAGAGAGCTTGATTTCTACATCTGGAATTTTGGAGTCCAAAGACTGATATTTCTTACATGGCCAAGAAGCAAAATCTAGAGAACTGCATTTCCTGTGTTAATAGGGGAAGCATGTGGGTTGTTTCTCACTAGACAGATGTGGGCCAGGAGGTAGTGGTCCACCTGGAGCAGGTCGGACTCCACAGGACACTTTCTGAAGCATAATTATGATGGCAACAGAGCCACTAGAAGACAAATAGATGCTCAGGGGTTGAAGCAGGAACCAGAAGTAGTGAGTCTCAGGACTTGTGCTTGAAGATCCCCAACGTGTGTCTCCGAGGCTCTTGAAATATTCCCATAAGATGTGGGGATCTTCTTAATCCAAAGGGCATTTTCCTTACTCACTCCAGTCCCATGCACTGGCCTTCAGGGACTGAGTAGAGTCTTGGCACTCACCTAGAAAACCCATCACTCAGAAGTTTATCAGCACAGACTCTGTAGGGAACATTATTTTGTGTTACTTCGTTGTATTCTTAAAAACAGCCCCATATCAGTCTCTCAGAGTCTGAATGGTAATCTCTGCTCAATATCTCCAATCACAGGTGAGTGAGTAAGTATTTTTAATTGCTTAACTATAGCTTCATTGCTCTTAGAGATACACTTTTCTGTCTTGCTTTTTGGATATGAGACTAACTGTGTAGGAGATGGAAGTGTAATGACCTGAGGAGTTCCAAAGGAGGGAATAATAAAATTGTCTGTCCCATGCTTTGGGTGACAATCAGCCTACTGAGTATGTGAATCAGGAAGCTTCTTTCATTTTGGGTAATTTTTATGTCATTCAGAATAGCCCTCTGCTGGTTTGCCGATTTTTTATTAAATAAAGGACAGTGTATTTATTCTGCAAAAAGAGACTAAAATGCCACTGGACTGCAGAGAATAGTATCAGGAACACACTTCGTGTGACTTTCTCACAAGAAACCATCTTTCATGTGGATCTAATAACCTTGCATGCTAGCTATTATTGATTGAGCTTTAGCCACACTGATTTTCACGTTTGCTATGTGATTTCAGTTTTTAGTAAGAAATTGGATAGTATATTTTGAGAAAATTTGAAATTTTAAGATTCTGAATTTCTAAGGTCTCTTTTTTGAGAACACTCTTTAATGAAGAGCTACTGGGTCTGTTAGAAGGAAATGAAAAAGTCAAGACTGAGCTTGGAGGGCAAACATTCTCGTGAATTTTCTGGGGGCCTCTCCTTGTGGGTTCTTAGAGGCCATTCTTGAGCTCTTTACTATGATATGAAATTCTGAAAACATTTTCTCAGTTGTCCTTGTATTATATCAAGTTTCAGTTCTTTAGTAAGGAGTCAAGACCATGGCTGCTTGGAAAAGCAGTAATTTTCCTATAACTCTGTGTGAAATACTTGTGCTTTGCGTGGTGAATTCTATTCTGTCTCAGGGTCAATCTATGCCTATGAGAGGCAACAATGACCCATGTAGCACAATTTGAGTACCAGCTGCAGGATGTTGTTCTAGATTTGGAAATAGAAGAATTTTTTTCTACTCTTAGTTCACTACTTGTTAACTATTTGATCTTATAAGTAATCCACCATAAATTACAGACTCCTCTACTCTAACTAATATAAATGTTATAAGAATAAAAATAATATGTAAGGTCTGAACATTTTTTCCAAGTTCTACATCATAATAAGTATGTAAAAAAGGGAGGAAATACAATTGTTTTCTTGGAAAATTTTGCTATACTGCCTTATATTCCAACAGTAGTAATCCATTACTGAATGTAAGACCACTGTGTCCCCAGTTACGTATTAATTCATTGAGAAATAGATTAGTAAGGCAGAATATGCACCATAAGATATTATGGACAAACAAGTGATATGTCACACAAATAAGTATGTTGTGTGTTATGTGTCATAATCAAGATTGAAACAAATGCCTATAGATTTTCCAGGAAGGGACAGAAGCATTTCACTTGAAGAGAAAAGAGGCATTTAAGCTGAGCTTTAAAAATATGTAGATTAGCAGACAGAAATGAAAGCAGGAAGAAAAACATACAGGCTGAGTGGATAAAAAAATGACTAAAATTAAGAGGCTATTCTGAAAAAGAAAATTCTTATTTTAAGGCAAATAACCTTAGAGGAGTAATACATTATTGTTTAAGTTATTTCATTTAGTCGTTTTATCACAACAGCTTCCCCACAAATAGGGACATGGGAAAGGCATGTTTTGAAGTAAAGGGCAATGATCACAGAACATAGAGGACTTGGGTAACAAAACAAAAGCATCAGGAGATCCCCAGGAGAAAGTAATTCCTTCTCTTAATGTGTAAGAAACCCTGAGAAGGGAGGTGGGCTGCTGAGCCAAGTGTGTCCTCCTTCGCTATTTTGAGAACTGGACAGCTGATACCATCTCATAATGACCTATGTTTGTGTTGGAGGGCAGTTCTCTGCAGGATAGCTTTTCTCATGAGGAATGGTCTGGCAAGAAAAATGGGGCCCCTTATTTTCACAAACAGTTCTTTTAATAACAGCACTCTTTCATACACTAACTGTAATTCAGTGCTTCCTTGAATTTCTTTCTACTTTTATGCTTCTCCTTCTTAGTCTCATAGTTTAGCTTCTACATGCAGGAAATTAGTTCTGAGAAAGTTCAATTCTGTGTTCTCTTTTTTCCTACTTCACACTCTCCCATCCATAGGAGTAGTTTCAACTATCCTCTATATGCTGATGTGTTACAAATTCGTATCTCTAGTACATACCTCTCCTCTGAGGCCACATACCAAAATATGTCAAATAAACATATTTTCTTAGATATTCAGATATCTCAAATTCAGCATGGCCAAAACTGAACACATGATCTCCCCCTGGATTTCCTTTTTTTTTTTTTTTTTTTAATATACTTTACTTTAAGTTCAGGGATACATATGCAGAATGTGCAGGTTTGTTACATAGGTGTACATGTGCCATGGTGGTTTGCTGCACTGATCAACACGTCATCTCGGTTTTAAGCCCCGCATGCATTAGCTATTTGTCCTAATGCTCTCCCTCCCCTTGCCACCTACTCCCCAACAGGCCCCAGTGTGTGAGGTTCCCTCCCTGTGTCCATGTGTTCTCATTGTTCAACTCCCACTTATGAGTGAGAACATGTAGTGTCTGGTTTTCTGTTCCTGTGATAGTTTGCTGAGGATGATGGTTCCCAGCTTCATCCATGTCCCTACAAAGGACATGATCTCATTCTTTTTTATGGCTGCATAGTATTCCATGGTATATATGTGCCACATTTTCTTTATCCAGTCTATCATTGATGGGCATTTGTGTTGGTTCCAAGTCTTTGCTACTTTAAATAATGCCACAATAAACCTACGTATGCATGTGTCTTTATAGTAGAATGATTTATAATCCTTTGGGTATATACCCAGTAATGGGATTGCTGGGTTAAATAGTATTTCTGGTTATAGATCCTTGGGTAATTGCCACACTGCCTTCCACAATGGTTGAACTAATTTACACTCCCATCAACAATGTAAAAGCCTTCCTATTTCTCCACATCCTCGCCAACATCTGCTGTTTGCAGACTTTTTAATGATTTCCATTCAAACTGGCGTGAGATGGTATCTTATTGTGGTTTTGATTTGCATTTCTATAATGACCCATGATGATGAGCTTTTTTTCATATGTTTGTTGGCCACATAAATGTCTTCTTTTGAGAAGTGTCTGTTCATATCCATCACCCACTTTTTGATGGGGTTGTTTGTTTTTTCTTGTAAATATGTTTAAGTTCCTTGTAGATTCTGGATATTAGACCTTTGCCAGATGGATAGATAGCCAAAATTTTCTCCCATTCTGTAGGTTTCCTGTTCAGTCCGATGATAGTTTTTTTTTTTTTTTCTATGCAGAAGCTCTTTAGTTTAATTAGATCCCGTTTGTCAATTTTGGCTTTTGTTGCATTGCTTTTGGTGTTTTAGTCATGAAGTCTTTGCCCATGCCTATGTCCTGAATGGTATTGCCAAGGTTTTCTTCTAGGGTTTGTATGGGTTTAGGTTTTATGTTTAAGTCTTTAATCCATCTTGAGTTAATTTTTGTATAAGGTGTAAGGGAGGGGTCCAGTTTCTGTTTTCTGCATGTGGCTAGCCAATTTTCCCAGCACCAATTATTCAACAAAGAATCCTTTCCCCATTGCTTGTTTTTGTCAGGTTTGTCAGGTTTTTTCAGGTTTGTCAAAACAAAGGTTTTGTCAGGTTTGTCAGGTTGTAGATGTGTGGTGTTATTTCTGAGGCCTCTGTTCTGTTCCATTGGTCTATATATCAGTTTTGGTACCAGTATCATGCTGTTTTGGTTACTGTAGCCTTGTAGTCTAGTTTGAAGTCAGGTAACATGATGCCTCCAGCTTTGTTCTTTTTTTTTTTTTTTTTTTTTTTTTTTTTTTTTTTTTTTGAGACGGAGTCTCGCTCTGTCGCCCAGGCTGGAGTGCAGTGGCGGGATCTCGGCTCACTGCAAGCTCCGCCTCCCGGGTTCACGCCATTCTCCTGCCTCAGCCTCCCAAGTAGCTGGGACTACAGGCGCCCGCCACTACGCCCGGCTAATTTTTTGTATTTTTAGTAGAGACGGGGTTTCACCGTTTTAGCCGGGATGGTCTCGATCTCCTGACCTCGTGATCCGCCCGCCTCGGCCTCCCAAAGTGCTGGGATTACAGGCGTGAGCCACCGCGCCCGGCCCAGCTTTGTTCTTTTTGCTTAGGATTGTCTTGGCTATACGGGCTCTTTTTTTGGTTCCATATGAAATTTAAAGTCGTTTTTTCTAGTTCTGAGAAGAAAATCAATGGTAGCTTGATGGGAATAGCATTGAATCTATAAATTACTTTGGGCAGTATGGCCATTTACACAGTATTGATTCTTCGTATCCATGACCATGGAATTTTTTTCTCTTCATTTGTGTCCTCTCTTATTTCCTTGAGAAGCAGTTTGTAATTCTCCTTAAAGAGGTCCATCACATCCCTTGTAAGTTGTATTCCTAGGTATCTTATTTTTTTATGGTAATTGTGAATGGGAGTTCACTCATGATTCAGCTTTCTGCTTGTCTATTATTGGTGTATAGGAATGCTTGTAATTTTTGCACATTGATTTTGTATCCTGAGACTTTGCTGAAGTGGCTCATCAGCCTAAGGAGTTTTGGGCTGAGATGATGGGGTTTTCTAAATATACAATTATGTCATCTGCAAACAGAGGCAATTAGACTTCCTCTCTTCCTATTTGAATACCATTTATTTCTTTCTCTTGCCTGATTGCCCTGGGCAGAACTTCCAATACTATGTGGAATAGGAGTGGTGAGAGAGGGCATCCTTGACTTGTGCAGGTTTTCAAAGAGTACGCTTCCAGCTTTTGCCCATTCATTATGATATTGGCTATGGGTTTGTTGTGAATAGGTCTTTTTTTATATATATGTTCCATCAATATTTAGTTTATTGAGAGTTTTTAGCATGAAGGGGTATGGAATTTTATCAAAGGCCTTTTCTGCATCTATTGAGATAATCATGTGGTTTTTGTCATTGGTTGTTTATGTGATAGATTATGTTTATTGATTTGTGTATGTTGAACCAGCCTTTTATCCCAGGTATGAAGCCGACTTGATTGTAGTGGATAAGATTTTTGATGTGCTGCTGGATTTGGTTTGCCAGTAGTTTATTGAGCATTTTTGCATCGAGGTTCATTAGGGATATTGGACTGAAATTTTCTTTTTTTGTTGTGTCTTTGCCAGGTTTTGGTATCAGGATGATGCTGGCCTCATAAAATGAGCTAGAGAGGAGTCCCTCTTTTTTATTGTTTGGAATAGTTTCAAAACGAATGGTACCAGCTCCTCTTTGTACCTCTGGTAGAATTCAGCCATGAATCCATCAGATCCTGGAGATTTTTTGTTTTTTTAGGCTACTAATTACTGCCTCAATTTCAGTACTTGTTATTGGTCTATTCAGGGATTCGACTTCTTCCTGGTTTAGGCTTGGAAGGGTGTATGTGTCCAGGAATTTATCCATTTCTTCTAGATTTTCTAGTTTATTTGCATAGAGATATTTATAGTATTCTCTCATGGTAGTTTCTATTACTGTGGGATCAGTGGTGATAACTCCTTTACCATTTTTTATTGTGTCTATTTGATTCTTCTCTCTTTTCTTCTTTACTAGTCTGGCTAGCAGTCTATCTCTTTTGTTAATCTTCTCAAATAACCAGCTCCTGCATTCACTGATGTTTTGAAGGGTTTTTCGTGTCTCTATCTCCTTCAGTTCTGCTCTGATCTTAGTTATTTCTTGTCTTCTGCTAGCTTTTGAATGTGTTTGCTCTTGCTTCTTTAGCTCTTTTAATTGTGATGTTAGGGGGTCGATTTTAAATCTTTCCTGCTTTCTGACGTGGGCATTTAGTGCTCTAAATTTTTCTCTTAACACTGCTCTAGCTGTGTCCCTGAGATTATAGTTTATTGTCTCTTTGTTCTCACTGGTTTCAAATAACTTCATTATTCCTCCCTTAATTTCATTATTTACCCAGTAGTCATTCAGGAGCAGGTTGTTAATGTAATTGTGAGGTTTCATGTAGTTGTGAGGTTTTGAGTGAGTTTCTTAATGCTGAGTTCTAATTTGATTGCACTGTGGTCTGAGAGACTGTTTGTTTTGATTTCCATTCTTTTGCATTTGCTGAGGAGTGTTTTACTTCCAATTATGTGGTCGATTTTAGAATAATTGCTATGTGGTGCTGAGAAGAATGTATATTCTGTTGATTTGGGGTGGAGAGTTCAGTAGATGTCTATTAGGTCTGCTTGGTCCAGAGCTGAATTCAAGTCCTGAATATTCTTGATAATTTTCTGTCTCATTGATCTGTCTAATATTGACAGTGGAGTGTTAAAGTCTTCCATTATTATTGTATGGGAGTCTAAGTCTTTTGTAGGTCTGTAAGAACTTGTTTTATGAATCTGGGTGCTCCTTTATTGGGTGCATATGTATTTAGGATAGTTAGCTCTTCTTGTTGCATTGATCCCTTTACCATTGTGTAATGCCTTTCTTTGTCTTTTTTGATCTCTGTCGGTTTAAATTCTGTTTTATCAGAGACTAGGATTGCAACCCCTGCTTTTTTTTTCTCTTTCCATTTGCTTGGTAAATATTTCTCTGTCCCTTTGTTTTGAGCCTATGTGTGTCTTTGCACATGAGATGGGTCTCCTGAATACTGCACACTGATGGGTCTTGACACTTTATTCAATTTGCCAGTCTGTGTCTTTTAATTGGGACATTCAGCCCATTTACATTTAAGATTAATATTGTTAGTGTGAATTTGATCCATTCATCATGATGCTAGTTGGTTACTTTGAACATTAGTTGATGCAGTTTCTTCATAGTGTCTTTGGTTTTTATATTACGGTGTGTTTTTGCAGTGGCTGGTACTACTTTTTCCTTTCCCTGTTTAGTGCTTCCTTTAGGAGCTCTTGTAAAGCAGGCCTGGTGGTGACATAATCCCTCAGCATTTGCTTGTCTGTAAATGATTTTATTTCTCCTGCACTTATGAAGCTTAGTTTGGCTGTATGCAAAATTCTGAGTTGAAAATTCTTTTTTTTTAAGAATGTTGAATATTGGTCCCCACTCTCTTCTGGCTTGTGGGTTTTCTGCGGAGAGATCCACTGTTAGTCTGATGGGCTTCCCTTTGTAGGTAACCTGACCTTTCTCTCTGACTGTCCTTAACATTTTTTCTTTCATTTCGACCTTGGATAATCTGATGATTATGTGTCTTGGGGTTGCCCTTCTCGAGGAGTATCTTAGTGGTGTTCTCTGTATTTCCTGAATTTGGATGTTGACCTGTCTTGCTAGGTTGGGGAAGGTCTCCTGGATAATATTTTGAAGTGTGTTTTCCAACTTGGTCTCATTCTCCATGTTACTTTCAAGTATACCACCCAATCACATGTTTGGTCTTTTCACATAGTCCCATATTTCTTGGAGACTTTTTTCCTTCCTTTTCCCTCTTTTTTCTCTAATATTGTCTTCACACCTTATTTTAGTAAGTTGATCTTCAATCTCTGATATCCTTTCTTCTGGTTGATCAATTCAGCTATTGATACTTGTGTATGCTTCATGAAGTTCTCATGATGTGTTTTTCAGCTCCATCAAGTCACTTATGTTTTTCTCTAAACTTCTAGTTAGCGGTTCCTGTAATCTTTTGTCAAATTTCTTAGCTTCATTGCATTGGGTTAGAACATGCTCCTTTAGCTCAATGGAGTTTGTTATTTCCCACCTTCTGAAGCCTACTTCTGTGAATTCATCAAACTCATTCTCTGCCCAGTTTTGTGCACTTGCTGGAGAGGAGTTGCAATCATTTGGAGAAAAGACATTTTTCTCTAGAAGAATGTTTTTGGAATTTTCAGCATTTTTGTGCTGGTTTTTCCTCATCTTCGTGGATTTATCTACCTTTGATCTTTGAGGTTGATGACCTTTGGATGGGATTTTGTGTGGGGGTCCTTTTCGTTGATGTTGATGTTATTGCTTTCTGTTTGTTAGTTTTTCTTCTACCAGTCAGGCCCCTCTTCTGCAGGTCTGCTGCAGTTTGCTCAAGGTTCACTCCAGACCCTATTTGCCTGAGTATCACCGGTGGAGGCTGCAGAACGGCAACTATTACTGCCTGCTTCTTCCTCTGGAAGCTTCATCCCAAAGGGAAGCCCAGTGCCAGCTGGACTCTCCTCTATGAGGTGTCTGTCAACCCCTGTTGGGGAGTCTCTCTCAGTCAGTAGGCACTGGGGTCAGGGATTCACTGGCAGAGGCAGTCTGTCCCTTAGCAGAGCTTGAGCGCTGTGCTGGGAGAACCCTCCTTGTCAGAATCCACTGTTCTCTTCAGAGCCGGCAGGCAGGAATGCTTAAGTCTGATGAAGCTGCGCCCACAGCTGCCCCTTCCCCCAGGTGCTCTGTCCCAGGAAGATGGGAGTTTTATCTCTAAGCCCCTGACTGGGACTGCTGCCTTTCTTTCAGAGATGCCCTCCCCAGTGAGGAGGAATCTAGAGAAGCAGTCTGGCCACAGCCACTTTGCCACGCTGTGTTGAGTTCCACCCAGTCCAAACTTCCAGGCCTCCTTAGCACTGTCAGGGGAAAACTGCCTACTCAAGCCTCACTAATGGTGGATGCCCCTCCCCACAACAAGCTCGATCATCCAGGGTCGACTTCAGACTGCTGTGCTGGCAGTGAGAATTTTAAGCCAGTGGTCCTTAGCTTGCTGGGCTCCATAGGAGTGGGACCCGCTGAGTGAGAGCACTTGGCTTCAGCCCCCTTTCCAGGGGAGTGAACAGTTCTGTCTGTTGATGTTCCAGGTGCCACTGGGGTATGAAAAAAACTCCTGCAGCTGGCTCAGTGTCTGCCCAAACAGCCACCCAGTTTTGTGCTTGAAACCCAGGCCCCTGGTGGTGTAGGCACATGAGAGAATCTCCTGGTCTGCGGATTGCAAAAACCGTGGGAAAGGTGTAGTATGTGGGTGAATAGCACAGTCCCTCACAGCTTCCCTTGGCTGGGGAAGCTCCTTGCACTTCCCGAGTGAGGCGATGCCACACCATGCTTCTGCCTGCCCTCCAGGTGCTGCACCTGCTTCCTAACCAGTTACCTAACTGGTACCTCAGTTGGAAATGCAGAAATCACCTGCCTTCTGCATTGGTCTCACTGGGAGCTGCAGAGCAGAGCTGTTCCTATTCAGCCATCTTGCCAGATTTGCCAACAAGTGCCAATTTCCTGCTTTCATTTCAGAGAATGACACCCCCAGCCATCTGCTTGTTCAATCCAGGAATCTAGATCAGCACAGTGCACTCGTTTAGGCCACAAAGTGAAATGTAAAACCCAATAACACCACTGCAAGTCTGAGTAACTTTAGGCAAATTATTTAATTTCTCTGAAACTTATTTTAAAATTTTTTACTTGTAATGTGGACATAATATGTCTCTTTCATTGTGTGCGTGTGCGTTTTTAGTGTGTGTGGGCATGTGAACTGGGTAATACAATGATTGTTGAATGGTTATGTTATAATAAGCATTTAATATATGTTGGTTATAACTACTATCCTTAATTTATCCTTCTTCGTCATTTTATACCAAAATTGTAACACTGTATATTCTAATATCTCTCAAATGCCTCTATTTCTATCCAACCAAATTGTCACCACTCTAGTCTGCAGTATATATATAACGTGATGTTATAATGCATGTATATATTTTGGAATGAGTACAGCAGGCTAAATAACATATCTGCCACCTCACATACTTATCATTACTTTGTGGGGAAAATATTTAAAATCCACTCCATTAGCAATTTTGGAATATACAATACATTTTAACTATAGTCACCATGCTATACAATAAATCATTAGAAGTTACTTCTCCTGTGTAACTGAAACTTTGTACCCTTTGACCAGTCCACCCCTGTCCACTCCTACCTCAAACTCTGGTAACCACCATTCTATTTTCTACCTCAATAGATTTGACCTTTTTAGATTCCACATATAAGGGAGATCATGCAATACTTGTCTTTCTGTGCCTGGCTCATTTCACTCAGCATAATGTCCTCTAGCTTAACCCATGTCAGAAATGACAGGATTTTCTTTTTTTAAAGGCTGCATAGTATTCCACCAGGTATATATAACATTTCTTTAGTCATTCATCTATTGGTGAAGATTTAGGTTGTTTCCATGGCTACTGTGAATAATGCTGCAAAGACCATGGGAGTGCAGATATCTCTTTGAGATACTGATTTCAATTCCTTTGAATATATATCCAGAAGTGGAATTGCTGGATCACATAGTAGTTGCATTTTTAGTTTTTTGAAGAAACTGCACTGTTTTCCAAAATGGCTCTATTAATTTACATTTCCATTAACACTGTGCCAGTTCCCTTTTTTCCACATTTTTGCCTTAAAATACATTTGTTGAATAAAATGAGTAGAAGGGTTAATTCCTCCTCAGAAGTGGAAGGAAATGTTAAAAAAGATGAAAGGGGAGATAGAGATTTGGAATAGGGAAAAAGATTGATTTGAGAATACAATTTTGGAGTTCTTCTGTAGATGGAATGAAAATTGTCCCAGTGAATTTATTCAGTTGTGGTAATGTGAAATACTATATTATGTGAATTTTTTCAACTTATCCTCTCCCTTCATTAAAAATATCCACAGTAGTTCACGAGGAAAGAAGACAGCAATTACAACAAAAGCACAATTAAGCCACCTCTCAAACTTGACATTGAAATGCATATTTGTCTATAGGTGAGGGCAATCGATAAAGTATATAGTTTGAATGAATATACAACAATTATCTTCATTTTTAAGTTTTTATTTTGTTTTATTTATCTAAGTTTTTATAATTTGCTTCAAACATCAAACTGCAGATTAATTTTTCTCACTTGAATTAGGCCTTGAGCATTTTAAATTAGGGGATTCTCCCTACAACTGTTTTAATTTTATTAAACATTTTTATTAACCAACTTAAACTAAGCTCTAGAAGAGTATCTTTTAATAACACAAACATGAACATTTAAATTAATCTATAGCTGGTCCAGGAAATAAAAAACTACACTAGAAATTGATTGTTCAAATAAACATATTCAAATAAAAACCAGGTATTTAGAAACAATTGGATTTAACCATCAAAACACTGCAGGCATAGCACATTGCCATTAACAGTCAGAAATAGAAGTCATAACAATTTGTAACCAGTTAAAATAATTCAGTTGTATGAACGTAGGTTATATTCAAAACAAGAGAAGTGTTTTTTAAGGGCATTCTGTTGTCATAAGTTAATGGAAATTAAATTTTTAGCCACTCAACTGAAAGTATATTAGCTTTGGGAGTGATAAAGCTACCTTTTTTTTACCTGCTAGCTGCGTGACATCTTCCAGACGTTTATCTTGCTGAGGCTTGGTGCTCTCATCCAGAGAATGGGAATGATAAATATTACTTATCTTAAAGGATTTATGTAAAGACTAAATGAGATGCTGTGTAGGAAGTGCTCAGAGATTATCAGCATCCTTCTATATGAAGCACTTAACAATAATTTGTTGAAACAGACACTAATTCCTGCACCAGCCAAATAGCTCTTGAATTTTCCAGATTGATGATCTATAGCAATAGGTTTCTAATTCATTAGGATAAGTCTCTTGGAAAGTTTATAAAAATTCAGATAACCTAACCCCAAATTCAGGGAATCTAATTCAATATGCTTCTTGTTGAAATTTATCATATCAAAAATGAACAAATAAAACAATATAAATATTCATTAATAAGGGTGGGATATATAAAAACTTTGCTATATTCATACAAATACTTGAATACAACTCAAAGATCATGTTTTAGCATAAAATGTATTGCCACGGAAAATTAAGGAAAAATCAGATTAAAATAGGTACTTTTGATCCTCTATTCAACATTTCTATATGGAAAATGGATCAGAAGAACATATACCAAATCATTAATAGAGATTTTCTCTGGTGACTACTAAAGATTTTTAATGTTTTAAATTTTCTTTTCTATATTTTTCCCAAATATTCTAAAACAAATACATTAATTTTAATCGGAAAAGAATATAAAACAAAATTTATATTAACGTTGAAGTATGAAAAAGGAGAGCAGGGATGGCTTCAAAGAAGCAAATGAATACCAGAGATTCTTCTAGAAATCGCATTCTACAGCACAAGTTCACACATCCCCAAGAAAATGCCGGTGAGCATGACCCAGCCATTATTAACAGAGAACTCTAGGACATATGGTGTCCATTTGTATTCTAATTTAAAACTTCCAGTGTTGTATATTTAAAAAGATTTGATCTGCAGGTGAAACATTGGATGTATTTATATCTGTGTTGCATGGTAGGTAGGAGCTATGGTTTGCAAAAGAATGCTGCTTCTCTGGTTTGACATAAATGGTGATTACTTTTATTTGTAACCGTTTTTTCCCTTATTTTTCAGGTCATGCTATTGCAGCATATGATTCATTTTTATAATCTGGTCTTCTCTTTGCCCAATTCCTGAAAGGAAACCAGGCGACATCATGGAAAGAAAGAATCAAACAGCTATAACTGAATTCATCATCTTGGGATTCTCCAACCTAAATGAATTGCAGTTTTTACTATTCACCATCTTCTTTCTGACTTATTTCTGTACTTTGGGAGGAAATATATTAATTATCTTGACGACTGTGACTGATCCACACCTGCATACACCTATGTATTATTTTCTAGGGAACTTGGCCTTTATTGACATCTGCTACACCACCAGCAATGTCCCCCAGATGATGGTGCACCTCCTCTCAAAGAAAAAAAGCATTTCTTATGTGGGGTGTGTGGTTCAACTTTTTGCATTTGTTTTCTTTGTAGGATCAGAGTGTCTCCTACTGGCAGCAATGGCATATGATCGTTACATTGCAATCTGCAATCCTTTAAGGTATTCAGTTATTCTGAGCAAGGTTCTATGCAATCAATTAGCAGCCTCATGCTGGGCTGCTGGTTTCCTTAACTCAGTGGTGCATACAGTGTTGACATTCTGCCTGCCCTTCTGTGGCAACAATCAGATTAATTACTTCTTCTGTGACATCCCCCCTTTGCTGATCTTGTCTTGTGGAAACACTTCTGTCAATGAGTTGGCACTGCTATCCACTGGGGTCTTCATTGGTTGGACTCCTTTCCTTTGTATCGTACTTTCCTACATTTGCATAATCTCCACCATCTTGAGGATCCAGTCCTCAGAGGGAAGACGAAAAGCCTTTTCTACATGTGCCTCCCACCTGGCCATTGTCTTTCTCTTTTATGGCAGCGCCATCTTTACATATGTACGGCCCATCTCAACTTACTCATTAAAGAAAGATAGGTTGGTTTCAGTGTTGTACAGTGTTGTTACCCCCATGCTAAACCCTATAATTTACACATTGAGGAATAAGGACATCAAAGAAGCTGTCAAAACTATAGGGAGCAAGTGGCAGCCACCAATTTCCTCTTTGGATAGTAAACTCACTTATTGAACCTCACAGGTTCAATAATCTTATACTACAAAATTAACTTTTTCACCAGTCAGCTGTTTTTATTGAAAGTTTAAAAGATAATTGCAATGTTGGGACAGATATTGAAGAGTTGATACACTCCAGTCTAAGTGTACTTATTCTTGAGCTTTAGTTAGTTCTATGAGAGATATCAATGTTGCTCTCTTTAGATATTATCTTCTTATTTATTTTTCCATTCCTGAATTTTGCATTCAAAGACTGTTTCCCTCTTTCATGAGATATTTGTTTAATGGACTTCATCACTTGAAAATTTCCCTGCTTTTTCATATTGCTTTCTGTATATTAAATAATGTGAAATATTTTTCTTCACATTCCTCATATGTGTGTCATATTTTTCTGTTCTTACTACTTAAGCCATGCTTTTGACCTTTCTTTCTTTAGTAGGCCCTTCTTAATAAAACATCATCACCAATAGATTAAGAAATGTAAACACAGTAAAGTGATGTTTTACCTCCAGATCTGTTGGTAGCTAATTTTAATTTTATCACCTGCTGCATGGGCCAAGGCCAATTTATCTTCACATTGGAATGAAGACAGTCATAATTTTCAATCCCATTTGACATGCATTCTTTATTCTATTCAAAAGGCAGAATTTCCTGAGGGATTTTTCTAAAACTAAGTCCCCAAAACATATTACTATTTTATAGAGTATCTTAAATTTGGGAAACTTTTTTCGCTAAAAATTTAGAAAACAGAATCAGATAAAACATACAGAAAAAACAAGGGTTTTTTGATGGGGAATAAAAAGTCTTAGTTATATAATGACTAAATTTAGAAAAAAAAGTAGAAATTACTAATGTTAAAAGTAAAAGTACTTAATTACTATTTTCTATGTGTTATTACCATGTAAAGTACAGTTATGAAGTCAAGACAAATGGGAAGGAAGACTAAGTGGTGGAAGAGAGAAATAAATACAGACACTGGAGAGAAAATTTAAAAGATAAAGAGACTTAGAGATACCAAGAAGGGAAAATAAATAACATACAATGTAAGAGCCTAAGAGATTGAAAGAGAGATAGAAAAAGGCTTATAGATCAGGTAGATACAAGTTGTCTAGTGTCTTTCTTCACTATTCTCTCAGGACCGTCTTCTTTTTCTTCCCATACCTACTGATGCCTCCCTTGATTAAGTCTTGACTTCCCAGCCCCTCTTTTGTGTAATGTTGTCATAGTGTTCTAGTGGAGTGCCTTGTCTCCATTCCTATTCTGTTTAATGTACCCTGCACATCATTTCTGAGTTAACTTTCTTAACATGGTGTTATGTACAGTCTCCTATACTGTTTTTGTTTTAATAAACTCTACTGGCTTACTGGCACACTCTTCATTTAACTAAATATATTTGTAACCACTGTCTATAAAATCTAAGTACTACCTACTTTGTAACTCATCTCCTGCAGGAACCCTAAATAATTCTTCTCCAGGTATGGCTTGATCTTTCCTGACTACATACCACTATTATGACGATTCCCTTAATTTGGAATTCACATCTCCTCCCTTATTTGTTCAAAATTCTCTTCATTCTTTATAGTTCAATTCAAAATCTACTTTCTCCTCCATCATTCCACCTAATGTTTTCTATTCCTCCTTAAATCACATGGTACTGCCTGAAATGGTGGTGGTGGTGGTAGTGAGAGTTACTTGACTAATCTATTTAAAATTACAACTTCTCACCACTCCCCCACTCAATAACTCTTGATAACTCCACTCTGTCTTTCATTTCATAGCAGTTATCTAAAGTTATTATTATCAGAATTATGTATCCTGTTCACCTCTTTATCTTTAGGGCCAAGAAGAGAATAATTCCTGGCCTATCATAGGTGGTAAATACTCCTGAATAAATATATGAACATGGGGGGCAGAAAGGAAAAACCAGTATCAGCCACTGCAAAAACACACTGAAATACAAGGATCAATGACACTATAAAGAAACTGCATCAACTCGTGTGCAAAATAACCAGCTAGCATCATGATGACAGGATCAAATTCACATATAACAATATTAACCTTAAATGTAAATGGGCTAAATGACCCAATTAAAAGACACAGACTGGCAAATTGGATAAAGAGTCAAGACCCCTCAGTGTGCTGTATTCAGGAGATCCTTGACATGTGCCAGGACACACATAGGCTCAAAATAAAGGGATGGAAAAAATTTACCAAGCAAATGGAAAGTAGAGAAAAGCAAGGATTGTAATCCTAGTTTCTGATAAAACAGACTTTAAACCAAAAAAGATAAAAAACACAAAGGAGGGGATAACATAATGGTAAAGGGGTCACTTCAACAAGGAGAGCTAACTATCCTAAATGTATATGCACCCAATACAGGAGCACCCAGATTCATGAAGCAAGCTCTTAGAGAGCTACAAAGAGACGTAGACTTCCACACAATAATACTAAGAGACTTTAACACCCCATTCTCAACATTAGACAGATCATCAAGACAGAAAACTAACAAGGATATTCAGGACTTGAACTTGGCTCTGGATCAAGTGAACCTGATAGATATCTGCAAGCCCTTCCAGCCTGAAACAACAGAATATACATTCTTCTCAGTGCCACGTGGCATTTACTCTAAAATCGATCACATAATGGGAAGTGAAGCACTCCTCAACAAATGCAAAAGAACTGAAATCATAACAAACAGTCTCTCAGACCACAGTTCAATCAAATTAGAACTCAGGATTAAGAACCTCACTCAAAACCAACAATGACATGGAAATTGAACAACCTGCTCCTGACTGACTTCTAGGTAAATAATGAAATTAAGGCAGAAACTAAACCATTCTTGAAACCAATAAGAACAAAGAGACAACATACCAGAATCTCTGGGATGCAGCTAAAGCAATGTTTAGAGGGAAATTTGTAGCACTAGAAAGAACTCAAACTGACACCCTAACATCACAACAAAAGAACTAGAGGAGCAAGGGCAAATAAATCCAAAATTTAGCAGAAAACAAGAAATAACTAAGATCGGAGAAGAACTGAAGAAGAGACAGACACAAGAAAATGCTTCAGCAAATCAATAAATCCAGAAGTTGTTTCTTTTTTGAAGACATTAATAAAATAGACTGCTAGCTAGACTAATAAAGAAGAAAAAAGAGAAGAATCAAATAGACACAATATAAATGATAAAGGGCATATCACCACTGACCCCATAAAAATACAAACTACCATCAGAGAATACTATAAATATCTCATGCAAACAAACTAGAAAATCTAGAAGAAATGAATAAATTCCTGGATGCATACACCCTCCCAAGACTACACCAGGAAGAATTCAAATCCTTGAATAGACCAATAACAAATTCTGAAATTGAAGCAGTAATAAATAGCCTAACAACCAAAAAAAGCCCAGCACCAGATGGACTCACAGTCGAATTCCACCAGAGGTACAAAAAGGAGTTGGTACCACTCCTTCTGGAACTATTTCAAACAATTCAAAAGGAGGGACTTCTCCCTAACTAATTTTATAAGCCCAGCATCATCCTGATACTAAAACCTGGCAGAGACGGAACAAAATAAGAAAACTTCTGGCCAATATCTCTGATGAACATCAATGTGAAAATCCTCAATAAAATACTGGCAAATCAAATCCAGCAGCACATCAAAAAGCTTATCTTCCACAATCAAGTCGGCTTCATCCCTGGGATGAAGGCTGGTTCAACAGACACAAATCAATAAATGCAATTCATCACATAAACAGAACCAATGACAAAAACCACATGATTATCTAAATAGATGCAGAAAAGGCCTCCGATAAATTTCAACATCCCTTCATACTAAAAACTTTCAATAAACTAGGTATTGATGGAACATATCTCAAAATAATAAGAGCTATTTATGACAAACCCACAGCCAATATCATACTGAATAGGCAAAAGCTGGAAGCATTCCCTTTGAAAACTATCACAAGACAGGGAAATCCTCTTTCACCATTCCTATTCAACATAGTATTGGATGTTCTGGCCAGGGCAATCAGGCAAGAGAAAGAAATAAAGCGTATTTGAATAAAAAGACTGGAAATCAAATTGTCTCTGTTTGCAGATGACATTGTATATTTAGAAAACCCCATCGTCTCAGCCCAAAATCTCCTTAAGCTGATAAACAACTTCAGCAAAGTCTCAGGATACAAAATCAATGTGCAAAAATCACAAGCATTTCTATACACCAACAATAGACAAACAGAGAACCAAATCATGAATGAACCTTCATTCATAATTGCTACAAAGAGAATAAAATACCTAGGAATACAGCTAACAAGGGATGTGAAAGACTTCAAGGAGAACTACAAACCACTTCTCAAGGAATTAGGAGAGGACACAAACAAATGGAAAAACATTTCATCCTTGTGGATACGAGGAACCAATATTGTGAAAATAGCCATACTGTCCAAAGTAATTTATAGATTCAGTGCTATTCCCATCAAACTACCATTGACATTCTTCAGAGAATTAAAAAAAAAAGGCTACTTTAAAACTCATATGGAACCAAGAAGGAGCCTGTATAGCCAAGACAATCCTAAGCAAAAAGAACACAGCTGGAGGCATAATGCCACCTGACTTCAAACTATAATACAAGGCTACAGTAACCAAAACAGCATGGTACTGGTACCAAAGCAGACACATAGACCAACAGATCAGAAATAAGACGGCACATCTACAACCATCTGAATTGCAACAAACCTGACAAAAACAAGCAATGGGGAAATGATTCCCTATTTAATAAATGGTGCTGGGAAAATGGGCTAGCCATATGCAGCAAACTGAAACTAGACCCCTTCCTTACACCTTATACAAAAATTAGCTCAAGATGTATTAAAGACTTAAATGTAAAACCTAAAACGATAAAAATCCTAGAAGAAAATGTAGGTAATACCATTCAGAGAATAGGCATGGGCAAAAATTTTATGATGAAATTGTCAAAAGCAATTGCAACAAAAGCAAAAATTGACAAGCAGGATCTAATTAACTAAAGAGCTTCTGCACACCAAAAGAAACTACCATCAGAGTGAACAGGCAACCTGAAGAATGGGAAAAAAATTTTGCAATCTACCCATCTGATAAAGGTCTAATATCCAGAATTTACAAGGCACTTAAACAAATTTACAATAATAAAACAAATAACCCCATCAAAAAGTGGGCAAAGGATATGAACAGACACTTCTCAGAAGATACTTACACAGCCAACAAATTATGAAGAAAAGCTCAACATCACTGATTGTTAGAGAAATACAAATTAAAACCACAATGAGCTACCATCTTATGCCAGTCAGAAGAGCAATTATCAAAAAGTCAAGAAACAATAGATGCTGGCAAGGCTGTGGAGAAATAGGAACACTTTTACACTGTTGGAGGGAATGTAAATTAGTTCAACCATTGTGGAAGACAGTGTGGCAATTCCTCAAGGATCTAGAACCAGAAATACCATTTAGCCCAGCAATCCCATTACTGGGTATATAACCAAAGGAATATAAATCATTCTATTATAAAGATACACACACATATGTTTATTGCAGCACTATTCACAATAGCAAAGACTTGGAATCAATCCAAATGCCCATCAATGATAGAATACATAAAATGTAGTACATATATATCATGGAATACTATGCAGCCATAAAAAGGAATGGGATCATGTCCTTTGCAGGGACATAGATGAAGCTGGAAGCCATCATCCTCAACAAAGTAACTGAAACAGAAAACCAAACACCGCATGTTCTCACTAATAAGTGGGAGTAGAATAAAGAGAACACATGGACACAGGGAGGGAACAACACACACCAGGGCCTGTCGGCGGGTGGAGGGTGGGAGAGCATCAGGACAAATGGCTAATGCATGCAGGGCTTAATACCTAGGTGATGGGTGGTTAGGTGCAGCAAATCACCATGGCACACGTTTACCTATGTAACAAACCTGCACGTCTGCACATGTATCCTGGAACCTAAAATAAAATAAAATTTAAAATATATATAAACATACCATAAAACTACCATGACATTGAACATCCTAGAGGGTTTGTGCATGAAAGTTTTTGCTTTCTTACTACTTTTTATGCTCCCAGTTAACACACATCTTACAGGAAGTATACGTTTTAGTATTTCTCACATCCCATAGTTTATTTCATTCACCATAGAATATTATTCCAGAATATTATGTTCACAGAATAGATGAATAAGTAGAGATAATGAATGATATAATTTAGTTGGTTGCAAATATTATTTTAAGTCAAAATTTTCTGACACATTTGCTTATTAGATGATAAAAAATTTTTTTTGGTCAACACGTATTTCTCATCAAATATTTCCAAAGTGGGAAACATCCAAGCCTCATACTTTGACAACATGCTCTTCTGTCTCAATGTAGTCTACCTCTTTCACTTTTTTTTTGCTTTAAATATTAACCATGTACCACTGACTTTCACTTTATTTATCTGCAGCTTTTACTTCTATTCTAAATTCAACCAAATCTCACGCCATATTTTGTTTTAATTCAAACTCATAACCCTTTAATCAAAATCAGTTGCCATCTGTTTTATCAATGCCACTGCAATTCTCACATTCTGTTTATATCCCATTCGTTTTCTTTACTTTCTGATGCTCTTCCAATGATTAACTCACAGCTCTGAACAAATATAGCATTTTGTTACATCTAAGGCTGTTCAGTTTCAGTATACTAAAGAAAATAAGTAAAGAAACATTAAAAACAAAAAAAGTAAAATACACACAATAAAACCTAGAGAAGTGAATCCCAAAAGCAATATGCTAGCATACTGATAAGGGAGTGCTGGGAAGGGAAGAACGTGGTCCCTTTAAATGATACAAAAGGGGAGAAGAGAAGTGCTGGGTAGAGGAAGGTGTGTTCCCTGACTAGGGCTCCATCCCACGGACCTAGGTGAGGACAGGCACTCCTGCTTTTTCGCCCAAATGTTGCATTTCAAAAGTCCACCCTGACCCACCATGCCCCCATCCTTGGCCTATAAAAACCCGAGGCCCCAGCAGGCAGACACACAGGTGGCCAGATGTCCAGAGGAGTACATTGGCGAAAGAAGATGCAAGCGGCTGGTCCTCGAGAGGATGTCAAGAGGAGCACGCAGGCAGAAGAGCACACAGACAGGCACCAGCATACCAGCAGGCCATCAGCTGGTGGGAGGAGGTGGAGTTTGGCCGCGGCAGAGGAGAGCAAGGCCGAGTGGCCCAACTCCAGGGGAAGACCATTTCCCTTCTGGCTCCCCCATCAGTTGAGAGCTACTTCCACTCAATAAAGCTTTACACTAATTCTCCAAGCCCACGTGTGATCTAATTCTCCCGGTACACCAAGGCAAGAAACCCTGGGATACAGAAAGCCCTCTGTCCTCGGACAAGGTAGAAGGTCTAATTGGGCTAACACAAGCCACCTGTAGACAGCAAATTAAGAGCACCCTGTAACACACGCCCACTGGGGCTTCAGAAGCTGCAAACATTCACCCCTAAACACTGCCATGGGGTTGGAGCTCCACAGTCTGCCTGTCTGTAAGCTCCCCTAGTTGTTTGAGCAGTGGGGCCCTGAAAAAGCGAGCCACATCCCCATCGCATGCCCTGCGAGGGGGACAAGGGAACTTTTCCCATTTCAATACCACTAGAGAGGTTCACAGACAATTTGAGCCCTGTTTTCTCAAAACAGAAAAGGAAGGACAGTAAGAACTGTGCGAAGTGAGGATAAAGAAACAGAAAAGGGAGCCAATAGTCATTGGCATTATACACCTGAGAAAGCAGCAGCAGTTACCATACTGAGCATAGCCGGAGGAGTTCACCACAGTTAGAGAAATGAAGGCAGAAATGGTAGGTACACCTGTGGATTTGGAAGTTAAAAACTGATGAGGTTTTAAATCAAAGGAATCAAAGGTTTGTTTTTCTTTGTAATATAAGAAAATAATTTGCTTACAATCTTTTTTTACCTGTCATACACTATTATTCGTTTATTGTTATAGTTGGCAAATAAAAATTATATTTATCATGTACAACATGATATCTTGAAATATGTATACCTTGTGAAATGGCTAATCAACGTATGCAATACCTCACATACTTTTTTGTGGTGAGAAAACTCATCTATTCTTTTGGCAATTTTCAAGAATACAAAACGTTATTAACTACAGTCACCATGTTGTACAATAGATCTCTTGAACTTATTTCTCCTATATAACTGAAATATTGTATCCATTTACCAACATCTCCCCACCACATCCCCTCCCAGCCCCTAGTAACCACAATTCTACTCTCTATTTCTATGATTTCAACTTTTAAAAATTCTGCATAATGTGAGATCATGTAGCATTTGTCTTTCTGTTCCTAGCTTACTTCACTTAAAATAACGTTCTCCAGGTTCATCCATGTTGTCACAAATGACAGAATTTGCTTCTTTTTTAAGACTGAATAGTATTCTATTGTGTACATATGCCATATTTTATTTATCCATTCATCCGCTGATGAACACTTAGGTTGATTCCATGTCTTGGCTATTATGAATGGTGCTGCAATAAACATTGGAGTGCACATATTTCTTTGATATGCTGATTTCATTTCCTTGGATATATACCAAGTAATGGGATTCCTTGATCATATGGTGGTTTTATTTTTAATTTTTTAAAGAACTTTCATACTATTTTCTATAATGGCTATACTTACTCACATTCGCATCAACAGTGCGGAAGAGTTCCTTTTTCTTGACATCCTTATCAGCATGTGTTACCTTTTGTCTTTTTAATATTAATTATTCTAACAGATATAAGGTTATATCTCATTGTGGTTTTCATTTGCCTTTCTCTGCTGACTATTAATTTAGTATTTTTTCATATACCTGTTGGCCATTTGCATGTCTTCTTCTGAGAAATGTCTCTTCAGGTCATTTGATCGTAACCAGGTTATTTGTTTTCTTTAATTGGGTTATTTGTAATATATATTTTGAATAGTAACCTCTTAACAGATGTGTGCTTGGCCGATTACAAAGGTTGTCTCTTCACTCAGTTGATTGTTCGCTTGGCTGTGCTGAAGCATTTTTGTTTGATGTAGTCAAAATTGTCTCTTTTTGGCTTTATTGCCAGTACTTTCAAGGTCATATCCAAAAAGTCTTTCCCAGATCAATGTCATGGAACTTTTTCCCCAATATTTTCTTCTAGTATTTTTACAATTTCAAATTACACATTTAATCCAAATGTCTTTAATCCATTTTCAGTTTTTTAAAAAAATATTGTGTGAGATTAGGGTCCAATTTCATTCTACTGGCATGCAAATATCCAATTGTTCCAACATTAGTTGTTGAAGGAACTGTCTTTTCTCCATTGTGTGCTATTGGCACTTTTGTCAAAAATCAATGGACTGTAAATGCATACATTTATTTCTGAGTTCTTTATTTTTTTCCATTGGTCTTTCTGTCTGTTTTTATGCCAGTACCATGCTGTCTTAATCGCTTTAGCTTTGGAGTGTATTTTCAAATCAGGTAGTATAATACCTGCAGCTTTGTTCATTTTTTGCAAGATTGCTTTGGCTACTTGGGTTATTTTTTTAGTTCCATAGAATTATAGGATTTTTTCCCATTTCTGTGAAACATGTCATCGATATTTTGATGAGATTATGCTGACTCTGTAGATTACTTTGAATAGCATGAACGTTTTAACAATATTATTTCTTCCAATTTGCAGGATATATCCATAGGATGTTTTTCCAATTATTTGTGTCTTTTTCAATTACTTTAATCAATGCTTTATAGTTTTTTTGTGTACAAATCTTTAACCTCCTTGGTTATGTTAATTCTTAAGTATGTTATTTTTCTTTTTTTTGTAGCTATTGTAAGTGGGGTTGTTTTCTTGATTTCTTTTTTAGATTGTTGTTAGTGTATGGAAATAATTTTTATATGTTGATTTGTATCCTGCAACCTTATTGAATTCATTTATTATTTCTAACAGTTTTTTGATAAATTCTTTATAGCTTTTATGTACAATAATATACCACATGCAATCAGGGACAATTTTAACTTTCTCAGGGGAAGAGACAGAATGAGTTACTTATACCACCGTAATGGGAAAAAGAATGTGCATTTTGAAATTTGATTAACCTTAAGTGAAACAAAATAGTCAGTGTTTATTTCTTCCAGTTACAGTTTTCCATCCCATTTTTAACACTTCCAGTATTGGAAGAGCTTGAATTGTAAATGGATGTGGAAATAGCTATAAGGTGATGGAAGAACCACCATTCTCATAATCAGAAGATGTGCATTTGAAGTTGAACACTACTGATAAATACCAGTGCAATCTTAGTCAAGATAGTTATGGTTTCTTTAATCTGAATTTTCTCTTCTATAAAATAAAAATAATTTTTAAAAACAAAAATACAAAAGTATTTTTTGAAATAACTATAGAAAATAATACATCGTTACTAGGGTGGCTGAATGATGAGCACTAACATCTCTTCCACGCTTATATGTGATGTTATTTAATGTAGTTAATATATATTAACCCATTTAACATGCCACATGTGAGAGATACTATTACCATCTTTTTTACAACTGAGCCACCAAATTAACTAGCTTTCTTTAAGTCACATACCTAACAATTGGTGGTTCATTGTTCAAACTCACACCATCTGATTCTAAAAGATGTATTGTTAACTGGTGTATATGCCATACTGAAAATTAGCTACAAGGTTTATTGCTTTCACAGAACATTTAAAAAGAATGCAGGATTGATTTGTTTATTGGGAGTATTTTATTAGATTATTCTAACCCACTTAGACATAAAACAAAGAAGAATTTGAAATTTTGGAGTTTGAATTCTGTCTCCCAATATAGAGAGTAGGTAACTAGAATAACTTTGGAGGCCTCTACAGTATTTATTTTCTTCTAAGACTACAGGTTATAGCAATTGCTAATTTCTATTAAAGATGTGTGTTCACTGAGGGCTGTACTGGCAAAGAGTCCACACAGTTTACACAGAGCTAACAGCAGCTTCTTAACACCATCATTTTTCAGTTTTCATACAATTAAAAATGGTCTCTTGGAAACTGGCTCTTATCAAGAAAGTTTTTGTTCCACTAGTAGGTCACTTGGGGGCTCATTAGAAAGCTTACAGATAATTGTATTGTTAAGATGTTATAAATGTTTTCGCAAAGTCAATAAGTACATAATTGCTTAGGTGCCTCAAAACTGTTTTCTTTGAAGAGTAAGATGCTCCATCAGGGCATATGTATTAAATACTTCCAAAGTGTCTCCAGAGGTGCCAGCTTTGTTAGGTAGTCCCTGGCGCCTTTCTCTCAGGTGTGCCTCATGGTTTTAACAATTACTTCTGCAAGAGGCCTCTTGGGGTAAGCCACTTAACAAACAGCACTGAGATAAACTTTCTTCAAAGTCTATCCTTCAAAGTTGGCCTCCTTAGGGAAAGAGATGGGTGACTTCATGCAAAGCACCACACTCAACTGTAAAGGAGAAAGGGTCATTACTATTAAAAAAAGAAGACATTTCAGAAAGCCTCAAGGGTGTTTACCTTTTCTCTGAAAGCCCCTTACCCCAGAATGAATGAGAACTGGGTTCTTGTTAATACAAATGTATATACATAGAGAGAGGGCAGAGAGAGAGGCAAGGGAGAGAGTTGGTATTAGCAAAGTTCCAGTTCTCATTCACCCTGGGGACTATGTATGTACAGTATATATTCACATAGCCACCCATTCACTTATTCTCTTGTTTTATTTAATTCACTATTCTGATATACTGGATCATCATTACAGTAGTCTACCATATTGAAAGTTCTATTTAAATTACAAATTAAAATACTAATCCAAGTAACATACAACTGTAAAGAATGTGCCTCATCTTGTAAAACGGAAGCTTTTTTCCACTTGATATTTATGTTGTAGCATTTAAAATTAATTTTGTTCAGTTTTATAATATGAGATCATGCTTTTCTACTATTTATTGCTATTTGTGAATTATAGTATAAATTTGTCATCTATGAATTCAATTTACTGTTGTATACATAGCCTTATGTTTGATTTTTGTTACTATATCTTTCATAGATTCTTTTCATGTAGTTTTGAAAAGCTAGATGCATATTATAAACTTATGTATACTTGTATATATACTTATAAAGCTATGTACAAATTAGTAACATATATATGTAATAAAATTGTGTATTGGAATATTTCATTAGGTTATTTCAGCCACAAAACATGTATCATCATGCTTAAGAACCTATAGGAAGTGAGATTCTGTGTTAGGGAAGAATTACTTTAGACAAGAACAGGACACTTATAATAGTTCTTTAAGAAATCATATTCTTCCTCTACAGCTGTCTTTCCATTCAAAACTTATATTTAAAATTTCCTGCTCTAGGAGTTCATCTAGGATTGCATTTGGTACTAATATTGTTAGGCTTTGTGTCCCCACTCAAATCCACATTGAATTGTAATCCCCAGGTGTTGTGGAAGAGACCTGGTGGGAAGTGATTGGATTATGGGGGTGGTTTCCCCATTCTGTTCTCATGACAGTGAGTGGATTCTCACAAGATCTGATGTTTTTATGACTGGTAGTTTTTTCTACACTTGCACAAGCTCTCTTGCCTGCCACCCTGTAAGACGTGTCTTTGCTTCTCCCTCACCTTCTGCCACGATTGTAAGTTTCCTGAGGCCTCTCCAGCAATGCAGAACCATGCGTTCATTAGACCTCTTTTCTTTATAAATTATCCAGCCTGGGGTATTTTTCTTCATAGCAGTGTGAGAATGGACTAATACAGGTACAGTCAAATTAGTGACTGTTATTCCCTCTATCCAAGTCCTCTGCTTTTTCTGTATCAAGAAACTAGTATCAGTTTTTATTTGGAGGAAATGAATTGATGTGGTAAATAAATGTTTGCCACATCAATATGAGAAAAATATTCCATCGTATAGCTTTCATATGTTTTATTTTCTAAAATGCATGAAAGTATCATCTGCTCAATGATACTAGACTGCATACATAACTAAGTAAAATATTATATGGGGCAGAGGTACATTATGCAAGGATATTCTCATGTTACTAGTTGGGCAGAGGATGTATACTTTTATCTTGTTGAAAATTGCAGATAATGTCATTTAATTCAAATGAAAATTATATGCTTTTTAAATTTTAATCTGGTTTGGTTTTGAAATGATATATCAAAATTTTAATATCTAATTTACCAGTTGTTTTCCATTACCAATCTCCTGGTGTGTACTTCATGACATAAACAAATATATTACTATTCTACAGCAAAAAAAAAAAAAAAAAACTCCATGAAATAAGTCTCATTGATTTTTATTTATGTATTTGTGTTTTTATATACGTACACAAAAGTGATATGACCGAGAGTTAAGTCCTGCTTCAAGGTAATTGGAAACCTTGATAGCTACTCAGACTCACATGCTAGAACCATTCTCATGATCATCCTATTCAAGCCTCACTCAAATCTAACTGTTAATTGAAATCAAACGACAATAGATAGCTGGTAAAAAGGTGGGGTTATGAGTACAGTGAGCATGATTGTGGACCTATGTATCCTGCCTATTTTCAAACAAATAGAGTGAGAGGTATTCCAATTTTTTAGTTTGAAAATGCAAAATCATCCTTTAAAAATAAAAAGTTTATTCCATTTGCAACAACATGGATGAACCTGGAGAGCACTATGCTCAGTGAAATAAGCCTCTCAGAAAGACTAATACTCCATGAGTCCACTTATGTGAGGACCTGTAACATTTAGCCTCTAGAAGTAGAGAATGAAAGTTATTGCCAAGGGTAGGGGATGGGGGAAATGGAGATAGGGAAATTGTTTTCCAATGAGTATACAGTTTCAGTTATGCTAGATGAATAAGAGCTCTACTGTGCAACATAGTGGCTATAGGTATTGTGCACTTCAAAATTTGCTAAGAGGGTAAATCTCATGTTGTGTTCTTATAAAAAAAAAAACAAAAAAAAAAAGCAAAGGGATGCAACGGAACTTTGGAAGGTGATAGATACGTCTATTACCTTGATTGTGGTAATGGTATCATGGATATTTGTATATGTCAAAGCTCATCAACTTGTACATATTAAGTATGTGCAATTCTTTGTATATTATACTCCCAATAAAGCTGTTTTTTTAAAAAAAGAAAAAATAATCAAACTTAATTTGGGGTAAGACATTTGTATTAGTCCGTTTTCACATTGCTATAAAGAATACTACCTGAGAGTGGGTAATTATAAAAGAAAGAGGCTTAATTGACTCACAGTTCTGCATGGCTGGGGATGCCTCAGGAAACTTACAATTATAGCAGAAAGTGAAGGGGAAACAAGAACCTTCTTCACATGGTGGCAGGAGAGAGAAGAGTGAAGGAGGAACTTCCAAACACTAATAAAGCCATCAGAGCTCTTGAGAACTCACTCACTATCATGAGAACAGCATGGGGGAAACCACCCCCATGATCCAATCACCTCCGTCCCTCGACACTTGGGGATTACAATTCGAGTTGTAAGATGTGGGTGGGGAAACAGAACCAAACCATATCAACATTCAAAATGCCAGTTCACGTAGCTGTAATATTTCTCTTTTGTCCTTTTCAAAGGTCATCTTTTTTAGGAAACTATAGATTAACTTTTATTTTGGAATAATTATATTAATATGGCAATACAAGTTCTAGTGACTTGTGTTTGATTTATTCTTATGATTTATATATTCTTTGTAAGCACTCTACAATATTTCTTATGTGAGAATTACCTTTATCACATGTCAAACACATCTGAGGGAAAAATAAATTCCATTTTGTTTTTATTATCTGCAGGAAGCACCTAATGCAAACATGTTCTTTTTTTTCCATTTTACAAAATGATTTACAAAAAAGTTGTTTTAAATAATGTTATTGTTGTGTGTGGCAACCGTGATTTGGAGTATAAGTAATTTATACACTGTTACCCAAAAGACTGTTTTGTAAAGCAAAGTGAAACTGTATGTTTCTCTTACTTACAAAAATAATTATGAAATTTTTTATGTCATGCAAGTCACTCTCTCTCATGAGTAAATAGTTGTTATTTAAATAACAATTAACCCACAAGGTTAGCACATCTTTGAAAATAAATTATTTCTTCTCTAGGACCAAAAGGTACATAAGTGCATGGTGAAGAAGTGTTTTCATTTGCAAAAGTTCTATCGCTAGAAAAATAAATTCAAGCAACATATTGTTAATTTCTTTTCTTTAACTTAGGTCATCCCACCTTTTCCTATCCCATGCTGTCATTCTTTTTTTTTTTTTTTTTTGAGACGGAGTCTCGCTCTGTCGCCCAGGCTGGAGTGCAGTGGCACCATCTCGGCTCACTGCAAGCTCCGCCTCCCGGGTTCACACCATTCTCCTGCCTCAGCCTCCCAGGTAGCTGGGACTACAGGCGCCCGCCATTACGCCCGGCTAATTTTTTGTATTTTTAGTAGAGACGGGGTTTCACCGTTTTAGCCGGGATGGTCTCGATCTCCTGACCTCGTGATCCGCCCGCCTCGGCCTCCCAAAGTGCTGGGATTACAGGCGTGAGCCACTGCGCCCGGCCCATGCTGTCATTCTTACATTTTGGAATGTTTCTTTTTGAATTCTTTGCTCACTAATAAAATTCCTTAGAACCCTAGCACTACTATGAAAAAGCTCTCCAATACCACTACCTACTCCTGATATTTCTGTGTTGTCATTGACATTTGGTTCTTCTCCCAAAAGCTATTTCTCTTATTCTTCAATTCAAAGCTGCTCCTTCTCTCACAGTTTGAGGAGGTGGGTAGGATCAAGGTCTGTATTCTCTAAGTTTCTTATTTTTTTTCTGACTGTTACTTCTTCTCTTTCATATAAAATATCTTGCACTTTGAGGTCATTTTCTTACCACAAAAATTCTCTACATCTTCTTATTTTGCTCATATGCTTATTTTCCAGGCATGTTCCTAACTGCATATTGGGTGCCCATACCAGTTTCTTCTCTCCAGTATCAAATATGGCCATCACCCAGGCATCTATGTTGATGATGCAACCTTCCCACTGACCATCATGCTGCCACAATCAATATTAGGTAGATTATCTTGCCTCCCCACACTAACCTCAGACCTCCTTGACCTCCACTCCTTTTTTATTCTTTTTAAAATTATTGTTGATCATCAACCTAATACAAGACATTGTGGCATAATCCAGATATCAAAAATTCAATTGTGTATCAGGTCAAGTCTCAATTCCCCACCTTCAAATCATTCACCTTATAAAGAGAGAAACACATACACCAGATAATTAGAATACAATGTAGTAAGTGCAACAGTTAATATGAAAGTTACAAAGGTAGTGCAGATGTTATGATCACATCATGAAGATTACCTACATGTCTACTCTAAGACTATATCCCACCTTCATAGTCTTTTGTTTGGTATTGGAGTATGCTCTTTGCCATTCTCCCATTACTTCTCTCATTCCAATTTATTTTATAAATGTATAATTTATAGACAGTTAACATTCTCTTTTTTAGCATATAATTACTTGATTTTTTGCAAACACATATAATCATGCAACTATAGACACAGGCAAGATATAAAACAATTCTGTCACCTCCCAAATCCTCCCATTCCTTTTTATAAACAACACATCACGGACTCCAGCTTCTGGTAACCATAAATTTGTTTCCATCTTTATAGTTTTTTTCTTTTCCCTAATGTAATAATACAAGTAAAATCATATGATATGTGTCTTTTTTCTCTACATCTTTTTCATTTCTTTGGCTTCAAAGATACTTTCAGTTTCTTAACTGCCCACTTTCCGTAAGTCTTTCAGTTCCTTGTAACTGTACTTATGTCCCTATAGAGCCAGACCTCTATGTCTGTAAAGGGCTAGAACAGTAAGCCAGAGGAAAAAAATTTGCAATTTATTTCTGGGACTTCCAACTTCATAACACATTTATCCTCTAGCCACATCTCCAGGGAATACTCCAAAACAGCATCCAGTATTTTCTATACATACGGTTCAGAAAATCTGGAGAAAACTCCACACTCACACACTCTGATGTTGTTTAAAATTAATAGCAATCTTACTTTTCTCTTACTTTATTTGTTATGGTTACTGCCATCTCCTATTTCCTTCAGGAACTGTTTTAAACATTCATCTTTCCTTCATTAATTTACCCACACTCCCTTCATGCTTGGCAGACAGTCTCACCTTCTGTTCCACAGAAGAAACATAAAGCATTAGATAAGTTCATCTAATGCCATTCTCTGTATTTCCAACCACTCTTCTATCTTACTTCAGTCTATAATCAAGTTCAAATATTTAAAGTATTGTTAAAAATTAGGTCCACTCATGAAACTGTTGCTAAATGCAAGGAAGTTATTATTGCCCCTGACCAGAAAAGTTCTGGTACAGAGATACAGGTGGAAGCCTGATTTCAATAGGCAGAGTGAATGGGTAGCCTTTCCCACTCCTTATTTTTCATTTCTTTACATCTAATATAGAATGAATGATCAACAACTTCTCTTTAACCAACAACTTATCCTTACTTCCATGTTGGCTGTAATATCCCTAAACTTGGAAGTTAAAAATTATATGAACACATTTATCTGTCTTTGCGTTGGAGTAGTTTTCTTAAGTCACAGTGCACCTAGTTCAGGGTTTCTCAACAGAAGAACAATTGACATTTTGGGCTGCATAATTCTTCATGTGTGGGGCTTTTTAAATATGGTGAAACAAAGCCACAGAAAGGCTAAAGAACTTTCCCTAGCTTCTGGAAACCTTTAGTCACATTTAGTAAGAGGTGGCATGGTGATTTGAAGAGATGATTTTTATGTGTACAGTAAATTTATAAGCAGTTGGTTCCACTATTCCACCTGATTCTCCTATTTTACTGTAGTTTGAATACTTCCATTGAAAAATGTATTTTAAATGTCTGGCCAGAATGAGTCTCGGAGATGGCTCGTGATTGATAGGGCCATGACAGAGATTAGGATCAGAGTGCAGTCTGAGGTTGTATTCCATAGAAGCACAGTCTCTCCTCTCCACCAACCAACTTCACATGCCAGTTATGTAACTCATAACAGCTTAGTGACATGGTCCATACTCTTTTTCAAAATATAAGCAAATTAATATTAGTAAAGTAGTTGCTAAGAGACTCCCATTTGGCCTATGTGTCTGTTTTTGTACCACTATCATGTTGTTTTGGTTAATGTAGCCTTGTAATATAGTTTGAAGTTGGGTAGTATGATGCCTCCAGTATTTTTCTTTTTGCTTAGTATTGCTTTTGCTATTTGGGCTCTTTCTTGATTTCAAATGAAGTTTAGAATATTTTTTCTAATTCTGTGAAAAACAATATTGGTAGTTTGATAGGAATAGCATTGAACGTGTAGATTGCTTTGGAGAGTATGGTCATTTTAACAATATAAATTCTTCCAATCCATGAGCATGGGTTTTTTTCCCCATTTATTTGTATCCTCTATGATTTCTTTCTTCAGTATTTTGTAGTTTTCCTCAAAGAAATCATTCACTGCTTTGGTTACGTGGATTCCAACATACTTTATTCTTTTTGTGGCTATTGTGAATCGGATTGTATTATTGATTTGGCATTCAGCTTCAATGTTATTGGTATATAGAAATACTACTGATTTGTACATTGATTTTGTATCCTGAAACTTTACTGAAGTTTTTATCAGCTCTACAAGCCTTTTGGCAAAGTCATTAAGGTTTTCTAGGTATAGAATCGTATTGTCAGCAAGGAGATAATTTGACTTCCTCTTTTCCTATTTTGTTGCTTTTTATTTCTTTCTCTTGCCTGATTGTTCTGACTAGGATTTCCAGCACTATGTTGAATAGGAATGGTGAGAGTTGGCATCCTTGGCCTGTTCCAGTTCTTAAGTGTAACACTTCCAGCTTTTGCCAATTCAGTATAATGTTGGCTGTGGGTTTGTCATAGTGGGCTCTTATTATCTTGAGGTATGTTTCTTCCATGCCTAGTATGTTGAGGATTTTTTTCATGAAGGGATGTTGGATTTTATCAAAACATTTTTTCTGCATTCATTGAGATGATTAAATGGTTTTGTTTTTAATTGTTTATGCGGCAAGTCATGTTTATTGATTTGCATATGTTGAACCAACCTTGCGTACTGGTAGTGAAGCCTGCATGATAGTGGTGAATTAGCTTTTTGATGTGCTGCTGGATTCCATCTGCTAGTATTTTATTGAGAAATTTTGCATCTATGTTCATCAGGGATATTTGTCTGTAATTTTCTCTTTTGTTGTTGTGTCTTTACTAGATTTTGGTATCAGAGTGATGCTGGCTTCGTAGAATGAGTTAGGGAGGAGTCCTCTTCCCCATTTTTAAAAAATATTTCAGTAGGATTGGTACCAGCTTTTCTTTGTACATCTGGTAGAATTTGGCTATGAATCCACCTGTTTCAGGGCCCTTTTTATTTGGTAGGTTTGTTTTTCAATTTCAGAACTCTATATTGATCTCTCCAGGGTTTTGATTTCTTCCTGGCTCAATCTTGGGGTGTTGTGACCTTCCAGGAATTTATTCATTTCCTCTAGAGTTTCTAGTTTGTGTGCATAGTGGTGTTCATAATAGTCTCTGAGGATTTTTTATATATCCGTGGGGTTGGTTGTTATTTCACTTTTGCCATTTCTGATTGCACTTATTTAGATCTTCTCTTTCTTTGTTGTTAATTTAGCTGGTGTCCTATTGATCTGGTTGACAAGAACCAGCTTTCGGTTATTACTTTGCATGTATTTTTGAGTCTCAATTTCATTCAGTTCTCTAATGAATTTTGGTTATTTATTGTCTTCTAGCTTTGGGACTAGTTCTTGTTTTTCTAGTTCTCTAGGTGTGATGTTAGATTGTTAATTTGAGATCTTTCTAATTTTTTGATGTAGGTATTTAGTGATGTAAGCTTTCCTAACACTGCTTTAGCTGTATTCCAGAGATTTTAAAATATTGTGTCTCCATGCACACGTATGTTTATAGCAGCACTACTCACAATAGCAAAGACTTGGAACCAACCCAAATGTCCATCAGTGATAGACTGGATTAAGAAAATGTGGCATTTATATACAAAGGAATACTATGCAGCCATAAAAAATGATGAGTTCATGTCCTTTGTAGGGACATGGATGAAGCTGGAAACCATCATTCTCAGCAAACTATTGCAAGGACAAAAAAACCAAACACCACATGTTCTCACTCATAGGTGGGAATTGAACAATGAGAACACTTGGACACAGCAAGGGGAACATCACACACCGGGGCCTGTCGTGGGGTGGGCGGAGGAGGCAGGGATAGCATTAGGAGATATACCTAATGTAAATGACGAGTTAATGGGTGCAGCACACCAACATGGCACATGTATACATATGTAGCAAACTTGCACGTTGTGCACATGTACCCTAGAACTTAAAGTATAATAAAATATGTATATAAAAAAGTAAAAATAAAAAATAAAATATTGTATCTCTGTTTTTATTTATTTTAAATAATTTTCTAAATTTTTGCCTTAATTTTATTGTTTACCCAAAAGTTACTCAGAATAAAGTTATTTAATTTCCATGTAATTTTGTGGTTTTGAGAGAACTTACCGGTATTGATTTGTATTTTTATTCCACCATGGCCCAAAGTATAGTTTGTATGATTTTGAATTTTTTAACTTTATTGAGACTTGCCTGATGTCCAAGCATGTGGTCAATCTTAGCATATGTTCCATATGCAAATGAGAAGAATGTATATCCTATGGTTGCTGGGTGGAGTGTTCTGTAGATGTCTATTATGTCCAATTGGTCAAATGTCGAATTTAACTCCAGGATTTCTTTGTTAGTTTTCTGCCTTGATGATCTAACTCTGTCAATGGGATGTTGAAGTCACCCACTCCCATGGTGTGGCTAAGTATTTTTGTAGGTCTAGCAGTACTTGTTTTATGAATCTAGGTGCTCCAATTTTATTTGCATATATATTCAGGATAGTTAAGCCATGTGGTTGGATCAAACCCTTTATCATTGCATAGAGCCCTTCTTTATCCTTTTTTGACTACTGTTGTTTTAAAGTCTATTTTATCTGAAATAATAATTGTAACCCCTGCTCTTTTTTGTCTTCTGTTTGGGTGATAGATCTTTCTCCTACCCTTTACCTTGAGTCTATCAGTGTCATCACGTGTAAGATGGGTCTCTTGAAGACAGCAGATGGGTGAGTCTTGTTTTTTATCCAACTTGCCACTCTGTGCCTTTGAAGTAGGGTGTTAAGACCATTCACATTCAAGGTTAATATTAATATGTGAGATTTTGATCATATCGTAAAGTTGTTAGCTGGTTGCTTTGTAGTTTCTATTGTGTGGTTGCCATATAGGGTCTGTGGACTATGTAGTTAAGTGTGTTTTTGTAGTAGCAGTTATTATTCTTTCCATGTTTAGAAATCCATTATGGATCTCTTGTAAGGCTGGTTTAGTGGTAATGACTTCCCTTAGCTATTGCTTATCTGAAAAATATTTTAGTTCTTGTTAACTTATGAAGCTTGGTTTGGTGTTGTATGAAATTCTTGGTTGGAGTCTCTTCCTTAAAAAATGCTGAATGTAAGTCCCCCATAAGATTTCTGCTGAGAAGGCCCCCAATAAGTTTATAATGTTTCCTCTGTTTGCTGTTAGCCTGATGGGATTCCCTTTGTATGGGATCTAACCTTTTTTTCTAGCTGCCTTTAAAGTTTTTTCTTTAGCATTGACCTTGGGCATTCTGGTCACTATATACCTTGGTGATGTTTATTTTATATAGGATCTGGCAGGTCTTCTCTGGATTTATTATATCTGTATGTCTACTTCCCTAGCAAGATAAAGGAAAATTTCTCAAATTATTCCCTCAAATATGTTTTCCATGTTTTTTACTTTTTCTTTTTCTCTCTCATTAATGCCAGTCATTCACAGGTTTTGCCATTTTACACAACCCATGTGTCTTGGAGACTTTGTGCCAAGAATTTTAAGAATTTTTAAATTTCTTTTTTCTTTGTTTTTGTCTGACTGGGTAAGTTTGAAAGACCAATCTTCAAACTCTGAAATTCTTTCTTCTGTTTGGTCTAGTCTATTGGGAAAGCATTCAATTGTATTTTGAAATTCCTTAAGTGAGTTTTATAGTTTTCATTGCTCTGAATGATTTCTTTTTAAGATGTTTGCATCTTCTTTTATTTCCTGGATTGCTTTACAGGTTTCTTTGTACTGATTTTTAACCTTATTTTGGATCTCATTGAGTTTCCCTGTAATCCATACTTTGAATTCCTCCTCTGTCATCCTCCTGCCTCCATTTTGGTTAAGAACCATTGCTGGAAACCTAGAGTCAGCCTTTGATGATGTCATTCCATTCAGATTTTTAATGGTGGCAGAATTCTTGTGCTGGTTCCTTCTCATCTGGAGAGTGTTGTACTAGGTAGGGTCTTTGGGGTTGTTTCTATAGTCCTATGCACTTCTGTCAGCAGGTTTTGTGTTGGGCTGTGTGGTTTGACCTATGACTCAGGATATGGCATTTGCAGGTAAGAGTCAGCTGCCACACAAGTAGGTGGGAGGGGAGCTGACCTTTATTTACTGTGAGGTGCTCTCTGTTGTTTCAGGTGAAGGACTGGACAGTGGGGTGGGTGTCCAGTGTTCTGAGCTTCCTAATTTGTGAGGGTGGTGGGATATACCTGGGCAGAGCTGGAAACGTGGCTTTCCCACGAATATCTCAATGACAGGTGCAGGCACCAGCCCTGATGGGTGTGGCTAGGAGAAGCTCCTGATAAAATGTGCTGAGGTCTTCGTGAGCCCCCTCACTTCCTTGGTGAATCTTGACATGCTCTCTTAGAGAATTCACCTGAAGAGCTACTATTTACTTGCCACTTTCTTTCCTCTCTTTGAGAGTAGCATACTCTAGCTGCTTCCAGTCAGCCATCTTGAACCTCCATAACCATTTTGAAGATGCAAATTGTGGTAGCAGCTGCAGTCAAGAGATATTAAAAATAAGTTATGGCCGGGTGCGGTGGCTCACGCCTGTAATCCCAGCATGTTGGGAGGCTGAGGCAGACAGATCACAAGGTCAGGAGATAGAGACCATCCTGGCCAACATGGTGAAACACATCTCTACTAAAAATTCAAAAATTAGCTGGGTGTGGTGGTGCGCGGTCCTGTAGTCCCAGCTACTCAGGAGGCTGAGGCAGGAGAATCACTTGAACCCGGGAGGCAGAGGCTGCAGTGAGCTGAGATTGCACCACTGCACTCTAGGCTGGTGACAGAGTGAGACTCCATCTCAACAAAAAAAAGGGATTCATTTATTCATTATCTTTTCTTTAGAATTAAGTTTAAGTTTTAAATACAGTATAAGAAATAGCTTTGGAAATAACTAAGGGTTCTACCCTAATTAAAATACATATAATTTAACTGGGTATGATGGCACATGCCAGCAGTCCTAGCTCCTCAGTATGCTGAGGTGGGAGGATGAGCCCAGGAGCCTGAGGCTGTAGTGAACCATGATCACACCTGTGAATCACCACGGCACTCCAGCCTGGGCAACATAGCAAGACTGTCTTTAAACAAACAAAACAAAATACACATCAGTATATGAGTGTTGACGAGTCACTTGGTAATGAGTCTCATATTTCTGCATTTTTCTTTTTCATCTGTGAGTTCTAGAAAGAAGTAGGAAAAACCACTATATCAAACAGCCTCTTTGGACTTTATTCTAAACCACGTAAAATCTCACCAGATTTCTTTGTGTGTCTCAGTAATTGATCTTAGAAATTATATCTGGAGGTGCAGGTTGAGGTATCCAAAGAGGAAAGAGTGGCAATATTTTGGGAGTTTCCAGTCAACAATAAAGGACCAAGAGTGTCCAGCACAGGAGTGGCCTCAGTGATTGAAGTAAGTGAATTCAGCTATAATTGAAGCTGGTAAGAGGGCCTTTTAAAAATTAAAAGTTGATACAGTACAAGAAAGTAAGTTACTGCTGCTTACCATTCAGAGACTTACGGGTGCTTGCCTGCATTATAATAAAAGAACTTAATTATTGAGCAAGACCTATATTTATCTCTTCACTTTGGACAGCCTAATAAACTATTATTACAGTTTCTCTATTGACTTTCAAACGTTTTGAAGTTTGAAAGACACCTTTGCAATTAACACAGCATGAGCACAACCAGAACAGAGAACGCTGTTATAATGGGTCTGTCCAGTCAAAATGGTCAGCTGAGGGGTCCCCTGAAACCCAGTGGTGGCCCTAGAGGAGAGGCCACACAGACACAGCAACAGACGAACCAGCTGAAAAACACCAACACAATAATAGCACTCAACCACAAGCGCAGAGTATGACCACCACTATTAAGCCTGGTGATAATTGGAAGAAGACTTTAAAACTCCTTCCAAAGGATCTAAGAATCAAAATGTTGGATGTGACCTCTACAAGAGGATATTAATTTGAAGATTACTGTTTGAAACGGCAGTTACTGATGAGAATTTTTGAAATGGGATGGAAAAAGCCATCTCCTTTCCAAGAAGAGAGCATTCCCATTGCTTTATCTGGTAGGGATATCTTAGCTAGAGCAAAAAATGGAACAGGCAAGAGCAGTGCCCATGACATTCCCCTACTTAAAAGGCTAGACCTGAAGAAGGACACTATACAAACAATAGTGATTGTTCCCACAGGAGGACCTGCTCTACAGGTCAGTCAAATTTGCATCCAGGTCAGCAAACACATGGGAGGAGTCAAAGTGGTGATGACCACAGGAGGAACCAATTCAGGAGATGACGTACTGAGGCTGGATGATACAGTGCACATGGTGATTGCTGCCCCTGGGAGAATCCTGAATCTTATTAAGAAAGGAGTAGCAAAGGTCAGTCATGTCCAGGTGATAGTATTGGATGAGGCAGATAAGTTTCTGTCCCAGGATTTTGGGCAGTTAATGGAAGATATTATTCTCATGCTACCTGAAGACAGGCAGATTTTACTACATTCTGCTACTTTCCCTCTTAGTATACAGAAGTTCATGAATTCCCATTTGCAGAAACCCTGAGACTAACCTGATGGAAAAACTAACTCTGAAGGACATAACCCAGTACTACGCATATGTAACTGAGCACCAAAAAGTACACGGCCTCACCACACTTTTCTCCAGGCTTCAGCTAAACCAGATGATCATTTTCTTTAACTGCTCTCAGCGAGTTGAATGGCCAGCCAAAATTTCTCAACTGGGTTATTTTTGTTTCTACATTCATGCTAAAATGAGGCAGGAACATCAAAATTGTGTATTTTATTATTTCTGAAATGGCTTATTCTCATTTGCACTGATCTGTTTACTTGAGGTATTGATATACAAGCTGTGAATGTGGTAATAAACTTTGACTTTTCAAAGCTAGAAGAGACCTATCTCCGTCATATTGGAAGACCAGGTCACTTTGGCCATTTTGGCTTAGCCATCAACTTGATCACATATGGCGATCACTTCAACCTGAAAGGTATTGAGGAGCAGCTGGGAAAAGAAATAAAACCTATTCCAAGCAACATTGACAAGAGCCTGCATGTGGCAGAATTCCACAGCAAGGCTGTAGAAAATGAGAAGCCTTAATAAGCACTCTTTGACAAACTGTGGAAGCCTTGTTTGGATCTATGACATACCATTTTTTAGAGAGGAGTGCTCTTCTCTTTGTGAGTTTTTCATCTTTTATTTCAGAACTATGAAGACTTAAAAGAGTTCAGAATTTTTTTTTTCCTTTTTTAACTGGTGAAGAGAAAAAAGCTGAAAAGAAGGAATATTCCTTTTTTTTTGTTCCATCTGTTTGCACTGTATGCTAAGTGAACATTAGTTGCACTAACTGCTGGTTTTAAAAAAATGTTTTCTGGGGAAAGGGGACAGGAAAGGAAAAGAAAGAAGGGGAGAAACCCTAAAAAGAGAAGAATCTTAATGAACACAAAAGCTTGTCTATTATTTCAAAATTCTCCAACATCTGACTCTCGAGGACATTTCAACTTCTCCCTAGTCATCCATTTTTTTTTTAAGCCTGAGGAGCTTATTACTCATTTGTGTGAAGTGCTGTATGCTCTGAGTTATTCAGAATATCATCTTTTAGACACAGACCAAAGAATCAACAGTAGTACTCTTTCTTTCCTTTATTCTTTAAAAAATTTTTGTCTTTTAATTTTGGTTTTAGGGTGAAGTCTCTGTTTTCTTTCTACCCAATACTGAAGCCCAGAGCTGGTAGATGAAACTTATTAGTCAGTTAAATACCATTTTCTTTTTCTTTATATTGGAGGAGTTGATATGCAGCTGCAGTTCATCCACACTGTAAACACATGTATTAAAAAAATCCCAACAGGGCATGGTGGCTCACGCCTGTAATCCCAGCACTTTGGGAGGCCGAGGCAGATAGATTATCTGAGGTCAGGATCTTGAGACCAGCCTGACCAACACAGTGAAACCCTGTCTTTACTAAGAATACAAAAAAATTAGCCAGGCGTGGTGGCAGGTGCCTGTAATCCCAGCTACTTGGGAGGCTGGGGCAAGAGAATTGCTTGAACCTGGGAGGCGGAAATTGCGGTGAACTGAGATCGTGCCATTGCACTCCAGCCTGGGCAACAGAGCAAGACTCCGTCTCAAAATAATAATAATTCCAAGTAAAAATTTATTCTGGTCTGAGTAGATAAAACATCAATGCTCCCAAAGGAAAAGCAGTCTATCATTGGAGGAGCCTTATGACAAGCCTTTGTGCTCTATAGCAAACACTAAAGACTGGTTTACATACGTCTCCAGTAACAATATGGCACTTGACTTGTAGACATGTCAGAACCTTGACCCTATTTCTTTTGTGGCAGAGTGTGTTGCGTTGAAAATTGAGTGTGTATACTTTTATCAACCTTGTAAATAAGTGTATATGTATATATACATATATATGATAAAGGTTGATGGGATTAAGGGGATTAGAGTGATTATGGGAGCAGCTAAAGATGAAGGGGCTCAGTTTACTCAGCACTAAATTCTAGAAAGCACTTTGGCCTCTTGCTGTAGAGAGCAGGTTTCTATGGTACCCTTGGTTAGGAAAGGGACACAGAAATCTGGGATGTCCTGTTTGCTCCCACGCTGTCTCATCTAGTACCCCTGGAGGAGGCTTACCAGAGAGAGCAACGAAGCGTCAAAAATTGATAATTCAAGATTTTTTTTTTTTGAGAAGCTCTTTTATTTTGCTTCTTCACCCTTTCTAAAAGTTTAAGGAATTTTTCAAGCTCTCCAAAAGAGGGCAAAGATTAATCTACCATGCATCTACCTTGCAGTGTGGGGATTCTGTTGAGTGGTAGTATTGTTGAGCAGTACATGCATAAAGCACAGATTCGCATTTCATAGTATTAGCCAGTACCAGCTTTGGTGATGTTAGGAGTTCTGGAGCTTAATTTTCTATGGATCATCTGTAGTGTGTAAATGTATTGCCTTCTGCCCACCTTGATACATAAACTTTTGCAGGAATGGACAACCCCTGAGAACTGTTTAACTTTCATACCACACAAAGCTGCTTGCCATTCTCTTGTGTTATGACAATAATTGTTATCTGTCATTTTGTACTGTAAATTCCTGGCAAATGCTTTACAGTCAATAATGTTGCTTTAAATTGTTGCCCTCCCAACATGCTTGATGTTTGGCCTAATCTCCAGGCCAAAAGACTGAGATGAATCAAAACCAGTGAACTTTTTTTTAATGTTTTTGAATTCCCTTTTAACCCAGTGTACTAGGTCAATCAGAAGGCATCTGGGAGGAGAAAAAAAAGCAAAAAATAATTTTTAAAAAATTGATTCCCATATTGCATTGATTTTTAAAAACCTAAAATATACACGTTTGTATTTAACTCATATGGACAAAGGGATTAATTATTTGAAGTTGCTTTTTTGACTCTGCCCACTTCTATTTTTTTTCCCAAGACAGAGTCTCACTGTGTCACCCAGGCTGGAATGCAATGGCATGATCTTGGCTCAGTGCAACCTCCGCCTCCCGGGTTCAAGAGATTCTCCCTGTCTCAGTCTCCCAAGTAGCTGGGATTACAGGTGCCCACCTGTAATACACCAGGTGTATGTGACTCACCCACAATTCCTTGGAGATCAAAATCCTACAGATGCCTCCTGATCAGACACAGCCCTAACTCTTCAACAACTGTGGCAAGAGCTGCACAGTACAAACCCAAAAAAGAGCAATCTCATTTATTTGGAATCCAAGTCACGTATGTTCTGTCCAGTCAATGTTGGTTACTAAATACAAACCTTAATTCAGGAAGTAACCTTTTTTTTTTTTTGCATGAAGCGCTGGGAGAGGGAATTTAAACGGTATCAACTTTTGACCAAAAAGTCTTGTTCTTGTACTGACGCAGCATTCTTTCTCCTACACCTCCTGCAAGAGGGATCATTAATATAGAAGAAATGCAAGGAAAGAGTGTAAATGTAATTCTGTATCTCGCTAAAAAACATGTGAGTGACCAATCAAAAGTTCAGTCTTCTTTTCCAGTCTTACACTGCTCTGCCTGGTGCTGAGTTCCTGTGGGTCCCTCTTAAAGTACAGACTTAAAATTGGAAGTATTGCTGAAGTATAACATCTAATGACGAGTGGCACTTAAACTATCTGGGACACCACTATTGGACACAGTGTTACAGAGGCAGCTGTCCAGCTTGTTGCTTGGTTCTTGAATATAAATCATGAAATGGAAATATGCTCTAAGGACTTGGTCAAAGCCTGGTCTTTTTTTTTGTCCCTCATATTAAGGAGGATTGTTACTACTGGAAAGTGTTTTCAGATTATTTCCAATATTGGAATGTATTTTTTAAAGTAATGGTAATATTTTTTCCAGTGGTTCATTTGGATGATAACTAGTTCCTATTTTTAATATTAAAACTATATTCAACTCATGGTTTAGCCTTTGGTTGCATCGTTGTGTAATGGGTTATGGACTGTCACACACCTTCCCACCTCTGGGCCTGTGTGTTTTCTCTCCCCGTATGTTCTGACGGGATGGAAACTTTTTTGTCTTTCCCTTAGGAAAGGAATAAAGTTATTCTAAAATGATCTTTTACTGAAGTAAGGGAGAGGGAAACCTAAATATACCTCTAAATTATTTCAAGTTGGTCCCAGTATCATAAGATGGGTTGGCCTGAAATGGTAAGAGGGTGGGGTTGGTTATCAGTATTTGTTTTCAGAATGAGGCGGGAGTGTCTTTCGTTTGCCACGTGCTTTGTGCTTGACACCTTCATGCTTGATTAGAACAAGACAACTCAGCATAAAGCCTTGAGTGTAAATTGTTAAGAGTCAAAATATCTCATTCTGATAACTTAGTTTAACTGTTTTCTTTTTAATAGGGATGGGAGAAACCGTACTTTGCCCCCAAAGGGAGAGTGTCTGCACTAAAAATGTAGAAACTCTTTGGAAGCTCATAACCTTATCAGACACTGCCTTTACCACACTCCTGACCTTCTAGATTAGTAACAAAAGAGATGAAATAAGTTCTTGGGAATTAAGCTATATTATCTTAATTTGAGAATTTTTTTCAATGTTCTAGGTATCTTTAAATGTGTTATTGTGGAATTATTTTCTTGCCAAATACCTTCGTCAAGCAAAAATTACTGGTCTCATGAGAGCTGAAGTAACTCAGCTCTTTGGCGAACTTCAGTGGACTTTGGTGAGCTCATAGCTCTACTTTACGTCTTTAAAAACAGTTTTTTTTAAAACTCTCAAATCTACTCTCAGATACTTTTAAACATATTGTTTCCTTAGAAGATTCAGGACTTTTTTTATTTTACGTCTTTCATACTGGAAGTCTGGACTATATGATAAAAATATTTCAATTTCGTACTCTTCTAACACCTGGAATTTGGAGCCCTTAAAATTTTCATATAGAAGGGAAATAGTTTAGTAAGTTATGGGGTTTTGTCATCCTTAGCATTGGTTCTCAAATTTTAGCAGACATTTGAGTTGCCTGAAGATCTTGTTAAAACATAAGGACCTAAGTCTAAGCCTCAAACTCATGAATTCTGATTCAGTAGGTCTGGAATGGCACTCATGAATTTGAATGCCTAACAAGCACCCAGGTACTGCTGCTGCTAGTCCAAGAGCCAAACTTGGAGAATCAATGCACTCTAAATCACATATTTCCAAAAAAGAAACAGGAACATTTAACCCTTTAAAAATTAATGGATCTCTAATGCCAGACCTCCTGGAAAACTAGAAGTCAGTACTTAACATTTTTTTATGCTACAAATTTGAGCCTTTGTGTCAAAATTAGATTTAGAACAGCTATTTTGGTCATAAATTATGATCTCTAACAATCAGAAATATCTACTGAAATATTCAAAAACAAATCTAGCAACAATATCTGCAAATCTCATATGATAGCTAAATCCATTAATATGTATATTAAAATTTTTGCAACAACTTTGTAAGTACTTAGAAATAAAGGTAAGTCCATAATGTTGTTTTATATTTTGGAGTTGTCTCACCATCTTGTATACACATTTTAGTATTTTTAATAATAATATAATTGTTACAAAAATTCCTCTGAAGCTATGTGGATATACATTATTTTTTTAAAGGCTACATAGCATTCTGCTCAGATAACAATTCACAATTTGCAGAAAAATTTTCTTTATTTATTTAACAAATATTTATTGATTGCCTATTGTATACCAGTCACTTTTCCAGTTTTTCATTATTATAAGCAGCATTAGTCAATGTTTTCTGTAATCATTATCACATTCAACAAACCAGGTTAAATAGCTCTATTAATATTTTTTCTTAATTATGAATAACATAACAACTAAGTGATAGCATAAGCGTATTTATAAATATTGCATTTTCTGCAGTTGGTTTTTTCCTTAAAATTAAAGAATATAAGATTATTCAGTTTAAGTTTATTTCTAAAACTGTATGCATTTAAATATTGATAAATTCCTCTCTAAAATTATTGTAAAATATTATATTGCTTCCAGTATTGTTCTCCCTCAGTCTAGCCAACATGAGGAATTTATCATTTGTTATTTTTTATACTTAATAATAGAAGGCATACTGTATCATATATAAGTACATAACAACTACAGTCAGATTGCTTGGGTTTAATTCTAGTGCTACCATTTATCCTTTGTGAGGTGACTTTAGTCGCTTAATCTTTCTGCATCTGTAAAATGAGCATATTGAATAAATAATTCTGTAAAGTGCTTAGCAGAGTGACTCAAAAATGGACACTTAATGGTGCTACATATTATGTCCATTAATGTTTTGTTTAAAATTTTATTACAAAGAAATCATAGACAAGACAAACAAATGGGAACACATCCTATGCTCATGGATGGGTAGAATCAATATTTTGAAAATGACCATACTGCCAAAAGCAATCTACAGATTCAATGCAATTCCCATCAAAATACCCCCACCATTCTTCACAGAATTAGAAAAACAATTTTAAAATTGATATGGAACCTAAAAAGAGCCTGCATATTCAAAGCAAGACTCAGCAAACAGAACAAATCTGGAGGCATCACATTATCCAACTTCAAACTATACTGTAAGGCCATAGTCACCAAAACAGCACAGTACTGGTCTAAAAATAGGCACATAGACTAATGGAACAGAATAAATAACCCAAAAATAAAACCAAATACTTAACAGCCAACTGATCTTTGACAAAGCAAAGAAAAACAGGAAGTGGGGAAAGGACACCCTGTTCAACAAATGGTGCTGGGATAATTGGCAAGCCACATATAGGAGAATGAAACTGGATCATCATCTCTCACCTTATACAAAAATCAACTGAAAATGAGTCAAATACTTAAATCTAAGACCTGAAACCATAAAAACTCATGACATCAGAAAAACCCTTCTAGATATTGGCTTAGGCAACGATTTCATGACCAAGAACCCAAAAGCAAATGCAACAAAAACAAGGATAAATAGATAGGACTAAAAAGCTTCTGCACAGCAAATGAAATAATCAGCAGAGTTAACAGACAACTTACAGAGTGGGAGAAAATATTCACAATCTATACATCTGACAAAGGACTAATATCCAGAATCTACGAAGAACCCAAACAAATCAGCAAGAAGAAAACAAAGAATCCTATCAAAAATTGGGCTAAGGACAGGAATAGACAACTCTCAAAAGAAGATATACAAATGGCCGACAAGCATATGGAAAAATGCTCAACATCACTAATGATCAGGGAAATGTAAATCAAAACCACAGTGTGATACCACGTTACTCTTGCAAGAATGGCCATAATCAAAAATTCAAAAAATAATAGATGTTGGCGTGGATGTGGTGAAAAGGGAACACTTTTACACTGTTGGTGGGAATGTAAACTAGTATAACCATTATGGAAAACAATGTGGAGATTCCTTAAAGAACTAAAGGTAGAACTACCAGTTGATCCAGCAATCCCACTACTAGGTATCTATCCAGAGGAAAAGAAGTCATTATATGAAAAAGATTCCTTGCACACACATGTTTATAGCAGCACAATTTGCAACTGCAAAAATATGTAACCAGTCCAAATGCCCATCAATCAATGAGTGGATAAAGAACATATGGGAGATGTATACGTATACACCATGGAGTACTATTCAGCCATTAAAAGGAACAAAATAATGGCATTCACAGCAACTGAGATGGAATTGGAGACCATTATTCTAAGTGCAGTAACTCAGGAATGGAAAACCAAACATCACATGTTCTCATTCATAAGTGGGAGCTAAGCTATGAGGATGCAAAGGCCTAAGAATGACAGAATGGATTTTGAGGACTCAGGGGAAAGGGTGGGAGCAGGGTGAGGGATAAAAGACTACATATTGGGTACAGTGTACACTGCTTGGGTGATGAGTTTACCAAAATCTCAAAAATCACCACTAAAGACCTTATTCATGTAACCAAACACCATCTGTTCCCCAAAAACCTATTGAAATAAAAAATAAATTAAAAAAATTGTTTAATAGAAGGGGATTTAATATCTTTAAGTAGCACATCAACTAATAAATGTGAAAGAGATGGTAGACTTAGAAAATCACCATTTTGCTACAATTATAATAAAAATTATAAGCAAAAATTTAAGCAAAAATTATCAGTGAATACTTAAATGAGTAGGTCAAAGTTTGGGGAATAAAGAATATTTATGTATTGTCAAAGTACCTCTCCACAAATTACTTATAAATTACTAAGGGGAAAATAGTAAATTTATAATGGAGAAACCTGGCAGAACCATCTTAGCCAACTGATTATAGCTAATATCACCAGTAATGGGACAGATCAACATGTGCCTTCCGATGTAATGTGCTGAGAAGACAATCTCATGTCTATTTTCCTATATGACATTTATGACCTAGATCTAATCAGAGGAAATATCAGACAGACCCAAACTGAGTGACATTCTACAAAATAACAGGAACTCCAAGCTGCCAACGTTATAAGAGAAAAGACTGAGGAGCTAATCCAGATTAAAAGACCCTCAAAGGACATGACCACTAAGTGAAATTTTTATTCCTGAGTTGAATTTTAGACTAGGAAATAAAATCAATATAGGATATCATTTGGATAATGGATTAAATTTGAATATTGACTCTGGATGACATAATATTATTGTATGAATGGTATTTTTTTATTATTGGTCATTTTACTAGTTATGCAAGAGAATGTCTGTTCTTAGGAAATACACATTGTTCAAAAGGTTAAAAAAATGTTTATTAAAAGAGTAAATGATAAAGCAACTAGGGCAAAAATGTTAATAATTTGTGAATCTGGGTAAAGGATATATGAGTATTATTTGTTCTATTCTGATAATCTCTATGTAACCTTGAAATTATGTCAAAATAAAATGTTTAAAAATAAATAAATAAATAGATAGATAAAATTTTATTACACAAAATTGTCCAGGAAATAGGGAAGAAGAAACACTTCCAATTTGTCTTATGAGGCCAGTATCAACTTGATAACAAAATTAAACGAAGACATTATACACACACACACACAGACATACACACAGACGAAAAATAACTTTAACCATTCCAATAGATACAGCAAAACATTTGAAAAAATTTAACATTTACTAAAGATAAAATCGCTGAATTACTGAGCATACTCAGATGAAAAGGGAATGTTTGATCTGAAGAAAAGACTCTACATAAAAGCTACAGTATATATCATACTTGATGAAATACTTTAAATTTCCACTATAGGTTAAGAAATAAGATAAGAATGACTACTGTCAATATTTCTTCTCAGTAGCCCAATAGAGCCAGGAAAATGACAAAGAAGGTATAAAATTTGAAAATAGATGATGTGGTTGGGTACATAAAGATCTGGAAAGGAAATATACCTAAACTATTAGAATTAAATAGTAAACTAAATAAAATACAAAGGCCATAAAATTTTAGTAGCATCAAAAGCCTCCCAATATTTAGGAACAAATTTAATTAAATATTGGCAAAATCTCTACATTGAAAACTACAAACGATTACTAAAAAAATTTTAAATAGACAAATAAATCAAGGAATATTACATTTTTATAAAGTGGAAGTTTCAATATTGCTAAGAAGTCAATTCTTCCCAAATTTATGTTTAAATTCATTGTGATTCTCAGTAAAATGCAAGCAGGTTTTTGGCTTTATGGAAATTCACAAAATGATTCTATTAATATCTAAATGCATGCAACCAAAAGCCACAATGACATGAAGAAAAACCAAGTTGGAGAAGTCACACCACTGGATATCAAAACTTACAAAGCTATGATAACTAACTAGAACTATGGCATAGAATCAAGTATCAAGAATCACATCACATATAAACATCACCAAATTTATGACAAATATGCTAAACTGATTTTAATGATAATTTTAGCCATAAATACTTACATTAAAAAAGAAAAAAATAAATGTTAACTAGCTAAGTCTCTAATGTGAAAAATTACAAATACAAATGGAAAAATTTCAAAATAAGTGGAAGAAATGATACAGTGTTACGATAAGAGCAAGAGTTATTGAAATTAAGAACAATAGAGGGAAAGATATTAAATGTCAAATTTCTGGCAAAATCTTTTAAGAATAATAGCTGATAATGCACAAATTAATAATATTAGGGATTGAAAGGAAATGTAACTTCAGGTAACCACAAAAATAAGATAAGATAAAAGAATAAATTATGAAACGTTATGCCAATAGGTTTGAAAAAATAGTGAATATAATTTAGTAATGATGAAGAACAATTTAAAAAATATACTGGCTTCCTTGCTATTAATTATACATTCTAAGAATGCTCCTATCTCTGGACTTTGCATTGGTTTCTCTGCTTGGAATGTTTTTCCTCAGATACTCAATTAGCTAACTGTATTTAAGCTTTATTTTTACATGTGGTGCTATTAGTGAAAACTTTACAATATGAAATAGTTTGTTTCCTGCACTATGTCACTTGCCTTGCTTTCTTTAGCTCTGTAATGTGTGTTGCCATCTAACCCGGTTCATGCTTACATGTTTATTTGTTAGTGGTTTCTCTACCACTATAGATTGCACTTCATGAATATGAAAACTTTGTCTAATTCATCACTACTGGATTTTCAGTTGGAGTTCCAATAAATTCACATGAATAAATGATGAATAAAAGAATTAAAACTGTATGATGGTCTTAATAGACATAGGAAAAAGAAACATTGCATACAAGTCAGCATATATTTATGATGAAAAGTTTAGCAGACCTGAAATAAGAAGGGACTTTGTCAATTTAATAAAGGCTCCTGGGGTAGATCAGTACTTTAGTGGGCTCAAGGAACCATGCCCCCAGTACTCACGTTTGTTTCACAATGACTTACTCCACAGTTGGCCATGTGATAAGTTTGACCAATGTGACAGATCTAAGCAGAGGCTTGATAAATGGTTGTACCTGTGGCTTATATTCTTCAAACACCGGTTCTTCAGATTATCCTTGGAACCTAGCCATCATTTTGTGAGGAGCCCAACCTAGCCATGTAGAAAGGTCATATGGAGAACCATATGGAGGACCAGCCAACAGCTCTAGCTAGACTTCTAGGTAAAACCTAATACTAACTTTATTGGAACAGTGGCAAGCTGTCTTTACCAAGCTCTGCTAAAGTAAATAAGTTAAATAGTTATTGTTTGAAGTCACTGTTTTGGGATGTCTCCTTATACAAAAATAGATAAATGAAACAGTTGTCCATCTAAAACCTAGGTCAAAACATGTACTCAGTGAGAACAAGACATGACTGCCACTTGTTATCACTTTAATTCCACACTGTTTTGATTGTTTTAGCTGGTGCATTAAGATAAAGAAAATTCATAGCAACTAGAATGGAAGTTTAAAAACTTTCCTTAATTATAGGAGCTATATTTCCCTACTTAAAAAAATCCCTGGCCGGGCGCGGTGGCTCATGCCTGTAATCCCAGCACTTTGGGAGGCCGAGGCGGGTGGATTACGAGGTCAGGAGATCGAGACCATCCTGGCTAACACAGTGAAACCTCGTCTCTACTAAAAATACAAAAAAATTAGCCGGGCGTGGTGGCAGGCGCCTGTGGTCCCAGCTACTCCGGAGGCTGAGGCAGGAGAATGGCGTGAACCCGGGACGTGGAGCTTGCAGTGAGCTGAGATCGCGCCACTGCACTCCAGCCTGGGCCACAGAGCGAGACTCCGTCTCAAGAAAAAAAAAAAAATCCCTAAGAATCTGCAGATAAAACATTAGAAAAATGAGATAATTTAGCAAATCCCTTGGCCCAGGTATCAAATTGGTATATTTCTATATACCAGCAACAAAGAGTAAAATGTAGTTTGGAAAACATAATTTTGATAACTACCAAAGTAATAATGTCCAGATGTAAATCTAATAGAACATAGAAAAGCTTTACACAGAATATTATAAAACTTTACTGAAATACATTAGAGAAGATCTAAATAAACATGGATATTTACCTTGATAATGGTTGAGGAGTTATCTTTAGTAACTTTATTTTTTTGCTAACATATAGAGTCAATGAAATTTTAATTAAAAGATACTTTTAATTTATAAAAAAATTTATTGCACCAATTCTCACATTTATGCAAAGAGGGAAGAGTGCAAGATAACAAAAAAAAGTAAAAAAAACAGGAATAAAATTCAGAGATTTGTTCTAATAGCAAGATTTACAATGTATAGGAAATAAGACAGTACAGTGTTAGCACAGGAACAGACAGGTAGATGAGTGGACAAAAAGAGAGGACACCAAAGAGATCTGTGTGTGTATGTATATATATATATATACATACACACACACACACACATTGCAAGTCAGTAAATGGCACTGGGGCAATTGGTTTTCCACATTAAGAAAAGAAAGATAGATTGAAATATTTCTCACTATGAGTGTATCTAAAAATGAGTTTCAGGTGGATTAAAGATTGAAATATTAAAGTCAAAACTTTAAAACTTTTTAAAGTACCTATAAAGTGATTATCTTTATGTCCTTGGGAGTGGAAAACATTCCTTAACAAAAGAACTAAAAAAGACTTTAGCATAGAGAGAAAGACTTATTTTAATAATTCTGCAATCTAAAATTAGAGCATCTTCACATCAAAGGAAACCACAGAATGAATGAAAAATCAGGCTACAGAAGGGAAAGGGATATCTGCCACTTCTATTAAGTGGCACAGTTTAGTATTCTAAAGAGACACATAATTCCCTTAAAAATAAGAAAAAGAAAATGGCCAAAATGAAAATGAGCAAAAGTCTGCAAACAAATCCAAATGCCTAGTAAACACACAAACAAAAATGTCTAATAAGATAGAAAAAGCAAATTAAAAGTAGAGTGTGCTGTATCTGTCAGTATCCTTAGAGTAGTAACTCGTTGGATAAGTATGTAAAGCTCTGAGAGCTCATATACAAGGTTGGTAAGGGTGTAAATTGCTAAACCTACTTTGAAGAATGATTTCACATTATATCAGGAAGCTTTAGATGTCAAAGGCAAAAACATAATTTTTCAGAAATGTATAGTGGATACCTTTTAGAAACAGGGAAGTAGGAAAAGGAGCCTAGAGCTGCGCATAAAGGGAAATAAAATACGCTCATAAAGAATTATGCCTTTAAAAGTTATTGGACTCAAATCTTATGAACTATTAATGGTTATTGCTTTAACCATTATTATGAAGTATGAATTTCAGTTGCATTGTTTTTTGTAATCTTCCTTCTGAGGGTAAAAATCAAACAGAAAGAGTTATAAACGTAGGGATTCTGTTTATAATGCTATGACTTTTGGTCTCAAGTTGTGTCATGTGTCTTTAGGGAAAGGCTGGCATTCCTTCCCTTTCCTTTCTTATTCTTTCATTTTCTTTTCTTTCATTTATTTATTTCTTTCCTTTTCTTTCCATCCCATTCCTTTCCTTTTATTTTCCTATCTCTCTCTGTAAACATGTAAGAATGCATGCATATTCACTGCACTACTCTGGTAGTGTCTTACTGATATATTCCTGTCCATTTATAAATCAAAATAGAAAGCTGCTATAATTTAACAACATGGACAGCATTGAAAGGTATGGATAATAGGACAATTTTAACTCATGTGTTGATGTGATAATATATCTCATAGAACGTCAACTCAAGAAAGATATAAGACATGGCATAATGTGTTATGTGCATATTTGTGTCCCTGTTAGTATTGAAAAGTTATCATATTAAAAATGAACAAAGGGAAAAAGTGCATGAGGTGCCGGGAGTCTAGGAGAAACCAGGAATAAGCTTCCAGGTGTTTTCTTCCAGTGAGTTACATTGATGTGCTTAATTGTGCCATCAATGGTACGATAACACATGCAGAATAATGCCAACCAGGAAGTTCACTCAAGTTTGATGTAGAAGGTTTTTATGGGGGATCAGTCAGGTAGGCATACGGCACCTGTGTAACTGACCTCAGCTACTCAGACCCCAGCCCACCAGAGCAAAAATAGGCACCATAAATCACCTTGTTAGCATAATCTATCTGATCAAATTTATATTGTGACCCAATAAAACAAATTATTTTAAAAAAAACATTTTATTAGGCAGGATATTCAAAGAACTTAGAGCTCCTCTTCCAGGAGCCTGCCAAGGGCCAGTCCTGAATATAGGCCTTTCTTGGGAATATACAGGGTTCTGCAACACAGACATGAAAAGTTAACCCTTTTCTGCATAATGGTTGACTGATATATTTTGATATATCAGATGCGTTAGGTCTTTTGCAACTGAAAAAAAGAGAAGCAAAACTATATTCATAAAATAATATCGAATTTTTCCTTAAAATACCATAGTGGTAAAGAATGAAAACTTGGGGGCCAAACTACCTTGAGTTTGAGTCCCAGGTTAGCTAGTAGTTTGCTAGTGACTGTAGATAAGTTGATTAGTGACCTGTGCCTTAATTTCCTTATCTTTAAAATAGGAATATCAATATTATTTGCCTCACAAGATTTATTGTAAATGTTGAACACAATAATACCTTTGAAGCCTAGAATAATCCTTGGCATAAGTAGTACTTATTACATGTCATTATTATTATTATAGTTTTATTATACGCTAGCACAGGCATAAGAAAGCAGATCGAGAGATATGAGCAAAAAGTGTTCCAAAAAGTTAAAAGCGAAAAAACAAAAATAAAAAAACACCTCAAGCTATTTAGGCTATTTTATAAAGAGAGAAGTGTTATGATTTTGTTAAGATAGTAACATTAGGGAAACAAGGTGAGGGATAAAAAGAGAAGCCTCTGTATTGTTTTTACAAATTTTTTACAGGTTTAAAATTTCTCCAAAGTTTAAAAGTGAGGTAACATTGTATTCTATTTGAGTAGTAAGTATTAGAAAGCAGGGTAGTGCCAAGAATTGGGACAGGTGAGGAAATGACAGGAACACGTCTGCCCCGCTGGTAGGAGTGTAGCCTCATGGAAGCATTCTGGAGCACATTCTGGGTATAAAAATTCAAATTAAGTCTCTCATATATTGGACCTGAGCAATTTTGCTTCCAGGTATATATCCTAAATAAATCCTTACACAGGTCCATAACAACAGTTGTTTGGCATAATTTATGGTAATGGGGAATTAGAAGCAACCCAGATGTCCATCAACGGGAGAGCAGATTTGCGAAGGTTGAGGATGTACAACATCAAAAAAATGCAGTTTTTAGAAAAAGTGGGCTAGATGTAGACATTGTAACGTGATAGCTCTTAAAAGTAGTGTGCTGAGTGAAAAAAAGTAAGAAACTGAATAAGATTATAATGTAATACTATTTTATAGAATAAAATATCCTAAAACAACAATACTAATAGAAATTAAGAGCCCATAAAATGTTACACATGAAACTTATAATAATTGTTTTCCTTAGGGGGAATGGTAGTAGAAACAGACAGGAAAGAAATGTTTTAAATAAAGTAAGATGAGAGAGATCGTGCACATATTAATGAGGACAGGGTGCCATGAACTGATAAATGTAATGAACTCAACCTTCTGCACTTGAGATCCAACCACATAATAAAAGGAAAAAAGAAATAATATATGCAATTTTGTCTATATATATATATCAAAATTAAAATAGTGATAACCTCTAGGAATCACTATTAAAGAGGAAATTCTTATTTTAATGTTATTTCTACAACATTTGAAACAATTTAAGGAGCATGAAGTGTAATTTTTGTATTCAAAACTTAAAATGTGAATAATTAGTAATAAATTTAATAAAGGAACAAGACTGCCTCACTGAAAGCCATGTAACGTTACTGAAAGAAATTAAAGACCTAAAAAATGGGAAGCTATGTTGTGTTTATGAATTAAATGACTCAATATTAAGACTTCTATTTTCTCAGAAATGATCTATAGATTTGATGCAATCCTAATAAAAATGCCAGCATGCTTCTTTTTAGTACGAATTAACAAGCTAATTCTAAAGTGTATATGGAAATGCAGAAGACTTGGAAAATCAAAGCCTAGAAAATCAAAAGATTAGAGGCATTAAACTACCTGACTTCAAGAATTGTTATAAAGGGCACGGCGTGGTGGCTCATGCCTGTAATCCCAGCACTTTGGGAGGCCGAGGTGGGCGGATCACGAGGTCAGGAGATCGAGACCATCCTGGCTACCACGGTGAAACCCCGTCTCTACTAAAAATACAAAAAAATTAGCCAGGCATGGTGGTGGGCGCCTATAGTCCCAGCTACTTAGGAGGCTGAGGCAGGAGAATGGCGTGAACCCAGGAGGCGGAGCTTGCAGTGAGCCGAGATGGTGCCACTGCACTCCAGCCTGGGCGACAGAGCAAGACTCCGTCTCAAAAAAAAATCGTTATAAAGTTGCTGAAATCAGTATGGTATGGTATTAGTTAAAAATAAACACATAGATCAATGAAAAAGAATAGTAAGCCCATATATTGACAAGGTGCTAAGGCAAATCAATGGGGGAAAATAATGTCTTTTCAATAAATCACACTAAAAACTATATATCTGTATAGAAAAAGAATGATCATTAACACTCACTTTATACTACACTCAAAAATTAACTCAATAAGGATCACAGACTTAATTAATATAGAAGCTAAAACTATTCATTTTCTAAATGGTCACATAGAAAAATACCTTTATAATTTTAGGCCGGGCGCGGTGGCTCATGCCTGTAATCCCAGCATATTAGGAGGCCAAGGCAGGTGGATCATTTGAGGTGAGGAGTTCAAAACCAGCCTGGCCAACATACTGAAATCCCATCTCTATTAAAAATACAAACAAACAAACAAAAAAGACAGAAAGAAAGAAAATGAGCCAGCATAGCAGCACACACTTGTAATCTCAGCTACTTGAGAGTCTGAGGCACGAGAATTGCTTGAACCAGGAGGCGGAGGTTGCAGTGAGCCAAGATTGCACCACTGCACTCCAGCCTGGGTGACAGAGTGAGACCCTGTCTCAAAAGAAAAAAAACTTTGTAATTTTAAAGAAGGTATTTTTGGAAGATAGGACACCAAACATGAATTATAAAACACAAAGTTGATAGATTGAACTACATCAAAATTTTTAAAGTTTTACTCTCCAAAAGAACCTGATGGAAAAAAAAGACAATCACAGGAGATTAGAAAAAACATCTGTAATACGTGTATCTGACAAAAGATTTTTATCCAGTATATATACATATATACACACATATGTAAATGTCTTCATAATAGAAAGATTAACAACTTGTTTTAAAAATGGGCCAAGTGTCTGAGCAAAAACTTCACAAATGAAGACACACAAATAACTAATAAGTCCATGAAAAGATGTTCAACCTTGTTGAACAGGGCAATACAAAATAAACTCATCGATATATATCACCATGAATGTGTTTAAAAAGCTAAAAGTTTTTCAAAACACCTGACAAGGTAGCCAAGATGGTCTTGATCTCCTGACCTCGTCATCCGTCCACCTCGGCCTCCCAAAGTGCTGGGATTACAGGCGTGAGCTACCACGCCCAGCCCTTTATAACAATTCTTGATTATCTAGGGAATATAATATGGAACAACTACTTTAGAAATCAGTGTGGGTGGCTGGAAAGATGGTGGAATAGAAACAGCTTCGGTCTGCAGCTCCCACTGAGATCAATGCAGAAGCCAGATGATTTCTGCATTTCTAACTGAGATACCCGACTAATCTCACAGGGACTGGTTAGACAGTGGGTGCAGCCCAGGGAGGGCTAGCCGAAGCAGGGTGGGGCATCGCCTCACCCGGGAAGCGCAAGGGGTCAGACAACTCCCTCCCCTAGCCAAGGGAAGCCATGAGGGACTGAGCCATGAGGAACAGTGCACTCCAGCCCAGATACTACGCTTTTCCCATGGATTTCGCAAACCACAGAACAGTAGATTCCCTTGGGTGCCTACGCTACTGGGGTCCTGGGTTTCAAGCACAAAACTGGGCGGCTGTTTGCGCAGAGACTGAGCTAGCTGCAGGAGTACAGCTAAGGCAGTGTTTAAAGGGAAATTTATAGCACTAAATGCCCACAGGAGAAAGCAGGAAAGATCTAAAATCGACACTCTAATATCGCAATTAAAACAACTAGAGAAGCAAGAGAAAACAAATTCAAAAGCTAGCAGAAGACAAGAAATAACTAAGATCAGAGCAGAAATGAAGGAGATAGAGACACACACAAAAAAATTCAAAAAATCAATGAATCCAGGAGCTGGTTTTTTTGAAATAATTAACAAAGTAGACTGCTAGCCAGACTAATAAAGAAGACAAGAGAGAAAAATCAATAGACACTATAAAAATGATAAATGGCATATCACTGCTGATCCCACAGAAATAGAAACTACCATCAGGGAATACTATAAACATCTCTATGCAAATAAACTAGAAAATCTAGAAAAAATGGATAAATGCCTGGACACATAAACCCTTCCAAGACTAAACCAGGAAGAAGTCTAATGCCTGAATAGACCAATAACAAGTTCTGAAATGGAGGTAGTAGTTAATAGCCTACCAACCAAGAAAAGCCCAGAACCAGACAGATTCACAGACGAATTCTACCGCAAGTACAAAAAGGAGCTGGTACCATTCCTTCTGAAAATATTCCAAACAATAGAAAAAGAGGGAATCCTCCATAACTCATTTTATGAGGCCAGCATCAACCTGATACCAAAACCTGGCAGAGACACAACAAAAAAAGAAAATTTCAGGCCAATATCCCTGATGAACATTGATGTGAAAATCCTCAATAAAATACTGGCAAACCGAATCCAGCAGCACATCAAAAAGCTCATCTACCATGATCAAGTCAGCTTCATTCCTGGGATGCAAAGCTGATTCAAATATGCAAATCAATAAATGGAATCTATCACATAAACAGAACCAATGACAAAAACCACATGATTATCTCAATAGATGCAGAAAAGGCCTTCGACAAAATTCAGCAGCCCTTCATGCTAAAAACTCTCAATAAACTAGATATTGATGGAATGTATCTCAAAATAATAAAAGCTATCTATGACAAACTCACAGCCAATATCATACTGAATGGGCAAAACCTGGAAGCATTCCCTGAGAAAACTGTCACAAGACAAGGATGCCCTCTCTCACCACTCTTATTCAACATAATGTTGGAAGTTCTGGCCAGGGCAATCAGGCAAGAGAAAAAAATAAAAGGTATTCAAATAGAAAGAGAGGAATTCAAATTGTCTCTGTTTGCAGATGACATGATTCTATACTTAGAAAACCCCATCGTCTCAGCCCAAAATCTCCTTAAGCTTATAAGCAATTTCAGCAAAGTCTCAGGATACAAAATCAATGTGCAAAAACCACAAGCATTCCTATACACCAATAATAAAAAAAACAGAGAGCCAAATCATGAGTGAACTCCCATTCATAACTGCTACAAAGAGAATAAAATACCCAGGAATACAACTTACAAGGCATGTGAAGGACCTCTTCAAGGAGAACTACAAACCACTGCTCAAGGAGAGAGGGCACAAACAAATGGAAAAACATTCCATCCTCATGGGTAGGAAGAATAAATATCATGAAAAATGGCCATACTGCCCAAAGTAATTTATAGATTCAATGCTATCCCCATCAAGTTACCATTGACTTTCTTCACAGAATAGGAAAAAATTACTTTAAATTTCATATGGAACCAAACAAGAGCCCACATAGCCAAGATAATCCTAAGCAAAAAGAACAAAGCTGGAAGCATCATGCTACCTGACTTCAAAGTATACTACAAAGCTACAGTAACCAAAACAGCATGTTACTGGTGCCAAAACAGATATATAGACCAACAGAACAGAACAGAGGCCTCAGAAATAATGCCACACATCTACAACCATCTGATCTTTGACAAACTTGACAAAAACAAGCAATGGGGAAAGAATCCCCTATTTAATAAATGCTGTTGAGAAAACTGGCTAGCCATATGCAGAAAACTGAAACTGGACTCCTTCCTTATACCTTATACAAAAATTAACTCAAGATGGATTAAAGACTTAAACGTAAGACCTAAAACCATAAAAACCCAAGAAGAAAACCTAGGCAATACCATTCAGGATTTAGGCATGGGCAGAGACTTCATGACTAAAACATCAAAAGCAATGACAACAAAAGCCAAAATTGACAAATGGGATCAAATTAAACTAAAGAGCTTCTGCACAGGAAAAGAAATCATCAGCAGAGTGAATAGGCAACCTACAGAATGGGAGAAAATTTTTGTAATCTATCCATCTGACAAAGGGCTAATATCCAGAATCTACAAAGAATTTAAACAAATTTACAAGAAAAAAACAAACAACCCCATCAAAATGTGGGCGAAGGATGTGAACAGACACTTTTGGGATTCTCCAGGTTCAAGCGATTCTCCTGCCTCAGCCTCCTGAGTAGCCGGGATTACAGGTTCATGGCACCACGCCCAGCTAAGTGTTTGTATTTTTAGTTGAGATGGAGTTTCACCATGTTAGCCAGGATGGTCTCAATCTCCTGACCTCGTGATCTGCCTGCTGCGGCCCCCTAAAATGCTGGGATTACAGGCATGAGCCAATGCCCCGGCCTGACAGACACTTTTTAAAATAAGACATTTATGTGGCCAACAAACATATGAAAAAAAGCTCATCATCACTGGTTATCAGAGAAATGTGAATCAAAACCATAATGAGATACCATCTCATGCCAGTTAGAATGGCTATCATTAAAAAGGCAGGAAACAACAGATGCTAGAGAGGACGTGGAGAAACAGGAACACTTTTACACTGTTGGTGGGACTGTAAACTAGTTCAACCATTGTGGAAACAGTGTGGCGATTCCTCAAGGATCTAGAACCAAAAATACCATTTGACCCAGGAATCCCTTTACAGGGTATATACCCAAAGGATTATAAATCATTCTACTATAAAGACACATGCACACGTATGTTTATTGTGGCACTGTTCACAATAGCAAAGACTTGAAACCAACCCAAATGCCCATCAATAATACACTGGATAAAGAAAAGGTGGCACATATACACCCATGGAATACTATGGAATACTATGCAGCCATAAAAAAGATGATTTCATGTCCTTTGCAGGGACATGGATGAAGCTGGAAACCATCATTCTCAGCAAACTAACACAAGAACATAAAACTAAACATTGCATGTTCTCACTCATAAGTAGGAGCTGAACAATGAGAACACATGGACACAGGTAGGGGAACATCACACACTGGGGCCTGTTTGGGGGTGAGGGGGTAAGGGAGGGATAGCATTAGGAGAAATACCTAACGTAGTTGACAGGTTGATGGGTGCAGCAAACCACCATGGCATGTATATACCTACGTAACAAACCTGCAAGTTCTGCACATGTACCCCAGAGCTTAAAGTATATAAAAAAAAGAAAAAATCTCATGTGGCAGATTAAAGAAAAAAAAACTTACTAAGGTATATGCATATGTAGATATTATAACCATTAATTCAAAAAAGTCCTATAAAAACATTCCCCATTACTGAGCAATTGCTTATTCCCTTTGTCATTAAAACATGCACTTTGATTTACTTCAAAACTGAGGGGACTAGTCCAGTTTTGTACTCTTGTAAATTATGAGTCTTTCTTGAAGAAATCTGCAGCATTACACAAAATTGAATCAGATATTCAGATTCACAAGATTTGTGCCTCCTTATCTCACACATTCATAAGTTGGAACTCTTCATTTGCAGTTTATCTATATTCTGTTTCATGGAACTAGGGAGCATCCCCTGCCTAACTCTGTAAAACCAATTTGTCAAACTCTTGTACAGATCAGAAAAGTAAAGGAATTAATATAAATACCTCCAGTAATAGGGATGCACAAGGGTGATGACAATTTTATTAATAGATTATAGTAGTATATGCTTATATTTATAGATTATACACATCACACACACACATAAACATACACACTCACATTTGGGTAATAATGCATTTGCCATCAGTAAGGAACATAAATGACCTTATTGTTTGAGTCAGACAAATATTAATTTGAATCAGAGCTTAACTACCATTTATTTGAGAAATCTCAGGAAAATTAACTAATCCTTCCTAAATTTATTGTTCCTATTGGCAAAATGGGGACAATATGTTATAGCTAGAAGAGTTGTTTTCTTGAGTCAAAAAAATGTATATATATAAAGCACTTGATACTTACTAGGGGCTGAATAAATTGTTGAAATCACCACTGTAATAATAGTAAAAGAACTTAATATGAATACTTAATATGGATAGAAAACTAGGAGGCCCACTGGAAATACCATATATGCACCATAATATTAACCCAGTTAGCTTCATCTATCTCCAACCTTATTTGTTAATAACAAGTTTTAAATTATACAGGCCAGACTCCAAACTAATTGTCTTTCTCCTTCATTTCAGAAAAATTTTCCAAAGATGACTTAAAATAACACTTGAATTGGAGGGAGGAAGGAAAGCTAATATTATTAGAGCACAACATCTTAAATTTTAAAGAATTATATTTGAGAGGAATATATACAATAGACAGCTTGGAAGAGCATTCTGGGTAGAAATAAGATTCACCTCTCTTCCAATCTGAAACATAATAACAATGCCTTTCATTTGTATGGTTCTTCAGAGTTTAAACATGGCTTTTAAGCACATTTTTCTCTGAGGAAGCTCTTCCTTTGACAGCATCTTCCTCAGTGCTGCCTTCATGGAATCATTCCGTAAGCTATAAATGACTGGATTGAGTGTTGGAGGTATCACAGTATAGAATACGGAGAATACAAGGTCCACAGTCGATGAGGAATCAGAAGGCAGTCTGAGAAACTCAAAGCCTGCAGCTGAAAGAAAGAAGGTGGCTACAAATAGGTGTGGTAGGCAGGTGGAGAAGACCTTGGTCCGGCCCTCAGCTGATGGGATTCTCAGCACTGTAGAGAAGATGCGAATGTAGGAGAGCACAATGGAGATCAAACAGATAAATGCTGCAGACGTTGTGAATGCAGCCAGTGCAATCTCATTAATGAATTCATAAGAACAGGCTAGTTTCAGCATCTGAGGAACATCACAGAAGAATTGGTGAATGACTCTCTTCCCACAGAGAGGTATGGAGAAGTTAATGGCAGCATGCATGAGCCCAGAGAGGCCCCCAGCAATCCACACAGCTATCACTGCATGCCTACAGGCACGGGGATCCATAATAGTCTCATAATGAAGTGGTTGACAGATTGCTGCGTACCTGTCATAAGACATCACTGTGAGAATGGCCACTTCTGATGAGGCCAGAGCTATGAAGAAGAAAACCTGAAGAATGCACTGAACAAGAGAAATGTAACCGTTGCCCATAAGTGAATTTGCAATGGACTGGGGGACTGTGACAGAGATGAAGCAGAGGTCCAGAAGAGAGAGGTGCTTTAAAAAGTAATACATGGGGGAATGGAGACGACGGTCCACGGTAATGATGGTGATAATGAGGAGGTTGCCTGTCAAGGCCAGCAGGTATGTCACCAGAAATACCAATGCATGTAAAATCTGAAGCTTACGCTCATCAGAAAACCCCATAAGAAGGAATCCACTCATTGAAGTCAAATTGACCATAGTCTCTCTGAAGATACCAAGTGTGACTCTGTTTAGGAAGCCAAAGACAGTAGGAAGAAAATGCATGACATCTAATATATTTGTGTGTCAAGTAACTCAATTCCTCAGCAAGGAGGTACTGAAATGAGATGAATTTATTTTCATTGCGATTAGTTAATATTCAATTCAAAAACGTTTTAGCAATTATTCAGAAATAGAATCCCTGAATGTGATCAACAAGTCATAAACATTTTCTGGAGCAGAGTTTGCATTGTCAAAGAGGGAGAAATTGATGGAAATGATAAAGTCTTTACCTTCAATAAAGTCAATGAAAATGATTCTAGCATACCAGTCTCATTACATCTTCTATATGATGCCTTAGTATTACAACGATGCACTATATAGCTTCTTTTGCTAACCAGCTAACATGAAGTTATTGATACCACCTTGCAAATGGATCTAGAAACAGCTCAGAGGCAGATCTAGAAACAGCTCAGAAGCTAATCTAGAAGAGAGGTTAGCTCAAAGAACAGTCATATTTTTTCCTTTGAAAAGCTCTTAACACTTTAAAAAGATTACATTTGATTGTAATAAACTTTTCATAGAAATTTTGAAAAATGAAATGTCTCAAAATTGTAAAATGCAGATGCCACTGATATCAGGCATTGAATCCTGAGCTTTGGAGATCTTGCAACTAAGTGACAAAGGTTCACCGTCAAAGAACGTTTAATTCTCAAAATTCTTATGACAACTTGGGGTTGGACATTTTCAATCAAATCCATTTGAAGAAATAAAGAGATTTTCTAAAATCTATGTGATAGGCAGAATGCTAGGTAGTAGAGTATATATCTTTCTAGTGCTGTGTCTCATTGTGAGTTCCTGAATGAAAAAATATATATATATATTTCTTTCTAGGACTTGAAATATATTAGATAGTGGGAGCCCATTTCTTAAAATAACCAACCAAACAAAAAAAAAATCTATACCAGATGTAACAATTGTTAGGAGGATTAAATGATGTAACTTTTCCTATTTCATTTTAAATGTGCTATTATTATAGAATCAACACCATCATAGAATTATTTTGTGTATCAGAATCACTCTGCTAACTAATTTTTGCCTCTTTTTTTTCTTTTTAAATCTGTGCATTTGTTGAAAGGTCAATCAGTATCATTTTCACTGAGTTTCTTCTGCACAAAGACTATTCCTTCATCATTTCTGTCCATTTCTTCACCCTTGACCAAAGGCATCTAACATATAGGTTCTAAGTAAATACTTATTTAACGGGATATCTACATAATTGATTTCAGTTCTATATAGACAAAAACTTAATGGCTAAGTTACATGAGTTAATGCATCTGATTTTGAAGTAACTGCATCTGATATTGTAGTTTGTTTCATTTATTAATCCCTAAGCTGTAGGAAAAGGTTAAAAATCACTTAAACCAAGATCTTTTTGATTTTGCTGTAATTTATTTTGAGAACTGACTGAAACTAATTTTTAGGAAATTTTTTTTTTCCACAAGGAACAGTCTCAGGGCTGGAAGGGCCCTTAATCCCTCACTGATGGTCACATCCCCTGCTTCATGGCAGTAGGAATCAGAGGAAAACAGGGGTTACTTTCTTCAAAGTTTCTCTAGCTTTCTTGCTCCTACAGTTTTCCTGGTCCTCCATAAGATATAGCTTAATCCCCAGTGCTGCCAATCTTAATGCCTGGCTTAACTTGCTCCAAATATTGGATGGTAGTTTTGGAATTTAAAATAAAATGTGAATAGATGAAAGCAATTCACTTATATTTTAAAACTTACTGTCTCTGGCTTGAAAATCAAAAGCATCGTGTTACTTACCACTTCTAATACACATTGTTAATGTAATCTAAGAAAAACCTCTATCATTTAGCCTCCCCATTAAGGTTTCTCCATAGAGGGAAGGAGGAGAAAAATCGTAAGAAAAAACTTGAATGCACACACCATATTCTCCTCTCAACAACTCCCACCAACCTATTTTCATTTTTATTTTCTTTGAAGACATAGATAATAATTTTTATATCTGATTAATAAATGGAAAATTTCATCATTTTAATTTCACTAGTTCCAAATTGTATTGATTAATTCATCACTTATCAAATAAGAAGGAAGGGAATCATATACGTGTGGAGATACTCTTAGGATTAAGGATGATACTGCGAGAACATATAAAACCTGTGTTCAATCCTTCCAAGTCATACCTGCATTAAATACTTTATTTATAATAAAACTAAACATTTTTTGGTGGAGAGTATAATGATTCTTTCAATGTCATTTGTTTCCCCCAAGCATTTTTTTCTGTCTTCACTAACCACTTGTATGCAAATTTTATCCTACAAAACATTTCTAAACTTTTCCGTTTTTTACCTCTCATATGTTGAAACCCTCAATTTTTTTGAAAGTAGTTCTCTTTTAGGTTCAGTGGTACATGTGCAAATATGTTATGTAGATAAACTCTAATTCATTCCAGTAGCTGCTCTAAAGAGTTAGCATCCTGTGTCTCTTCTTCACTATTTTCCTCTATTTCCTGGGAGGTAGCATTGCCAATAACTTCAATGAGAAAACATAGGTAATTATATGTTAAGCCCCTCAGTTTCCTACCTGTATATAAACGAAATGATCTCTAACATGATTTAATTCCACCCACTCTAGGGTTTCAAAGGCAGAGAAAGAGCTCTTTTTTCCTTTCCAAGTCAGTGACCAACCCTATACTCAACCTTGCTCTATCGCAAAGGGCATCTTTGCCACAGTATGCACTTGCTCTCTCTCTCTCTTTCATAATAGTGCACATTTTATGTGTGTGTGTGTGTCTGTATATGTGTGTGTATAAAATCAACACAAACTCCATGTCTAAAAATTCTAATAATGTTGATTTACTGAGATTACTCTTAATGAACCAGATTGTTTCACTATGCTCTGTTGATAGATGATAGATTAGAGATAGATAGATGATAGATAGATAGATAGATAGATAGATAGATAGATAGATAGATAGAGATAATCTTAAGACTCATCCATTTTAAAGAAAAAGAAAAGTCTTCACTCCACACTTAGGACTTACTTATAATGTCCCTTCTCTTTACAGCCATGCTTTATGAGCAGAATAGGGTATCATTCTGTGCCCTGGCACATTTGGTTCAATTCTTGAACCATGTTAATCATTCTTGCTTCATGAGTCCTCACAAACAGCTCCAGCAAATCCACAAATAACTATCACAACGGTAAATTCAATGCACTCTTTCTATTTTGTTTTTATTTTAAATTTTGTTTCTCAAATATATGACACTATTATACAGTTCTTTCTTCTAAAACAGCTGACTTCCATTGGCTCTATGCCACTTAGTTCTGGTTTTCTATTTCCTCTCTGAATATTTTTTCTTAGTCTCGTTATCTGGGTCTTCTTTTAACATTTATTGAAATTTGATGGTTTCCAAAAATTTGTCCTGACACTTTCTTTCTGTACTTTTGTTTACTCAAAAATATTCCTGTGCCTTTTAAAGAAGACAGATTAACTATTTTCCTACACAATAGAAAATAATAGTCTGCTGTTTCGAGCACTACCATAGGTCTTCTGGGTTGCAGGTCCCCTGGGTTGCAGGTCCTCATATCCTGCTTCACGGTTGGCACATCACTGTCCCTGAATGGGTCTTTCCCATAAGGACTCATCTCTTCTCCCAGACATCTCCCTGTCACTGTGACCTATTTCAAAGAATGGCACAACTTTGCTTTAATCTGTATATCCAATCAAACACCAAAATTTTATTTGCTTACTATCTGTTGTAGTTATTACATCTTGCTGTCACACGTACAGATTAGTTCAAACCTTCATTATCTCTGGCAATATTTTATTCTTCAGTTTTATGTATTTCTAATCCAACTTCAATGCTGTTGCCAGGACAAATGGTGATGCAGATCACATCTTGTAACATTAATTTAGCTTTTAGCTCTTTATTGACTTGATTATGCAATGATGCCCAAAAAGCTTAGGATGGCAAACAATATCTTTACAATGCTTCCTGACTGCCATTCCAGTATTATCTATCATTGTGACTTCTCTAACCCCATGCCAATCTCCATGTCTAATAATGGCGACTGACTTAATTACTCTTAATAAATCAATCAGGTTGTATCACCATGCTGTGTTTCTTTTCTTAAATCACACTATCCCTCCTGTCTGGAAGTCCTCCCATTAGAATTGCCCCTCATGGCTGAGCACGGTTGCTCACACCTGTAATCCCAGCACTTTGGGAGGCTGAGGTGGGCAGATCACCTGAGGTCAGGAGTTCAAAACCAGCCTGGCCAAAATGGCGAAACCCCATCTCTACTAAAAATACAAAAATTAGCCGGGCACGGTGGTGGGCACCTGTAATCCCAGCTACTAGGGAGGCTGAGGCAGGAGAATTGTTTGAACCCAGGAGGCGGAGGTTACAGTGAGCCAAGGTCGCGCCACTGCACTCCAGCCTGGGTGACAGAGCGAGACTCGTCTCAAAAAAAAAAAAAAAAAAGAAAAAAAAAAGAAAAAAAATCTCCCCTCATTTGTTTGGCAAATACTTAACTATCTTTTAACACAGCTACATTGTCTCTTTCCATTTATAATTCACCTGAGTTTAACTGTCGACCCAAGAAGAATTGTCACTCTTTGGAGCCCAGATTGCATTCATTTAAGATTCCTTATAATTTATACTAACTTTTTTATGCTTTATATACTTTTTTATAATTTATACTACCTTATTTGCATAGATATCGCAGCTTATTTAAACTGTTCTTAGTTAAGGAGTGAGAAATTATGTATCTTATTTAGAGTTATAACTTTGAAGACTCGCATAGTCGCTGGCACTAAGCAGGTGCTACATAAATGTTGGATAAATTCCATAAAATTTGAAGAAGTTTTACTCACCAGAGTGGATCTCTCGGTAGAAACAAATCTCAATTGATCCTGAGACTGAGCATCTTTGTTCTAGAATCAAGCTGGTGTTTCAGTCAGTGAAATTTCCATGTAAGGAAAGGACTGAAACGCTTTTATATAGGACCAAACAGGATGTAACTGCCCAGGGACATTTAAATTTCCTATTAACTAAGGGGTATTTGAAATGAAGCCAGTGCTGTCCAGGCACTGGGGACAAAAATCCTGTGCAGGAAAGTTGGTGTTTCAGATAAAAACTATGAGTTCAAAGCAGGGGATTTCATGGACCTCTCCCTCAGGGAATTGCCTCAGTGGGAAGTAGTTAATTATTATCTTGGTTTAGCTAACTCTTGTAGTCGATGCATTTCAGGTTAAAAAAATGAATATTATACATAACTCGTTTTCTGTAACACAGGTTCACAGGTTTTTCTAGTAAAAAGGATTTTTTTCATTAATTAACAGTTTCATTTTAACTGGTCACCAATAAAATCATGCATGATTGCACTGGCCTTATGTAAAAAAAAAAGGAATACTTAGTAATTATTTACATAAACCCATACATAATAGTAGAATCAAAGAATCTCAGAATAAAACCATGACTTAGAGAGCTAAACTTTCTTCAAACATGGTGTCTTTTCTAAAATTACTCTGAAACTGATAATCCAGCCCTCATTTTAACAATCCCCCAGATGAATAATTTTTACTCAAAAGTGAATGAATTCCATTCTTAAATATGTGTGATTATGGAAAAGGCATTTTTTTAAATTATACTTTAAATTTTAGGATACATGTGCACAACGTGCAGGTTTGTTACATATGTATACATGTGCCATGTTGGTGTGCTGCACCCATTAACTAGTCATTTAGCATTAGGTATATCTCCTAATGCTATCCCTCCCCACTCCCCCCACCCCACAACAGGCCCCAGAGTGTGATGTTCCCCTTCCTGTGTCCATGTGATCTCATTGTTCAATTCCCACCTATGAGTGAGAACATGCGATGTTTGGGTTTTTGTCCTTTGTGATAGTTTGCTGAGAATGATGGTTTCCAGCTTCATCCATGTCCCTACAAAGGACATGAACTCATCATTTTTTTATGGCTGCATAGTATTCCATGGTGTATATGTGCCACATTTTCTTAATCCAGTCTATCATTGTTGGACATTTGGGTTGGTTCCAACTCTTTGCTATTGTGAATAGCGCCACAATAAACATATGTGTGCATGTGTCTTTCTAGCAGCATGATTTATAATCCTTTGGGTATATACCCAGTAATGGGATGGCTGGGTCAAATGGTATTTCTAGTTCTAGATCCCTGAGGAGTTGCCACACTGACTTCCACAATGGTTGAACTAGTTTACAGTCCCACCAACAGTGTAAAAGTGTTCCTGTTTCTCCATATCCTCTCCAGCACCTGTTATTTCCTGACTTTTTAATGATTGCCATTCTAACTGGTGTGAGATGGTATCTCATTGTGGTTTTGATTTGCATTTCTCTGATGGCCAGTGATGATGAGCATTTTTTCATGTGTTTTTTGGCTGCATAAATGTCTTCTTTTGAGAAGTGTCTGTTCATATCCTTTGCCCACTTTTTGATGGGGTTGTTTTTTTCTTGTAAATTTGTTTGAGTTCATTGTAGATTCTGGATATTAGCCCTTTGTCAGATGAGTAGGTTGCAAAAATTTTCTCCCATTCTGTAGGTTGCCTGTTCACTCTGATGGTGGTTTCTTTTGCTGTGCAGAAGCTCTTTAGTTTAATTAGATTCCATTTATCAATTTTGGCTTTTGTTGCCATTGCTTTTGGTGTTTTAGACATGAAGTCCTTGCCCATGCCTATGTCCTGAATGGTATTGCCTAGGTTTTGTTCTAGGGTTTTTCTGGTTTTAGGTCTAACATTGAAGTCTTTAATCCATCTTGAATTAATTTTTGTATAAGGTGTAAGGAGGGGATCCAGTTTCAGCTTTCTACATATGGCTAGCCAGTTTTCCCAGCACCATTTATTAAATAGAGAATCCTTTCCCCATTGCTTGTTTTTGTCAGGTTTGTCAAAGATCAGATACTGGTAGATATGTGGCATTATTTCTGAGGCCTCTGTTCTGTTCCATTGGTCTATATCTGTTTTGGTACCAGTACCATGCTATTTTGGTTACTGTAGCCTTGTAGTATAGTTTGAAGTCAGGTAGTGTGATGCCTCCAGCTTTGTTCTTTTGGCTTAGGATTGACTTGGCAATGCAGGCTCTTTTTTGGTTCCATATGAACTTTAAAGTAGTTTTTTCCAACTCTGTGAAGAAAGTCATTGGTAGCTTGATGGGGATGGCATTGAATCTATAAATTACCTTGGGCAGTATGGCCATTTTCACGATATTGATTCTTCCTACCCATGAGTATGGAATGTTCTTCCATTTGTTTGTATCCTCTTTTATTTCATTGAGCAGTGGTTTGTAGTTCTCCTTGAAGAGGTCCTTCACATCCCTTGTAAGTTGGATTCCTAGGTTTTTATTCTCTTAGAAGCAATTGTGAATGGGAGTTCACTCATGATTTGGCTCTCTGTCTGTTATCGGTGTATAAGAATGCTTGTGATTTTTGCACATTGATTTTTTATCCTCAGACTTTGCTGAAGTTGCCTATCAGCTTAAGGAGATTTTGGGCTGAGACGATGGGGTTTTCTAGATATACAATCATATCATCTGCAAAGAGGGACAATTTGACTTCCTCTTTTCCTAATTGAATGCCTTGGAAAAGGCATTTTTGAAATCATGATAAGGACACTTAACATAAAATCTACCTTCTTAGCATTGAAAGAAAATTTTTTAAAACTTTTAATATCAAAAATTTAATATATTGTATATTCTACTTGGCAAATGTTTAAAAATAGCTCTAAGTTCCCATGTGTGTGTGTATATATATATATATATAATGTATATGATTTATATTATGTGTATTATATATATGAATTATATATATAAATATAAGAAACTGAATTGTAAATGTTGCAGACCAATAAACTTTATTTTGATCTCCAGTGACAAATATAGTACCACATTAAGTACCACAATATGGTGTCTCAGTAAGGATCACATGTTTTCATAAGGCTGTTTATGAACAATAAGAGACAATTAATGAATGATTAAAAAATACTCAGGTTTTTTTCATTTTGAGGAAAGAATTTTCTATTTTAACATTGACTTTGATTGTGATCTGATCAATGTTTTTGTAAAAGCTTTGGATACAGATGGTAGGTGGATTCAATATTATACATGGTGGTTAGTAGACAAATAATCCAAAAATTTCAACATACAACAATAATGGATAATTTAGAGAAAACTGTGGGATAGTTCAAATAGGATAAACTTTAATAAAATACTTTCCAAGATAAAGGCACATTAAAATTTGAGAGATGTGTGTTTTTCTTTTTTTTAAGATTGATTAAATCTAATCAATACATGCTAAGAGCATCCAATGACAAAGAAATCAGTTACAAAAAGACCCTATAGTAATATTTCAATTGATGAGTAATATTTTCACTTTACTCTCTTCATCAGACCGAAACTGAATGAATCATTTCAGAATTAAATACATTAAGAAAATTGTAGACAAATGGATGTGTTAGCAAACAAAAGCAATTGTCATTCATTCCAATTACTAGAAAGCTCAGGGTGACCTATATTTTCAAATATTAAAAATGTTTGTCTTTTAAAAATAAATTTAAATTTATCTATGTTCCTAGAATCAATCTAGTAATAATGGTTATTAGTTATATTCAGATAGTTGTTTTCTCAGCATAAACAATAATTTTCAAAACCTGTTCCTGATGATACAGTAACTACAGACTGATATTAAGAAATATTTATTTATTTATTTTTTAAAGGAAGGGTTTGAATCCCTTACAAAAGTTTTGTGGAGACCTTTTTGAATTCAGTGAAAAAATCTAATTTTGATATTGTAAAATTCTTTTTCTTTTTTTTTCATCTACACTTTCAATTTCCAACTCCTGTGTCTATGCCTTTAATATTCTGACTCATAATTCATGCCATGAGGATGTTTTTCCACAACTCCTCTAGGATAAAAGAAAGCCTACATTAATTTATGTTAGTAATAATAACATTGGACAGTCTGAAACTGCTTGTGGCTTATATAAAAGGGGTTTTCCACTAGAAGTTTAACTCAGGCAGGGCGAGGTGGCTCATGCCTGCAATCCCAACACTTTGGGAGGCCAAGGCAGGCAGATCACTAGAGCACATGAGTTCAAGACCAGCCTGGGCAACATGGTGAGACCCTGTCTCTACAAAAAATACAAAAATTAATTTATCTATTATTTTCTATTTTATTACTTTCAATTATTAAATATTTTCTTTATTATTTTCTGGCTTCTACTGACATGGATTTATTTTTCTTTTTTTCCCTAGCTTTTTAAAATTTTCTATCCAGACCACAAAAAATTTTCTCCATATCAGCAATAAGACTGTTTTGCTATCTTATTTATGTGTTTACTGGAGTAGCGCATTTTAATTTTTTTCAATAACTTTTCTTTACATTCACAACTTGGCTAACTGGTGCAAAAGCCCTAGCTTCTGGCCTGTCTTGGCTTTTGATAGGCCTTCTTCACTAAGCTTAATCATTTCTAGCTTTTGATTTAAATAAGAGACATGTGACTCTTCCTTTCACTTGAATACTTAAAGGCCATTGTAGGATTATTAATTGGTCTCATTTCAATATTGTTGTGTCTTAGAAAATAGAGAGGCCTGAAGAGAGGGAGAGATGGTGGAACAGCCAGTGGGTGGAGCAATCAAAACATACATCATTTATCAATTAAGTTCACTGACTTACATGGGCAGTTTGTGGTTCCCTAAAACAATTACAATAGTAACATCAAAGATCACTGATCACACGTCACCATAACTTTCACCTGCGTCCGTGTGAAGAGATCACCAAACAGGCTTTGTGTGAGCAATAAAGCTTTTTAATCACCTGGGTGCAGGCGGGCTGAGTCCGAAAAGAGAGTCAGCTAAGGGAGATAGGGGTGGGGCCATATTATAAGATTTGGGTAGGTAAAGGAAAATTAGTCAAAGGGGGGTTGTTCTCTAGCGGGCAGGAGTGGGGGTCACAAGGTGCTCAGTGGGGGAGGTTTTTTGAGCCAGGATGAGCCAGGAAAAGGAATTTCACAAGGTAATGTCATCAGTTAAGGCAAGGACCGGCCATTTTCACTTCTTTTGTGGTGGAATGTCATCAGTTAAGGCAGGAACAGGCCATTTTCACTTATTTTGTGATTCTTCAGTTACTTCAGGCCATCTGGGCATATACATGCAGGTCACAGGGGATGCGATGGCTTAGCTTGGGCTCAGAGGCCTGACAATAACGATACAATAATAACGAAAAAGTCTGAAATATTGTGAGAATTACCAAAACGTCACATAGAGATATGAAGGGAGCACATGCCGTTGGAAAAATGATACTGATAGATTTGCTCTTGCAAGGTTGCCACAAACCTTCAGGTGCAATAAAGTGAAGCACAATAAAATGAGACAGGCCTATATTTGGTCGAACATCATTCTGGGTGTGTTTGGAGAGGTGGCTCCTCTCTGCAGGCAGGTCCCCATTGACTTCCCAGCTCTCAGCAGAGAGGATAGCTACTCTCTGCAGCTGGTCATCTCGTCATCTCTCAGTTGTCCTCTACCATGCTATTGCTGATCCTGGGGCTTTTATGGACCTCAGAGGGGAGGAAGTGCATATGGAGTGGTCCATCCGTGGCCATGGGTGGGCAGAAAAAGGCACCACAAGACCCCACTCCAGTCCACCGGTGTGGCAGCCTGACCCCCAGCCTTCAGGCTCTTCCTGGCCTGAGGATGGGGCCTTACAGGGACCCACTCCCTTCCACCTAGGAGCCCGTCTGCCTCCTGACGCCTTTCATGGTGCCAAGGGGCACCTGCAGGCCAACGCTTTGCCCGCATCCACTCTTGTCTGGCCCAACATCCAGAGGGGGCTGAGGTGGCAGGGCTCGATCATGCATATACCTGGCAGGGTTGTGACAGTGCCTGGGCTCAGCTCCACCTACTCCTAGATTGGATCAGTTGCAGAGAGTGGGAAGAGACCAGGCAGTAGGAGCAGGCACCTCTGAGCCTGCAATGGCAAAGGGGGCCTTCCCTGGCTCTCAAGAGCACACGGAGGCCCACATCTACTGTCTCCATTTGGACAGCTGCAGCTGTGCTTGGGGGTGTGGGGCTCCTGCCTGCTCCCAGCCCTCAAGAGCACATGGAGGCCCAAGTCTACAACCCTGACGTGGGTGGCTGCAGCCGCGCCCAGGGTGGGCAGAGCTCCTGCCTGCTCCCAGCACACAGGAGCCCCGGGTATACTGCACCGACTTTGGCGGCTGCAGCTGTGCCTAGTCGGGCAGGGGCTTTCAGGGAGGCCCTGGATAGAGCAGAACGCAGGCCCTGGGTCTGGCTGTCGGGAGTGGCAGGCTCCGAGGTCACCCTAACGCCTCGGGTGACCTGTATAGAGCAGACCCCAGGGGACTGGCCCTGGGAGGCCTGCACAGAGCCTCCTCCCAAGGCCCAGGAACTCCAGCATGCCAACTGCAGATCATGGGACTTCTCAATGTTTAGTGTACTATGAATTACATTCAGTGCTTTTAGGTATTATGTATATTTAAACGTTGTGGTTTTCATCTCTAGAAGTTTGATTTTTTAAAGTATCTTCCTCGTCTCTAAATTTTTGAACATATGGTAAACAGTATAATTGTTTTAATGCCATAACTTGAATCATTCTAACATATGTGTCAGTTCTGAGTCAGGTTTGATTTATTGATTTTTCTCCTTACATCATATTTTCCTGCTTTTTTTCATGCTTAGTAAATTTTCATTGGAAAATTTTCTTTTACTGGGTATATCTGTAATCCTATAAATACCCTTGAGTTTATTCTGGAGTGTTACTAAGTTACTTGGATACAGTTTGATACTTTAGTCACTTGTTTTGAAGATTTGTTAGGTAAAACCAGAACAGTGTTTAGTTTAGAGCTAATTATTGAAATTCTTGAAGCAAGACACTTTTGATTGCTAAACTCAATGCCTCAGGAATTCTTAGGTTTTCATTCTGGCACATAAATAGCTTGAGAACCCACAAAATTCCCAGCCTTTGCATAAGCATTGGGCACTATTTACCTTAATCCATTAAGTGGTTCTTTCCTCATTCTTGGATAGCTTCCTCACACACATGCAAATCAGCGCTCAGCTAAACTCAAGCAGGGCCCTCTCTCTGTGTATTAGTCCATTTTCATACTGCTATAAGGAAATACCCAAGACTGGGTAATTTGTAAAGAAAAGAGGTTTAATTGACTCACAGTTCCACATGGCTGGGGAGGCCTCAAGAAACTTACAATCATGGTGGAAGGTGAAGAGGAAGCACTGACCTTCTTCACATGGTGGCAGGAGAGAGAAGTGCAAGCAGGGGAAATGCCAGAGGCTTGTAAAACCATCAGATCTCATGAAAAGTAACTCACTGTCACGAGACCAGAATAGGAGAAACCACCCCCACGATCCAGTCACCTCCCTCCCTCAACATATGGGGATTACAATCGAGATGAGATTTGGATGGGGACACAGAGCCAAATCACATCATTCTGCAAGTCGTGAAAGATTTTTCTATGTTTAGCATTATCTTTTCTGACACTTTTTATGACAAATTCTGCCTTAGTCTGGATGCTCAGTTCTGCCTTTTTTATTTCTCAGTTTTTTTCAAAAGTTGTATTCCTTGATGTAAAGGTAAATGTCTAATTTTATTTCAGTGACTTGTACATAGTTGCCATCAATAAATATTTACCAAATAAAGGAATGCATTTTCATCATAAGATAAACCTCATCATAGCAACAGCTCATTTAAATGTTGCTGTTTATGTTGTTTTATAAGATATAACAAATAAATATTTTTATTTAATAATTTACTAATATTATTTTTAAATCATGTTGGGTAGTTAATCCAAACCAACAATATATAACTGTGATGAGAGTCAGAAAATTTCTATTATTTCTAAAAGTGTTGGGAATTATCCACTTCTCCTAGAATAAATATGATAGTAGACTTTGTTCTGATATAAATATTTTTACCTTATTGAATATGTTTTCCTACTGCTCCTATAGCACAGGGCCTATTTCTATTTAATGGCTTGCCAATTATTTGCATAATTGATGTAATATTTAGTAACTTTTAATATTTAATAACTTTACTAATGTTTTGGTAATACTTTCAGGAATACTTAAAATATTTCCTTATTAAACTTGTTCAACATTGCCTTATTTTGATTTGCTTGCTTGATAGTACAGGTACTATAATTTATTTAATGATATATTTAAATATATAGCCTTCCAAAATCTCAGGCAGCATACATGCAGAAATATTATACCTTTATAAAGTCAAAAATTTAAAACTGTTTAAAGATAAAATTTTTCTCTGGCATATCTGTAATAATGAAAGTGAATCAAAATATATTTCTAGGGCTTGGGGGACATATCTTGAGCAGCCACCCACATCAGCAAAACATTTCTCCAAGCACCCATATTTTAATTTAAAAATACATGTGATTTTCTCAACATAATATATCCATGTTTATTCCAATGCAACACAGTAGTTTCAATGTTCAATTATTTTGAGTTCTATTTATACTTCTAAGTTAAACAAACAAACTCAAGAATATGTTAACATTTTTATTAAATGACCACAAAAACCCCCAACATTCAACCTCTGAGAAATATACTGCTTTAATAGAATAAATAAATACAATAAGCGTTTTTTTCATAATACATATTAGGATGTATTTTATTTCATGCCAATAGCAGACTCCATGTATAAATGAACCATGGGTTGGGAAAAATACTGTGATCAAAAAAATGCATAATGTCTAGGATCCTTTTCCAGATTATACTAGAATTAAGGAAATGAACTCACTTTCTCTTATATAGCCACAGGCCTTCAAAAGTGTTCCCAAAAACCTTTTATCTGTGTTCCAGCTTCTCATCTGTCTCACCACCGGGAGCCACAGAAAGTGGACATGCTCACAGTACAGGAAATAGAGCTTTGCACTGTTCTTTTAATGATGTGGATTTTTTGGTGAACTCACTCTATTTTGTCTTGGTTTCTTCAGCTCATAGGTTTGTGAGGCAGTTTATAGCAAAAGGCTATAAAAGTCTTTTTTTTCTAAATAAAGATAATAGATCAACCAAAGTTTTGAATTCCACATGGTATTCTCAAACCCCCACACTGAAATAGGACTAAATTACCCAGTCAAGTGGTGAAGAAAGCTGCCTTGTCAAAACATGTAAATTCCCACTGAGTTTGTGTCCCTAAATTAGAATTTTTTCCACCTCAGGTTTTTCCCCTGCTGATCACTATCCAAAGCATCTCACTGTTCATCTTTCCCCCCAGAGTAAGTTCTATTTGCATTGACCTAGGCCTCATTGTTGTGTACCACAAGAGCATAAGATTGACTAAGGCAAAACATTTATGGCAAAAAAAATTTGTATTTAAAAGAATTCATGGCAAAAAAAATATATTTAAAATCATCACCTCTAAATTTGTTCATTAATTTCTCTTTCCATAATTCCATCTTAATGTTTTTGAACTAATTGTCTCTTGATTTTACTTGCCTGTGAGACCTTACAAAAGCATTTGAGGGTGATATAATTGGACATCGAATGTTAGAAGATGGCTAAATGGTGGCAATACATGTTGATCAAAATTACCTCACGATAGTACTGGCATGTTTTTCTAAGAGTTGGGATCATTTCTAATTTAATTGGGATTCATTTATAAACAATTTATGCTAAATATATTTCCTAAACTTTCTCAGTATCTTTTTCTCTAGCTATTATACCATTTTCCCTTACTTTAACTAGATTAGCTAGTCATTAGGAATAGGGAGAAAAAAGACTGACTTGATGGAATCCAATATTGTAAAGCAGATAGTCTCGTAAGTGAAAAAATGCTATGTAGATTTTACCAAGAGTTAATTGTTTTTTTCTTAGTCTTGTTCCACTTGTAAACTTTGTGTCACTTGATACTGTTCCCTCATCAATTCCATGTCCAACATCTTTTTGAAAGTCAAACACATCTATCCTCGCTTCTTAGGACTTCTTTTCAGATATCATCTTGTCTTAATCCAAAACTCTTTAGTCAGTGACCTTCTCAGGGCAGCTTTCACATCCTTGTTTCTCAATGTGTAGATGAATGGGTTGAGGGTGGGTGTGACAATGCCATAAAAGAGAGCCATGATCTTCCCCCGGTCATGAGAATAGCTAGAGGGAGGCTGGACATACATACTGATGGCTGTGAAGTAGAAGAGGGAGACCACCAGCAAATGTGAGGCACAGGTATTGAAAGCCTTCCAGCGACTTTCAGCAGAGCAGATTCTCATTACTGCCTGAGCAATGAACACATAAGTGCCCAGGATGAGGGTGAGTGGCATCAGGAGAAGCAAAGCGCCTAGTACATTGAGCTCCATTTCATTCACACGAATATCAATACAGGCTAGTTTCAAAAGGGCTGGAACTTCACAGAAGAAATGGTCCAACACCCTCTGTCCACATCTTGGGGCCACCACTGTGAGAGTGGACTGGACAAGGGAGTTAGCAAAGCCACTGATCCAAGTGCCAGCAGCCATGTGGATACAGCGTCTATGGTTCATGATGACTGGGTAGTGAAGGGGCTTGCAAATGGCAGCGTAACGGTCAAAGGCCATGATGGCTAGAAGTATGCATTCAGTAGAACCCAGGGCCAAAAATATATAGAGTTGGGCAACACAACCCCCATAGCTAATGGTCTTTTCTGGTCCCCGGAGGTTGACCAGCATCTGTGGGACAGTGCTGGTGGTATAGCAGAGGTCCAGAAAGGATAGATTAGAGACAAAAAAGTACATGGGACTGTCAAGCTGGGGATCCAGATGGGAAACTAGGATAATGGAGATATTTCCAAATAGGGAAAAGATGTAGGCCACCAGAAAGATTACAGAGGGGTGTCTCTAGCCAGGGACGGTCAGAAAATCCCAATAGGATAAAATCATCTAGCGAGCTTTGATTGTTGATCCACATGTTAGCACTGGGAGGTGAAATTCCAGCTGAGACCTCTAAATACCCACAGTTAGGGATAGACATCAACAGTAGGAGGAAGCCACTGAGAATTAGAGATCAGAGATGCCAAGATGAAATTTTCATTTTTGCTCTAATCGGCATCTGTATCTTCATTACAGTAAAATATCATTTGCATCTACATCCTGATTATGATGAAATGTGGAGACAACATCATCAATGTAATATTGAAAGATTACTGAGAACAGAATAAATACCACACCAGCAACATAGTTGGGAATTTTGCTTATTTAATATATGTCTTCTGGTTAGCTATTCACTCCATTTGGGTTTTCATATCTTCTCTTCTAAAAAGTTTTAGTATACTACCATCAACTCTACATGCATGGATATGTAATGGTGGCAACAGAGTGTAGATTAAAATAGAAGGAAAAGGCAGAACTTCCCAAAAACAGGTCAAACGAAGGCCGGCATGAAGACTACAGGAGGATGTGCAGCCAGGGAGAACGAAGACATCTTGGCACGTTCATCTGCTTGGTACAGATCCTGGTCAGAAAACACCATAAGAACTGGAGCACTTTATAAAGTCTGCATGATAAAAGGATGGAGTGCCATGACTCGTTTTACCCCTTCCAAGCTTTAATGCTAGTCCTACTCAGAACATTTAAAAATAGGGAGAAAAAAGCCAAAAAAACAAACAAAATTACACACACAAAAAGACAATCAGTCCTTAGAAATTTGTTTGCTGTGAAAATGCAACTTTAAAAATATCTGGATACATTTGATGAAATTTTAATCTCTGGAAGAAATCACCAGAAAGAGTTTTAAATATGTGAATCCTTGAAATTTGAGGATGTATATGAATTTGTAATCTCTCAGCATCATTCTCAGCACATATAAACTTAATCATTTTCCCTCTCTCTCCCTTCTTTATTCTCATATTTTCTAATTACTGATACTATTTTTTCCACCAAAATTGCCTCTATCCTGCTCTTTGCCCATCCAAATTACACAATTCCTTTATCATATAATTTCTAAAGAATAACTCCAATTGCAAATTTTTCCATTCCCTACAATCCCAAATTTCTTTTTTTGTTTGACTCTTATCTTTTAGTAAATTTGTCTTGTGTTTTTCTCTAGTTGTTTTATAAAAGACATTTATAAAAGACTGGGATTTCCTCCAAATCCCAGTCATTCCATTCATTAGCTGTGTGACTTTGGAGATGTCATTTAATCTTTGTGTGCTTCAATTTTCTCATCTTTCAAATAAGCATAATTATACCCATCTCATAGAACTAGTGTACAAATTAAGGAATAGAGTGTACATTGCAAACATAGCTCAGTTCTTGTCATATACTAATAATTCAATGACTATTAACAATTATTATATACTTACCTAATTATGAATCCCCAGATGTATTACAGTTGTTTTATTTTTATGCATTTATGCAGTTTATAATGATATTTGTAACAATAAACAAATATTTATTAGAGGATAGTAAACAAAATGTGACTGCTCTGAAATCAGCTCAGGATCCTCTATTTACTTTTCTGATCCTCTCAGTTGCCCTATGTCATATTCTTCTTGTGATCCTGACTTAGTAGGGTTCATGTACTTAGTTGGCCAGCTCTATATTTCAAATCGTGTCATCTGAGTTACGGTATCCGTGTGAATGAAATGAGTGACAGTGAGAAATGATAGGGATAAAAACTTGCTTCACAGCTAAACATAAGAATCACTAAATTCAAAACTGATTTTAGTATCCATCCATTAACACTTCTAATTTCTTCATTTGCTTATAGAATAACAATTCTTTTGGTATGCAGAGGTCATCATTCTCTTTGAATTATAATTGCATACATGTCACGTAAGATGTCAGCTGGAGTAATTTCTTCTTCACCATTGTCTCTCAAATCTATCTATTAAATCTGTATCTATCTAAAAACATTAAGGCAGACATACAGAAAATAGTTCAGTGTCCCATGATCTCTAGCTTTCAAACTGGTATTCTTACTTACAATTGTTCTCTCATCTTCAAAACAACCTAGCTGGTTTGGAGAACAGTCTTTTCATCGTTAAAATGTGGCCATGTACATTTCAATTCAAAATTATTCAGTGGCTCTCCATATTCTGACACATTATATTAAAATGCAACCTTGGACTCAGGCCTCATATAACAATCGCTTGAACCATGCAGACATATTCACTGATCCAACCAAACTTGTGACCTTCCCCCTTGACCCCTTGTATTTATGCTGATGTGAAATGCCATTGTTGTTATGTATCCTGTAAGGATCATCTCAAATATAAAAATGTCCTTAAGTATTTCCTGCTCTCCTTTCTTACTGGTCGTCCAGAGCATTTTATTTGTAATTTCTTGATGATATACTCATTTATAAATATGACATATATACATGATATATATATATATCATGTATATATGATTTGATAATTTTTTCATGATATACATATATACTCATATATAGATATATATCTATATATGGGAGAGATAGAGATTTTTTTCTGTCTTTTTTGTACTCGATATGTTTTCCTGACTATATCGATTACATACTCTTTGAAAAGAGTCAGCACGTGACTTTTAGACATAAGAGTATATGTTAAATATAATAGATATTTACTACATGTTAATCAATTTGAATTTAGTTGAAACCAGCAATCATGAAGCTTTTTCCTTTGGTGCTCTGATATGTTATTCCTAGATTACATTAGCATTTTGATATCATTATTTTTCACCTATGACCTCAATCAGTTTCACTGATATTTCATCACAACCAAACCCATATACATCATTTACTAATTCAGAGCCCAAGAGGTCAAAGCAGAGTTAAAATATGCCCCATTGGCAGTTTTAGGGTTTTATTGCTAATTCTCAAATTGATGTAACTAATTAACCAATAAATACATTTATTTTACTTACTAAAAATGCATGGACTTTAAATATGTCACTTCATACCCTTGTGACCTGGTTTGTTCAACCAGATCAAGAGAATTAAAATACTTGCATATAAACTCCATAGTACTTTAATGACAATTAAATGTATATTTCCTTTGTAAATTAAAAAAAACTTATAAAAGACCACATATAATACAAAAGCAGTAGCTGCAATATTAGTAGGACTACTCACATGGTAAAATTACATAGAAGTGATTCTAGAAACTTCTGGGACGTCTCCTTTTTTAAACCTTGTCATTTTGTATCTCTATAATGCCACTCTTCATTCAAACTGGTGCTATCCAATTCCTTTCTTCTCCCATTTCTCACCTGGGACAGTGAGTCTTTAGGAATAGAGCCTTAAAAATATGATTACGGCCGGGCGGGGTGGCTCACGCCTGCAATCCCAGCACTTTGGGAGGCCGAGGCGGGCGGATCATGAGGTCAGGAGATCGAGACCATCCTGGCGAACAAGGTGAAACCCCGTCTCTACTCAAAATAAAAAAAAAAATTAGCCGGGTGTGGTGGCAGCCACCTGTAGTCCCAGCTACTCGGCAGGCTGAGGCAGCAGAATGGCGTGAACCCGGAGGGGGCGGAGCTTGCCATGAGCCGAGATCGCACCACTGCACTCCAGCCTGGGAGACAGTGAGACTCCGTCTCAAAAAAAAAAAAATAATATATATATATATATAATATATATATATATATATATATATATATATATATATATATATGATTACATTTTGTATTGTATCCCCAAAGAAATGGAACACATATCTCTGCCAGTTGATTAGAAGATTATTATATGAATATATTTTGATTCAATACTGAGAAACAATTTTATCTTTACATATATATTTCTGAATCAAATTTTGCCTTATCTATTATGGTCAAAGGAAGACTTCTTCTGTGTTGTAGGATTTCTTATAGAAGAATACTTCTTAATCAGTATTCAAGTAATTCCTTGTCCAATTAAAATCCTAAAAAGACAATTTTGGAATGCTACCTTCATTCTGTCTGGATTGTTTTCTTGCTAGAGTCTCTTTCAGAATCTCATTTAGTTAGAACTCAGATAATGTTCTAAATCTGAAGAAAGCTGTGTTTCTTTTCCTACATTTCAAAATTAGTAATAACATTTTCACAATCTTTATATTTTTCTACTGCTTCTCTTCCAGTAGGCACAGCTATTTGTTTCTATTAAGTTCTATTAAGTACTATTAAGTTTCTGGGGTAAGTTTGGAAAGTTATGAATAAAATTAATTATATACTTTACCCGAGGAAAACAGTAAAGTTATTAAAGAAGTATATGTAGCCTGTTCCCCTGGTTTTCCATATACTTCATTTGTGCTTAAATATTGAAAATTTATAGGAAATAGAGGTAAAATGAGTAACAAGGAAATAATAGCAGCAGATAAACTCAGAAAGTAAAGAGAGAAGAAAAATGGAAAGAAAAAAATAAGACAGAAAAAAGAAGTACATAAAGATGGTAAATTTTTGTCTGATACATAGTAATAGTCACATAAGTAGCTGTCAAATATATGAATATAAAAAGAAATGGAAGAAAAATAGAAAATAAAAATGAAAGATCTAAGACTAAATTCAGTAATTCAGTTTAAATGTCTAGAAAGGATGCAGGGAGTTCTTGCCTTTCTGACTGTATAAGAATAATACGGAATTCGCCTAAATCAAAAGTTAAAAACAGGCTGATAATCCCCTTGAGGGTGAAAAACTGGAGCTGGGAGACAGAAGAATCTATAGATCTCTGGCAAATGGAGTGCACAAAAAAACGAAGGGTGAGCAGAGTAGAAGTATCTGACCACATGGTTTAAGAACACATGAAGCCCATTATTTTAAACGTTTACATCCTAATACACTCTTCATTAACTTTCTAAGCATGGCTCTAATATAATATGTTAATAAACAAAACTGAAACAATATTTAGATTTTCATTCTACCTGACTTATTTTATATACTTCCTCTTCATGTTACTTTGTAAGAACTTTTGCTATAGTTTTAATTCCATGCTATCAGATTCCCTTGTTCTAAATTGTCATAGATTTAAACAACTTTTTGTTGTTGTTTGTTTTTGTTTTTGTTTCTGTTCTGCCACCCAGGCTGGAGTGCAGTGATGTGATCTCAGCTCACTGCAACCTCCGCTTCCCAGGTTCACACGATTCTCCTGTCTCAGCCTCCAGAGCAGCTGGAATTACAGGTGTGCACCACCACACCCAGCTAATGGATTTAAACAACCTTTGATTATCTGAGTGGTAGGCCTTTCAGAGCTAAATTTTCTCAAAAATCAACATCTTAATAGCTACAATCTTTGTAATGGAAATAGCAGTTTCAGTCTAGAAAAGTGGTTAAAAAAAGGTACACCTAAAAATACTTAAATGAAAATATAAAGTTTCAAAGGTAAATAACATGATTGGTAACACATATTTTTCCATCAGTCTCCTAATAATAGAATAGTGTTTAACAAAGATTGGCAAACACCAGATAGTTCATATCAAATTTTCTATCCATAAACTTAAATTTTAAGTATATAATTGCTTTCATACAAGTATGTTTGTTTTCTTCTTATAATATGCCTCTAAAGAACGATTTTTTTATATAACAGAAGAGAGGAAACGCAGGCACCAAGAGGTTGTAGGACTTGCTCAAGTTTATAGATCTAGTAAATTCAGAAGAAAAGATTTGAATAATACAATATTTTGAATCCTACATCAGTATACTTTTCATAAGCTTATTGTTCTCTCAAACAAAAATGTATGTGGCTTGTAGAATAAACCTTTTTACATTTTAAAAAATTTTTATTTTATAGTTCTACTCCTGAGTGCTCCCTTCAGCCTACTCCACGAAGTGATGACAACTTTAATTAATATTCCCTCTCCAAATCCCTTCAACATTTACCTGATGCTGGGTTGTAATCCATCAGTTTGTCTGGAATGTGACATGGAGATACGGAGTCCTGGAAGACTGACCTGGGGCCCAAACATGATCCTCAAACCAGTTTGTTGTTTGAATTTCTTCTCAGCCCTCTTTAACATCAACCCAGCTCTCTCTGACCTACTGAAGGGTCAACCTCAAGAAACCAACTCCAACTGATGGCCATCCATAGAATACATAGCTCTTCAGGGAGCTTTCATGCCATTACTGCCTCACTCTCATACTTCCGTTTAAGCCTCCGAGATTCAAAATAATTAGCCTCTACTGCTGCCAACATGTCCAGGGAAAAATAACCAGAGGGACTAGAAAATGAGTATGCCACAGAAGAAATCAAGAAAATGTTTCTAACAAAATACAAACTTTGGGCATGTAAGTTTGGAGAGTCATCTAAGAAGAAAGAAAATTAATTCAAGCAAGACTAAATCTCATGGTTGCCAAGATGATTTTTTTCATTATACTTTAAGTTCTGGGATACATGTGCAGAACATGCAGGTTTGTTACATAGGTACACACATGCCATGGTGGTTTGCTGCACCCATCAACCCGTCATCTACATTAGGTGTTTCTCCTAATGCACCCCACCCTCTAACAGGCCCCAATGTATGATGTTCCCCTCACTGTGTCCATGTGTTCTCATTGTTCAACTCCCATTTATGAGTGAGAATAAGGAGTGTTTGGTTTGCTGTTCCTGTGTTAGTTAATGAGACTCATGGCTTCCAGCATAATCCATGTCCCTGCAAAGAACATAAACTCATTCTTTTTTATGGCAGCATAGTATCCCATGGTGTATATGTGCCACATTTTCCTTATCCAGTCTATCACTGATGGGCATTTGGGTTCCAAGTCTTTGCTATTGTAAATAGTGCTGCAATAAACATATATGTGCGTGTGTCTTTATAGTGGAATGTTTTATAATCCTTTGGGTATATATCCAGTAATGGGATTTCTAGGTCAAATGGTATTTCTGGTTCTAGATCCTTCAGAAATCACCACACTGTCTTCCACAATGGTTGAACTAATTTACATACCCACCAACAGTGTAAAAGCATTCCTATTTCTCCACATCCTCTCCAGCCTCTCTTGTTTCCTGACTTTTTAATGATCACCATTCTAACTGGCATGAGATGGTATCTCATTGTAGTTTTGATTTGCATTTCTCTAATGACCAATGATGATGAGCTTCATTTCATATGTTTGTTGACCACATAAATGCCTTCATGCCTTCTTTTGAGAGGTGTCTGTTCATATTCTTCACCCACTTTTTGATGGGGTTGTTTTTTTCTTGTAAATTTGTTTAAGTTATTTGTAGATTCTGGATATTAGTCCTTTGTCAGATGGATAGATTGCAAAAATTTTCTTCCATTCCGTAGGTTAACTGTTCACTCTGATGATAGTTTCTTTTGTTGTGCAGAAGCTCTTTAGTTTAATTAGATCCTATTTGTCTATTTTGGCTTTTGTTGCCATTGCTTTTGGTGTTTTAGTCATGATGTCTTTGACCATGCCTATGTCATGAATGGTATTGTCTATGTTATCTTCTAGAGTTTTTATGATATTGGGTCTTACATTTAAATCTTAATCCATCTTGAGTTAATTTTTTTATAAGGTGTAAGGAAGGGGTCCAGTTTCCGTTTTCTGCATATGGCTAGCCAGTTTTCCCAAAACCATTTATTAAATATGAAATCCCTTCCCCATTGCTTGTTTTTGTCAGGTTTGTCAAAGATCTGATGGTTGTAGATGTGTGGCATTATTTCTGAGGCCTCTGTTCTGTTCTATTGGTCTATATATCTGTTTTGGTATCAGTACCATGCTGTTTTGGTTACTGTATCCTTGTAGTATAGTTTGAAGTCAGGTAACATGATGCCTCCAGCTTTGTTATTTTTGCTTATGATTGTCTTGGCTATACGGGCTCTTTTTTGGTTTCATATGAAATTTAAAGTAGTTTTTTTCTAATTCTGTGAAGAAAGTCAATAGTAACTTGATGGGGATAGCATTGAATCTCTAAATTACTTCAGGCAGTATGTCCATTTTCACGATATTGATTATTCCCATCCATGAGCATGGAATGTTTTTTCATTTGTTTGTGTCCTCTCTTATTTCCTTGAGCCGTGGTTTGGAGTTCTCCTTGAAGAGGTCCTTCACATTCCTTGTAAGTTGTATTCCTAGGTATTTTATTCTCTTTGTAACAATTGTGAATGGGAGTTTACTCATGATTTGGCTGTTTGTCTATTATTGGTGTATAGGAATGCTTGTGATTTTTGCAAATTGATTTTGTATCCTAAGACTTTGCTGAAGTTGCTTTTCAGCTTAAGGAGATTTAGGTCTGAGACGATGGGGTTTTCTAAATATACAATCATGTCATCTGCAAACAGAGACAATTTGACTTCCTGCCTTCCTATTTGAATACACTTTATTTCTTTCTCTTGCCTGATTGCCCTGACCAGAACTTCCAATACTATGTTGAATAGGAGTGGTGAGAGAGGGCATTCTTGTCTTGTGCTGGTTTTCAAAGAGACTGCTTCCAGCTTTTGCCCATTCAGTATGATATTAGCTTTGGGTTTGTCATAAATAGCTCTTATTATTTTGAGACACGTTCCATCAATACCTAGTTTATTGAGAGTTTTTAGCATGAAGAGGTGTTGAATTTTATTGAAGGCCTTTAAAATAAACAACCTGACATCACAATTAAAAGAACTAGAGAAGAAAGATCAAACAAATTCAAAAGCTAGCAGAAGACAAGAAATAACAGATCAGAGCAGAGATGAAGGAGATAGAGACACAAGAAACCGTTCAAAAAATCAATGAATCCAGGAGCTGGTTTTTTGAAAAGCTTAACAAAATAGACCACTAACTGGACTAATAAAGAAGAAAACAGAGAAGAATCAAATAGACACGACAAAAAATGATAAGGGGGATATCACCACTGATCTTACAGAAATACAAACTACCATCAGAGGATACTATAAATAACTCTATGCAAATAAACTAGAAAATTTAGAAGAAATGGATAAATTCCTGGACACATACATCCTCCCAAGACTAAACCAGGAAGAAATCTAATCCCTGAATAGACCAATAACAAGTTCTGAAATTCAGGCAGTAATTAATAGCCTACCAACCAAAAAAGAAGCCCAGGATCAGACAGATTCACAGCCGAATTCTACCAGAGGTACAAAGAGGAGCTGGTACTATTCCTTCTGAAACTATTCCAAACAATAGAAAAAGTCGGAATCTTCCCTAACTCATTTTGTGAGGCCAGCATCATCCTGATACCAAAACCTGGCAGAGACACAACAAAAAAAGAAAATTTCAGGCCAATATCCCTGATGACATCGATGTGAAAATCCTCAATAAAATACTGGCAAACCGAATCCAGCAGCACATCAAAAAGCTTATCCACCATAATCAAATCGACTTCATCCCTGGGATGAAAGGCTGGTTCAACATACACAAATCAATAAACGTAATCCGTCACTTAAACAGAGCCAATGTCAAGGTGATTTTTTAAATATGGATTATGAAATAGGTAAATTTTTCCTTCACATGTACTTATTATTCTGATAAAGATATGACAACTTCATGCACTCGTTAAAATAATGTAAGTTTAAAATATGATTTTTTTTTCCTATTTCTTCCTATAGTGTTTCCTCATTCTCACTTAATGTATTGTATAAGATACTTCACAAACATAAGACATATTGATTCATTGGATAACATTGTCACTATATAAATTAGGAAAATACATTTTCATTATTCATATTTAGCTGATGACAATTCCAAAACTGAGAAAATCAAAGTTTCTCAAGATTACAGACAGGTAGACTAGGAACACAAACCAATGCTTCCAAATTTGATCTAGTTTTTCCTCCTCCAAGTTATTGAGCATAACTAATCTAGGCCCCTCAGAGTGAAGGTTGAAATTGTAATTCAACATATATTCTGGCCCACTATCTCCATTATATTAGCCTTTTTTTTCTGTTACAATCTTTCTGGAATAGTAGGAAAAATAATAGACATGAAAATGCTAAGACTGTGTATAAATACTTAATCGTCTTCTTGGACAGATAAGCTTAAATACCAGACTTTGCATTTCTTTATTTTAAAAAGTATACTTATCAAAACCACTAAATTAACTTGCTCTCAAATAAATAATACGAAGCAAGGTTTTTGAAAGCATTTCATATCAGGCTTCAGAAATGAACCCAAATGTGTATGGAGATTTACTTTATCATGAAGGAGTAATTTCATATCATTACGTAAAGGCAGAACGTTTCAATGGAGTGTGTGTGTGCTAACTGATTTAAAATCAGGAAAAAAATAAATAAATTCCTATCTTTAATTTCAAAACAATAAAAATTTAAATGTAGAAATATTAGGCAAAAGACCTAAGATCACTTAAAGGCCTTAAATTATTGATGTATTTGATACATAAAAGTATTCACTTGACACAAATTTGCACATATTCGTTCAGAAGTGGGTGTACAAAGACCTTTGTTGCAGTGTTGTTTGCATTAGCAAAAAGCTACACATCTCATAAATGACTACCAGTCCTGAAGTTGTTAAACACATCTTCATAATGTAATATTTTGCATTTATTAAAAATAGCGAGGCAAGTCTGTAGTTAGAGAATTGATATATTTAAGGAGAAAAAAGTTACAAGATGGTATTTATAAGATGACACAGGATGTTATCTCTCTACTAACCTATCAATATGCATATATAAATAAATGTATCTATTAAAACACATGAACACATACACAACTACCCCACATACACTAATATGTGTAAAGAATATCTTCAGAAAAGTGAAAAATGGCAAATAGTGAGATGGAGTAAGGAGTGGAAGAGGGATGTGTTTGCACCATAAATATCTTTATTGGGTATATTTCTTGTCATATTTTTTACATTTTTTGAATTTGTAACAATAATGAGCACAAAACAACAGCATTATGATGACCTTCCTGGGAAGTTTCCTGAGGAGGGCATGTAGAGCATAATTCCATTATGAAAAAAATGTGCTTAGAGTATGAAATGAAATAAACCAACATCTTACCTAATCAGATTATCTTCAATATTCATCTCTTTATTTTTAAAATTTTATGGTTTTATTTTTTTTATTGATATAAATGGTTTCTTTATTTGTAGAATTACACTTAAAATTATTTTGAAGCAGCATGAACTCTCTCTGGATGGTATTAGAATTTCATACCCAAATAAACTTGAACATTACTTTTTTAAAATTTTATTATTATTATACTTTAAGTTTTAGAGTACATGTGCACAACGTGCAGGTTTGTTACATATGTCTACATGTGCCATGTTGGTGTGCTGCACCCATTAACTAATCATTTAGCAATAGGTATATCTCCTAATGCTATCCCTGCCCCCTCACCACACCCCACAACAGTCCCCCGTGTGTGATGTTCCCCTTCCTGTGACCACGTGTTCTCATTGTTCAATTCCCACCTATGAGTGAGAACATGCGGTGTTTGGTTTTTTGTCCTTGTGATAGTTTGCTGAGAATGATGGTTTCCAGCTTCATCCATGACTCTACAAAGGACATGAACTCATCATTTTTTATGGCTGCATAGTATTCCATGGTGTATATGTGCCACATTTTCTTAATCCAGCCTATCATTGTTGGACATTTGGGTTGGTTCCAAGTCTTTGCTATTGTGAATAGTGCCGCAATAAACATATGTGTGTGTGTGTCTTTCTAGCAGCATGATTTATAATCCTTTGGGTATATACCCAGCAATGGGATGGCTGGGTCAAATGGTATTTCTAGTTCTAGATCCCTGAGGAATCGCCACACTGACTTCCACAATGGTTAAATTAGTTTACAGTCCCACCAACAGTGTAAAAGTGTTCCTATTTCTCCACATCCTGTCCAGCACCTGTTGTTTCCTGACTTTTTAATGATCACCATTCTAACTGGTGTGAGATGGTATCTCATTGTGGTTTTGATTTGCATTTCTCTGATGGCCAGTGATGATGAGCATTTTTTCATGTGTTTTTTGGCTGCATAAATGTCTTCTTTTGAAAAATGTCTGTTCATATCCTTCACCCACTTTTTGATGGGGTTGTTTGTTTTTTTCTTGTAAATTTGTTGGAGTTCACTGTAGATTCTGGATATTAGCCCTTTGTCAGATGGGTAGGTTGCAAAAATTTTCTCCCATTCTGTAGGTTGCCTATTCACTCTGATGGTAGTTTCTTTTGTTGTGCAGAAGTTCTTTAGTTTAATTAGATCCCATTTGTCAATTTTGGCTTTTGTTGCCATTGCTTTTGGTGTTTTAGACATGAAGTCCTTGCCCATGCCTATGTCCTGAATGGTATTGCCTAGGTTTTATTCTAGGGTTTTTCTGGTTTTAGGTCTAACATTGAAGTCTTTAATCCATCTTGAATTAATTTTTGTATAAGGTGTAAGGAGGGGATCCAGTTTCAGCTTTCTACATATGGCTAGCCAGTTTTCCCAGCACCATTTATTAAATAGAGAATCCTTTCCCCATTGCTTGTTTTTGTCAGGTTTGTCAAAGATCAGATACTGGTAGATATGTGGCATTATTTCTGAGGGCTCTGTTCTGTTCCACTGTTCTATATCTCTGTTTTGGTACCAGTACCATGCTGTTTTGGTTACTGTAGCCTTGTAGTATAGTTTGCAGTCAGGTAGCATGATGCCTCCAGCTTTGTTCATTTGGCTTAGGATTGACTTGGAAATGCAGGCTCTTTTTTGGTTCCATATGAACTTTAAAGTAGTTTTTTCCAACTCTGTGAAGAAAGTCATTGGTAGCTTGATGGGCAAGGCATTGAATCTATAAATTACCTTGGGCAGTATGGCCATTTTCACGATATTGATTCTTCCTACACATGAGCAGGGAATGTTCTTCCATTTGTTTGTATCCTCTATTATTTCATTGAGCAGTGGTTTGTAGTTCTCCTTGAAGAGGTCCTTCACATCCCTTGTAAGTTGGATTCCTAGGTATTTGATTCTCTTTGAAGCAATTGTGAATGGGAGTTCACTCATGATTTGGCTCTCTGTTTGTCTGTTATTGGTGTATAGGAATGCTTGTGATTTTTGCACACTGATTTTGTATCCTGAGACTTTGCTGAAGTTCCTTATCAGCTTAAGGAGATTTTGGGCTGAGACGATGGGGTTTTCTAGATATACAATCATGTCATCTGCAAACAGGGACAATTTGACTTCCTCTTTTCCTAATTGAATGCCCTTTATTTCCTTCTCCTGCCTGATTGCCCTGGCCAGAACTTCCAACTCTATGTTGAATAGGAATGGTGAGAGAGGGCATCCCTGTCTTTTGCCAGTTTTCAAAGGGAATGCTTCCAGTTTTGTCCATTCAGTATAATATTGGCTGTGGGTTTGTCATAGATAGCTCTTATTATTTTAAGATATGTCCCATCAATACCTAATTTATTGAGAGTTTTTAGCATGAAGTGTTGTTGAATTTTGTCAAAGGCCTTTTCTGCATCTATTGAGATAATCATGTGGTTTTTGTCTTTGGTTCTGTTTATATGCTGGATTACGTTTATTGATTTTCATATGTTGAACCAGTCTTGCATCCCAGGGATGAAGGCCACTTGATCATGGTGGATAAGCTTTTTGATGTGCTGCTGGATTCAGTTTGCCAGTATTTTATTGAGGATTTTTGCATCAATGTTCATCAAGGATATTGGTCTAAAATTCTCTTTTTTGGTTGTGTCTCTGCCAGGCTTTGGTATCAGGATGATGCTGGCCTCATAAAATGAGTTAGGGAGGATTCCCTCTTTTTCTATTGATTGGAATAGTTTCAGAAGGAATGGTAGCAGCTCCTCTTTGTACTTCTGGTAGAATTCGGCTGTGAATCCATCTGGTCCTGGACTTTTTTTGGTTGGTAAGCTGCTAATTATTGCCTCAATTTCAGAGCCTGTTATTGGTCTATTCAGAGATTCAACTTCTTCCTGGTTTAGTCTTGGGAGGGTGTATGTGTCGAGGAATTTATCCATTTCTTCTAGATTTTCTAGTTTATTTGTGTAGAGGTGTTTATAGTATTCTCTGATGGTAGTTTGTATTTCTGTGGGATTGGTGGTGATATCCCCTTTATCATTTTTTATTGCGTCTATTTGATTCTTCTCTCTTTTCTTCTTTATTAGTCTTGCTAGTGGTCTATGAATTTTGTTGATCTTTTCAAAAAACCAGCTTCTGGATTCATTGATTTTTTGAAGGGTTTTTTGTGTCTCTATTTCCTTCAGTTCTGCTCTGATCTTAGTTATTTCTTACCTTCTGCTAGCTTTTGAATGTGTTTGCTCTTGATTCTCTAGATGTTTTAATTGTGATGTTCTGGTGTCAGTTTTAGATCTTTCCTGCTTTCTCTTGTGGGCATTTAGTGCTATAAATTTCCCTATACACACTGCTTTAAATGTGTCCCAGAGATTCTGGTATGTTGTGTCTTTGTTCTTGTTGGTTTCAAAGAATATCTTTATTTCTGCCTTCATTTCATTATGTACCCAGTAGTCATTCAGGAGCAGGTTGTTCAGTTTCCATGTAGTTGAGTGGTTTTGAGTGAGTTTCTTAATCCTGAGTTGTAGTTTGATGGCACTGTGGTCTGAGAGACAGTTTGTTATAATTTCTGTTCTTTCACATTTGCTGAGGAGAGCTTTATTTCCAGCTATGTGGTCAATTTTGGAATAGGTGTGGTGTGGTGCTAAAAAGAATGTATATTCTGTTGATTTGGGGTGGGGAGTTCTGTAGATGTCTATTAGGTCCGCTTGGTGCAGAGCTGAGTTCAATTCCCAGGTATCCTTGTTAACTTTCTGTCTCGTTGATCTGTCTAATGTTGACAGTGGGGTGTTAAAGTCTCCCATTATCATTGTGTGGGAGTCTAAGTCTCTTTGTAGGTCTCTAAGGACTTGCTTTATGAATCTGGGTGCTCCTGTATTGGGTGCATATATATTTAGGATAGTTAGCTCTTCTCGTTGAATTGATCCCTTTACCATTATGTAATGGCCTTCTTTGTCTCTTTTGATCTTTGTTGGTTTAAAGTCTGGTTTTTCAGAGACTAGGATTGCAACCCCTGCCTTTTTTTGTCTTTCATTTGCTTGGTAGATCTTCCTCCATCGCTTTATTTTGAGCCTATGTGTGTCTCTGCATGTGAGATGGGTTTCCTGAATACAGCATACTGACGGGTCTTGACTCTTTATCCAATTTGCCAGTCTGTGTCTTTTAATTGGCGCATTTAGCCCATTTACATTTAAGGTTAATATTGTTATGTGTGAATTTGATCCTGTCATTATGATGTTAGCTGGTTATTTTGCTTGTTAGTTGATGCAGTTTCTTCCTAGCCTTGAAGGTCTTTACAATTTGGCATGTTTTTTCAGTGGCTGGTACAGGTTGTTCCTTTCCATGTTTAGTGCTTCCTACAGGAGCTCTTTTAGGGCAGGCCTGGTGGTGACAAAATCTCTCAGCATTTGCTTGTCTGTAAAGGATTTTATTTCTCTTTCACTTATGAAGCTTAGCTTGGCTGGATATGAAATTCTGGGTTGAAAATTCTTTACTTTAAGAATGTTGAATATTGGCCCCCACTCTCTTCTGGCTTGTAGAGTTTCTGCCGAGAGATCCACTGTTAGTCTGATGGGCTTCCCTTTGTGGGTAACCTGACCTTTCTCTCTGGCTGCCCTTAACATTTTTTCCTTCATTTCAACTTTGGTGAATCTGACAATCATGTGTCTTGGAGTTGCTCTCCTCGAGGAGTATCTTTGTGGCATTCTCTGTATTTCCTGAATTTGAATGTTGGCCTGCCTTGCTAGATTGGGGAAGTTCTCCTGGATAATACCCTGCAGAGTGTTTTCCAACTTGGTTCCATTATCCCCGTCATTTTCAGGTGCACCAATCAGACATAGATTTGGTCTTTTCACATAGTCCCATATTTCTTGGATGCTTTGTTCGTTTCTTCTTATTCTTTTTTCTCTAAACTTCTCTTCTCGCTTCATTTCATTCATTTCGTCTTCCATAACTGATACCCTTTCTTCCAGTTGATTGCATCGGCTACTGAGGCTTGTGCATTCATCACGTAGTTCTCGTGCCATGGTTTTCAGCTCCATCAGGTCCTTTAAGGACTTCTCTGCATTGGTTATTCTGTTTATCCATTCATCTGATTTTTTTTTTCAAGGTTTTTAACTTCTTTGCCATTGGTTCAAACTTCCTCCTTTTGCTAGGAGTAGTTTGATCCTCTGAAGACTTCTTCTCTAAACTTGTCAAAGTCATTCTCCCTCCAGCTTTGTTCCGTTGCTGGTGAGGAGCCGCATTCCTTTGGAGGACGAGAGGCGCTCTGATTTTTAGAGTTTCCAATTTTTCTGCTCTGTTTTTTCCCCATCTTTGTGGTTTTATCTACCTTTGGTCTTTGATGATGGTGACGTACAGATGGGTTTTTGGTGTGGATGTCCTTGCTGTTTGTTAGTTTTCCTTCTAACAGTCAGGACCCTCAGCTGCAGGTCTGTTGGAGTTTGCTGGAGGTCCACTCCAGACCCTGTTTTCCTGGGTATCAGCAGCAGTGGTTGCAGAACAGCAGATATTGGTGAACCGCAAATGCTGCTGCCTGATTGTTCCTCTGGAAGTTTTGTCTCAGAGGAGTACCTGGCCGTGTGAGGTGTCAGTCCGCCCCTACTGGGGGATGCCTCCCAGTTAGGCTACTTGGGGGTCAGGGACCCACTTGAGGAGGCAGTCTGCCCGTTCTCAGTTCTCAAGCTGCGTGCTGGGAGAACCACTACTCTCTTCAAAGCTGTCAGACAGGGACATTTAAGTCTGCAGAGGTTACTGCTGCCTTTTGTTTGTCTGTGCCCTGCTCCCAGAGGTGGAGCCTACAGAGGCAGGCAGGCCTCCTTGAGCTGTGGTGGGCTCCACCCAGTTCGAGCTTCCTGGCCGCTTTGTTTACCTACTCAAGCCTTGGCAATGGTGGGTGCCCTCCCCCAGCCTTGTTGCTGCCTTGTAGTTTGATCTCAGACTGCTGTGCTAGCAATGAGCAAGGCTCCTTGGGCGTAGGACCCTCCGAGCCAGGTGCTGGATATAATCTCCTGATGTGCTGTTTGTTGAGCCCATTGGAAAAGCACAGTATTAGGTTGGGAGTGACCCAATTTTCCAGGTGCTGTCTGTCACCCCTTTCTTTGACTAGGAAAGGGAATTCCCTGACCCCTTGTGATTCCCAGGTGAGGCGATGCCTCGCCCTGCTTCGGCTCACACATGGTGCACTGCACCCACTGTCTTGCACCCACTATCCGGCACTCCCCAGTGAGATGAACCCAGTACCTCAGTTGGAAATGCAGAAATCACCTGTCTTCTGTGTTGCTCACGCTGGGAGCTGTAGACTGGAGCTGTTCCTATTCGGCCATTTTGGCTCCACCCTGGTTAGTTGAGTTTTTAAATCAACCCAATGAAGAAATGGTCTTAGCTTCTCCCAGCTGTTTGAGCCAGCACATAAAATTAGAATATCTTTTAAGGGCTCTCATGTTGATAAATTTGGCTTAATCCACATTTGGTTCAGTCAAATGTTTTCTCTCTTCATGACAATCCATTCCAATATAATCCCCAAGATTTTTGTAGCTTAAAATGGCAAATTTTATCATTATTTTCTGTCTCCTGACACACTGTTAGTGTTAGTCTGATGGGCACACAACAAGTGTCATCTCTCAGCATGCTCCAGGGAGACAGAAACATCCTACCTAGTTGTGTTGTGATTAATCATGATAACTGATACCCTCTTTAAAGGTATTGCCTCAGATATCATTTCAAAAACTTCAGCCAAATCATGGTCATTTCACCAAACAAAAGAAATAGGGTGACCTGACATGAAAACAAAGATTTTTTTTTTATTTTGGGATTGATAGCACTGTAATTTACTTGAAACTATCTAGATATTCTCAACACTACAGGAGCAAACTTGGATGGGTATTTTGCCACAAGTGCAGCAGAAAAGCTAAGATAATTCACTCCAATGCACTACAAGCTTTCATAATGTGTGCTGAAGTGTCCTTCCAAAGTTTGGGAGTGCCCTCAAAGGGCAGAAAGCTAGGGACAGGACTGGGAAGCAAATAGAAGTCCCCACTGACCCAAAAGGCTGGCAGCCAGACTATAAAGCAAAGAGAAATCTCCCGTAGTCCAAAAGGCTGGTAGCCTCACTATAAAACATCAAGACTTATCTGGACTCTCACCAGAATTCAGGCCCACCCTTCCTTCAAAATAGTTGAAGACAATGGTTAACTGAATTTAACCAAGTTTACAACAGGTTTAAGCTTAGCTACACATCAGACAGTCTGAGTTCCCCATACTCATACCCTGATAAATAAGGAATGTGTCCTATCCTGAGGATAAATACTACTTACTATTTATTTCTGTCCCTACAAGTATTTTTTACAAATTGTTATGGACTGTTTGTGTCACTCCAAATTTATATGTTGAAGCACTTACCACAATGTGATGATATTTGGAGGTAGAGTCTTTGGGAAGTTAAATTAGGTTTAGATGCAGTCATGAGAGTGGGGCCCCCATGTCAGGGTTAGTGTTTTTATAAGAAAAGGAAGAAAGATCAGAGTTTTATCTACACAATGTGAGAATACAGTGAAAGGTCTGTCAGCAAGAGAGACTTCACCAAAAACTAAATTTTCTGGCACCTTAAATTTGGACATTCCAGCTTCCAGAATTATGAGAAATAAATGTCTGTTGTTTAAGCCACCCAAGCTATGGTATTTTGTTATAACATCCTGAGCTAAGACATATTTTTGTACCAGGAGTGGGATGTAGCTGAAAATGTAGAAGTGGCTTTAAAACTGGAAAAGGGGTAGAAGTTAAGGAATTTGGGGATGCATGCTATAAATATGCACAATAATAGCTATTCTGTTTAGGGCTTATACAGAATATAAGACTGCTGGAGAAAAACTTCCATTTTCTTATAGAATACATAAATAATTATAAACAGAATGTTGGCAGAAATATGTATGGTAAAGGTCATTCTGGGGAAGGCTTAGACAGAAATGAAGAATAAGCTATTGGACAATTGAGAAAAAGTGATTCTTTTTATAAAGTGGTAAAGAACTTGGCTGAATTATGTTCATGTTTTATTGTTTTGTGGAATGTAAAACTAGTAAGTGATGAAATTAACAGTGAACATAGCTGACATTTCTAATCAAAGTGTTGAAGGAGTCACTTTGTTCATCCTGACTGCTTCTACTAAGATGCAAGAAAAAAAAAAGAGATAAATGAATCAAAAAAGGAATTGTTAAAAAAAAAAAGGAGCTGGAACTTAAAAAATTGGAAAGTTCTCAGCCTATCCACACTGCAAAAGATGAGAAAGCATGCTGAGAAAAAAAAAAAACCACCAAAGGTGTGGCTGGACCCTCACTCGATAAAGAGATTACGGGATTATATAAGCAGAAACACTGTCAGTCTGAACTGAAGGAGATGGGAATGGGATAAAATGAAGGAAGTCTGTCAGACTTCTTAGATTCTTTGGGACTGGACCATAGAGCTATTCAGATGTGAATGTGTGATATTACTCTTCAAGACAAGGGAAGAAAGACCCTAAAGGTGTTTTAGAGATTATCTGGGCTGCCACCTCAGATTTAAAGGTTGGGGCTATCATCTCAGTTTCAATGGGCAGTTGGTGTCAGAGTGGCTGCCAGAGCCTTTTGGGTACAATGAAGAGTCATGAGGACATGACCCCTTCCCTGCAGAGCTACAGAGGTCCGACTATCTACTATCCCAGTTTGTCCAGAAAGTGGGACTGTCATCCCAGTAGACCCAGAAGGCAAATTATGAAACCAAAGATTATCCTTGAGCTTTAAGATCTAATGGTATTTGCATTACAAGATTTTAGATTTGCTTGGAACCTGCCACCCCTTTCTTTCTTCCAGGTGTTGGAATGAGAATGCCTATTCTATGTCTAATCTATCATTGTATTTTGGAAGTGTGTAATTTATCTGGTTTCACAGACTTATAACTGGGGATGAATTTTTCCTCAGGATTAATCGTATCTTGAGCCTCACCTATATCTGATTTAGATGATATTTAGATGAGACAGGACTTCCAATTTTAGAGTTGATCTTGGAATAAGTTAAGACTTTGGGGGCTACTGAAATAAGATCAATTTTTTTTGTGTGTAAGAATAACATTAATTTGGGAGACAAAAGGCAGAATGCTATGGATTGAATGTCTGTGTACCCCCAAAATTCATATGTTGAAGCCCTAACCCTCCATGTGATGGTATTTGGAGATGGGGCCTTTGGAAAGTAATTAGGTTTAAATCAGGTCATGAGGGTGGGCCTCCATAAGGGGATTAGTGACCTCATAAAAGGAAGAGGGACCATAAAAGGAAGAGCACACTCTTTCCCTACCACTTGAGGGAACAGCAAGTGAAAAGGCAGCCGTCTGCAAGTCAAGAAGTAGGGCCTCATCAGGAACTGCACCTCCTACTCCTTTATCTTAAACCTCCCAGCCTCCAGAACTTTGAGAAATAAGTGTCTGTTGTTTATTCCACCCAGCCTGTGGTATTTTGTTAGAGCAGCCCAAGCTGACCAAGACACACAATGCCTGGCATAAAATAAAAATTAAACACTATGAGGCACACTAACAAGCAAGAAAAATAGAAACAGTGCACGCCTGTAATTCCAGCTACTAGCGAGGCTGGGGCAGGAGAATCACTTGAACCTGGGAGGCAGAGGTTGCAGTGAGCAGAGATCACCCAGGCACTCCAGCCTGGGTAACAGAGTAAGACTCCGTCTCAAAAAAAAAAAAAAAAAAAAAAAAAAGAAAGAAAAAGAAAAAAGAAAAAGAAAGAAACAGGAGTCATTTGAAGCTAAAAAGAGGAAATATTCAAGTGAAGTATATCCAGACATGGTTCAGACATTAGAATCATCAGATAAGAATTTTTTAAATATGTTTTAACATTTCGCTGGTAAAGGCAGACAAGATTTATGAACAAAGGGGAGATCTCAACAAAGAGATTAGCATTGTACAGAAGAACCAAATGGAAATGTTGGATATAAAAAAAAACATACCAGAAATAATATAAGAAATAAATAATTAATTTGGTGGGCTTAACAATAGGCTGGACTCAGTAGAGGAAAGAATTCATGAACTGAAATACAAGTCAATTGAAATTATCCAAACTTCAACCCAAAGAGAAAAAAGAAAAAGCATCCAAGTTATGTAGGATAATATTATCTCCTCTGACACATGAGTACTTGGAGCTCCAGAATATAAGAAAAAGAAATAAACAGAAAAAAATCTTAAGAGATAATGGTTGAGAATTTTCCAAAATTAATGACACCACCATAAATCCGAGAAGTTCACCAAACCCAATGCAAAATAAATAAGAAAATCACACCGTTGCCCTTTACCAAAATGATGACATGGATTTCCCTTAAGAAAAAACAGAATGATCAATGATAGCCACTTCAGTGGTTTTATACTCCTTGGATTCACAGGGCAGCCTCAGCTTCAGATGATGATCTCTGGGGTTGTCTTTTTCTTCTACACTATTGCCTTCATGGGAAATATGGCCATCATCCTATTGTCTTTCCTAGATGACCATCTCCAAGTCCCCATGTACTTCTTCCTTAGAAATTTGGCCATCTTGGATCTCTGTTATACCACAAATATAGTCCCACAAATGTTGGTCAGTATCTGGGGCAAAGACAAAAGAATTACCTTTGGTGGGTGTGCCTTTCAACTTTTCATTGATGTGGCACTGTACTCAGTTGAATGCATCCTTCTGTCCATGATGTCATATGATCGACTCAATGCTATCTGCAAGCCTCTGCATCATATGACCATAATGAACCTCCAACTCTGCCAGGGCCTTGTGGTCATCTCCTGGGTAGTTGGTGTGATTAATTGCATCATACCTTCCCCCTATGCCACGAGTCTTCCTCGATGTAGGAACCACCACCTAGACCACTTTTTTGTGTGTGTGAAATGTCTGCAATGATCAAGATTCAAGATTGCATGTGTGGACACCACAGCCATGGAGGTAACCACATTTGCCATGTGCCTGATTATAGTTCTTGTTCCTCTTCTTCTTATTCTTGTGTCATATGGTTTCATTGCTGTGGCTGTACTCAAGATCAAGTCTGCAGCAGGAAGACAAAAAGCATTTGGGACCTGTTCCTCCCATCTCGTTGTGGTATCCATCTTCTGTGGGACAGTTACATACATGTATATACAGCCAGGAAACAGTCCAAATCAGAATGAGGGCAAACTTCTCAGTATATTTTACTCCATTGTTACTCCCAGCTTGAACCCATTAATTTATACGGTAAGGAATAAGGAGTTCAAGGGGGCCATGAAGAGGCTAACTGGAAAAGAAAAAGATTGCATGGAAAAAAGAGGACATTGATTCTTCCTCCCAGCAATTTCTAATATGGCAATTGATCTTCCCAATCTAAAATGTAGACAATTTATTTTGTAAATAAATTGTCTACACCTGAGATAAAGATAATATCCATTAAAAATATAATAAAATTATAATAAAAATTATAATTAAGCCGAATGTATTTATTGAATACTTAATCCATGATGATTGGTATATGTACAAAACTCATATTTAAAATGAAATTATAAACTAAAGTGCCAACACTAAAAATAACATGCTATGCACTGATTTCTTTTGGATTATATATGTTACAATTATATTGATATTGACCAATTTAACTCTAATAGTCTCCTTTGATTATGCTAACTAAATATTGTCATTAATTTAAGGAGATTAAAAGCTGTTTTCATTGCCCTCTATTTTAAGGTACAACACTTTTGCTCCAACCAGTCCCAGGAATATTTTTACACAGGCAAATCTCCAGCCTGAAGATGACAGCAGCAAAGCTAGTCGTTAACCAAGAAGACCAAGAGTTCTAGTTATCAATCATCTTTGAAAAGATCTCATGTTAATTAACCACAGTAATTTCCCCCTATCTTTCTCTGCTTAGATAATTACTCAAGGAGCTCAATTTTTGTGATCACAAAAGAAAAATATTTTTATCAGTTCCAATAATCATCTTTAAGATAATGCTTTTTTCTTTCCCACTTGGCCTTCCAAGTTTTTACTACTTATTTTGGGGATGAGCATGGAGGTATTGCCATGTCACCTGGTTTTAGATGTTCTACATTTTTTCTCTGAGTGCTTCAAGAAAACTGACACATAGAAAGGTGATTTATTTGGCTATTGAAATGGTCTTTCTGTCTTTTTCTGAAGTGTGTTTTTAAATGCATTTCTTTCTCATTTTTGTTGAGTTATTATCCTTTCCATATTTTGACTGAAGATAAATTTGATTTTTGTCTTGAAGATAAATGTTGATTCATGGGATAGTTCAGAGCTATGTTACCAACTTGTAACTTGAAAAAGAATTTTTGAAAACTTCCTTTATGTTTCTGATCCAATATCCAATATCACTTTTTCTTGCTCCATCTCTTGCTCATGTCCTAGTTATTTATACAGTCACATAATTCCATTCATGCCAAAAAGACTTTTTATTAAAAAAGCTAGAGTGATTAATTTTATTCCTTATACCCTCTTTCTCCCTTGAGAAAGTAGAAAACTTAAATAAAATGAAAAATCTAGAATATTTGATTTTGATATTTTTGTAGTTCTTGAGGATGAAAAATGAACTTAATAGGATTTTGAAGTCTAAATACTCCATTAGATAAGTTAAAGTAAAATTGTTTCAATAGCTGTTTTGAAGCATCATAAATTGAGATACTTGTAGGAACTACTTAAGCTCTGGAGTGACTTTTCTTTTTATTCCAGCTTCTCCGTTAATGACAGTACTTTCAGAAGTTGTCCTAAATCTCAGAGACACACCTAGCATTTTGCAGTATATATTTAGTACTTTTATGACTATTAAGAACGCCACATTTTCCAGGAATTCCAACATCTTTCAAAAAATAGAAGAGAGAGAAAACAGAGAAAAGGAAGTTACCAAAAGCAGACAGGAGAAATTTTCAGATCAAAAGAACATAAATGTACACCTTAAAGAATTATTGTACAATACACTGTGATGGAACACCCAAAAGCCCACCCAAGTCAAGTTTTAGAAAAATGTACTCAGAGGTGGCCAAAGTGCCGCTTCATGGTTATAATCCCTATCCTTCTCTCTCAACATTAATTATTATTCTTACATATATAGATTTCACACTTTTCCTTTCCTTTACAGATGTCTTACCTAACTATGCATCTCCAAATAATATGGTTTAATTTTTTTAATTTTTATATACATGGATTCTGTTGTACTTGAATTCTTTCAAATAACATTATATTTTTAAGATTCATCTATGCATTAAGCATTTCTGTACTTCACTTATTTCCACAGCTGTAAATACTTCATAATATACATATACAACTTATTTATTTATTCTGTCTTCATAAAAATTATAGTTTTTCACGTTTTCAAACCTCAGAAACAATTCTGCTTAGAATATTTTATGCATGTATTTTGGCTCATCTTGCATATGTATATATATCCTCATTGTATATTTGTACTCAGGTTTTTTGAAACACTGCCAAAATTTTCCAGAGTGGTTGCACCATATTAAACACTTATCAGTGTATGTGTTTCCATTGCTCTACATCTTCATCAATATTTGGTTTTCTTAGGTTTCTTTTTAATTTTAGTCAATCTGATGTGAGTGCATGATGGGTATAATTTTTGCTTTTATGATTATTGAAGCAAACGAGCACCATCCATTTCACAAATGCATTGGCCACTTATGTTTACCCTTTGAGATTTATCTATTCAGGTTTTTGCAATTTTTTACTATTTTTCTTATTGATATGAAGTATTTATATGTTCTGGATATGCCTTTTAACAAGCACAAGCACTAAAAATATCTCTTCCTTTTCTGTGATTTGTCTTTTGACTCCTAATGGTGTCACCTGATGAACAGAATTTTGTAGTTTCAATGATTGAAGTGTATTCATCATTTTTTACCTGTCAGTGATTTTTAAGACCAGTTACAGAAATAATTCCTCTTCCTAATAATACCTAATAATACCATAAAGTTATTATTTCATATTGATTTCTAAAACAGGAGTTGGGAAACTGTAGCCAGTGGGCCACTTGTGTCTGTTTTATAAAGTTTTATAGGAACACAGCCACACCCAGTTACTTACTTTTGTCTATGGCTGCTTTAGCACTACAACTACAGAGTTGAGTAGTTGTGACCGAGACCTGATGACACACAATGCCTAAAATATTTACTATCTGGCCTTTCCAAAAAAGTTTCCGTACCCTATTCTAGAAGATACTTTTTCCCTTTCACATCTAAATCTACAATCTATCTGGAATAGATGTTTATACACAGTATAAGTTGGGACAAATTTATTTTTTTAATTAATATCCCATTGGTCCAGCACCATATATTGAAAATTATAATTTTTCTCTATTCTTCTGTAGTGTTGTCTTTGTCATAAATAAATTTCCACAGATCTGTGGGTTTGTTTCAAGTCTTTTTTTTTCTATTTCAGTGTTTGATGTGGTTTGGCTGTGTCCCCACCCAAATCTCATCTTCAGTTGTAGCTCCCATAATTCCTGCATGGGAGCATGGGAGGGACCCAGTGAGAGGTAACTGAATCATGGGAATGGGTCTTTCCCATGCTGTTGTCGTGATAGTAAATAAGTCTCACAAGATCTGATGGTTTTATAAAGGGAATTTTCCCTGCACACTCTTCTTGCCTGATGCCATGTAAGATGTGACTTTGCTCCTCCTTCACCTTCTGCCATGATTGTGAGGCCTCCCCAGCCATGTGGAACTGTGAGTTTGCACCTCACTCATTGCTTCTCAAACCCTCACATTGTGTGCCAAAAAATATTGCAGGACTTTTCCTTAGTTCAGCTAAAAAGGGGGTTCTTTGTCCCATGGCCATGAAAATTCAGACTCACAACTTAAATGGTGAGTAAGACAGGATTTTATTGGGTGTAAAGGGGGAAACACGGGCTCTTGGAAGGCCAGAGTCCCTGCTACAGTGCTTCCCGACCAGGTGTTTGAATCCCAGGTTCCACACAGGAAAAGGAGGAGCCAGGCTCCTTCCTGTGGCAAACATCATGAACTTCTGGAGGCTCCACCTCAGTGGGCAGGCTGGTTGGAGTTTCTCCAGGGAACACCTCCCACCTGGCTGTCTCAAGGGAGTTGGAAAGGAAAGGCAAATAATATTTGGAAATACAAGTTTTGAGATGAAAGAAAAAAGTTTGAATTTTAAAAATTTAAGGTCAGAAGATTTACATAGCAGAGTGAAGGTGGACAGCAGGATTAAAACTGTTCAGCTTAAATATTAGAAAAAAGGCATAAAAGGTATAAAACCTGCATTCTCTATGAACCCTTGGCTAAAGGAGGTGATAACTTGTAACAGATTTCTAACCCCTTCGTAATATCCTTTTTAATAAGGGGAGATCCATCCAGTTTTATTTAGCCATTTTGCTCATGATTCACCTTTGAGATTTTTGTAGATTTTTTTTTTTTTGCCTTGGTATAGAAATATACAATGTAATTGAGAATATAGACCTTGTAAGGCAAATTGCCCTGGGTATAAATTTTACACTTAGTTGGATAAACAGATAAAACATTAGAACAATGGTGAAATATAAAATACTTATATTTTCTTTCAATCCCATTATGTACTTTTCCTAGCTATATATACTGCTAATATTATATCTAAATATATTCATTATGGCTTCCAAAATGTTGACTATTTTTTAAATTTTCACAGCTGATATTCAGAAAATAGCAAAAATGATCAATGATAGTTACTTTGGTTGGCTTATGCTCCTTGGGTTCCCTGGGAAGCCTCAGCTGGAGATGATCATCTCTGGGGTTGTCTTTTTCTTCTATGCAATTTCTTTGATGGGAAATATGGTCCTTATCCTGCTGCCATTACTGGATAAACATCTCCAAACCCCCATATATTTCTTTCTTAGAAATCTGGCTATCTTGGATCTTTGTTACACCACAAATATAGTCCCACAGATGTTGGTCAATGCCTGGGGTAAAGACAAGAAAATCACTTTTGGTGGCTGTGCTTTTCAACTTTTCACTAATGTGACGCTATGCACGGTTGAATGTATGCTTCTGGCTGTGATGTCATATGACCCATTCAATGCTGTCTGCAAGCCTCTGGACTATATGACCATAATGAACCCCCAACTCTGTCAAGGCCTGGTGGCCATGACCTGGTTAATTGGTGTCACTAATTGCATGATACTTTCCCCCTGTCCTGTGAGTCTTCCTCGATGCGGAGACCACCACCTGGATCACTATTTTTGTGAAATATCTGCAATGGTCAAAATTGCATGTGGGGCTACCACAGTCATGGAGGAAACTGTAAGAGTTAAAGAAAGAAGAAAGAAACACGAAACGTGGCTGGCAGTTAAAGACAGGTTTTCCTTAATTAAAACCTGACAGCACTCCTGGCTGATTTCATATATTGGTTTTAGGGTGAGGGGGCTAAGAACATATATTGGTTTTAGGGTGAGGGGGCTTATTACAAGCTTGGAATGTTTATGTGTGTGGAGAAGTTTATGGCGGGGTTGGAATCTCTCTGGGAAGAGGGGAGGTTATCTTGGGGCAGACATCTTTCTGGCCTGGAGGGGGGTTATCTCTGGGCTAGCATCTTCCCAGCTTGAGAGGGCTTATCTAGAGGCTAGCATGACTCTGGTCGGGGAGGAGTTTGGAAGGTTTCTGGTTGGGATGTTATTTGTGGTTTATGGTCGTGCTGACCTTAGCCATTAGGCTGAGGCCCTTTGGATTAGGTGGTTTTTTATTAAAATGAACTATAGAATAAGGGGCTTGTCCAAGATGGTGATGCTCCTGCTCTGTCAGAAACCTTATTTGCATTGTGTTGTTGTTGTTGTTTTCATTTTCCTTGCATCACTTCTTCTCATTCTTGTGTCATATGGCTTCATTGCTATGGCTGTACTCAAGATCAAGTCTGCAGCAGGAAGACAAAAAGCATTTGGGACCTGTTTCTCCCATCTCATTGTGGTATCCATCTTCTATGGGACTGTTAGATATAGGTATATAGAGCCAGGAAACAGTCCATCTCAGGATGAGGGCAAACTTCTCCATATATTTTACTCCATTGTTACTCCCACCTTGAACCCATCCCACTAAGGAATAAGGAGTTCAAGTGGGCCATGAAAAGGCTTATTGGAAAAGAAAAAGGTTCTGGAGACACAATAGGTCACTAACATCTTTTTACAAGAAATTCCTGGCCGGGCACGGTGGCTAACGCCTGTAATCCCAGCACTGTGGGAGGCCGAGGCAGGGGGATCACAAGGTCAGGAGATCGAGACCCTCCTGGCTAACATGGTGAAACCCCATCTCTACTAAAAATACAAAAAATTCGCACCTGAAGTCCCAGCTACTCTGGAGGCTGAGGCAGGAGAATGGCGTGAACCCGGGAGGCGGAGCTTGCAGTGAGCCGCGATCGCTACACTGCACTCCAGCCTAGGCGACAGAGCGAGACTCCGAATCAAAAACAAACAAAAAAAAAAAATAAAAAAAGAAATTCCCAATAAAGAAATTATCTTTGTCTAACCTTTAAATTATAGTCAACTTATTTTAGTAGTAGTCATCATCTGAAAAAGAAAATACCTAAAAATTTTGCTTGTATTTTAGTATCAATGTCCCTCATTGTCAAGGGTTCATTCTTTAAAAAATTAAAAATGTCTTTCAAAAACACTACTTATTATCTTGGATGATTCATCTACAGTTGTGGCAACAAAACAGGTTCCGTAAAGTCTAAGGGTTATGTCAACTGGGGTACGGGGGAGCATTTTATAAAGATTAAATTCAGATTATAATTTATATTATTTAATAATTTTAAATATAATTAAACTATTATACTATAACAAAAATTCATTAATTCATGTGTTAACTATGAGTTTTGGCTATAATTCACCATTCATCTGTTCCTATTAAGATTAAAACATTTTTGTTTAGATTCCAAATACTCCTGCCATCTCTACCTATTTTAAGACATATTAGGTTACTGGTCTAAAATATACTTCTATTTGTAGCTATTTGCTGCAGGAATCTGGACTTTCTCAAAATTTTGCTACTAAAATAAAATGTAGGACTAGATTGGATATGGATGTTGATATGGTTACAATGTTAATAAATCATTCTTAGTTTTAAATTTTTGTGTTCATTCAACAACTTCACTAATCTTTTTTATATAAGTTGGTAGTAAGTAAACATTTTGTATTCATTAATTCTTTTTATAAGGCCAGCATAAGCTAGACTTAAAAACATTACAAGGATTTACAAAAAAATAAAAAATGTTTATCAGTATCTTTCATAAACACAGTTGCAAACATCCCTAAATATTAACAAATCAAATATATAAAGGAGGTCCATTAAGAGAGGCAATGTGTGTGTGTGTGTAAGAACTATTCAGAATATAAAAAGAATTTCTACAAATCAGTAAGAAAAAACACAAACAACGTGATAGAACAATCACTTCACAAAAGAGGATAGCCATATGGCCAACACATGAAAATGTGCCCAACTTCACCAATCATCAGGGAAAATTATAACAACAAAGAGATACGGTTAAACACAAATACTGCTCCATAATAACATGGTCTATTAACAAAAAAAGATATGCAGTTTCTTACGATATAGATGAGAACTTTAAGAGTATGTTTGGGGGTGGATGTCAAGGAATATGAAATACAGAGCTTGAATGAACTGAATTTAATGACATGAGTGCTATCACCCAGAGCACAGGATACAAGCATTGGCTCAAACTCCTGAAAGTGTTATTGATCTTCTTTCACATTAGCTCACTGAAGCTTGAACTCAGAGATAGCCTATAGCTAATGAGGTTGAAAAGCTAGAATTTCCACAGTACCTTGTAAAATAAGGAATCAGTAGTCAATAGAGATTTTGTAATCTAATACAGTATGGCCATCTGCCCTCTGTACATAAGACCCTGTGCTATAAGATTGGAAGACATTTTCTTCCCTATAGCATTAAGAAATGGATCAGTGAGGAGGGCATCAGTGGTCTTAAAATGCTCTGTGGCATCTGAATTCTTTGGTGCAGAGCTGATGGTGGGGAATGAAACTGAAATTGGATTATATGGTCTTGAGAAAAATGATAATTCTGGAAAATTAAATGCCAGGAAGTGACACCATCATAGACAAAGTGGAAGTAGTTACTACAAGTAAGTCACATTGACTAGGGTATTGTGACCTACAGGGACCTGTAGTGATACACAGTTTATCAAACGGTACTTAAAAACACAATATTTGGGTAACCTACCACTGTATTGTGAATGTCTGTGTCCCCCAAAACATGTTAAAACCTAATCACCAGTGTGATGGTGTTAGCAGGTAGGCCCTTGGGAGGTGATTAAATCATGAGGGCACAGCCTTCTTGAATGGAATTCATGCCTTTATAGAAGAGGCCTCAGAGAGCTGCTTTGTCTCTTCCACCATGTGAAGACACAGTGAGAAGACACCATCTGTGAACCATAAAGGGGCCTTCACCAGACACCAATCTGCCAGAACCTTAATGTCAGACTTCCTAACTTCTAGAACTATGATAAGTAAATTTTTTTTGTTTATTAGCTACCCAGTTTATGGTATTTTGTTATAGCAACCCAAATGGACTAAGATACCTACTAAGATGTTAGCTGGAGTATATTAGCAGAAAAAATTCTAGGTGTGGAGACAGAAACATAACTTGAAACAATATAATAGGGATTCATGGCTTTTTACCCAGTTTCCATATTAAGCCAGTTTGCAGATTCAGATTTTCTCATCTGAGAGGTAGAATAATCCCTTTATGAATAGATCTGGCAATGAAGCAACATAATATTAAAGCTTTTTCCCTCAAGTCTTGTCTACAGAGACATTCCAGGCACTTAACTAGCTAATCATCCCTGAAGAAGGGGGTTATTAGATATTGTTGCTAGTCCCTGGTGATCTGGTTGCTTTGACGAATTCCTAGTGTCTGAAAATGAAAGACATTGGGTTGAGTTTTAGCTAGTTCACTTTCATTCTGAACAGTTAATTATTTTATTGTGTATTTCCTTGAAGAGAAAAAACTCTAAAAGTAATTTTGCTGTACGAACTACTATGAAATTTATCTGAAACGTTTTAATTGCTTCACATAGCATTGGGAGAAGTTAAAATCTAAAGTAACAGAATCTTTTGGGATAGGAACAAAGTGAGATCATCAATGCCAGTAATTCCATTCACTTCATAATGAGATCCCTTGGGCCCTGCCCTTCCCTCTGGTAAATAACTGCTTATGTGAAAATCTCCCTTGCTCCTCCTTTGACTTTAAACATCAAATATGAGTCTCTTATTCAGAATCCTTGAGAATTTTCCCATTATCCAGAAAGACAGATAGCAAGGACAAACACAACAACTCATCAATTTCTCAGAAAGTAGGAATGAACTGCCTGAAACATGAATAACTACAGATAAAAGCACAATCCAGCGTCAACATTCCCAATGTGTGCTCCATTTTTCCTTTCTCACACCTTTAGAATATAAAAGCCGTAATGCACATGATGCTTCAGAAAAATAAATGTCAAGTTGTATCTTAGTTTTAACTTGGAAGTTGAGGAGAAATGCAGTAAAAATATAGGAAACCAAAGCCCTTGAAAGTAATTTATAGTGAATTGTCTGCTTTCAAGAAGAATAACCAAACATCTGAGAAAAGAAAACTTCTCATCTTTTTATTTGAACTGATACGTTTTTTGTTAGAAGAAAAAATTTATGAGCAAACCATTAGTGAGAAAGTGAGTTTAGCAGTAAATAGCTAGTAGTAGAACTTACACAAACAAATTTAAGCCACAAAGAGTGCATTGATCTAGTAGACTCTAATAGGTTTTGTTTTCTTTTTTAATTTGACTAAGACAAGGATCTAAACCAAAATGCATATTTTTCAAGAATCTTTTTTTATTTTACTTTTTTAAATCACATCTATTTTTAACTCACTAAATTGTTTGACATATTGTAAGAAAATCATTTGGTAATGATTTTAATTTTGTGAGTATAATATTGTGCAGTCAGAAACTGCAGCAGCTGGAAAGTTTTAAGTTGTAGAATCAAAGCACCTCAGACAATGGTAGACACTGTATATGATAAAACACACATCCTTTAATCACATTAATGCTTTGGGAATTATATAAAAAGATATGTCCTTTACTATGTTGTTTGTCAAACCTAAGTAACAGAATCAAAATAAATTGCTTAATTATTTTCAAATTTTAAGTTATTTTGAATAATTCAAATTTTGTTACATATATAAAGAATATATTTATTAGAGTATAAAGTGAAAATTAAATATGTAACTCTTCTAACATGAGGCACATCACCCTCCAAAAACCAATAATGTCGCAGTAAGACAAATTATGCTGCATTATATCATTCAAATGAAATACGATATATTCAATGCTCTACCACTTTTAATTACGAATATAATTTGACCCTGTTTCTATATGAGTATATGCAAACTTGTGTAATTATGTTAAATGTATATAATATTCAGTTAACTAGCTCGTTCTTGATGATCATGTGTGCTGTTTCCAATTTTTTACATGAAAGTAATGTTTCACAAATATTTTAGGATGCATGCAGAATAAACTCCTAGAAATGAAATTAATCAAAGTTAGTTCAAAATATTTTTATGTACATTTTTATTGTGAAAGATAACAGCAAATTGTCTTACAAAAAGAATTTATCCTTCTCCACATAGATTATGAAACTGATCATTTTCTAAACATTTGCAACATGGTTGGTTCCTAACAGTCACTTAAATATAAGCCATTTCAGGACAAAAAAATGCCTCAACTTTTCAATTTCAACTTACTAATTAGAATAGGATTGAAATTATTTTCATATGTGTTTATTTCTTTTTTTCCAAAATGTCTTTTAGGATATTTGCCCATTTTTTGTAGAAACATTTTTAATTTTGGGGAAATAAAAAGTCAAAAGCTATTTTTATTAAGAAAAGCAGTATTTTTCTGCTATGTATATTAATGGTTTCGTTTGGGTCCTATCGAACCACGTGGTTTATCCATCATTGAATTTTCTATTAAAATTTATGATATATCCTTTTTCTCAAATTTTGTTTTGATAATATCTGAAAAATAATAACATGTTCATATTTTGATTTATAAATACTTTTAATCAGTTATGATTTTTAAAGAAATGTTCATAAATTATAATGGCACTTCCATAATGGTGGTGTGGCTCATTGCCCTGTAAAACAACCATGACTGATACAATTTTTTTAATTCCAAGTCTCTGAAAATTGTCTTAAGAGAAAACAACAAATGAAGTAATACTTATTCAAGATACTCTACTAAATCTCACTAAGAAGAGCAAGAGTCTATGGCACTTGAGCCACAGCCTGCTTTCCTACCCAGCTCAGTGTGATGGAAGCTCCACTCTGGACAGGTGTGGCCAAGAAGAAAAGGATTCCTTTCCCCTCAGCTCCCAGTCAAGGAATATAGTATCTCACTGAGAGGGGCAGAATGCCAGCATTTCTTATCACTTTCACTTCTGAGTTGTCAAGGCTACATTCCCAGAGATCTAAACAAAAGACTGGGGCTACCTTCCTGCACTCCATACATAAGGTGGATACCCTATGCCAAGCATGTTGAGCCAAGAATACTGGAACTCTTATCACCTTTGCCCTAGCTCACTCATAAACAGAGGTCCAACACTGGGAGAGGCAAGCAAAGAAAAGTAAAAGCTACCACTCTTCAGTGCACTGCCCTTGGAACAGTGGCATAGAAGGTTTTGTCTAGGGACAGGGGAAGAACAGAACATTCAAAAGCTCTGTCCAAAGAAACTGACTGTATTTGAAGCAGAGTGTTGAAAGTTCAAGCCTAAGGGTACATTAAAAAACAATGAATATTTGGTGCTAAGGAGTTAAGACAAGGCTGAGACTCTATGAGACAACAAGCTAGGCCATAAAACAGTGAGTTTACCAGTGACAACCAGGGAAAGAGCTTTTCTGGGGTCAGAACAAATCTCAAAAAGTGACCTCAAGAACTACCCCTGCAAAATTAGATCACACTGTGGAGCAATTTATGTCCCCAGGGCATTATCAAAACCAATAGAGCACCCAGCCAGCAATTAATGGATCCTCCCAGCTGAGTATAATACCAAATGACGAAGACTGGTTAACAAAAATCAGCAAATGACATTGCAAAGACAAGACATCCAAAGCCCTGCTCAAACTATTCTCATCCCAGGTTGTTTATGTCCATGCCCAAGGCTGTGCTCTCTGAAGGGTAACACCAGAGGCTTCACACTGTGGAGGAAATTTACTAAAATAGCCTGGCCAAGTCACTAACAAACAAAAAATAAAACAAGACCCAGGACGGGGAGTCAGTATACAAAGTTACTACAATGTCTAGTTTTAATTTAGTAACATTATATTACTCAAATGTCTAGTTTTCAACAAAAAAACTATGAGACTTGTAAAAAAATAGGAAAGCATGACTGATACACAAGTAAACGAGCAGACAATAGAAACTGCCAGTGAGAGGCCCCAAATGTCAGATTTATCATAGATCAAAACAACCAATATAAATATGTTCAAGGAAATAAAATCATGCTTAAAGAAGTAAAAGAAGGTATGATAAGAGTGTCTCATCAAATAGAGACTACTAAAAAGGGAGATAAAGTATTTTAAAAATGAAACAAATGGAAACTTTAGAGTTGAAAAGCACAGTGAAAACTTCACTAGAGGAGCTCAACAGTAGATTTGAACTGATGGAAGAAAGAATCAGTGAACTTGAAGATAGGCTGATAGAGATTATGCAATCTGAGCAACAAGAAAAAAATAAAATGAACAGATCCTCAGACAAGTATGGAATACCACTGATGACACCAAAGTACACATAATGGAAGTATCAAAGGAGCAGAGAGAAGCAAGTTAAAAAAATATTCAAAGAATTAATTGCTGAAACATTAAAGTTGATGAAAAAAATTATATATCTAAAAAGCTCCTTTCTCTAAATAGGATTAATGTAAAAATATTCACATTCAGTTGCATCATAATAGGAACACTAAAAGCTAGAGTCAAAGAGACAGTTTTGAAAGCAGCAAGAGGAAAATGACTCATGATGTACAAGAGAACCTCAGTAAGATTATCATCTGACTTCTCATCAGAAATACTGGAGACTAGAAGGCAGTGGGGATGACAGCCAAAGTTCTAAAAGAACGTTGAACCAAGAGTCTTATATCCAGGAAAACTATCCCTCAAAAATGAACCACATTTATTTTTTTTTCTGAGACGAAGTCTCACTCTGTCACCAGGCTGGAGTGCAGTGGCGCAATCTTGGCTCACTGCAACCTCTGCCTCCCAGGTTCAAGTGATTCTCCTGCCTCCGCCTCCAAAGTAGCTGGGACTACAGGTGCGCACCACCACTCCCAGCTAATTTTTTAATTTTTAGTAGTTGGGTTTCATTATGTTGCCCAGGATGGTCTCGATCTCTTGACCTCCTGATCTGCCCGCCTCGGCCTCCCAAAGTGCTGGGATTACAGGCGTGAGCCACCACACCCAGCCAACCACATTTTTTAAATCCAGTCCACCATTGATGGCAATCTAAGTTGATTCCATGTCTTTGCTATTGTGAATAGTGCTACAGTTAACATATACATGCATATGTCTTTATGGCTAAATGATTTATATTCCTTTGGATATATAAGTAATGGGATTGCTGAGTCAAATAGTAGTTATGTTTTAAGTTTTTTGAGAAATCTCCGACTGCTTTTCACAGTGGCTGAACTAATTTACATTCCCACCAGTAGTGTATAAGCATTCCCTTTTCTTTGCTTGTTGATTTAAGTTCTTTATAGATTCTGGATATTAGACTTTTGTCAGATATACTTTGCAAATATTTTCTCCCATCCTATAGGTTGTCTGCATATCCTGTTGATAGTTTCTTTTGCTGTGCAGAAGCTCTTTAGTTTAATTAGGTCATACTTGTGAATTTTTGTTTTGTTGCAATTGCTTTTGGAGTCTTCATTATAAAGTATTTGTCAGGGCCGATGTACAGAATGGCATTTCCTAGGTTTTCTTCTAGGATTTTTACACTTTTAGGTTCTACAGTTTAGTCTTTAACCCATCTTGAGTTGATTTTTGTATATAGTGAAAAGTAGTTGTCCAGCTTCGATATTCTGATTATGGCCGTCCAGTTTTTTCAGCGCCATTTACTGAATACAGAGTCATTCCCCATTGCTTATTATTGTTGGCTTTGTCAAAGATCAGATTACTGTAAGTGTGAGGCTTTATTCCTGGGTTCTCTAACTGATTCCATTGATCTATGAGTCTGTTTTTGTACCAGTACCATGTTGTTTTAATTATGGTAGCCTTGCAGTATAGCTTGAAGTCAGGTAATGTGATGCCTCCAGCTTTGTTTTGTGTGTGTGTGTGTGTGTGTGTGTGTTTGGTTTTGTGTTTTTTGTTTGTTTGTTTTTGCTTAGGGTTGCTTTGACTATTCAGGCTTTTTTGTTGTTGCTGTTTGATATAAATTTTAGAATCATTTTTTTTCTAATTCTGTGAAAAATGTTATTGGTAGATTGCTAGTGTGAACCCAGAAAGTCTGAGACAGGTCTCCATTAATTTAGAAAGTTTATTTTGCCAAGGTTGAGGAAGCACTTGTGACAGCCTCAGGAAGTCCTGATGACATGTGCCCAAGGTGGTCAGGGCACAGCTTGGTTTTACACATTTTAGGGAGACATGAGACATCAATCTATATATGTAAGAAGTACAGTGGTTTGGTCTGGAAAGGTGGGACAACTTGAAGCAAAGGAAAGAAGACTCAAAGCAGAGAGGGAGCTCCCAGGTTACACTAGGTGATACACAAACGATTACATTCTTTTGAGTTTCTGATTAGCCTTTCCAAAGGAGGTAATTAGATATGATTCTCTCTCACTGAGCAGAGGGTTGACTTTGAATAGAATGGGAGGCAGGTTTGCCCTAAGCGGTTTCCAGCTTGAGTTTTCCTTAGTGATTTGGGGGGCTCAAGACATTTTCCTTTCACACTAGTAGTACCATTGAATCTGTAAATTGCTTTGGGCAGTATGCCCATTTAACAATACTGATTCTTCCTATCCATGAGCATGAAAAGCTGTTCCATATGTTTATGTTATCTCTGGTTTTCAGCAGTGTTTTTTAATTCTCATTGCAGAGATCTTTCACTTCCCTGGTTAGCTGTATTCCTAGGTATTTCATTCTTTCTGTGGCTATGGTAAATGGATTGCATTTTTATTTGGCTTTCAGCTTGGATGTTATTGGTGTATATAAATGCTACTAATAGTTGCACATTCATTGTGTATTCTGAAACTTTTCTGAAATCGTTTATCAGATCTAGGAGCCTTTTGGCAGAGAGTGGAGTTTTCTAGGTATATAATCATATCATCTCTGAAGAGAGATCGTTTGACTTTCCCTCTTCCTATTTGGATGACTTTTATTTCTTTCTCTTGCCTGATTTATTTCTCTTGCCTGATTGCTCTGGCTAGGACTTCCAGTACTATTTGGAATAGGAGTAATGAGAGGGGACATCCTTGTCTTGTTCTGGTTCTCAAGGGGAATAATTCCAGCTCTTGCCCATGTAGTATGATGTTGGCTGCAGGTTTGTCATACATAGCTCTCAATATTTTGAGGAATGTTTCTTCAATGTCTGGTGTGTTGAGGGTTTTTAACATGAAGGGATGTTGAATTTCATCAAAAGCCATTTCTGTCTGTTGAGATTATCACATGGTTTTTGCTTTTAGTTCTGTTTATGTAGTGAATCACATTTATTGATGTGTGGGTGATGAACCAACCTCGCATCCCAGAAATAAAGCCTACTTGATTGTGGTGGATTAAGTTTTTGATATGCTGCTGGATCCAGTTTGCTAGTATTTTGCTGAGGATTTTTGCACCCATGTTCATCAAGCATATTGGCCTAAAATTTTTTTTTTGTTGTGCCTCTGCTAGGCTTTGGTATCAGAGTGATGCTGGCCTCATAAGATGAGTTAGGGAGTGTAAGGCCTCTGAGACCAAGCTAAGCCATCATATCCCCTGTGACCTGCACATATACATCCAGATGGCCTGAAGCAACTGAAGAACTACAAAAGAAGTGAAAATAGCCAGTTGCTGCCTTAACTTATGACATTCCACCATTGTGATTTGTTCCTGCCCCACCCTAACTGATCAATTGACCCTGTGACATTCCTTTTCCCGGACAATGAATCTCAGGAGCTCCCCATTGAGCACCTTGCGACTGCTGCACCTGCATGCAAGAGAACAACCCCCTTTAACTATAATTTTCCACTACCTACCCAAATCCTATAAAACTGCCCCACCCCTATCTCCCTTTGCTGACTTCTGTTTTGGACTCATTCTGCCTATGCCCAGGTGATTAAGAAGCTTTATTGCTCACACAAAGCCTGTCTGGTGGTCTCTTCACGTGGACACACATAACATTTGGTGCCGAAGACCTGGGACAGGGGGACTGCTCCAGGAGACTAGCCCCCTGTCCTCACCCTCACTCCGTGAGGAAATCCACCTACAACCTCAGGTCCTCAGACCAGCCCAAGGAACATCTCACCAATTTCAAATCAGGTAAGCAGTCTCTTCACTCTTCTCCAGCTTCTCTCGCTACCCTTCAATCTCCCTGTTCTTCCAATTCCAGTTCTTTTTCCTCTCTAGTGGAAACAAAGGAGACACATTTTATCCGTGAACTCAAAAACTCCGACGTCGGTCACGGATATGGGAAGATGGTCTTCCCTCGGTGTCTGATCATAGCGGGGATGCCTGCCTTGATCATTCATCTACATTCCATTGGTGTCTGATCACCACAGGGATGCCTGCCTTGATCATTCACCCACATTCCATTGGTGTCTGATCACTGCTGGGACGCCAGCCTTGATCATTCAATCATTCACCCACATTCCACTGGTGTCTGATCACCGTGAGGATGCCTGCCTTGGTCATTCACCCACATTCCCTTGGTGACAAGTCAGTTGTGGGGACACCTGCTTTGGCTGCTCACCCACATTACAGCCCACGGCTACTCACCCCCACCTTCTCTGTGTCTCTACTTTTCTCTTTAAACTTACCTCCTTCACTATGGGCAATCTTCTGCCCTCCATTCCCCTTTCTTCTCCCTTAGCCTGTGTTCTTAAAAACCTAAAACCCCTTCGACTAACACCTGACCTAAAACCTAAACATCTTATTTTCTTCTGTAATACCACTTGGCCCCAATACACACTCAACAATAGTTTCAAGTGGCCAGAGAATGGCACTTTTGATTTGTCTATCCTACAAGATCTAGATAATTTTTGTTGTAAAATGGGCAAATGGTCTGAGGTGCCTGATGTCCAGGCATTCTTTACACATCGGTCCCTCCCTAGTCTCTGCTCCCATTGCAACTCGTGCCAAATATTTCTTCTTTCTCTCCTATGTGTTCCTTCAGTCTCCACCCCAAGCTCTGAGTCCTTTGAATCCTCTTTTTCTACAGATCCATCTGACCTTGCCCCTCCTCCCCAGGCTGCTCCTCACCAGGCCGAGCCAGGTCCCAATTCTTCCTCAACCTCCACTCTCCCACCCTATAATGCTTCTATCACCTCACCTCTTCACACCCAGTCTGGCTTACAGTTTCTTTCTGTAAGTAGCTCTCCCCGACCTGCCCAACAATTTCATTTTAGAGAGGTGGCCGGAGCTGAAGGCATAGTCAAGATTAATGCTCCTTTTTTCTTTATCTGACCTCTCCCAAATTGGTTAGCGTTTAGGCTCTTTTTCATCAAATATAAAAACCCAGCCCAGTCCGTGGCTGGTTTGGCAACAACCCTTAGATGCTTTACCGCCCTAGACCCAGAGGGACCAGAAGGCCATCTTATTCTCAATATGTATTTTATTACCCAATCCACTCCCAACATTAGAAAAAGCTCCAAAAATTAGATTCCGCCCTCAAACCCCACAACAGGACTTAATTAACCTTGCCTTCAAGGTGTACAATAATAGAGAAGAGGCAGCCAAGCGGCAATGTATTTCTGGATTGCAATTACTTGCCTCCGCTCTGAGAGAAACCCCAGCCACATCTCCAGCACACAAGAACTTCAAAACGCCTAAACCACAGTGGCCAGGCATTCCTCCAGGACCTCCTCCCCCAGGATCTTGCTTCAAGTGCCGGAAATCTGGCCACTGGGCCAAGGAATGCCCGCAGCCCAGGATTCCTCCTAAGCCGTGTCCTATCTGTGCAGGTCCCCACTCGAAATCGGACTGTCCAGCTTGCCCAAAAGCCACTCCCAGAGCCCCTGGAACTCTGCCCCAAGGCTCTCTGACTGACTCCTTCCCAGATCTTCTTGGCTTAGTGGCTGAAGACTGATGCTGCCTGATTGCCTCAGAAGCCTCCTGGACCATCACAGACACTTCAGGTAACTTACAGTGGAGGTAAGTCCCTTCTTAATTGATACGGAGGCTACCCACTCCACATTACCTTCTTTACAAAGGCCTGTTTCCCTTGCCTCCATAACTGTTGTGGGTATTGATGGTCAGGCTTCTAAACCTCTTAAAACTCCCCCACTCTGGTGCCAACTTGGACAACATTCTTTTATACACTCCTTTTTAGTTATCCCCACCTGCCCAGCTCCCTTATTAGGTCAAGACATTTTAACTAAACTATCTGCTTCTCTGACTATTCCTGGGCTACAGCCACACCTCATTGCCACCCTTTTCCCCAGTTCAAAGTCTCCTTCACATCCTCCCCTTATGTCTCCCTACCTTAATCCACACGTATGGGATACCTCTACTCCTACTTTGGCAACCGATCATGCACCCCTTATCATCCCATTAAAACCTAATCACCCTTACCCTGCTCAACGCCAATATCCCATCCCACAGCAGGCTTTAAAAGGGTTAAAGCCTGTTATAACTCACCTGTTACAACATGGCCTCTTAAAGCCTACAAATTCTCCTTACAACTCCCCTATCCTACCCCTCCAGAAACTGGACAAGTCTTACAGGTTGGTTCAGGATCTTCACCTTGTTAATCAAATTGTCCTTCCCATCCATCCTATAGTGCCAAACCTGTACACCCTCCTATCTTCAATACCCCTTTCCACAACTCACTATTCTGTTATCGACCTCAAAGATGCTTTCTTTACTATCCCCTTGCATCCCTCCTCCCAGCCTCTTTTTGCCTTTACTTGGACTGACCCTGACACCCACTAATCCCAACAACTCACCTGGACTGTTCTGCCCCAAGGCTTCAGGGACAGCCCACACTACTTTGGCCAGGCCCCTTCTCATGATCTGCTTTCTTCTTCCCCATCTGCCTCTCACCTTATTCAATATTTTGATGATCTCCTTTGCAGCCCCTCTTACTAATCTTCCCAGCAGGACACTATCCTGCTTCTTCAACATCTCTACTGAAAGGGGTACCAAGTATCCCCCTCCAAGGCACAAATTTCTTCTCCTAGTGTTACCTATCTCAGTATAATCCTCCATCAACATACATGTGCCCTTCCTGCAGACCGTATTCAGTTAATCTCCCAGACCCCAATCCCCACCACCAAACAACTCCTTTCCTTCTTAGGCATTGTTGGATATTTCCAACTCTGGATACCAGGCTTTGCTATTCTAACCAAAACCACTTTACAAGCTCACAAAGGATAACTTAACTAATCCCATAGATCCTAAGTCTTTTCCCCATTCTTCCTTTCACTTTCTCAAAAAGGTCCTGGAGACAGCTCCTACACTTGCACTCCCCAACTCGTCCCATCCCTTTTCCTTACACACAGCGGAAATACAAGTCTGTGCTGCCGGAGTCCTCACACAGGAGCCAGGCTCACAACCTGTTGCCTTTCTATCAAAGAAACTTGACCTCACAGTTCTGGGCTGGCTCTGCATGGGGCGGCAGGCACTGCTTTAATACTTCTAGAGGCCTTCAAAATCACAGGCTATGCTCCACTTACCCTTTACAGTTCTCACAACCTTCAAGCATTAATATCCTCCCCATACCTTTCACATTTATTGTCTGCCCCTCAACTCCTCCAGCTCTATTCACTCTTTGTTAAAACTCCAACAGTAACTATTATCCATAGGCCTGATTTCAACCCACTTTCTCACTTAGCACCCAGCACAAGTCCTGAACCACCTGACTGTATTTCCCTAATAAACATAGCATCCTCCCCCGTCCTCATATTCCTATTCTGCCAATTCCAAACACAGACCACACTTGGTTTATTGATGGCAGTTCTTCTAAACCCAATCAATTTTCACCAGCTAAAGCTAGATATGTTGTCGTGTCCCACACCGCTACTATTGAAGCTGCTGCACTTCCCTCCACCACTTCCGAATAAGCTGAACTGATTGCTTTAACTACCGCATTCTCTCACTAAAGGAATGCACATTGACATTTATACTGACTCCAGATATGCTTTCTATATCCTCCATAACCATGCTGCCTTCTGGGCTGAAAGAGGCTTCCTTACCACACAAGGCTCTTCCATTATCAATGCCTCCCTAACAAAGGCCCTCCTTAAGGTTGCTTTCCTGCCAGCCAAGGCTGGAGTCATTCATTATAAAGGGCACCAGAAACCTACTGATCTTATTGCAAAAGGAAATGCCTATGCCAACAGGACGGCAAAAGAAATAGCTGATGCCTCCACATCCACTAATATTCCAGCCCTCACTCCAGAGGTCCAGTATTTCTCCTTCTCCTCCAACACTCCCACCTACTTTTCTGAAAACCTGCTCTACCAGTCTTTTCCAACTCAAGGCAAGTGGTTCTTATAAATCATGGAAAATTCATTCTTCCTGCCTCACAAGCTCAGTCCATTCTTTCTTCCCTTCATGACCACTTCCATGTGGGATACAAGCCTGTGGCTTGATTCCTGCAGCTCCTCATCTCCTTCTCTTCATGGAAGTCCATCCTTAAGACCATAACCTCTCAATCCTCTGTCTGCCATGCCACCAGCCCCCAAGGCTTTCTCAGGCCTCCTCCTTTTCCTGAGCATCAGGCTTGTGGATTTACTTCAACTCATGATTGGCAGTTAGACTTTACTCATATGCCCCATGTCCGTAAATTTAAGTATCTCCTGGTTTGGATCGACACCTTCACCGGATGGCTCGAGGACTTTCCCACTAGTTCCAAAAAGCCTATTGCAGTCATTTCTTCCCTTCTAACAGATATAATTCCCTGATTTGGCCTCCCTACTTCTATTCAATCTGACAATGGTCCAGCTTTTATTAGTCAAATCACCCAAGCTGTCTCTCAGGTTCTTGGTATTCAGTGGAAACTTCATACCCCTTACTGTCCTCAATCTTCAGGAAAGGTAAAATGGACTAATGCTCTTTAAAAAACACACCTCACCAAGCTCAGCCTCTAACTTAAAAAGGACTGGACAGTACTTCTACCACTTGCCTTTCTCAGAATTAGAGCCTGCCCTCGAGATGCTACAGGGTACAGTCCATTTGAACTTTTATATAGACACACTTTCTTGCTCAGCCCCAATCTTATTCCAGACACCAGCCCTCTGGGCAACTATCTTCCAGTCCTCCAGCAGGCTAGACAGGAAATTCGCCAGGCTGCTAATCTTCTCTTGCCTACTCCAGATTCCCAGCCATATGAAGACACCCTAGCTGGATGATCGGTTCTTGTTAAGAGTCTGACCCCTCAAACTCTACAGCCTCGATGGAACGGACCCTACCTAGTCATCTATAGCACCCCAACTTCCGTCCATCTACAGGAATCTCCCCATTGAGTTCACCATTACAGAATAAAGCTGTGTCCATTGGACAGCCAGCCAGATCTCTCCTCTTCCTCCTGGAAGTTGCGAGTACTCTCCCCTACTTCCCTTAAAACTCATTCGCATTTCTAAAGAACAGTAATAACCCTTATAAGCCTAACACATCCTTTCATTTTTATTAGGTCTGTTCTTCCTTGCCTTACTCTCTACAACAGGGTTTTATGCAGTCACACCCGCCCCCACTTCTTGGACTGCAACTCACAAGCTTTTTCATCCCTGCTATTTTCCAATTCACCATTCTCACCTACTCATAAATGCCCTGCTCTTGTTTACACTGCCAGTTTCCACTTTTCCTCCAAACCATCACAGCTGATATCTCATGGTGCTATCCCCAAACTGCCACTCTCGACTCCCTCTTGGAGTGGATAGATGATCTTTGCTGGCAGGGCACACTCCAATATTTTCTGCCTCCACTATTGCTCTTGGAACTGGAATAGCAGGCAATTCAACCTCTGCCACAACCTTCTGTAGCCTCTCTAATGACTTCTCTGCTAGCATTGCAGACATATCACAATCTTTATCAGTCCTTCAGGCGCAGGTTGACTCTTCAGTTGCGGTTGTCCTCCAAAACCATGAGGCCTTGACTTACTCACTGCTGAAAAAGGGAGACTCTATATTTTTAAATGAAGAGTATTGTTTTTACCTAAATCAATCTGGCCTGGTATACGACAACCTAAAAAAACTCACGGATAGAGCCCAAAAACTCACCAACCAAGCAAATAATTACACTGAACCCCCTTGGGCACTCACTCTCTAATTGGATGTCCTGGGTCCTCCAAATTCTTAGCCCTTTAATACCTGTTTTTCTCCTTCTCTTATTCAGACCTAGTGTCTTCCATTTAGTTTCTCAGTTCATACAAAACTGCATCCAGGCCATCACCAATCATTCTATACAACAAATGCTCCTTCCAACAACCCCACGATATCACCCCTTACCACAAAATGTTTCTTCAATTTAATCTCTCCCACTCTAGGTTCCCATGCCACCCCTAATCCTGCCTGAAGCAGCCCTGAGAAACATTGCCCATTATCTCTCCATACCACCCCCCCCAAAATTTTTGCTGCCCCCAACACATCACCACTATTTTGTTTTGTTTTTCTTATTAATATAAGAAGACAGTAATGTCAGGCCTCTGAGCCCAAGCTAAGCCATCATATCCCCTGTGACCTGCACATATACATCCAGATGGCCTGAAGCAACTGAAGAACCATAAAAGAAGTGAAAATAGCCAGTTCCTGCCTTAATTGATGACATTCCACCACTGTGATTTGTTCCAGTCCCACCCTAACTGAGCATTGACCTTGTGACACTCCTTCTCCTGGACAGTGAATCTCAGGAGCTCCCCACTGAGCACCTTGTGACCCCTGCCCCTGCCTGCAAGAGAACAACCCCCTTTAACAGTAATTTTCCACTACCTACACAAATCCTAGAAAACTGCCCCACCCCATCTCCCTTTGCTGACTCCTTTTTCGGATTCAGTCTGCCTGCACCCAGGTGATTAAAAGCTTTATTGCTCACACAAAGCCTGTTTGGTGGTCTCTTCACATGGACATGTATAACATGGAGGAGTAACTTCTCCTCTATTTTTTGGAATAGTTTCAGTAGAATTGGTACCAGCACTTCTTTATATGTCTAGTGGAATTCAGCTGTGAATTTGCCTGGTACAGGGCTTTTTCTGATTTGTAAGTTTTTAAATTACTGATTCAATTTCAGAACTCATTATTGGTCTGTTCAGGGTTTTACTTTCTTCTTGGTTGAATCTTGAAAGGTAGTGTGTTTCTAGGAATTCAGCCATTTCTTTTAGGTTTTCTAGTTTTTGTGCATAGAGGTGCTCGAAATAGTCTCTGATGGATTTTTGGGGTCAGTGATATTTCTTTAAAATGTACTGCTACCATTGATTGTCATAACCAGTTTGTAGGATTCATGTTTTCCATTTATTCTTATCTCAAAAGTAGGGTAAACTGATCTCTGAATACACAGATGATAAAAGAGTAATCATAAAACTAAACTATTAATGTGTCCAATAATAATTATGGTAACAGAGATAACGTAACTTTGAAAGCAACTCATGTTCAAGTCAGAAGTGAAAATAAATACATTTTTACATGAACCAGTAAAACATTAAACATAATATTTAGTGGGGGAAAAAAGAAATATAGCATTTATTTGTGTCGGGAACATGCTAAGTCTTTCTTCTAGCTATTTTGAAATAAACAATAAATTATTGTTATCATAGAGATTTATCAAAATATCACAAGCACCTCAGAAACATGTACAATAGTTGTGTATCAATTTCTTAATTAACAATAAAAACTGAAAAATATTTAATTGACAAAGAAATTACTAAAAAGCATTATTCACATCATAATCACTTTTTCAATTAACTATTTTCTCATTCAGCTACATATTATATTAACAGTACAGCTGTGATCATGTGAGCACATGAGAAATGTGTATCATTTTTATTAAGAATTAACAAATTCGAGACTTAAACATTCGTGACTGCCAGCTCTGAGGAGAGCAGTGGATCACCCAGCACAGTGCCCGAGCTCTGCTAAGGAACAGACTGCCTCCTCAAGTGGGTCGCTGACCCCCATGCCTCCTGACTGAAAAACACCTCCCAGCAGGGATCGACAGACACCTCATACAGGAGAGCTCCAGCTGGCATCCAGCAGGTGCCCCTCCTAAACAAAGCTTCCAGAGGAAGGAACAGGCAGCAATCTGTGCTGTCCGGCAACCTCTGCTGGTGATACCCAGGTGAACAGGGTCTGGAGTGGACCTCCAGCAAACTCCAGGAGACCTGCAGCAGAGAGGCCTGATGGTTAGAAGAAATACTAACAAACAGAAAGGAATAGTATCAACATCAAGAGAAAAATGTCTACTCAGGATCCCATCTGAAGGTCACCAACATCAAAAGCCAAAGGTATATAAATCCATGAAGATGAGAAAAAAAAAACAGCACAAAAAGGCTGAAAATACCAAAAATCAGAGCACCTCTTCTACTCCAAAGATCACAAATCCTCACCAGCAAGGGAACAAAACTGGATCGAGAATGAATTTGACAAATTGACAGAAGTAGGCTTCAGAAGGTGGGTAATAACAAACTCCTCTGAGCTAAAGGAGCATGTTCTAACCCAATGCAAGGAAGCTAAAAACCTTGAAAAATGTTTAGAGGAATTGCTAACTAGAATACCAATTTAGAGAAGAATATAAATAACCTGATGGAGCTGAAAAACACACCACGAGAACTTCGTAAAGTATACACAAGTATCAATAGCTGAATCAATCAAGTGGAAGAAAGTATATAAGAGATGGAAGATCAAATTAATGAAATAAAGCATGAAGCCAAGATTAGAGAAAAGAGAATGAAAAAGAAAGAACAAAGCATCCAAGAAATATGGGACTATGTGAAAAGACCAAACCTACATTTGATTGGTATACCTGAAAGTGACTAGAAGAATGGAACCAAGTTGGAAAACACTCTTCAGGATATTATCCAGGAGACCTTCCCCAGCCTAGCAAGACAGGCCAACATTCAAATTCAGGAGATAGAGAGAACACCACAAAGATACTCCTCAAGAAGAGCAACCCAAAAACATGTAATTGTCAGATTCACCAAGGTTGAAATGAAGGAAAAAATATTAAGGGCAGCCAGAGAGAAAGGTCAGAATACCAACAAAAAGAAGCCTCTCAGACTAACAGCAGATCTCTCTGCAGAAACCCTACAAGCCAGAAGAAAGTGGGGGCCAATATTCAACATTCTAAAAGAAAAGAATTCTCAACCCAGAATTCTATACCCAGCCAAACTAAGCTTCATAAGCAAAGGAGAAATAAAACTCTTTACAGACAGCAAATAATGAGAGATTTTGTCACCCCCAGGCCTACCTTACAAGAGCTTCTAAAGGAAGCAATAAGTGGGGAAAGGAAAAGCCGGTACCAGCCACTGCAAAAACATACCATATTGTAAAGATGATCGACATTATGAAAAAAGTGCATTAACTAATGGGCAAAATAACCAGTTAGCATCATAATGACAGGATAAAATTCACACATAACAATACTAACCTTAAATGTAAATGAGCTAAATGCCCCAATTAAGAGACACAGACTGGCCAACTGGAAAAAGAGTCAAGACCCATCAGTGTGCTGTATTCAGGAGACCCATCTCATGTGCAAAGACACACATAGGCTCAAAGTAAAGGAATGGAGGAACATCTAACAAGCAAATGCAAAGCAAAAGACTTCAAGGGTTGCAATCCCAGTCTCTGATAAAACAGACTTTAAACCAACAAAGATCAAAGAAGACAAAGAAGGGCAATACATAATGGTAAAGGGATCAATGCAACTATCCTAAATATATATGCACCCAATACAAGAATACCCAAATTCATAAAGCAAGTTCTTAGAGACCTACAAAGAGACTTAGACTCCCATACAATAATAGTGGGAGACTTTAACACCCCACTGTTAATATTAGACAGATCAATTAGACAGAAGATTAACAAGAATATTAAGGACTTGAACTCAGCTCTGGACCAAGTGGACCTAATAGACATCTATAGAACTCTCCACCCCAAATCAACAGAACATACATTATTCTCAGCACCACATAGCACTTATTCTAAAATTGACCACATAATTGGAAGTAAAACTCTCCTCAGAAAATGCAAAAGAATGGGAATCATAACAAACAGTCTCTCAGACCACAGTTTAATCAAATTCGAACTCAGGATTAAGAAACTCACTCAAAACTGTAAAACTATATGGAAACTGAACAATGTGCTCCTGAATGACTACTGGGTAAATAACAAAATTATGGCAGAAATAAATAGATTCTTTGAAACCAATGAGAACAAAGACACAACATACCAGAATCTCTGGGACACAGCTAAAGCAGTGTTTACAGGGAAATTTATAGCACTACATGCCCACAGGAGGAAGGGGGAGAGATCTAAAATCAACGCCCTACCATCACAATTAAAAGAACCAGAGAAGCAAGAGTAAACAAAGTCAAAAGCTAGCAGAAGATAAGAAATAACTAAGAACAGAGCAGAACTGAAGGAGATAGAGACATGAAAAATCCTTCAAAAATCAATGAATCCAGGAGTCGGTTTCTTGAAAAGATTAACAAAATAGATAAACTACTAGCCAGACTAATAAAGAAGAAAAGAGAGAAGAATCAAATAGACAGAATAAAAAATGATAAAGGAGATATTACCACTGATCCCACAGAAATACAAATTACCACCAGAGAATACTGTAAACACCTCTATGCAAATAAATTAGAAAATCTAGAAGAAAGGGATAAATTCCTGGACACATACATCCTCCCAAGACTAAACTAAGAAGAAATCCAGTTCCTGAATAGACCAATAACAAGTTCTGAAATTGAGGCAGTAATTAATAGCCTACCAACAAAAAAAGCCTAGGACCAGATGGATAAACAGCCGAATTGTACCAGAGGCACAAAGAAGAGCTGCTATCATTCCTTCTGAAACTATTCTAAACAATAGAAAAAGAGGGACTCTTCCCTAACTCATTTTATGAGGCCAGCATCATTCTGATACCAAAGCCTGGCAGAGACACAATGAAAAAAGAAAATTTCAGGCCAATATCCATTATGAACATTGATGCAAAAATCCTCAATAAAATACTGGCAAACCAAATCAAGCAGTACATCAAAAAGCTTATTCACCATGATCAAGTCAGCTTCATCCCTGAGATGCAAGGGTGGTTCAACATACACAAATCAATAAACATAATCCATCACATAAACAGAACCAATGATAAAAACCCCATGATTATTTCAATAGCTGCAGAAAAGGCTTTTGATAAAATTCAACAACCCTTGATTCTAAAAACACTCAATAAACTAGGTATTGATGGAACATATCTAAAAATAGTAAGAGGTATTTATGACAAACCCACAGCTAATATCATACCGAATGGGCAAAAGCTGGAAGCATTCCCTTTGAAAACCAGCACGAGACAAGGATGCCCTCTCTCACAACTCCTATTCAACACAGTATTGGAAGTTCTGGCCAGGGCAATCAGGCAAGAGAAAGAAATAAAGCATATTCAATTAGGAGGAGAGGAAGTCAAATTGTATCTGTTTGCAGATAACATGATTGTATATTTAGGAAACCCCATCACCTCAGCCCAAAATCTCCTTAAGCTGATAAGCAACTTCAGCAAAGTCTTAGGATACATAATCAATGTGCAAAAATCACAGGCATTTCTATACACCAATAATAGACAAACAGAAAGCCAAATCATGAATGAGCTCCCATTCACAATTGCTACAAAGAGAATAAAATACCTAGGAATACAACTTACAAGGGATGTGAAGGACCTCTTCAAGGACAACTACAAACCACTTCTCAAGGAAATAACAGAGGACATAAACAAATGGAAAATCATTCCATGATCATGGATAGAAAGAATCAATATAGTGAAAAAGGCCATACTGCCCAAAGTAATTTATAGATTCAATGCTATCCCCATCAAGCTACCACTGACTTTCTTCACAGAATTAGAAAAAACTACTTTAAATTTCATATGGAACCAAAAAAGAGCCCATCCCGTATTGCCAAGACAATCCTAAGCAAAAAGAACAAAGCTAGAGGCATCACACTACCTGACTTCAAACTATACTAAAAGGGTACAGTAACCAAAACAGCATGGTACTGGTACCAAAACAGATATATAGACCAATGGAACAAAATAGAGGCCTCAGAAATAATGCCACATGTCTACTACCATCTGATCTTTGACAAACCTGACAAAAAACAAGCAATGGGGAAAGGATTCCCTATTTAATAAATGGTATTGAAAAAACTGGCTGGCCATATGCAAAAAGCTGAAACTGGACCCCTTCTTTACACCTTATACAAAAACTAACTCAAGATGAATTAAAGACTTAAATGTAAGACCTAAAAACATAAAAACCCTAGAAGAAAACCTAGGCAATACCATTCAGGATGGGCAAAGACTTCATGACTAAAACACCAAAGCAATGGCAACAAAAGCCAAAATAGACAAATCAGATCTAATTAAAGTAAAGAACTTCTGCACAGCAAAAGAAACTAACAACAGAGTGAAAAGGTAACCTACAGAATGGGAGACAATTTTTGCAATCTATCCATCTGACAAAGGGCCAATATCCAGAATCTACAAGGAACTTAAACAAATTTACAAGAAGAAAACAAACAACCCCATCAAAAAGTGGGTGAAGCAAATGAATCGACACTTCTCCAAAGAAGACATATATGTGGCCAACAAACATGAAAAAAAGCTCATCATCACTGGTCATTAGAGAAATGCAAATCAAAACCACAGTGAGGTACCACCTCATGCCAGTTAGAATGGCGATCATTAAAAAGTTAGGAAACTACAGATACTGGAGAGGATATGGAGAAATAGGAATGCTTTTATACTGTTCTTGGGAGTGAAAATTAGTTCAACCATTGTAGAAGACAGTGCAGCAATTCCTCAAGGATCTAGAACCAGCAATACCATTTGACCCAGCATTCCCATTACTGGGTATATACCCAAAGGATTATAAATCATTCTAATATAAAGACACAAGCACACGTATGTTTATTGCAGCACTGTTTACAATAGCAAAGACTTGGAACCAACCCAAATGCCCATCAATGATAGTCTGGATAAAGAAAATGTGGCACATATAACCCATGGAATATTATGCAGCCATAAAAAAAAGGATGAGTTCATGTCCTTTGCAGGGACATGGATGAAGCTGGAAATCATCGTTCACAGCAAACTAACACAGGAACAGAAAACCAAACACTGCATGTCCTCACTCATAACTGGGAGTTGAAAAATAAAAACATATGGACACAGGGAGGGGAGCATCACACACTGTGGTCTTTTAGGGGGTGGGGGGCCAGGGGAGGGATAGCATTAGGAGAAATACCTAATGTAGATGACAGGTTGATGGGTGCATCAATCACCATGGCACGTGTATACCTATGTAACAAACCTCCACGTCTACACATGTATCTCAGAACTTAAAATATATAATATATAATATATATGTATAAAGTATATATATAAAGTATATATATATAAAGTATATATAAAGTATATATACATATATAAAGTATATATATAGTATATACATATATAAAGTATATACATATATAAAGTATATATATATAAAGTGTGTATATACACACACACACACATATATATAGGAATTGCTCCTAACCAGAGTAATCAGGCAAGAGAAAGAAAAAAATGGCATGTAAATAGGAAGAAAGAAAGGCAAACTATCTGTTTGCAGACCACATGATACTATATCTAGAAAACCCCATTGCCTCAGCATAAAAGCTCCTTCAGCTGATACACAACTTCAGCAAAGTTTCAGAATACAAATCCATATACAAAAATCACTAGCATTACTATACACCAACAGCCAAGCCAAGAGCCAAATTAGAAAGGCAATCCTTTTCTAATTTGGGAATTACAATTGCCACAGAAAGGATAGAATACTTAGGGGTACAGCTAACCAGGTAGGTGAAAGATCTCTACAATGAGAATTGCAAAGAAATCAGATCCGTGCTTAAAGAAATCAGAGAAGACACAAACAAATGGAATAACATCCCATGCTCGTGGATAGGAAGAATCAATATTATTAAAATGGCCATACTGCCCAAAGCAATTTACATATTCAATGATATTCCTATCAAAATACCAACAACATTCTTTGCAGAACTAGGAAAATCTATTTTAAATTTCATATGGAACCAAAACAAAGCCCGAATAGCAAAGGCAATCCAAAGCAAAAAGAACAAAGCTAGAGGCATCACCCAACTTTAAACTACACTACAGAACTATGGTAACCAAACAGCATTGTACTGGTACAAAAACAGGTACATAGACCAATGGAACAGAATAGAGAGCCCAGAAATAAGAATGCACACCTATGACCAGTTGATCTTCAACAAAACTGACAAAAACAAAGGGGAAAAGACTCCCTATTCCATCAAACATGCTGGGATAACTAGCTAATATCCAGCTTCTATGAGGAACTTAAACAAATTTATGAGAGAAAAACAAACAACCCCATTAAAAAGTGGGCAAAGGACATGAACAGACACTTTTCCAAAGAACACATACATGTGGCCAGTAAGCATATGAAAAAAAAAAAAGCTCAATATCACTGGTCATCAGAGAAATGCAAATCAAATCCAGAATGAGATACCATCTCACACCAGTCAGAATGGCTATTATTAAAACGTAAAAAAATAACAGATGCTGGCAAGGTTGCAGAGAAAAGGGAACACTTATACGCTGTTGATGGGAGTATAAATTGGTTAAGCCAATGTGGAAAACAGTATGGCTATTCCTCAAAGAGCTAAAAGCAAAACTACCATTCAACCCAGCAATCCCATTACTGGGTATACACCCAGAAGAATAGAAATCATTTTACTGTAAAGACACATGTGGCCAGGTGCGGCGGCTCTCAGCTATAATCCAAGCACTTTGAGACCAGCGTGGGCAACATGGCCAAACCGCATTTCTACCAAAAATACAAAAATTAGCCGGGTGTGGTGGTGCATGCCTGTGGTCCCAGCTACCAGGGAAGCTGAGATGGGAGGATCACCCGAGACTGGGGAGGTCAAGACTGCAGTGAGCCATGATTGTGCCACTGCGCCGCAGCCTGGGCGAGAGAGTGACATCCTGTCTCAAAAAAAAAAAAAAAAGGATACAGCACATGTGCAGGTAAATGTTCATCACAGCACTATCCAGAAAAGCAAGACATGGAATCAACCTAAATGCCTACCAATGACAAATTAGATTTTAAAAATGTGGTATATACAGCTATAAAAAAAAGATCATGTATTTTGTGGGAGCATGGATGGAGCTAGAGGCCATTATCCTTAGCTAACTAATGCAGGAACAAATAAATAAATACCACATGTTCTCACTTATAAGTGGGAGCTAAATTATGAGAACTCATAAACACAAAGAAGGAAAAAACAGAAACAGATTTTCTTGAGGGTGGAAGGTGGGAGAAGGGGTAGGAGGGGAAAAAGATAACTATTGGATACTGAGCATAATACATGGGTGATGAAATAATCTGTACAACAAACCCCTGTGACACAGTTTCCCTTCTGTAACAAACCTTCACACGTACCCCTGAACCTAAAATAAAGTTTTTATTAGAAAAAAAAAAGTCGAAGTCAGCAGAAATGCTTGGGTTTAAGATAGGGGGAGTTGTGGAAGCCAAGGTTCTTGTTATGTAAATAAAGTCTTCAGGTGGCAGGCTTCAGAAAAAATTAAGTAGTAAATGTCTCTTATGAGATCTTAAAAAGTGTCAGACTATTAGTTAAATCTCTCCTGGATCTGGAAAAGACCTGGAAAGGGTAGCGAATTCTATACAGAATGTAGATTTTCCCCACAAGAAACAATAATATAGGTGTTATAAACAAATTATTTAGGCAGATAGTGAGGGTAAGGAAATCCTTCCTGGGTAAGGTTTTCCTTTTAATAAAAAGCAGCCCCCAAATCATTTTTTCTAACAAAGAGCAGCCTGTATAGAATCTAGCTGCAGACATAGACAAGCAAACAGGAAGTTTGCATTGATCAATGCTGGCAGTTGTGCTAATAGAAAAAGGCTACCTGGGATTAAGCATGATCAAAATGGTGGCTCCATCTTCCCTTCTCTTTGTCAGCCACGTGTAGAATAAGGAGCAGACAAGATGGTGCTGGCCATAAGATTAAGGTGGGTCAACCAGACTTCCCTGCGGGCTATGTAAATGTCACACCTGGTAGAACCAATCTGTGACCCTGTGTAAATCAGACACCGGCTCCTCCTCAAGCTTGCCTATAAAATCTGCTGTGGTCTGCCGCAAGCCAGTTGTTTCCCTTTCAAAAACCTCTTTCTCACGAGGGAGAGAGAGAGAGAGAGCTGCTTGCCTCTCTCCTTTCTTCTGCCTGTTAAACTCTCTGCTCCTTAACACACCCACATGTGTCCGTGTCCTTAATCTTCTTAGTGCAAGACGATGAACCCTGGGTATTTACCCCAGACAACGATGCCACTTCAACAGCTTTTCAAAGGCATTCCAAAAGGTGTCAAAGAAATCTATTTTGGGGTAAAATACTTTGATTTCTTTCAGGACTGGCTATCTATCATGTGATGCTATACTAGAGTCAGGTTGCAATTTGGTATGTTATTGCTATAAGGAATCTGTTTTGTCAGTCTTAATTAAGATCTCTGTTTTAAAGTTAATAATGCTGGTAAGTTATGCCTGAATTCCAAAGGGAGGAGAGTATGTCCCTGCAAAGCTGCTTCTGGTGGGGGAAATTTACATTCTGTAGCGAATCGCCTTTGCTTTCCAGGTCTTTTTCTGATCCTGAAGAGTTTAGTTGAGAGTCCAGTACCTTTTAAAGGTCTGAATACAAAATATTTCCCATCTATTGCTTGTAAGGGTGACCACTTATGAGACTTCATCTACATAATAAGAACCTTGTTCTCTACAATCCCTTATTTTAATCCAGACACTCCTTTCTATTGATTCTAGGCATTTAAATAGTAACAAGTTTTTCAACCAATTGCCAATAAGAAAATCTTTGAATTTACCTTTGATGTGGAAGGCCCCACTTTGAGTTGTTCCACCTTTCATGACTGAACCAACACAGACCCCACATGTATTGACTGATTTTTTACATGCTCCTAAAATGTAAATCAAGTTGTAATTCAATCACCTTGGGCACTTGTTCTCAGGATGTCTTGAGACTGCGCCTCAGGCCGTCAATTACTCACATTTGGCTCAGAATAAAACTCTTTAAATATTTCATGGAGTTTGACTCTTTTTTGTTGACAATTTTTTCTTCAAGAGTGTCTCAGAATTAATGATACTTGATATTCTATATACAACTTGGTATTCTATATACATTTTAGAATAATCTTAGAAAATTTTACAAATAGTCTGAATTTTGATTGAGTTAGCACTGAATATAGAGATCAAAGATATAATTAATATCTATACAATTTTGAATCATCTATGAATAGTTGTAATCACTTTGAATTTTCTACATACATAATCATATATATAATAATGAAATTTTATTTCTTCTACTGCAATCTTGCTTGTTCCTTGTCTTATCCTATTATACTGGCTAAAGTCTCTACAACAAAGTAGTTTGAATGGAAATGGAAATAGAAGGTGTCCTTGTCTTTTCCTCAATTTCAAAGAGAAAATTTTCAACATATTCATAATGCTTGCTGAAAGGGTTTTCGGATCCTGTTTAACAGATTAGGATCTATCATTCTTTTCATAGCTTACTAAGTCATTTTTATTATTTTTATATATTTTGAGACTTATCAAATACTTGATTTTTTATCTGATGATATGATTATAAAATGTTGTTTCTTTATTGTGTTATTTTGCTAACACAATGAAAAAATGAATTTCATTTTTTTCTGGAATAAATTTACTTTCAGCAGTGTGTAGAATATTTTAAATAATTGAATTAATTGGTAATATTTTCAAATCTATGTTAATTCATGGGACTATCATGCAATTTTAAAATTTTGTTTTGTTGCCAAAGTTATACTTGACTAAAATAGTATTTGAAACTTGCCTTCTATTTTTTAAACCTCTGGCATATATAAAAATTTCCTACAAATGAATTTGGAAAAAGTCAAGGACTTGAATGGATACTACACAAAAGATTTCTCAATGACTATAAATATAAGAGAAACTGGTCAACTTCATTAGTTAGTAGGTGAGTACAAATTAAAATCATAATGATATATTCATGATATATCACCAGAATGGCTAAAATTAAGAGGACAGAAAACACTGTTAGTATAGATTTGGAGCAACTGTAATTCTCACCATACTGTGGAGTTTAAGTTTGTGCAACCAACTTCCAGAATTGGTGGTATCTACCAAAGCTGAATATATGCATACCTCAAACCTAAGCAATTTCTCCACAGTATCGTCCCTGCCAAAATGCTTACATTTCTTACCAAACACATATACTAAAGTGACTGCAGCAGCAATATTCACAAAAGACAAAAATCATAAGCACCCAAATGTCTAGCCTATCAGTACTACAAAGGATAAAATAGTTGTGGCATATTTATACAATGAAATACAATGCAGTAAAAATATAGTGCTGTATTGGTATATGCAACCACATAAATGAATCTCCCAAAGATAACATTGAATAAATATAAGCAGAAACAAAAGAAATAATGCTGTATGATTTTGTTTATATATAGTTCAAAAAAATCATAATAATGGTTACAAGGGGCAGGTATAAGTAGCATAAGGAAATGAAATTGAGAGTCATTCTAGAATGTTTCTTACATTGTTTTCTTGATCAAAATTTGTTCACTTTGTAATAATTAAGTTGCACCTTCATGAACTATTTTATATAAACTTTTTTTTTTTTGCCTTCAGCAAACATTTTTTTTTCTTTTTTTCTTTTTTTTATTATACTTTAAGTTCTAGGGTGCATGTGCACATTGTGCAGGTTAGTTACATATGTATACATGTGCCATGCTGGTGCGCTGCACCCACTAACTAAACTATTTTTTTAAATGAAAGCTTTCATAAAAATCTAGATTCCATTGAGAATTCAGAATATTTTGCAATCCTGGGGCTCAATGCATAGAAAATTGGTCAACTAGCGCTCAGCAGTTGTTGTTTTCTTCAGATGTGGCATGTGCAGCAAAATGTTCACCACTCTTTTATTACTGCATATAGACCTCAGCTAAATGTTTGTTGACACTTATCATTGCATTTCTACAATTGTTTTTCTTATACCTTATCCACTCAGTCATTCATATCACCTGCTTGTACTTGAATATGCATTAGATTTTTCTTGGACCCTAAAATATTTATAGAATTTGCCTTAAACAAATAGAGGTTCACTTCCTCTATTGAGACCTGAAAAAAAATCATAAAGGAAGAGTATGAATGTATATACATTTATAGGTGACAGACAGGAAGTTAATGGAATTTCCCCCTGGGCCCTCTGTTTTGTCTTGGAAGTCAGGGCAAGATAACCTGCTTGGAGAGCTGTGGGACACTGGATTGGAGGATTTAAGAATTTGTTGAACATTTGCTATGGTGATGCAAGAGACAAACAGGATACACACAGAATGACCTCTGGACAGAAGAGAGCCCATTGGAAGTTGAGAAAGACCAGGGGTGTTTAAGGGCGCCGTTCAAAACATTTATATATTTATCTCCAGCAACAGTCAAGTGCCTATTAGATATGAGGGAAAAGGCCCTGTTGGAAGGCTGCAGGCCTGCCGTTTTTGTCTCAGTAGAGGTGAGGTAAAGGCAAGGTGCCCCAAAATTTAAAGTTATTAAGAAGAGAATTTAAAGTTATGAGTCAACAGGATAAATTAATTATATGTACTTGCATATATAAAATACTAGATTTTTGATAGAAACTTAACAGCAGAAATGAGAAAATTGAACGTTGGGAGGCTATGAGGGCAGAAGTTAAATATCTTTGTGGTTTTGCCTAGATTTACACAATATTGAAAGATCAGAGAGTCAAAATTATTTCTTTCAGAATAAACTCCTGGGACATTTCATCTTTGGATACTACAGAGCCTGATATTAATTGCATGTTGGGAGAACTGTGTCCCTGGGATCTTTTTGGATTCAGTGTCCTGCGTCCTTGCCAGTGTCTCCTGATTTGCTGATCTTCAGTGATCTCCAATCTCAAATAACAGCCCCGACAACCAATACATGAGCCTTAGACACTGAGTTGTCACTTGAAGGTAATAATGGTTTGAACTCTATGGCTTAAGCTTCCTTTCTGTATTAAAATATGATTATTAGTGTGAAAAAAATGTGGAAAACTTTTTTTCTTGTAACATATTTATTTCTTTTTATGCTTTGATTTTATTTCTATACCATGCCCATGATTCTTAACTTTTAATGGCGAACTGGTTTAAAGTGATGTTCATCTGGGTGAGGGGAGATTATATAGTGCCCATGTTAAATTTTGCATCATGGTAAAATAAAATTCTTCTACAAGCCTAAAACAAACATATTCCTACAAATAAGGAGCTGGTTCATGACTGTGAATTGATCTCTCATCGCGTTTCTTTGGAGGTATTGTGTGTGAGTGTGTGTTAAAAATACAGGAGAAGTCTCCTTTGATTGGGATGGGTAAATTGACAATGAGCAGGCTGCATTAAACAGATTAGAACAAGAGTGATGTGTGTCTGGCTTTATTTTATTCCTTTGATACAAGTAAAACGAGTACAATTTAGTGTAGCTAAATGGGTGGGAATTAACATAAATGAGAGAATCGGAAGACTTACGCATGTATGTATGTTTTTATGGGTATGTATGTGTATAACTGTGAGTGAAATTATTAGAACTATATATATTTAGTATACGTTATATTGAATATATTACATGTAGCATATTTATAAACTGGTTTATTCCTTAAGGGTCCTTTCATGTTCTCTTTTTACTATTGTGCTCTCCTCCCCCTATTTTGAGGGATCACTCAGTGTCTTCATCCTTTTATGGGGTACCCATGCCTCCTCTGACTTTTCCTGTGACTTCTTTTCATTTCCATTGAGTACTGCTAAGTACAATTTTTAGATGATAAGTGAAATAAATATTAAAAAAGCAGTGAAAATTACCTTATATATTTTACTTTAATGACTAATTTTCAGAACAAATATTAATGCAATTTCAGGATATACAGTTATTGTAGGGGAAGAATTTTAGGCTGGAGTAATTTTTCCTGATGCCACGTGGAAAGTGCCTATTTGTCCTATATATGAGGTAAAGTCGTGAAATTTGGGTATATACTTTGTATCTGTGAATATATTTTAAACTTCTGCATTTATAAGTGTTTGGACTTTTAAAAAGCTGATTAAAAATTTTGATCTTTTCATCTTCTAGAAGATAAACATTCTATGTTGGTTTGATGCCTCTTAGTCTCACTAAAGAGCCCTTCTTACCCTGATCACCACTCTTTCCATTCAGATTCAACTACCTCTTCATTCAACACACAAGACCAGAGAGCTAACTCCCTTCCCTAACACCACACACCAAAGAAGAGAAGGAGAACTTTGCAAATCAGGACTATCATAGATGAATCCAGCTTATAGGCCAGAAGGTAAACTAGATGACTAAACATGAGGTGTGCTGCATAATGCTTGCATAAGAATATCTTTGCTGAATAAACTGCATGAGTTTACGTCATCAGTATGCTGGTGGACTAAATGAGTTAACGAATCCCTAAAGAAAATAAGTCATTGAAAGTATGTGTCCATATAATTAAACATTAAGTTATAAATGTTAATATTATTACTTTCAATAGCCAAATGTTTGCCATTTTATAGGAAAAATAACCTCTATAATCTCCAGAAGCGAGCTACCATTCATATAAAGAAAAACCTTAAAAAATGCCCAACTCAGAATTTACAATTGAAGAATGGAAATGCTATTTATATTAATTATTTGCATATATTAACCATTACTGAGTTTTTTCACTGAATTTGAACAATTTGTCCTGAGTTATAAATTAATTGAATGTACTTTATTCCTTTGACATTTTCTTTCTTTCTGCCTTTATTTTTTCTGTGATACACTTTATCTCAGCTTCTAATAGTTATCAGTCAGGAAAATACTGCTTCCACAATAGCCTTCATGTATCTCTCTGTATTATGTATTTTCTTTAAGGTCTTCTTTTGTGATTTCTATATCAAAATTTATTCCATGGGTCACTGTAACATCTCTGAGTCAGTGTTTTGATTAGAGATTAATCAAAACTTTTTAAAGATTGATATTTTGCCCAATGGCCAACACATTATCCTCCCTGAATTCTTGTAATGTGTTTCTCCTAGTTCTGAACAGGGTGATGGGCATGACCAACAGCAGTGTCAAGGGAGACTTCATCCTGGTGGGTTTCTCTCATCAGCCCCACCTGGAAAAGATCCTCTTTGTGGCTGTTTTGATATCCTATCTCCTTACCCTTGTGGGAAATACAGTAATTATTCTGATCTGCTCTGTAGACCCTAAACTCAAGACACCCATGTATTTTTTCTTACTCACCTCTCCTTAGTTGATATCTGTTTTACCACCAGTATTGTCCCCCAGCTGCTGTGGAACCTAAAAGGACCTGACAAAACAATCACATTCCTGGGTTGTGTCATCCAGCTCTACATCTCCCTGGCATTGGGCTCCACTGAGTGTGTCCTCCTGGCTGTAATGGCTTTTGATCGCTATGCTGCAGTTTGCAAACCTCTCCACTATACCGCCGTAATGAACCCTCAGCTGTGCCAGGCTCTGGCAGGGGTTGCGTGGCTGAGTGGAGTGGGAAACACTCTTATCCAGGGCACTGTCACCCTCTGGCTTCCTCGCTGTGGACACCGATTGCTCCAACATTTCTTCGTGAGGTACCCTCCATGATTAAGCTTGCATGTGTGGACATCCATGATAATGAGGTTCAGCTCTTTGTTGCTTCACTGGTCTTGCTCCTCTTGCCCTTAGTGCTAATACTGCTGTCCTATGGACATATAGCCAAGGTGGTCATAAGGATCAAGTCAGTCCAGGCCTGGTGCAAAGGCCTGGGGACATGTGGATCCCATTTGATAGTAGTGTCCCTCTTCTGTGGGACCATCACAGCTGTCTACATCCAGTCCAACAGTTCTTATGCCCATGCTCATGGGAAGTTCATCTCCCTCTTCTATACAGTTGTGACCCCGACCCTCAATCCTCTCATCTACACACTGAGGAATAATGACGTGAAAGGAGCACTGCGATTATTTAACAGAGACTTAGGCACATAAAAAATGAAGCAGAGTACACAGCGCTCAACTTTTTTCACAAAGCAACTTTAAAGGTCATCTTGTATAATTTTTCACTCAAGAACTTTGCCAGTCTGTAAAGGAAGAGATGTAATCTTCTCCATCTGCATTACTGTATTTCACTTGGCCTCAGAGCTTTCTATCCTCTCCAATCTCTTTCCAGACTTCTTTTGAGCCCATGTAAGGCAATATTCCCCCATGCCTTTTAGATCTCCATGAGTCACATCATTTCTGTTTCTCGCTCTCCCCGGCTTCCTGTGCTTTTCTTTAGCCTTCCTTCCTTTCTTGCTTTTTTCCTTCCCTTCCTTCCGTTTCCACCTTTTATTTATTCATTAAAAAAAGACATATAAGCCCTCAAACACAATTTTGGTATACAAGGTCTTGTTTATTATATAATAGTCATTGTTTTGGATCAACTCAGAGAAAAGTATAGAGCCCTTCTTGAATTACTTAAAACTTAACTATAAATTAGGGCATGCTTTATTTAAATATACTCAAGCACTGAAAAGGAATAGGTATCTGTGTTCTAGAGCAGGCTGTGGCAAACTGGGGGAACAGGCCAAATCACTCATTCTAACACTTGATAACATGATTTTTTATTTCAGTTATTCACAAGAAGGGACATTCACCAGCAGTTAGTAATTAATGATATCTTTTCCATCTTCAATTAAACAGAGAGTTCACAGAATTCCATCTGGGGCCTGCTTTGAAACTATGCACACTTGGCAAAAGGAAAAGAGCTCAGATCCAAACAGGACATGGGTACCAGTGTTTTATAAATCAAAATTTCTCACCCTTAGCCCTCTGGACATTTTGGAACAGATAATTTTCTGTTGTCAGGGTCTCTCTTCTGCATTTTAGGATGCTCAGCAGTATCTTTGGCCTCTGTGCACTAGATGCTAGTAGCATCTCCTTTCCCCCCAAGTTGTGACAAGCAAAAATACCTCCAGACATTGTCAAATATGCCCTAGGAAGCAAAAATGCTCCTGGCATAGAAGCACTGCCATAAATCAGGGCATATTGCTATATCAAGAGGCATGTTTTATTACATGGGAGTAAGCCTACAGGGTCAGAGTGAGACTAGCAGCAGTCATTCTAGTGCACAAAGCATAGGTGTGCACATAGAAACACAAAAGCACAGGAACATATACAAACATATTTGATAAAATGTTTTTAGTGTCCTTTTGTTTCATTATGTATGGTTTTAAATTTTCATTTTTATAATAAGAGAAAAGGCCATTTTGACATATGTTGAACTATCTTTTTCAGAGCAATGTTATTTCATTAAAAATTTTTTTGAAGGGAAGATTTTACTTTAATTTTATATTATTAAATAGTGAGGCATGAGGTAAAATCGGTGGAAATGAGAACGTGAAGTAAATGCTCAGTGATTCCAATTGCATTCACCTCTCCAACATGGCATCTGCTGTTTAGGGAGGCGGGGTTATCCAGCTTCTGGATCTGGGTGTGGGCATGGGATAGTCAGATGGGAATGGCACCAGTTGGAGGAACATGGGTAAGAGAGGGTGAAAGGTAAAGTGCTATCTCTGAGGTAGGTTAGGGTCTGACATCTGGAAAGTTGGGGAAGGAAGGAGCCCTAAGGAGATATAGCCTAGGGCTTTTCCAGCTACTTTGACAGCCATTTGTTCTGTTACGAGATCCCGATGTCACTTGAACAAGACCCTCAGTGGGCCTCATCTTGGCTCCATTACTTTCTGAAAGCTTTTTCTTCATCTTCCGTTTTTTCTTGGGTTCAACACCAGATGGTGCCAGCAGACCATAATGTATCCAGCAAATTCTTCCTGTCATATCCAGCCTCGTCTGCCTTACCCAAAGCTTCATGGGCTTTTTCGGTGAAATTTCTCCTAATTCCCTTCCTCTGCCTAATCCTCCTATTTCTCTGTTGAAAACAATAGCAATGTCTTCCCTACCATAAAAATCCTTGTGTGCCTTTATAATCCAAACACACTAGATGACTGTACAATGACAATACTTGTCATTTGTCCTGTGACTATGCCTTAATATGTTAAAATTTATTTCTTTATACATAAAAATGTATTTCAAGTATAAATAACTGGTTCTGAGTTTGCCATTTTATATAATTTGGAGAGTTCCTGAAGTCAAGAATTTAGAACCATGGAACTCTACACTGAAAAGCCACCAGCCAGGGCCAGCACATACCCAGAAGTTATTGTTTTGGGAATGGTCTGTCAATTTGGGGTCCGGGGTTTAGTGGATGTGCATGTGGAAGAAGGAGAAAGAGAAAACAGTTTTTGAATAGCTAGAGCGTTCTGTGATTGAGCAAAATAACAGTGTGTTTGCTGGGCCTTTTACCTTAAGACCTTAGTGAGTTTCTTAGCCTAGATTCTCTAAAAATCAGAGCTTGAGGCAAAAAAGGAAATATTAATGTTTTATTTGGGAATGCAAATAGAGGGCAGCAAAGGTGAGAAAAAAAGGGAACTGAGAGAAGGGAAATATGAAGCAAGGTGAGGTGATACATTTTCACACTGGCTACCACTTCCTGAGAAATTTTAGAAGGCTGCCTCACGGATGCTTTAATCTGCTCTCGCCACTCTCCTTCAGACAAGATAGGAGGAGGAATCTTGCTTTGGGTGAAAGAAAAAAAAAAGAAAGTATTAAAGTATATCAAAGAAGAAGGAGCTGTGTCAAAGGCTGTTAGTATAGTAGGTCAAGTGAGATGAAGATTAAGAACTGACCATTGGATTTAGCAATAAGGAAGTCATCTGTGACACTAAGGGAGGAGTTTTGCTAGAGAAAAAGAAGGCAACAGCCACACTGGAATGGAAGCAAGAGAGAACAGTGGGAGACAACTTAGAGACAGAAAGCATAGAAAACTCATGAATAGTGCTTTGCTGAAGGCAGGAAGAAATGATTCAATAGCTGTAGGGAAAGGGAGGTCAAGAGAAGGCAGAAAGAGTTTTTTTCTGTAAGATGGATGTAATGGCAGCATGCTTGTATTCTATGGTAATGACCTATAGAGTATGCAAAATTACACAGCAGGAGAGTGAGGGTGAACTCAGAAACAAAGTCTTTAGGTCGGTGAGGGGATGGATCCAGGGCAGCAGAGGATTGATCAGCCTTTGCTAGAGCACAAACAGTTCATCAATAGGAACCAGACAGAAAGTAGAATACATGGATATAGAAGCAGGTGGGTGTGTTGAGGTAGTATTGAAATCTGATAGAAATTCCTTTCTGATTTCTCCAATTTTCTCTGAAGTTTTGAAAAGCAGAGGCATCAGTTGGGAGTGAAGAAAAGGAAAGGATGTGCGCTTGGATAGAGCAGAGAAGGTGTGAACAGACACCTGGGAAGAGGGAAAGTACAGAAATTATGAAATATAGAAAACTAACGATTTTCTTTTCTGGATTTTCTTTTTGTTTTGTTGCATTTCGTTTTTTTTCAAAGGTTTATCTGGTGATATGTTATGATCCTGGGGGAGGAAGAGCTGAGCTCTACATTTGGCTCAGTCTATCATGGTGTTTCCCCGTGGGTCTCTTTTTTTCCCACTATATCTCTAACTATTTTATCATTTTCATCAAATGACTTCTTAAATCAATTGAAATAGTCATTTATAAAAGTCATTTGTATATAAACATTCCATTGTTTTCATACTTGTGTTTTAACTATAGTAAATACAGCACTTGATATACAGAAATTTAGTTCCAAATGTCTTTGATTGTTCAACTGCCTTTATAAATCTCCCACTATAACTTATTTAAAAAACAGAATATTGTACATGTACTATCTAGAAATTAAAATTATTTCTCTTCCCCAACATTTAAGTAATATATATTTAGAAAACACCATCCTAAGAGTTTTAATTCTATTAAGCTTCAATTTGAACTCCTGTATAACAATTTAACAGCAACGAAACTAGAATAGAGAGAATTTTTAATTACTTTAGGACAACAATGATATGGCTATTTTTCCTGGATGTTAAAAGTAGGTTCAGGGCCAGTTGCGGTGGCTCATATCTGTAATCCCAGCACTTGGGAGGCAGAGGCAGGAAGATCGCTTGAGCCCAGGAGTTCAAGACTAGCCTGGGCAAAATAGCAAGACTCCATCTCTACAAAAACATTAAAAAATAATAATAATAAGCAGGTCTATTTGAAGGTAGAATCAATGAGGAAGGTTATCTTCTTCTACTTTAAGATGTATAAATATGTAAATGATCTGAAGTTTTATTTCATTTTCTTGATATATATCAGTAATTACTTAATCTCTGTCCTGGAGATTTTGAAGCTAATTTTCATACTGTGCATTTTCTGGTCCAAAGATTCTTGATTTATTTTATATGCTTAATATGATTTTAAGTGTTCCTTTTATTCTTTTCAGATAATTCAGACTATATTTTGTTTGTGTCCTCTCCAAAGGTTTTACAAAAGCATAAATCAGATTATTGAGAGCTATCTAAGTAATATACATGTTCTGATTTGTTTATTACATCCACTCTAACATACCTGCATCTGTTTTATCTTCTCCAAGTGTCAGAGATTTGCTCTGACTTTTCTTGTTCTTTGGAACTTGTTCTAGGTGTTCTCAGTTCTGACTCACTCTAAGTTATTTCTGTTTATTGAGATATTTTCAATATGTTTATTTCTGTTGGCTTAATCTTTTATTTCATCCTTCAGTTTTTTGTAAAAGCTATTTTGGGTTTTCCCGAAGATGGACGTCTTCATCCAAACTCTACTTTATTGCTATGGCAAGTCTTCATTCATGTGATATAGTTTTAAAGTTATTTTGGCTTTATCCATTTGGTACTGATGGACTTTGACATATCTTCTAGTGACTGAATCCTTGTTTTAATGTCAGACACAAGTCATTATGAACATTTAGATACCTTTTTCTTCCATTTGTTTTCTAATGAGTCCAGTTTAAACTCAAAGAGTTAGATCTTTCAAGTTTTTAATTAACTAATTGCCTTTAAATTTGGAGTTCTTGATAAATTGTTCTCAAGACTAGACTCAATAAGAAAAAAATCTGTAACTCTTCCTATACTTTAAAAATCAGTTTAACCTAACCAAAATCTTCACTTTTTTTCTACCTAGAACAGAACTTCTTATGGAAAATACATTAATCCCTATTTGGATAAAGTCAGCTTTTAACTATTAAAAAAATTCAGATATAGCTGCACTTACCGCCATCTCCCATGTTAAGCCAGAGAGATCTGCTGTGAGTCTCATGTCTCCTGGTAACAGACATGGCCTCACTCAGCTTCTCCAGAATTCGTATAAAGTAAAACTTTATAGCAGTAGGCAGGTACTCTGTAACACCAGCTCTGCCTCAGGTTGCCAGGACCCTCCTATTCTACAACACACTGTAGAGAACACTGTGGAGTATTCTGCTCAGAACCTAAACCAGTGCCTGGCAACCAAGAGAGACCAGCAGTGTGCGTGGCGATAGGGGAGAACAGGCAGTGCTTCCAAAACATTTTCATTTCATAGCACACTTTAAGTTAGATGTACAAGGCTGACTTTCACCAGGGAAGATTGGCCACTGGGACTTTGTTCATCCAAGGCCACATCCATCAATCCCAAAATCTGGGAGGATAGATGGATTTTTACACATGTGCTATTCGGGAATCACTGACAAAGACTGTCAAATGAAAATGATGTGACTCAAAGGCTAAAGACTTTATTCAGGTGATGAGCATTGAGATCTCCTTACTGAAGTCAGATCAGAGTTTTTACAGGATAGAGGAAGTGGAGTACACATCCTCGTTACCTTGTTTTGGCTAAGGCAACAGCTTTCTATTTTAAAATCTCAGTTGGGGGCTTATACCTGCTTTCATGCCCCTTTCATGTCAATAATCATCAGAAAAGTATTTTTTGAGAATGATTTTTGCAAGCCTTGAGGTTTGTTAGTTAGTCAAGGTTCATGGGGTGGGGAGAGAGAGAGGAAGAAAGAAAGGAAAAGAGAGAGGAAGGGAGGAAAGAAAGAAAGAAAGAAGGAAAAAAGAATAAAAGAATAGGAAAGAATAAGAAAAGAGGACAAAGGTAGAAAGCAATGGGGAAACTGGAAACTTCTGTCTTGTTTGTTTTCATTGTTTTACAGAGTTTACATGCTCTCCTTCATGGTCAATATTTTCTTAATGTAAATATTTTTTTAGACCCATAAGGTTCTAATACTCCAAAAAAGTTAAACAAAGCCCTCCTTTTGGCAACCTATCCCTTTTTGTGTTTGGTCAGATCTCAAGTGTAGAAGAAGGAGAATGAAGGGTCTCATAATCAACTTACCACCTTGAATTTCAAATGTAACAACTCAAGGAATCAAAGGGGAACTTGAAAATCCTTCAAATATAAAAGATTTATAATCATGCTATAAATAACACCCAGCCCCTTACTCAGTCACTGTTCTTCATGTTTCCCAATTCTCAAGCAAAACGCAAAAACTTTCTATTCCCTGGCAGAGAGAGGAATAGAATACCATAATCAAACAGGCAGTTAATAATGAGTTGCTATAACAGAAGTTGCCATCCCTTGTTCTTCTCTATTTGTGAACATTCATGAGAACGGCTATTCCTATTCCATACAGTTCCAGTGAGTTCTTGACCATGAAACTGATCACAAGGGTGAACAAGTGATCCAATTTCAACAAGTCAGTTTTTCTTAGTGCTTTGAATCTTCAACAGATGGTATTGTCCAAATGGGGTTACCTGTTACTTCCAATCTGAATTCCCCAGGCCTACCCTGATTCATTTTACTCCAGTAACCTGATGGTCCTACTGGTTCTTTCATTTGGTGGGGTACTCACTGTATCTTTCCAAAATTTATTTTTCTTTTTTTTATTATAAAATTTTATCTTCTCCAATTGATTTTTCTTTTTTTTAAATTATTATTATACTTTTAGTTTTAGGGTACATGTGCACAATGTGCAGGTTTGTTACATATGTATACATGTGCCATGTTGGTGTGCTGCACCCATTAACTGTCATTTAGCATTAGGTATATCTACTAATGCTATCCCTCCCTTCTCCCCCCACCTCACAACAGTCTCCGGTGTGTGATCTTCCCCTTCCTGTGTCCATGTATTCTCATTGTTCAATTCTCGCCTATGAGTGAGAACATGCAGTGTTTGGTTTTTTGTCCTTGCGATAGTTTGCTGAGAATGATGGTTTCCAGTTTCATCCATGTCCCTACAAAGGACATGAACTCATCATTTTTTATGGCTGCATAGTATCCCATGGTGTATATGTGCCACATTTTCTTAATCCAGTCTATCATTGTTGGACATTTGGGTTGGTTCCAAGTCTTTGCTATTGTTAATAGTGCCACAATAAACATACGTGTGCATGTGTCTTTATAGCAGCATGTTTTGTAATCCTTTGGGTATATACCCAGTAATGGGATGGCTGGGTCAAATGGTATTTCTAGTTCTAGATCCCTGAGGAATCGCCACACTGACTTCCACAATGGTTGAACCAAAATTTATTTTTTTTAAGATGGCCAGAGGTATTTTCTGTTTTTTACAACCAAAGGACCCTGATACATCTACCACATGTACACGATCATTTTTGAAGTATCAAAAACCAATACATTGAACCCTCTTAAAAACAGTAAAATATTTATGAATGCAGAAAACCTTCTGAGATTCTGATGTTCAGAATTATGAACCTAGTATTGGATGCTAAATAGAACTGTTTTAATAGTGGTAAGAATTGGAATATTATGGATTATCTGAGCTCCTCCTTGTCATAGAGGTGGATCCTGAGTTTTTGGGGACACAGAACTTGTTCACTTTGGTTAGATATCACATAAATTCTAAAGCTCAATCTTTTTGGAAAAATCTGGACACATTTGAGAAAAAGAATATGTCAAGGCATTTTCAGTTCTATACACTTCATTCTCTTACTTTCTTTGTTGAGTCAGGAGAGGACGCTCACTAATACGCAGAGACAAGGGCAGACAGCAAGATCTAGTAGAGGGTAAGAAACAAAAGATACTGCTTCAGGTCCAATGCCCTATGCTCCTTTATTTCCTTAAAGGCACAGGGAGGTCTAGTGCTGGAAAGAGACCCAGAGAGATATATAGATACTGCTACAATAACAGTAATGGAGAGAAACAAAGCAGTAGAGAGACAAAAAGAGACAGAGAAGCAGAGAAACAAAGAGAAACAGATGAAGAGCTTATAGATAAAGGCTGTATGGATAAAGAGCATATGGATAAAATCTGTTTCTCTGCAGAGAAACAGATTTAGAGACATAGGGAGAGAATCTCAGAGAAAGACAAGAGAGTCTCTCCTGCTTAAATAGCTGCAGTGCTCCTCTGTTACTGTTAAAGTCCAAATACAACCCACAAGACCACACCAACCTCTCTAGGCTGTTAATAATACTGTTCCCCCGATTGCCACCCTATAGTCAAACCAGTTTCTTAGAGTCTCTAAGTCACCACTGCCTTCCACATATTTTCTTGCATACACTAAGAGATCAATAAAAATATTTTGAATGAATGGCATATTATCTTGAAGCTGATGAGAAGGCATTGAAGGATGACTACTTTCTTCTCTCTGCCACAGGCTACAATCTACATGGAATATGCATACTCTGACAGTACAAGCATAGAATCAAAACCCAGGTCTCTGATCCACAGAAAGTTCACTGCTCTGTCTACCCCTAAGTAGAATCCTGCTATCCTTACCCACATCTTCCTCAAAGAGGCCACCCTTCTGCTGCCCACCACCTCTCCCCTCTCTTACCCAATGCAGTCACATCCATGTTCATACAGAAGTTAAGGTGTGTATGTAAGGGGTAAAGGTCAGTAGCCTGGCTGAGAAGCCAGTATGTATCTGTTAAGAAATTAGAAATTAGTTTCCTGTCTATTAATAAATTAGTATCTAAGTTAATTAAGAAATCAGATCTCACCAAGAGTGTAAAAGCTGTTTCCTATTTCTCCAAAGCCTTGCTAGCATCTATTATTTCTTGACTTTTTAATAATGGCCATTCTGACTGGTGTGAGATGTTATCTCATTCTGGTTTTGATTTGCATTTCTCTAATAATCAGTGATGCTCCTTATAGATTCTGGATATTAGACCTTTGTCAGATGGATAGATTGCAAAAATTTTCTCCCATTTTATAGGATGCCTGAGTTCAACCATTGTGAAAGACAGTGTGGCAATTCCTCAAAGACCTAGAACCAGAAATACCATTTGACCCAGCAATCCCATTACTGGGTTTATACCCAAAGGAATATAAATCATTTTATTATAAAGATACATGCACACATATGTACTTTGCAGCACTATTCACAATAGCAAAGGCATGGAATCAACCCCAATGCCTATCAATGATAGACTGGATAAAGAAAATGTGGTACATATACACCACTGAATACTACACAGCCATGAAAAGGAACAAGATCACATCCTTTGCAGAGACATGGATGGAGCTGGAAGCCATCATTCTCAGCAAACTAACACACGAACAGAAGACCAAACACTGCATGTTCTCACTTATAAGTGGGAGCTGAACAATGAAAACACATGGACACAGGGAGGGGAACCACACACACTGGGACCTGTCGGGGATAGGTGGGAAGAGCATCAGGATAAATAGCTAATGCATGTGGGGCTTAATACCTACGTGGTGGGTTAATAGGTGCAGCAAACCACCATGACATACATTTACCTATGTAACAAACCTGCACGTCCTGCAAATGCATCCCGGAACTTAATATTAAATTAAATTTTAAAAAAAGAAATTAGAGGCTGGGCGTGGTGGCTCATGCCTGTAATCCCAGCACTTTGGGAGGCTGAGGAGGGTAGATCATGAGGTCAGGAGTTCAAGACCAGCCTGGCCAAGATGGTGAAATCCCGTCTCTACTAAAACTACAAAAATTAGCCAGGTGCAGTGGCAGGCACCTCTAATCCCAGCTACTCAGGAGGCTGAGGCAGGAGAATTGCTTGAACCCAGGCAGCAGAGGTTACAGTGAGCTGAGATGGCACCACTGCACTCCAGCCTGACCGACAGAGTGAGATTCCATCTAAAAAAAAAAAAATTAGATCTCCAGAAACAACTCAGTTAGGTCACCTTAGGTGGCTCATGATCTCTTGTGCTGCTACCAATTCTGTCAACTGCTCTTGATCTTAACTACAGACCCAACTCTGCAAATTGCTGGAGAGAAAAGCCTCCTGTCTTCCCAGGATCATTCAAATTTTCTATAATTTAGATACAAATCCAACCCCCAGAGAGCTGGTTCACAAGATCCATAAAGAAATGCAAACTAATTTTTAAAAGAAAAATATATAATCCATTGCTTATTGTAATCTGTAATAGCTAAAATGAAATTAAAAGAGAATGCCAAAGCAGACCTTAATGCTAGAATAAGCTCAGATTTTGATGAGTGTGAACTCAGACCACTAACCTCAAAACCACCCCTCAAGAGAAAAATTATGTTGGGAACAAGATAAATTATCTCTACAACGTCTGATCCAAGAGGGCAGTTAACATGAGAGAAGGTATATTAGTCCATTCTCATGCTGCTAATAAAGACGTACCTGAGACTGGGTAATTTATAAAGGAAAGAAGTTTAATTGACTCACAGTTCCGCAAGGCTGGGGAGGCTTCAGGAAACTTACAATTATGGCAGAAAGGGAAGCAAACATATCCTTCTTCAGATGGCAGCAGAAGAGAGAAAAAGGGCAAAAGGGGAAAAACTCTTTATAAAATCATCAGATCTTGTGAGAACTCACTCACTATCATGAGAACAGCAGCATGGGGAGTAACCACTCCTATGATTCAACCTCTCACTAGGTCCCTACCAAGACACATGGGGATTATGGGAACTACAATTCAAGATTAGATTTAGGTGGAGACAAGGCCAAACCCTATCATTCTGTGCCTGGCCCCTCCCAAGTCTCATGTCCTCACATTTCAAAACACAATTATGCCCTTCCAACAAGTCCCTCAAAGCCTTAACTAATTCCAGCATTAACTCAAAGTCCAAGTCCAAAGTCTCATCTGAGACAAGGCAAGTCCCTTCTGGTTATAAGCCTGTAAAATCAAAAGCAAGTTAGTTACTTCCTAGATACAATGGGAGTACAGCATTGGGTAAATACACCCATTCCAGATGGGAGAAATTGGCCAAAACAAAGGTGTTGCAGGACCCATGCATGTCCGAAATCCAGTAGGGCAGTCAATTCTTAAAGCTCATAAATGATCTCTTTTGACTCCATGTCTCAAATCTAGGTCAAGCTGATGCAAGAGGTGGGCTCCCATGGCCTTGGGCAACTCCATCCTTGTGGCTTTGCTCCCCTCCTGGCTGCTTTCACAGGCTGGCATTGAGTGTCTCCAGCTTTTCCAGGCACACAGTGCAAGCTGTCAGTGGGTCTATCATTCTGGAGTCTGGAGGATGGTGACCCTCTTCTCACAGCTCCACCAGGCAGTGCCCCAGTGGGTACTCTGTGTAAGGGCTCCAACACCACATTTTTCTTCTGCACTGCCCTAGCAGAGATTCTCCATGAGGGCTCTTGCCAACCCAGCAAACTTCTTCCTGGACATCCAGGCACATCAATACATCCTCTGAAATCTAGGCGGAGGTTCTCAAAGCTCAGTTCTTGTCTTCTGCACACCCACAGGACCAACACCATGTGGAAGCTGCCAATGCTTGGGGCTTGCACTCTCTGAAGCGGTCTGTACCTTGGCCTCTTTTAGCCAAGGATGGAGCTGAAGCAGATAAGACACCGGGCACCATGTCCCAAGGCTGCATAGAGCAGGGGGGCTCTGGGCTTGGCCCAGGAAACTGTTTCTCCCTCCTAGGCCTCTGGGCCTGTGATGGGAGGGGCTGCTGTGAAGACCTCTGACATGCCCTGGAGACATTTTCCCCATTGTCTTGGTGATTAACATTTGGCTCCTTCTTACTTATGCAAATTTCTGCAGCCTGCTTGAATTTCTCCTCAGAAAATGGGTTTTTATTTTCTATCACATTGTCACTGTCTCTGAACAGGAGTGAACTGAGGGGGAAGCACTTGCTAGACCAGTGTTGTTAGCTGCAATCTGAAGCAACACAGTGGCTGAACCTAATATTCCTTCCAAAATTGAAAAAGTTTGGTTGTAAATGGAGAAGACAAATAATAGCTAAGAGTAAAGCAATAAACAAATGGGTTTTGTAATGAGGCAAATCTAATATTATATCAATACTGTGAAAGAGTCTAAGAGCAAGAGATGATATTGTTATAAGTTCCACGATGTTGATTATTTTATATGTTTTATCTACTATTACATAACTACCATCTGAAACATAATAGGTATATAATAGGAAAGCCATAAATATCTATAAAGTGAAAGAATAATTGGGTCTGATAAAAAGATAGCCATTTTGTTACAATAAGGCCTCAGAATGAAGAAAAACACAGAAGTCTATTCCTATAACTGGGGGCCCAGAATATCAAGGCTCAAACTGAGAAACTTGCACACACACTCATCATAGTATCAGCACCAGAGAGCAGTAAATGTGGACTTTGGCATGGCAAACACTTTGCATTGGATAGTGAAAGTCACATTACAGGTCAACAGTGGTCATGCTGAGACAGAGAGACAGAAGCAATTAAAACCAAGACCTGCCATATTACAGTATAGGGGTACATATAAGTTGATCAAGAAGTTTCTGTCTCAAAACTTTAGAAATCTTGTTGGGACTGAAAGCACTGGTGGAGCTTGTAGGAAAATAGAACAAAAAAAGAACGAAATAGAAAGGCATGAAACGTACTACTTAGTATTTTATTTTGCAAGTAATGTGTTTCTTGTGTCTTCTCCTCCTCCCCCATTCAATTGCATTGTGTCCTTTTCAAGACAATAGCTATTAAATATATTAATTTTTATACCATACTGTGTCTAAATCCACAATATGAAGAATTTAAGGGCCCAATTGATTGATGAAGGAAACTGAAATCTCAACCTGAACAGAATGCAGCTCTTTCTCTCCTACTTTTGGCTTAGGAGGTGTATCTCCAGCTTTTTGTGATGAGGTTGTTCTCTATTCTTAGGTTAAGCAAAGGTAAACATATGTTAACCTTGTTAGTTATTCTGGGAATCCCAGGTCCTCCTCCCCAATCTTATTAGTGCTCCCTTTACCTCCTTGTTCCTTAGAGTGTAGATGAGGGGATTAAGAGTTGGGGTTACTACAGTGTAGAAAAGAGTGAGAAATTTGCCCCATTCATGAGGATAGTGATTTTTTGGTTGAAGGTAGACACCTGTGACAGTGCCATAAAAGAGAGAAACCACAAGAAGGTGAGAGATGCAGGTGCCAAATGCTTTCTTCTGTCCTGCAGTTGACTTAATTCTCAGCACAGCCTTAGCAATAGCACCAGAAGAGGAAAGGATAATGATCAAGGGCATCACCAGGAGGACAACACTGGCGATAGACATCTGAATTTCACTGTAGGTAGTATCAGTACTGGAGAGCTGAATCAGAGCTGGGACTTCACAAACAACATCATCCACCATCCGCTGGGAGCAGAAGGGTAACCGGAGGGTGGCAGGGGACTGGATCAGAGACTGGGCCAAGCCAGTCCCCCATGCCAAGATAGCCAGCTGCAGACAAAGTTTTGGGTGCATGATCATGGTATTTTGCAGTGGATGACACACTGCTACATAACAATCCACAGCCATGACAACAAGAAGGACACATTCCGTGGCCCCAAGCCACAAAAAAACATAGAGTTGAATGGCACAGCCAATGTAGCTGATGGTCTTTTCTGGGCCCCAGAAGTTAATCAACATCTGTGGAACACAGCTGCTGGTCAAACAGAGGTCTACCAAGGAAAGGTTGGAAAGAAAGAAATACATAGGGATGTGGAGTTTTGGATCCTTCAAGGACACAAGAACTATGACCATATTTCCTGCAAGAGTCAAAAAATAAAAAATAAAAATGATCCAAAAAGTATCTTCTCCAAATGTGGCTTGTTAGAGAAGCCCAGAAGGATGAAATCACTGTGGCTGTCATTGCAAATTATAATCATAGCTACTGGGGCAAATGCCTCTCTGGGGAACGGTTCAAAAGTAGTTCCTCAAAAGCCTGTGATGGTTCCAGTACAGACAGGAAGACGGGTGGTATATGACTTGTTTGATTCCTTTCTACTCAAGGTTAAGATTTTCACCAGCTGTATTTTGGGAAAAAATACAAGATTTAGTGAAGTGCTTTAATCTTTGATATTCATCATTCACTCTCTCTCTTCCTCTTTTACATCTTCCTCATATTTTGTCTCTGATTAAAATTGTTCATTATAAATATTATATAAAATACATGTAAGCACCTGCTAGTGAAAATCACTTTGCTAAATATTAGATGTGTTTCATCTGTGCTCTCAAAGAGTATACATTTACCACATTTATTACATAGTTCTAATCACTGCCTATTAGCTTTATAACTTTCTCTATTTCTTTTGTTCTCTTATTTCTCTGTGACCTTGTATCTTGATTTATTTCACTCTCTGTCTCCCATGTTTCTCTCTTTTCCTTCCCCTCTTCTCTCCCTGGATCTTCTCCCTTTATCTTCTCTTTTTTCTCTCTCATTCTCCTCTTCTCCATTCCTCCTTTTCACTCTGTCTGTTATTGATGAGCTTGAATTCTCCCTCAGCCACCTTCATGCTGTGTGATGTTAGGAAAAGTAGTTAACATTTTTGTTCTTACTTTAGTTCTTTCCTTAGATTTTGTATTTGGAAAACGAGCAAAATTAAAAACCTACATATGCTTGTTGGAGAGATTAAATGTGCAAATGTGGGAAATACTAAAAAGTGTTCTTGGCACAAAGTAACTGTTCAATGTAAGTTAGCAATAATTATCATGATGATGAAACTGTTCAATGGATTGTTCCAGAAACCAAAATTTATTACCAAAGTTTTGCAGAGCATGAGTAAAAATAACATCTAGAAAAAAGAAACATTATATTTCTACATGACCTTCTTTGATGAAGAATGATAAAGTACATTAAAGAAAACCAAAAGCTTGAAATTAGATGAAAATATTTAAAATCATTAACAATAATAACTGTGTCAAATAGATCACTCAAGCCATAATTCTAAGAAAAATTATGACATAATCTGATATTTACTATTACATCAACATACATTGTGGTTAATTCTCAATCACACTTTAATGCAGTTTGAGCAACATGATGGTATATCATGCAATTACATATGTAAAGTTTTTACATCAATATATGCTTTTGCTTTTACAAAGCTTGCTGGAGGTTATTTTCTGAATATCCTAGCCCTGTTGTCTCCTATCTACCAACCATATTCTTACCCACCTATGATAAATCACATTTAACTTTATCAACACACTAGAAGCAAATTCATTTGAAGTTCTCTCAATCAGTAATTCTCATGCTTAAAGGGTATTAATCTACTGGTAAACCCTCAAGTACAATGTCACAGGGCATTAAGATGCACTGACCCTCATGGCTTAAATTTCACCATAATTTTACTCATGTTTGTCTTTACTATGCTGTGCATTCTAGAAAATCTATATATTCTCTGTTTTGTGTGTGTGTTATTTTTCCTTTATTTTATTTAGAATTTTTCAAATTAGTGATGAAATGTTACCACTTTGGTTGTGAATTTGAGTTTGATATTATATTAAAGTAGAAGAGTAGTTTGATGTTTTAAAGAATCTCAGTCTTGTAGATTTTTCCATGTTCAGAATCAACCTGCCTCTTATCCCACCCTTCGATTTTCATCCACTTCATAACCACTAACTACTGGTTTCGTTTTTTGTCTATTCAGATTGCTTTTCCTTTCCCCATTTTCTTTCTTGTATATTATCACCTGCAGGTCTCTATCTAGCTATTTTTATATATGTATGCATCCATATGTCTTATCTCTTCCAGTTCCTTTTAAATTACTAATCATTGAAGTAGATGCTTTTTTTTTTCCCCCTGGATCAACTATTTGTAAAAGGTCCTTGGTTAGGGGAGACAGTCTTAGACTAGATGGTTTTTACTATGCAAAATTCAAGAATACTCTTAATCTCTGCTTCTCTTGAGATTATCTTCTTCCTGCAAATATAGTTTTCCCTGTGATTTTATTTTAGTTGGCCTCCTCTGCTTTTCAGAACACTATCTGGGGGAGTTCATGGTAAAAGCCAGCACACCTCCATTCCTATGGTTGTAAATGTAAAATACAGCATTTCTATCTCACCTTCTAAAGTAGATGCCTCTAGTACCAGTGTATCACATCTCTTCAGCCCAGCTCTAATTTCAGCAGAGCTGCAAGGGACAGTTGTGTGTGAACTCAGATTATCTCACACATACTGACAGTGACCTACCTCAAGTATGCTGTATAGGGCTTCCCTTGGCCCCAAGGCTTGTCTGACACCATGGGAGCCCATTTGGCATATAGACAAGTGCTGCCTAGAAGTACAAAATGCTTAATGACCCTAGGGGAAATCCTCCAACAATGAAGAATTTTAACTAGGAATAAATGGTCCAGCAGCTCTCCCTTCAGGCAAAAACATCCTGTGTGCTTTTCAGAAGGCCTTTAGAGAACTGAGCTCTCATTACACACAACCTGGCTAATGCATCCCTAAATTAACTTTCTTTCTTAAATGTTTCACTCTTCTTGTTCCCTGTATACATATAATACATATGTATTATATATTATACATGTATTTTATATATTACATATATAATGTATATATTTTATATATAGATATATATAGAGAGAGAGAGATGAGAATGGAGTTTCCCAGGAAGCCGACTCAGGGATGGAGATCAGCATTTAGAAAGTTTACTAGGGAACATTTTTTGGATCAACATCTTTCAAAGGAAAGGGTGGGTAGCATGATTGAGGAAAGGAAGTAATGCAAACTACCTACTTTGGAAGTTTGTAATGCAAACTACTAAAGTTTCACTGAACCCTGTAGGAAGTTCTCAATATGAGATGACAATTCATTGATGTTCTGAGCTGAGGCCAACGGCAAGCCTTAAATCTCCTTGTTGGTCAGTGTTGAATGCAGATTACATGGAAAAGGGCCATATGTTTAGATGAAGCAACTCTGTTTAGCTGAGGCAACCCAGAAAGAAGGATCTCAGCTGAGCTCTATCTACCTGTAGCACATCTAGCAGCTGAAGTAATAATGCCTTCATTCTGAAAGTGTTATCTGAGTAAAGCATTATAACTTCCAACACTGTCTATTCCTTTAATTTCAGATCTACTCCTTTGTATAAGATCTGGTGTGGGGTGGGGGAGGGGGCAGGGATAGCATTAGGAGATATACCTAATGTAAATGACGAGTTAATGGGTGCAGCACACCAACATGGCACATGTATACACATGTAACAAACCTGCACGTTGTGCACATGTACCCTAGAACTTAAAGTATAAAAAAATTAATTAATTAATTGATTAAAAAAGATCTGGGAAAAGCTCTTACAGGGCTATAGTGGGCCTCTGTATCTGGAGGAAACTTAGAAGACGACCACCACTGCGGCTGGTCTTAAGTCCTACAAACTATGGTCACCATCTCCTTCTTACTATTCATTCTGTGTTGCTCTCACCCTTATCTGGCACCTCTCCTGCTCTCAGTGGTTTACCTGGTGTCATGATCCGGAAGTGTCTGAGCCCCTGATCACTATGGCTTTTTTTAGTTAATCTCATTGCCTTTGGTCATTTACCATCATAATTAAACAAAGTATACACTTCCTAGTGTACCTTTTGTACCCCCTAGTGGGAATATTTCCCTTTAGAGAGCTAGAACCTCTAAACTCACAGAGCTTATAATTGTGGAGAAAAAAACCACAAATTTCTCAAATGAGTTACTGGTAGGGATTCTAAGAAGGGCTTTCACCTTTTGGTTTCTAAACCATGCATTCTTCCTAGTGAGGACACAGCACCATAGAAAGATAATTGATTTAAAGTACTGGGTCTTGAAGGATGACATTTCATCTGAGCTGGAATTTCAGGTGTAGCTTCAACAGATCCCTCCATGACTCTAATAGATCACTTATGATAGTGCAATATGTGATATGGCCAATGGATTCCATGGTCATAAGTCCACTCCTACACTTTCTTTGCCATTAAGTCGGCCCTTTTTTCTGATACAATGGTATGTGGGATCTCCTGCTGCTGCGTCAAACATCCTATAAGCCTTTAGACAGTCATGCTGGCTGAGAACTTATGTTCAGGAATAGAAACCCATGCCTGGAGTATGTGTATCTATTCCTACCAAAAAAAATTGCTACATTCAAAGTAGAAAAAGTCCAGTGTCATCAACTTGACATTAAATAACTGGTTGATCTTTTGATGGGAAACTATTTTATCCAGTCATTGCATGGGACACTTATTGATGGAAGACTGGATGTTTGACCAGTGGCTATAATGCATGCTGTTAAACCCATGCATTGCTTCTATCCCTACTATCATGGTGACTTCATTCATAAGCTCATTGCTCTAGCATTGCAGGTAGGATAATGAGGGCAAATGTCAGAAGCTCTTGACAATAACTGCTCGCCAAGTCACATTTTCTACCTAGTTGCTTAATTCATTTTCTATGATGGATTCCATCTTGTAGTTTTAGCATGTAATACAAATAATGCAACACTTCATACCTTCACTCTTATATGTTTATGCATGTGCCTCTGTTCCAGACTTCTTTTTTCCAAGTGTTTCTATCTTTTTCTTTCCAGCCACCTGAAAAGCCTCCTAAGCCATTTATCACTACCTATGAGTTATACATATTCTAACTTCAAACTACTTCTCTTTCCACACAAAGTGAATGACTGGGTACCATCTGAAACTCTGTCCATTGGGAGGCGTTTTCCTCACTACTATTTTTCAAGATCACCGTAAGCGAGGCTATAATTTATCTTCATCCTTTTTGACTTGGACTCACATACCAAGCTGACCCATTAATGAACCAAGCTTGACATTTTTCTCCTCCATTAGAGTTGGAAGTGTTCTCTCTTGGAGGCGTAAGTGTGGTCTGAAGAAGAGATATTGATGCAAAAGTGGTGAATAGCATGAAGTCCTGGGCTACTTGCTCATACTGTTTGCCTCTGCCCTCTAGTCATGCTGTGGTCAATCCTGGATGTACTAATGCCGTGTTACAGTGATTGCTCTGTATCCACTCAACCTAATAACTTGATGGTTCAGACAGTCCCCAGCTCATATGGGTAGTTTTGCCTGCATGGTTATTTGTTGTTCCATGGTCAGATGTTATTTCTCTACCCAGAATTCAGTAAAACACCAGGGCTTTATTTTTGAAATGTATACAATCCTGTGCTGTAGATAGCAGAGTTTTATCAAAACCCTAAGAATTTTGTTATGATCTTCCCATAAACTTGCCATAAATTCCACCTCATTTATGGTGAAATTTAGACTTGCTATAGAGCCCATTCTTACCCTGAAGGCCATTCAAATACAGCACCTAGTGGATGAATTAGAACAGTACTCGATAGTGTCAAATATGCTTACTACAAAGTACAGAGAGGTCTGCCAGGCACTTTGCTTCTTTTTTATGATAGGAAATGCATAATGCAAAAATGTATCCTTTACTTTAGATAGAATGTCTCATAGTGCCCCAGACCAATAAACACTTAAAACTTTTATGCTTTAGGTCCCTGAATCTTTATGGAGTGCAACACTCACTCTCTGGATCACATGTGTCTTATCAAGGCTTTTAATGTATTGACCACTTCTTGTTCATATTGTCTGATACGCATGATGTGTTAGATATAGTTGGCCAGTGTGACGGCCTACAGAATATACAGCTAGTCCCGTTCTCTTCAGTATTTTATGATGGAAGATGAAAAACCTAGCATAGCTCTGGGACATGGTATAGTATTGTCAGCTCCAAGTGAGTGCAAACTCCCTGATCATGTTTCCTGATAAGGATGAAAAAGAAAACATTTACCAGATCAATGTATGCATACGGGGTACTCAGTAACATGCTAATATACTCTATCAAGGATAACATATCTCTTCCAGCAGATTCAATTGGGGCTACTACTTATTTCAATCTGTGGTAATTTGCTACTGTCATCCCAATATCTGTCTGATTTATTTCAGGGGTCTGACTGCTAATGCAAATGAAGATATGACAGGAAGTACCACTATTGTATACCTTAGGATTTAAAGGGGAATAGGGAAAATAAAAGCAACTTTACAACCCTGAGGATAATTTAGGATTCAACATTAAAATTGAAAAGATATAAGGAAAATCAAAAGAGGAGGCATATATATATATATATACACACACACATATGTATATCTCTTCAATGATGTTTGTGAGATTTATGCTTTTATAAGTTGTCTAAAATTACTTTTCTATTATAATTCAAGTCCAAACAATTCTATTCCTTTTAAAAGCAATTCGAAATATGTATTTGTTATATACTAACACTTCTAAAAATTTTTTTTCTTGAGACAGGGTCTTGCTTTGTTGCCCCAGCTGGAGTGCACTGGCACAATCTTGGCTCACTGTGACCTCCACCTCCCAGGCTCAAGCAATCCTCCCACCTCAGTCTTCAGAGTAGCTGACACTATAGGTATGCACCACCATGCCTGGCTAATTTTTTTTTTTTGCATTTTTAGTAGAAACAGGAGTTCATCATGTCACCCAGGCTGGTCTCAAACTCCTGAATTCAAGTAATCCTCCCACTTCAGCCTCCCAAAGTGCTAGGATTACAGTGTAAGCCACCTCACCCAGCCTATACTAATACTTTTAATTCACTGACGTCATTTCTGATAAACAGTCTAAAAGAGATCACATATGGAAAGCACTTTATTCTGAATGATCTATAGTATAAGGTGACAAATTCAGAAAATATATTTAATTGTAGAAGAATGAGAAAGTATATATATGTACATATATAATGTATATATGAATTATTAATTTAAAAAAGAATGTTACATAGCTTCAAAAACTGCATATCAAGAAAATTTTATAAATTAGAAAATGATTGTTTTACATATGTCAGTTTACAATTTATAAAAATACATGATATGGCCGGGAGGTGGCTCACACTACAGGTGAGGTCCCAGCACTTTGGGAGGCCAAGGCAGGCAGATCATCTGAGGTCGGGAGTTCGAGACCAGCCTGACCAAGATGGAGAAACCCCGTCTCTACTAAAAATACAAAATTAGCCAGGCATGGTGGTGGGTGCCTGTAATCCCAGCTACTCAGGAGGCTGAGGCAGGAGAATTGCTTTAACCCAGGAGGCGGAGGTTGCAGTGAGCCGAGATCGTGCCATTACACTCCAGCGTGTGCGAAAAGAGCAAGACTCCATCTCAAAACAAAAAAATGATACACAAAAGAAAAGTAAGGGGAAACAAATACATTAAAATACGAGCATGTGGCCAGGTGCCATGGCTCACACCTGTAATCCCAGCACTTTGAGAGGCCAAGGCAGGTGGATGGCCTGAACCCAGGAGTTGGAGACCAGCCTGGGCAATGTATTAAAACACCATCTCTACAAAAGATACAAAAATTAGCTGGGCTTGGTGGTGTGCACCTGTGGTACCAGCTACTCAGGTAGCTGAGGCGGGAGGATGACCTCAGCCTGGGAAGTCGAGGCTGCAGTGACCTGTGATCGCACCACTGCACTCCAGCCTGGGCCATGGGAGTGAGATCCTGTCTTAAAAACAAAACAAAACAAACAAACAATATATATCCAGGCTATATCCAGGCTGATACTAGATATTTAATTTAATTATAATTTTCTTTATTTCACTGAAAATCTTTGGTGAGCACTTATTAAGTTATACATTGCATAAATCTTCTTATTTTCAAAAACTATTCCAGTTGCAATCTCATTATTTCTACTTGTTCTGCTCCAGTGAATTAATGCTAACCTTAAACTTCAGTGTGTTAATTTATGTTAAATGACATCATATGATATAAATAATATTTTAACCACAGATCTTTGGGAGATTTAGTCCAAGCATATTCATCACAAAAAAATCAGTAAACAATAGAAATACCATTTTCCTATATACACCATCAAAAGACTCCCTATTTGACCCTGAGACCAAGTCCTACAAAACAGAATCCAAACTCCTAAGTATGGTTTGCAAAATTCCACCCAACTCCACTGCCTAGTCCCTGCCTAACCATGAACATTCTCACAATATGCTGCTAAGTGAAAAAGCAGGCTATAAAGCAATATGTACATCTTATGCTAAATGAATAAGCCAGACCTAAAAGGGCAAAAATTGTATGTTTCCAATAATATGAAATATCTGGAACATGCAAATTCATACAGACATAAGGTAGGTTGAAAGTTACTAGGGGATGGGGGAGGGGAATGGAGAGTTATCACTAAGGGTTAGAGTTTCTGTTTGGGATGACGAAAAAGTTTAGAAAATAGTGGCAAGATTTACACAATAGTATGAATATAATTAACACCATTAAATTGTACACTTAAAAATAGTTAAAATGGCAAATTTTATGTTATATATTACCACAATGTTATAAATTAGTAATGAAATATACCAAAAATCATTGACTTGTACACTTTAAATGGGTGAACTGTATTGTAAATAAATTATATCTCAATACAGCTATAAAATTTAAAAATGAAAAATAAAGAAATTTGTGGCTGTATGTTTATTTAGCCTTATGCTCTTCAAATTAATACATTCCAAACCTATTTTTCATAGTTCATGTTTTATAACTCTAATCTTCACCCTAGTTTTAGAATTTGTGAACTACCTATGTGTCAGTATTATGCCACCAGTGCAATTGGGAATAGAGTTAACTTATTGCCTCTGGGGACACAATGACCAATTAAACTTGAGGGACTCAGAATCCCTAAGGTTAAAATAAAGGACACAACATTGTGAGAATAGTAGGACTTTAATAAATACTGGCTGGTTTTATTAAAAGCCACAACCTTCTCTCTGTGACAGTGCAAATGTTACTAATGTCTATAAAATCAGCTTCTCATTGTGGAAATCCATTAGGAACCTGGCAAGGACAGCCCATGTCAGTCAAAAATATCCCGGTGACTGAAGACATTATCTGTAACACACTTTTACCTCATCTTAAGATTTTTACTTATATGTTCTTAAGGCAGTGCAAGATACATGATAATTTTATTCTCAATCTGTGGGCAAAAGGTAGTTGAGTCAGAATGGCAAAAGAGTTGAAAGCTCAAAACATCATTGCATGTATCAGTCTTTGCACCAGACTTCCTTGAAACACAACACAAAGAAAGGCATGGATATCTCTAGGACACTTAGAATAAAGGCGAGTGGTGTCTACCACAGAGAATTATGTTACCATGATTGGGAAGGGTCTTTCAAGATCATCTAACCTACATCATTACCTCTGGGTTGCATCATGTTAAGTAATCAGAATGTCCAATTTGTTTCCAGGGAACCTTGAAATAAATATCAAGTATTTTTAGTGATTCCAAAAATCCTTCTTATCCTTTGAAACTTTTGAATGAAAATTTGCTTATTATATCTCCACACATAAAAAAGTCAGTGGGAATTTTTTAATTGAAAAAGAATCAGTGGTATTTGAGGTTTCTTTTGATATATGCAGGATGCATAAATAAGAAAAGGTTTAAGATAACAGTGGAATCACCATTCTCTTGTCAAGGGATAAGTTTATTTACTGATAATGCAAAAAAAAAAAAAAAAAGAATTGATAAATGAACTGGCACCAGTGCCATATAAAAGGTGAAGAGGAGTAGAGGCTGTGAAAATAATAGAATAAGAAGGAAGAGCTGCTGAGTCAATTACTGTTATCAGCTATGCCCTTCAGATAACCAAATATCTCCTACTATTGACTTGACTTTCACTTATGAGGAAACTATGTTCTCTGCACTATGCTAGAAACAAAGAAGTGACATATACATTTAATCATTTCATATCATAATATTATAAAATTACAATAAGCACTGGGATTACCAATAATAAATTATATCTCTGCTTTTTCATACACATGACAAGCTGAAATAATGACTCAATATTATAAGTAATGATTATTACTAATGATTAATGCTAATCATACTATTAATGATAACTGGCTTACATTCATTAGATCCTTCCTATGTTTCAGGCACTGTCCAAAATCTAGATGTGTATGCACTGGCTCATTGAAGTCTCACAATAATTCCCTTTTTTATAAAACAGGTTTTAAAAACAGCATGGTACTGGTACCAAAACAAATATATAGACCAATGGAACAGAACAGAGGCCTCAGAAATAACACCACACATCTACAACCATCTGATCTTCCATGAACCTGAAAAAAACAAGCAATGTGGAAAAGATTCCCTATTTAATAAATGGTGTTGGGAAAACTGGCTAGCCACATGCAGAAAACAGAAACTGGACCACTTCCTTACACTTTATACAAAAATTAACTCAAGATGGATTAAAGACTTAAACATAAAACCTAAAACCATAAAAGATTTAGAAGAAAACCTAGGCAATACCATTCAGGACATAGGCATGGACAAAGACTTCATGACTAAAACACCAAAAGCAATAGCAACAAAAGCCAAAATAGACAAATGGGATCTAATTAAACTAAAGAGCTTCTGCACAGCAAAAGAAACTATCATCAGAGTGAACAGGCAACCTACAGAATGGGAGAAAATTTTTGCAATCCATCCATCTGACAAAGGGCTAATATCCAGAGTCTACAAAGAACTTAAACAAATTTACAAGAAAAAAACAACCCCATCAAAAAGTGGGCAAATGATATGAACAGACACTTCTCAAAAGAAGACATTTATGTAGCCAACAAACATGAAAAAAGCTCATCATCACTCATCATTAGAGAAACGCAAATCAAAACCACAATGAGATTCCATCATACGCCAGTTAGAATGGTGACCATTAAAAAGTCAGGAAACAACAGATGCTGGAGAGGATGTGGAGAAATAGGAATGCTTTTACATTGTTGGTGGGAGTGTAATTAATTCAACCATTGTGGAAGACAGGGTGGCAATTCCACAAGGATCTAGAACCAGATCCAGAAATATCATTTGACCCAGCAATCCCATTACTGGGTTTATACCCAAAGGATTATAAATCATTCTACTATAAACATGCATGTACATGTATGTTTACTGTGGCATTCCACAATGGTTGAATTAATTTACACTCCCACAAGGATCTAGAACCAGAAATATCAGCAAGCATGCCTGGCTGTGTGCAGTATCCAGGCTGGTAATGTAAGCTGAGCACAGGCTGCCAGGCTGAGTGGGCCAGTGGGCCTGAGCAAAACCCCAGCATAAGTGCCACTAGCCACAGAGGTTTTCAGCTGGTGAAGTGATAACCCAAGGATCCCGTAACATAACCATTAGAAAACATTGGACAAACCATGATTGAAGTGCATTCTGTAAGATACCTGAGCAGTACTCAGAATTATCAACATCATGAAAAACAAGATAACAGAGATTCAGGAAACTGAAACACATGACAACTAAAGGCAATGGAGTGTCCTGGATGGGATTCTGCAACAAAAAAAGGATGTTAAAGAAAATCTTGCTGAAATCCAAAGATAGTCTAGAGTTTTGGTAGTAGTAACATACCAATGTTAGTTTCTGAATTTTGAAAAATGTACCAGAGAAATGTAACATTAAGTGAAAGTGAAACTGGTTGAGGTGTATATGGGAATTCTTTGCCATCTTTGCAACTTTTCTGTAAAGCTAAAATTATGACAAAATAAAGCATGTATAAAAAATGTGTTACACAGATGGGAAGGGACAAGATGTCCAATTAGTTGCAGCCAGGAAGCACTGCTTTCACCGAGAGAGACCAAATTATTGAGTTAATCAACATAAATTGGTTGATTTAATCATCTCAGCCCAAAATCTCCTTAAGCTGATAAGCAAATTCAGCAAAGTCTCAGGATACAAAGTCAATGTGTGATCTTAGGAGAGAAAACACTGAGTGTATGGAGAAGCAAAGCTGAAGCTGAGGCTGTAGAGTCAGAAATCTGGAAACCCTGAAGTGGTACCTGAATACCAGGGCTAGTTCCCAGCCCCAGATGGCTCCTGGGAAATTGGTGAGCCAGGGAACTGAGGGACAGCTCACTCTTGTCATGTACCTCTGGGATCCTAGCTATGAGAGACCCCATATCCCCCATAAATGTGTTAGCTGGCAGGGGTATCTCCCTGGGGAACAGGCAGAGACAGTACTTCAGACAGTGCAGAGCCTGGGAGCTTTTGTGTGCTGGGCAGCTTTGGTGGAGGGTAGCCATAGACACACATCCCTGAGAGCTTCCCATCTCCCTCTGCAAGGCTCTTGACTCAGCTGACTGTCAAGCCAAAGGAGAGCAGGGCTGGCTTCCCTATGGGACTAAGACACATCTGTTCTGCAAGCCCTCCTGCCTGCAGGCTCCTCTCAGGTCCTATGCCTAGCTGCCCTGGAGAAGCAGGTGCATTGTGCAGCTTGCACAGCCCAGCTGAATGCCTTGCTTCACCTGAGTACTTTCCCAGCAACCCAGAAGCATATCAGATCCCACAGTGCAGCCAGAGCCCAACCCTGAGCTGCAGGATGTCCTGGTGCTACCTGGGTTTCTAAGCACAGCTTGGGATTATCAAGCCAAGATATGTGACCCACACTAAGTTAGGTGAGTTAGCTTAATAAAAAAAAAAAAAAAGAAAGAAAAGAAAAAAATTCCATCCAATATCCCTGATGAACATAGAAGGAAAAATCCTTGAGAAAATACTAATCAAACAAATCCAGCAGCACATCAAAAAGTTAATACACCACAATCAAGAAGGCTCTATTTCTGGCATACAAGATTGGTTGAACATCTGCAAATCTACAAATGTGATTCACCACATAAACAGAATTAAAAGGAAAAGCCATATGATCATCTCAATAGATGCTGAAAAAGCTTTTGGTAAAATCCAATATCTCCCAACATACTGCAGTATGTTTACTGTGGCAGGTGTGTATGAGGGAGCAAGTGTGGGGTCCAGCTACTGCACACAGCCAGGCATGCTTGCTGCAGCAGGGCAGGCAGTTCCAGGCACTGACAGGGGTGCCATCTCCCTGCAAGTCTGCGGCTGGACCAGGTGTACTGCAAGCAGCTTCCGCACCAGGAACCACAGAACCACCCAAAAGGGTGTCACAGCCCTGGCTCAGGGAGCTCCTAGGTCTGGGCTCCCCAAAGAGTTGCATCTCTTATCTCCTTTATGTCAACCACAATGAGGTGAGGAAAGGGCATGTTTCAGCCCTGTTTGTGTGACAGCTCTTTCAGCCATGCCATTCAGTGGGTCCCAAGTTCTTGTCCCACACTCACGAGGTATGTGGATAAGTGGAGGGTGAGTAAGGTGAAGAGGAGCTTTATTGAACAATAGAACAGCTGAGAGGAAACCCGCTCCTCTCCATAGCCAGGGTGTCCTAACGAGTGTTCAGCTCTCCGCAGAGAGGAGACCCTGGAGTGGGTAGCTCCTCTCCTCAGACAGGTCATCCCACAGAGTGTTCAGGTCTCAGCAGAAAAGAGACCCTAGGGTAGGTAATTCCTCTCTGCAGCTGGTTGTCCTGACATCTTTTTGTGTCTGGCTGAGTCTGGGAATTTTTATGGACTTCAGAGGAAAGGAAGTGCTTGCTGATTGGTCCTTGGGCAGCCACGGGCAGGCTTGGAAAAAGCATCGTAAGTCCCCACTCCAGTCTGCGAGGCTGGCAGCCCGTCTCCCAGGCTTCAATCCTTCCCTGAGTTGAAGGTGGGGCCTCACCGGGGACCCGTCCCTTTCTGCCCAGGAGCCTGTGGGCCTCCTGCCACTGTTGACGGTGCCCAGGCTGTTCCTGCCAAGAGGCACCTGCAGGCCAGCGCCAAGCTGCCCTCAGCAGCACCCCCTCCAGCCTCCCTCCCTTGCTTACTGGTGCCCAAAGCCCAGAGGGGGCTGAGGTGGCAGAAGACTGGCATGTCAGTGCTGCCCCAAGTGTGGGCACACCAGGCCAGGTTGCAATAGCACCTGGGCCTGGCCTCAACCACGCTCCGAGATCAGAGCACGCACCAGGAGCAGGGAGAGATCAGACACCAGGAGCAGGCACCTCCAAGCCTGCGGGGGCAAAAAGGGCTTTCCCAGGCCCCCAAGAGTGCAGAGATGCCCGGGTCTGCCGCTGCAGCTTGGGCATCTGCAGCTGCGCCCAGGAGGGCAGGGCTCTTACTCCTGGCACCCAAGAACACAGGGATGCCCAGGTTTGTAGACACAGCTTGAGCAGCTGCAGCTGCACCAGGGAGGGTGGGGCTTCTGCCTGCTCCTGAACCCCAAGCGCACAGGGATGTCCTGTCCACAGCCGCTGCTGGGCAACTGCAGCTGAGCCTGGGGAGCACAAGGCTCTTGCCCTGTCAACTCATAAGGGGTTGGGGCTTCCGCCTGTTCCCGGCTCCAGGGGCTCCACGGAGCGCACAGCCACACCTGCATCTCCCCTACTACAGCCGGCATCACAGTCCAGATGGGTTTCAGCTGCCATCAATTACACTGGGCCTTTGAATTTTTGCAGAGGAGACCACAGAGGTAAAGTGCCCTTTTTATCCCATCAGAGCAGGGGTTACATAATATCTACATGGCATCACTGATGGTGCTGACTTTAATCACTTGGTTAAGGTAGTGTTTTCACTAAATAAAACTGAAACTTACAATTGTTACCTGTCCATACTCTATTCCTTGGAAGACAGTCACTGAGTCCAGCCTACACTTAACAAAGGAGATCATGAGCTCCACATCTGAAAGTGGGGACTATTAATAGACTAGTAAGGAAGATTTCTCCCTTCTTCTCATTTATGTATTTATTCAATCATTTATTTATAAGAGTATGGACTCATACGTTTTATACTTCAGGTTATAATCCAGTGATATGTTATTTATTTTGTTGTTGAAATTGCTCCAGCTTTACCCATTGAGAGCTCTTTCAAGTTAGCTGCTGGGTCCCTTGGACAGGTCTTCATCCTTTTGTTATCCTTTTCTCTTCAGGGCCCCTCCCTGATTTCTGGTATTACTGGTTCTTCTCCAGGCTTCTCTTATATATTTCTTCACCAGGCTTAGAAATATCTTATAATCAGACATTTCTCCAACGATCTCTGTTTCTTTTCACTGGAAAATGGCATTAGAAAACATTATCTGAGTGTGACATGTGCACATTGCTATGAGGGTAACATTGTTTCTAGGCTATTTCAGCAGAAAGGGCTAGGTAATGTGTGTCTACACAGTAAGCCCTGAATACACACATATCTGTCGTTGTTTCCTTATTTGTCCATCTGTGTGTGTCCATGTGCATTTGGGCTTGTGTTTAAACATGAGGTCATAGTGATAACTCTGACTCTAACACAGTCCCTAATGGTCATTCTGGCCTTCCTTTCTTGCTTCTCTGTAACTTCTCTTACCAACAGGGAGAAACCTGGATGCCACTGTTCATATTTTAATATTTTTGTTCAACTGGTATGCATGTGAAGCAATTACAGAATTAGCTGAATCCGCATGAGAAACAAATTTACTATTCAGAATACCATATTTATGCAAAGTTACTTTTGTCTACAGTCTGACATTTTTTAATCAAAACATTATTTCTCAAGGTAAGTTAGGCCACTTTTTACTTCTTCTCTACCCTTTTCAGTGTTGTTAGCTTACATATTTATATAAAGTGAGGTTGATTTGCCACTGTCATACCATTCTAGGATCTTCCCACATCTTGGTGATATTTTTGCTTGTTTATTTGCATGCATTTGAGTGCAATTTTGTGATACACTACTTAGGGATTAATAAATCATGGACTTGTGTATTACTAGTGCAGCACCATACAAAACAACTCCATCATTTAAAAATTCCCCTGTGTGTCTTCTTTGTAATAAACTAATCTCCCTTACACTAAGCCCTGGATACCACTGATGTGTTTCCATCCCAGTGGGTTTTTTTTCCCCAGATGTCTTATGAATGAAATCATACAATATTCAGACTTTGAAGTCTGGCTTCATTCATTTAGTAAAATACCCTTAACATATATTCATGTTGTTGCATGTATCAGTAGCTCATTCCATCCCATTGATCAATAGTATTCATTGATCAATCAACTTCCACAAAATCATAGATCATTGTGTGGAAATACCCAAGATTATCTTTCCCCTGTTGAAGGGCATGGGTTGCTTACAGTTTGGAGTAATTATGAATGAAACTGATATAAACATTTGCATGCAGATTTTTACACGGACCTAAGTTTTAATTCACTAGGGTAAATACTTAGGAATGTGATTGTTAAGTCATATGGCAAGACTATATTAAACTTTATAAAAATTGCCAAATAGTCAAAGTGGTTGCACCACTTTGCATTTCTACCAGCAATCAAAGAGAGTTTCCCTCACTTTGCATTCTTGCTAGTATTTATTATTTTCAGTGCTTTTGTTTCAGCAACAAAAAAAAATTGTGAGAATTTATTTTTAATTTTGTTATATAAGTACTTTCATAATACTCCAGTTTTGTGTCTTGGTTTACAAAGCCTTAATATTGACTACGTAGCTTTTTATAGGAAAAAATACTGGTATCTGGACTTTCATATAGATTTTCTTAAATCAGTGAGATTTCCATCAGTCAACTTAACTGTAAATCAACTATTACAAGGTTTTTTAAATGTGGGAAATCATGTCTTTGATAAGAACAGGTCAGTTTTTTCATTTTTTTCTCTAAGAATTTTTGTTTTGTGTGTGTGTGTATCTATCACTTAATGTGCATTTGAAAACTTTCTAATTAACTTTTTCTAATACAAATAATCTATGAAACTTTATTCCATTTTCTCAATACAGTTTAGAAATTACTTGAACATTTGGTTAAATGTTCTGAACCTTACTTTCAAATTACATTTTCTTACTAGACAAATGCTTAGACAGTGTGGCGATTCCTCAAGGATCTAGAACTAGAAATACCATTTGACCCAGCGATCCCATTACTGGGTATATACTCAAAGGATTATAAATCATTATACTATAAAGACACATGAACACGTATGTTTATTGTGGCACTCACAATAGCAAAGACTTGGAACCAACCCAAATGTCCATCAATAATACACTGGATAAAGAAAATGTGGCACATATACACAGTGGAATGCTATGCAGCCATAGAAAAGGATGAGTTCATGCCCTTTGCAGGGACATGGATGAAACTGGAAACCATCATTCTCAGCAAACTATCACAAGGACAGAAAACCAAACACTGCATGTTCTCATTTATAAGTGGGAGTTGAACAATGAGAACACTTGGACACAGGGTGGGGAACATCACACACCAGGGCCTGTCGGGGGGTGGGGGGCACTGGGGGAGGGATAGCATTAGGAGAAATACCTAATGTAAATGACGAGTTGATGGGTGCAGCAAATCAACATGGCACATGTATACCTATGTAACAAACCTGCACATTGTGCACATGTACCCCAGAACTTAAAGTATAATTTTAAAAAATGCTTAATTCATGCCGAATATGTTCAGTGTGATTTTTAAAGGCTTCAAGATTCAATGTTATTCATACAACCTAATTTCTATTTTATTTCTCTCTCCATGAAGAGTCTTGTAAGAGGCCAGGCACGGTGGCTCACACCTGTAATCCCAGCACTTTGGGAGGCCAAAGTGGGAGGGTCACTTGAGGTCAGGAGTTTGAGACCAGACTGGGCAACAGGGTGAAACACTGTCTCTACTAAAGATACAAGAATTAGCCAGAATTGGTGGTGCATGCTTGTAATCCCAGCTACTCGGGACGCTGAGGTAGGAGAATCACTTGAAACCGGGAGATGGAGGTTGCAATGAGCTGAGATTGCACCACTGCACTCCAGCCTGGGCGACAGAGCAAGACTCCATCACAAAAAAGAAAAAAAAAAGTATTTTAAGAAGCATAAACAAATCAATCACCTTTGACTGAACATTGATTGGTACTTGTTCTGATTTGATCCAATTCTAAGTCCCAGCATCCATTTTATCTTCTCCAAGTATAGTAGGGAATATTCATCAACTGTTTACTCAGTTATTTGATTTGATTTCTTATCACTTAACACTTAATCCAAGGATATAAATATCCTTTTGCCCAGTGGTAAACTTGTCATCCAATCCTTGAGTTTCTTTTGCAAACACGTTAGGTTTTTCTCAAGATTGAAATGCTCATCCAAACCCAATTTTTTTTTTTTTTTTTTGCTGTCTTAAGTTGTTTTTTTTCCTCTTCTGACATAGTTTTAAGGCTATTTTGGCATTAGCTTCTCACTATTTAAAAGACTTCAACACATCTTCCAGTAACGGAACCCATATTCTAAACCTAGCCATGAATGTAATTCATTCTGAACTTTAAGGTGTTCTTTTTTTTTTAAAGATGACATATAAATGGCCAATAATCATATGAACAAATGCTAATCATAAGAGAACTGCAAATTAAAACCACAGTGAGATATTATGTTATGCCAGTCAAAATGGCCATTATTAAATTCAGAAAAAAAAAATTTTGCCGAGGGTATAGAGAAAAGGATTACATACACTATTGGTGGGAATGTAAATTAGTACAACCTCTGTGGAAAACAGTATGGAGACTTTTCAAAGAACTAAAAATAGAGCTACCATTCGATCCAGCAATCCCATTACTGGATATCAAGCTAAAGGTAAAGAAATCATTATATCAAAAAGAAACCTATGTGTCTATGTATATCGCAGCACTATCCACAATAGCAAAGTAATAAAATCAGCCTGAGTGTCCATCAGTGGACTATTGGATTTCTAAAATGTGGTATACATATATACACACTTTAGAATACTACTTGGCCATAAAAAGACTGAAATCATGTCTTTTGCAGCAACGTGACTGTAACTGGAGGCCATTGGCTTAAGAGAACTCAGAAACAAAAAGCCAAATGCTACATATTATCAATTATAAGTGGGAGCTAAACAATGGGTACATGTGGATATAGAGTGAAATATAGGCATTGGAGACTCCAAAAGGTGGGAGGCTGGGAAAGGGTTGAGGGATGAAAGACTACCTACTGAGGACAATGTATTTTATTTGGATGATGGATACATTGAAAAATCAGACTTCACCACTATGCAATATATCCATGGAACACAACTGCACTTCTACATTGTAAATCTGTAAAAATTCGCATTTTTCAAAAACATTCCTTTTTTTCAAAGCATCTATTTTGAACTCAAATTTCCTATACACTTAGAGGATTTAATGCCTTGTTCTAAGGGCAGGACTCCATGAAAAATAATTTATACTCTTCATACTCGTTTTTTTTTTAAGAGACAAAGTTTCACTCCCATTGCCCAGGCTGTAGTACAATGGCGTGATCTCGGCTCACTGCAACCTCTGCCTCCCAGGTTCAAGTATTATCCTGCCTCAGCCTCCCAAGTAGCTGGGATTACAGGACCTGCCACCATGCCTGGCTAATTTTTTGTATTTTTAGTAGAGACGGAATTTCACCATGTTGGCCGGGCTGGTCTCAAACTCCTGACCTCAGGTGATCCACCCGCCTCAGCCTCCCAAAGCGCTGGGATTACAGGCATGAGCCACCACACCAAGCTCATATTCTTTTTTAATCAGCCTAATTTATTAAAACATTACATTTGTCTTCAACTACAGAAGAAACTTCTCTGGTAAACTCTTTTTTTTCTCTCTACATAAAGTGGGCTTTTATAATTACAAAATCCAAATAGAGCCGCACTTACCACCATCCCCCATGTTAAGCCATAGAACTCTGATGTGAGTCTCATGTCTCCTTGCAACATTGACGTGGCCTCAATCAGCTTCTCCAGGACCTCTATAAAGTAACACCTCATAGCAGTAAGCAGGTCCTCCATAGCACCAGATCTGCCTTTGGTTGCCAAGACACTATGATTCTACAACAAACTGCAGAGAACACTAGCAGTGTTCTGCTTGGAACCTAAATCTGCACCTAGCAACCAGGACAGCACATCAGTGGGATGCCAATGTGGGAGGATAGATGGGGCTTTCTAAACATTTTCACTATTAGCACATGAAAAATGGGAAACTACAAGGCTCTTGTTGATCCAAGGAGACTGGCCACAGAGACTGTATTCCTTCTAGGCACTAACAAGCAACCCTAAAGTATGAGAGAATTAATGTCATTTCATACATGTGCAATTCAGGAATTACTAGGAACGTGGCAGTAAAGAACTTACATGCCCATATCAATAGTCAAAGTCCTCTTAATGTAAACGTGTCTTTCTGAGGTTCTGCTAGACCTAATACTATTTAAAAATTCAAAGGTTCCTCACCTCAGCATCCCATCTTGTTTTGTTTTGGGTTAGATGAGGGGGATAAGCATGAGAGAGTTGAATTATTGTCATTAAGTTATCGATTTAACTTTCAAATGTAAAAACTCATAAAGGTTGAAGGTAATTTGGGGTTTAGGTTTTTTTAACTTTTATTTTAGGTTCATGGGTATATGTGCAGGTTTGTTATACAGGTAAACTGCGCATCACAGGGGTTTGGAGTACAGATAATTTCATCATCCAGGTAATAAGCATAGTACTCAATAGGTATTTTTTCTGATCTTCTTCCTCCTCCCACCCTCCACCGTCAAGTAGACCCCAGTGCATGTGGTTCACCTTCTAGTATCCATGTGTTCTTATGTTTAGCTCCCACTTATAAGTGAGAACATGTGGTATTTGGCTCTTTTCCATTTAGTTTGCTTAGGATGATGGCCTGCAGCTCCATCCATGGTGCTGCAAAGGAAATGACCTCATTCTTTTTATGACTGCATAGTATTCCATGGGGTCTATGTACCACATTTTCTTTACCCAATCTACTGTTGATGGGCATTTAGGTTGATTTCATGTATTTGCTGTTGTGAACAGTGCTGCAATGAACATACTCGTGCATATGTCTTTATGGTAGAATGATTTATATTCCTTTGGGTATATACCCGCTAATGGGATTGCTTGGTGGAAGAGTAGTTCTGTTTTAAGTTCTTGGAGGAATCATTACACCATTTTCCACAATAGCTAAGGTAATTTACATTCCCACCAGCAGTGTATAAGCATTCCCTTTTCTCCATAACCTTGATGTATCTGTTATTAATAATTTGACTTTTTGATAATAGCCATTCCACCTGGTACGAGATGGTATCTCATTGCGGTTTTGATTTGCATTTCTCTAATGATTAATGATATTGAGCATTTTTTCATATGCTTGGCCGCATGTGTACCTTCTTTTGGAAAGTGTCTGTTCATGTCTTTTGCTGACTTTTAAACGGCATTGTTTCTTTCTTATAAATTTGTTTAAGTTCTTTCTAGATGCCAGATATTAGACCTTTGTCAAATGCATTGTATGCAGATATTTTCTCTCATTTTGTAGGTTGTCTGTTTCCACTGTTGATAGTTTCTCTTACTGTGAGACGTTCTTTAGTTTAATTAGGCTTCATTTGTCAATTTTTGTTTTTGTTGCAATTGCTTTTGGCATCTTCATGATGAAATGTTTCCCAAGTCCTATGTCCAGAATGGTATTTCCTAGGTTATCTTCCAGAGTTTTTATATTAATAGTTTTCATTTTAACATTTAAGTGTTTAGTCCATCTTGAGTTGATTTTTGTATGTGGTGCAAAGTTGGCATCCAGTTTCAATCTTCTGCATAGAGCTAGTCACTTATCCCAGCACCCTTTATAAAATGGGGAGTCCTTTCCCCATTGCTTGTTTTGGTCAGCTTTGTTGAAGATCATATTTTTTTGTAGGTGTGTTGCACTATTTCTGGGTTCTCTATTTATTCTATTGGTCTATATATCTGTTTTGTTTTGTTTTTTTTTCCAGTACCGTGCTGTTTTGGATACTGTAGCCCTCTAGTATAAGTTGGGTAAGGTGATGCCTCTAGCTTTTTCCTTTTTTCTTAGGATTGCCTTGGCTATTAGGGCTCTTTTTCGGTTCCATACAAATTTTAAAATAGTTTTTTTCTAATGCTGTGAACAATGTCATCGGTAGTTTGATAGGAATTGCACTGAATCTATAAATTGCTTTGGACCAGTGTGGCCATTTTAATGATACTGAATCTTAGTATCCATGAGCATGGGATGTTTTTCCATTTGTTTGTGGCACCTCTGATTTCTTTCAGCAGTTTTTTGTAATTCTCATTGTAGAGATGTTTTACGTTCTTGGTTAGCAGAATTTCTAGGTATTTTATTCTTCTTGTGGCAGTTGTGAATGGGATGGCATTCCTGATTTAGCCCTCAGATTGAATGTTGTTGATGTATGGGAATGCTAAATTTTTGTACATTGCTTTTGTATCCTGAAACTTTTCTGAAGTTGTTTATCAGATCAAGGAGCTTTTGGACCAAGACTATGGGGTTTTCTCATACGGATTCATGTCTTTTGCAACCAGGAATAGTATAACTTCCTCTCTTCTTACTTGGATGCCTTTCATTTCTTTCTCTTGCCTGATTGCTCTGGCCAGGACTTCCAGTACTATGTTGAATAGGTGTGGTGAGAGAGGGCATCCATGTCTTATGCCGGTTTTCAAGGGGAATGCTTCCAGCTTTTTCCATTCAGTATGATGTTGGCTGTGGGTTTTTTATAGATTGCTTTTATTATTTTGAAGTATATTCCTTCAATGCCTAGTTTATTGAGGGTTTTTAACATGAAGGGATGTTGAATTTTATTGAAAGCCTTCTCTGCATGTATTGAGATAATTATGTGGTTTTTGTTTTCATTTCTGTTTATGTGATGAATCACATGTATTGATTTGCATATGTTGAACCAACCTTTCCTCTCAGGGATAAAGCCTACTTGATCATGGTAGGCTTTATCCCTGGGACGCAAGGGGTCATGGTAGGCTTTTTCTCTGCGATGCAAATGCTCACACCCTAATCTGTGGAGCCTGTGATTATATGTTACTTTACATGGCAAAAGGACTTTTATAGATGTGATTAAATTCAGAATCTTGAGATGGGGATATTATCCTGGATTAGGCAGGTAGGCTAATATAATCACCTGTGTCCATATAAGAGGGAGGCTGGAGGTCAGAGAAAAGATACTCTGCTGCTGACTTTAAAGATAGAAGAATGGGCCATGAGCCAAGGAATATAGGTCACCTCTAGAAGATAGAAAACATGAGGAAACAGCTATTTCATCAAAAAGCTAAGAAATTGGGTTTTTATATGCTGTTGGATTTGGTTTGCTAGTATTTTGTTGAGGAGAATCAAGGTAATTTGAAAGATCTTCAAATTTCAAGGATTTACACTCCTGCCAAATGACTCCCCAAACCCATAGCCAGTCACTGTTCTTCACCATTGCCCCACTCTCAAGCACAATACAAAAACTTTCCATTTCCTGAGAGGGTAAAGAAATGTGGTGTTATAACAAAATAAATATTTGCCAACAATATTACCATCTCTTGGTGTTATCTACTCCATGCATTTCTAGTGAATTGTTCATTAGGAAACCCCATTGCGTTATTCAAAGTTTTTGTCATTTGACCTAAGATAAACAAAGTTATCTGTTCCTCCCAAAGAAAAGTGTCAGATATGTCAAGTTCATCTGAGTTTGCCAACAGTAAGAAAATATTTTAAGAAGTATGGAGACATATAAAAAAGACATATAAGCCACCCAGAAGGGATCCTCTCTAGCCAAAACACTGACCATTTCAGCATCAAAATAATGATAGAATGAAATAAGAATGCATAAGACCATATTAAGATATATGGATAGACACATAGATAAATAATACCTGATACACACACGTACACACACACACACACACAGGAACAAAGGAAAGCTATTCCTTCATATAGAATGCCAACTCTATTAGTTTCCCATTGTTGCTAAAACAAATTACTACAAATTTGGTGTTTAAAATAACAAAAATATCTTATATATCTGGAGAAAGAAAGACTAAATTGGATCTACAGGGCTGCACATCTTCCGCAGGCTCTAGGACAGAACATGTTTCCTCAACTACTCCAGCTTCTAGAAGCAACCTGTATTCCGTGGCTCATGGCCCATTCCTCTATCTTTAAAGTCAGCAGCAGAATATCTTCTCTCTGACTAAGAATGTGGCAGGAAAGAACTTACATGCCCTCTCTCTTATATGGATATGTGTGATTATGTCAGCCCTCCTGGCTAATACAGGATAATAATCCCAACTCAAGGTTGAGAATTTAATCACATCTATAAAAACCCTTTTGCAGGCTGAAAATTCCAAAATCCAGAACGCCTCTTCTCCTCCAAAGGATCACAACTCCTCACGAGCAAGGGAACAAAACTGGATGGGGAATGAGTTTGATGAATTGACACAAGTAGGCTTCAGAAGGTGGGTAATAACAAACTCCTCCAAGCTAAAGGAGCATGTTTTAACCCAATGCAAGGAAGCTAAGAACCTTGAAGAAAAGATAGAAGACTTCCTAACTAAATTAATCAGTTTAGAGAAGAACATAAATGACCTGATGGAGCTGAAAAACAGCACGAGAACTTTGTGAAGCATACAAAGGTATCAATAGCCGAATTGATTAAGCAGAAGAAAGGATATCAGAGATTGAAATTCAACTTAATGAAATAAAGCGTGAAGACAAAATTAGAGAAAAAAGAATGAAAATGAATGAACAAAGCCTCCAAGAAATATGGGACTATGTGAAAAGACCAAACCTACGTTTGATTGGTGTACCTGAAAGTGATGGGGAGAATGGAACCAAGCTTGAAAACACTCTTCAGGATATAATCCAGGAGAATTTCCCCAACCTAGCAAGACAGGTCAACATTCAAATTCAGGAAATGCAGAGAAAAATACTAAGATATTCCTCAAGAACAGCAACCCCAAGACACATAATCATAATATTCACCAAGGTTGAAATGAAAGAAAAAAAATGTTAAGGGCAGCCAGAGAGAAAGGTCGCGTTACCCACAAAGGGAAGCCCATCAGACTAACAGCAGGTCTCTCAGCAAAAACCCTACAAGCGAGGGGAGAGTGAGAACGAATATTCAAAATTCTTAAAGAAAAGAATTTTCAGCCCAGAATTTCATATCCAGCCAAACTAAGCTTCATAAGTGAAGGAGAAACAAAATCCTTTACAGACAAGCAAATGCTGAGAGATTTCGTCACCACCAGTCCTGCCTTACGGGAGTTCCTGAAGGAAGTACTAAATATGGAAAAGAAAAATCAGTACCAGCCACTGCAAAAACATACCAAAGAATCAATATCATGAAAATGGCCATACTGCCCAAAGTAATTTATAGATTCAGTGCTATCCCAATCAAGCTACCACTGACTTTCTTCACAGAATTAGAAAAAAACTACTTTAAATATCACATGGAACCAAAACAGAGCCCGTATAACCAAGACAATCCTAAGCAAGAAGGAGAAAGTTGGAGGCATCATGCTACCTGACTTTAAACTATACTACAAGAATACAGTAACCAAAACAGCATGGTATGTGTACCAAAACGGATATATAGACCAATGGAACAGGACAGAGGCCTCTGAAATAATGCCACACGTCTACAACCACCTGATCTTTGACAAACCAGACAAAAACAAGCAATGGGGAAAGGATTCCTTATTTAATAAATGGTGTTAGGAAAACTGGCTAGCCATATGCAGAAAACTGAAACTGGACCCCTTCCTTACACCTTACACAAAAATTAACTCAAGACAGATGAAAGACTTAAACGTAAGACCTAAAACCATAAAAACCCTAGAAGAAAACCTAGGCAATACCATTCAGGATATAGGCATGGGCAAAGACTTCATGACTAAAACACCAAAAGCAATGGCAAGAAAAGACAAAATTGACAAATGGGATCTAATTAAACTAAAGAGCTTCTGCACAGCAAAAGAAACCTTCTGGACAAGCAGCCTACAGAATGGGAGAAAATTTTTGCAATCTATCCATCTGGCAAAGGGCTAATATCCAGAGTCTACAAAGAATTTAAACAAATTTACAAGAAAAAACAACCCCATCAAAAAGTGGGCGAAGGATATGAACAGACAGTTCTCTAAAAAAGACATTGATGCAGCCAACAAACATATGAAAAAAAGCTCATTATCTCTGGTCATTAGAGAAATGTAAATCAAAACCACAATGAGATACCATCTCACACCAGTTAGAATGGTGATCATTAAAAAGTCAGGAAACAACAGATGCTGGAGAGGATGTGGAGAAATAGGAATGCTTTTACACTGTTGGTGAGAATGTAAATTAGTTCATCCATTGTGGAAGACAGTGGGGCAATTCCTCAAGGATCTAGAACCAGCAATACCATTTGACTCAGCAATCCCATTACTAGGTATATACCCAAAGGATTATAAATCATTCTACTATAAAGACACATGCACATGTATGTTTATTGCAGCACCATTCATAATAGCAAAGACTTGGAACCAACCCAAATGCCCATCAATGATAGACTGGAATAAGAAAATGTAGCACATATACACCATGGAATACTATGCAGCCATAAAAAAGAACGAGTTTATGTCCTTTGTAGGGACATGGATGAAACTGGAAACCATCATTCTCAGCAAACTAAAACAGGAACAGAAAACCAAACACTGCATGTTCTCACTCATAAGTGGGAGTTGAACAGTGAGAACACATGGACACAGGGATGGGAACATCACACAGTAGGGTCTGTTAGAAGGTGGGAGGGCTAGGGAGAGATAGCATTAGGAGAAATACCTAATGTAGATGATGAGTTGATGGGTGCAGCAAACCAGCATGGCACATGTATGCCTATGTAACAAACCTGCACATTCCGCACATGTCTTCCAGGACTTAAAATATAAAAAATAAAATTAATTTTGCCACGTAAGGTAATATATAATAACTTATCCCAGTGATTAGGTTGTGATCATTTGAGAGAAGGAGAGGAAGTATTTAGCCTGCCACACAAATTATTAAATTTGGAAGGAATGATGGAACTTTAAGAATCATTACTTGGAAACCACTATAGTAATAATTGTTTCTGGGAAGGAATATTAAGGGATGCTTACTAATAAAACTAGTGGATGAAAGCTAGTTAAAAAACAGAATGCTACCTAATCTCAACATACTTCCCCACATGACACTTATATATTACTGAGAAAAACACTAATTTTTATAGTAAAGATGCCTGGCAGATACAACATTAACCAAGTAATCAAAGCCAATATTGCCCATAACAGAATAAAGAAATATGTACATACTGATAGGATGCACTAAGGAGAACACAATCACACTTTTGTGGTATTCCTGACAGAAGTTTACAGGGAAAAAGAAGCTGATGCTTCAGTGCAGTTAGTCATCATTCCTATCTGGGAAAAAGCTGGCTTCACTGTTAGTTCTACAGTAAAATTGCTTGCTGCATAAATTCATTTCTGCTTTGGAAATCCCAGTTCACAAACGTTGACATGAGGTTTAGGCCTGACAAGGGGAGCATCTCAGGGCTTCTACTTTGCCTTCAGTGTTGTTGACATAGGAACAGGTCGTCAGAGCTAAAAATGTATTGTCCTTACCCTGATTTTTTCATATACAAGTTGCCAGAGCTTATGCAAGCACCTATCTCCTCCCTTCAGTTTGATAAAGTGAGAGAACTCATTCTTGTTGTTCTGCTGCATAAAGTTTGCTTGACTGGTTTGAAAAGTACAAAACAATAAAAACAATAATATCTGTGTTACACTTTGGGGGAATTATTAGTAACTGATCACTTTCAGATTACAAATTAAATAGCACAGGTTAATATGACTAGGATTCAATATTAGATATCCTATAATTATAACCTTGCCAAGACCACCTCGATCATGGAGATGCTAACCCAGTGGCACTAGAGGAATTAAAGACACACACACAGAAATATAGAGTATGGAGTGGGAAATCAGGGCACTCACAGCCTTCAGAGCTGAGAGCCCTGAACAGAGTTTGACCCACATATTGATTGACACGAAGCCAGTGATAAGCATTATTTCTATAGATTATAGATTAACTAAAAGTATTCCTTAAGGGAAACAAAGGGATGGGCCGAAACAAAGGGATGGGCTCTGTCTAGTTATCTGCAGCAGAAACATGTCCTTAAGGCACAGATCACTCATGCTATTGTTTGTGATTTAGGAATGCCTTTAAGCGGTTTTCTGCCCTGGGTGGGCCAGGTGTTCCTTGCCCTCATTCTGGTAAACCCACAACCTTCGGCATGGGCATCATGGCCATCACAAACATGTCACAGGGCTGCAGAGATTTTGTTTATGGCCAGTTTTGGGGCCAGTTTATGGCCAGATTTGGGGGCCTGTTCCCAACATAACCTCCCAAAAGAAAACAAAAAGTCTACACATATAAAAGAAAATGTATATATTTTGTAAGAGAAGAAGGAGAAAAGAGCCCAGAAAATTAAAAAGCCAAAAAAAATTTAGAGAGTGAGAAGTGATATCAATAAAACGGCAAAATAGGACTTTCCAGTGCCAGTTGGCCCCCTAGGTCAGACTCTGTAGTCCCAAGATCCATGCCAGTACCCAAGGGCCTAGCCTCCAGACCAGCACATATAAGCTGGGCCCCATAAACCCAGGCTCCAGACAAGCCCCTAAGGCAGCAAGTTCCACTCTAGAACCAGGCCAGTTCCAGGCTTCAGGTTGATCCCCACCACTCTAGGTTCCACTGGACCTAAAGTTCAGGCCCACACCAGTAGCTATCACCTCATACCTCACACCAGTTAGATCTATTATGAAAAACACAAAGGACAACAGGTGGTGGGAAGAATATGGAGAAAAGAGAATTCTTATACATTGTTACATTGTTTTTTGAAATGTAAATTAGGACAGCCATGAGGGAAAACACTATGAAGTTTCCTAAATAAATTTAAAATAGGGCCAGGCGCAGTGGCTTATGCCTGTAATTCCAACACTTTGGGAGGCCGAGGTCGGCAGATCACCTGAGGTCAGGAGTTTGAGACCAGCCTGGCCAACATGGTGAAATCCCATCTCTACCAGAAACAAGCAATGGGGAAAGGATTCTCTGTTTAACAAATGGTGGTGGGAAAACTGGCTAGCCATATGCAGAAAACTGATACTGGACCCCTTCCTTATACCTTAGGCAAAAATTAACTCAAGATAGCTTAAAGACTTAAATGTAGAACCCAAAACCATATAAACCCTAGAAAAGAACCTAGGCAATACCATTCAGGATATAGGCATGGGCAAAGACTTCATGACTAAAACACCAAAAGCAACGGCAACAAAAGACAAAATTGACAAATGGGATCTAATTAAACTGAAGAGCTGCTGCACAGCAAAAGAAACTACCATCAGAGTGAACAGGCAACCTACAGAATGGGACAAAATTTTTGCAATCTATGCATCTGACAAAAGTCTAATATCCAGAATATATGAGGAACTTAAACAAATTTATGAAAATAAAACAAACAACCCCATCAAAAAGTGAGCAAAGGATATAAATAGAAACTTCTCAAAAGAAGGCATTTATGGAGCCAACAAACACATGAAAAATAGCTCGTCATCACTGGTCATTCGAGAAATGCAAATCAAAACCACGAGATACCATCTCACACTAGTTAGAATGGCAATTATTAAAATGTCAGGAGACAACAGATGCTGGCGAGTCTGTGGAGAAATAGGAATGCTTTTACACTGTTGGTGGGAGAGTAAATTAGTTCATCCATTGTGGAAGACAGTGTGGCGATTCCTCAAGGATCTAGAACCAGCAATACCATTTGACCCAGCAATCCCATGAGTGCGTATATATCCAAAGGATTATAAATCATTCTACTATAAAGACACATGCACATGTATGTTTATTGCAGCACCATTTACAATAGGAAAGACTTGGAACCAACCCAAATGCCCATCAATAATAGACTGGATGAAGAAAATGTGGCACATATACACCTTGGAATACTATGCAGCCATAAAAAAGAATGAGTTCATGTCCTTTGCAGGGACATGGATGAAGCCGGAAACCATTATTTTCAGCAAAATAACACAGGAACAGAAAACTAAACACTGCATGTTCTCACTCATAAGCGGTAGTTAAACAATGAGAACACATGGACACAGGGAGGGCAACATCACACACTGGGGCCTGTCACGGGTTCAGGGGGAAGGAGAGGGAGAGCATTAGGACAAATATCTAATGCATGTGGGGCTTAAAACCTAGATGACAGGTTGATAGGTGCAGCAAACCACTATGGCACATGTATACCTATGTAACAAATTTGCACATTCTGCACATGTATCCGAGAACTTAAAGTAAAATAAACATAAAAATAATGAAAAATAAAAGATTTCATAAGAACTTATACGAGAAACTACATCAGCCTTAGGGTAATTAAAGATTTGCTAGGACACACACACACACACACACACACACACACACACACACACACACACACAAGAAATCCTGTCTCTACTAAAAATACAGAAATTAGCTGGGCGTGGTGGTGCTTACCTGTAGTCCCAGCTACTCTGGAGGCTGAGGCAAGACAATCGCTAGAACCCAGGAGGTGGGAGTTGCAGTAAGCCGAGATCCCACCACTGCACTCCAGCCTGGGCGACAGAGCGAGACTCTGTCTCAAAAAATTAATTAATTAATTAATTAATAATAAATAAAAATAGAACTGCCATATGATCCATCAATCACACTTCTGGGTTTATATCCAAAAGAATTAAATCACTATGTTGAAGAGCTATCTCCACTTCCATGAATATGGCAGCAAATTCATAATAGCCAAAGTATTGAATCAATCTAAGAGTCAATCAATGAATGAGTGAATTTAAAAAGTGTAGTTTATATACAATAGAATACTATTCTGCCTTAAAATAAGAAGGAAGTCCTAATATTTTCAAACACATGGCAAACCTGAGGACACTTTGCTAAGTAAAATGAGCCAGGCACAGAAAAATAAATACTGCACGATCTAATGTGTGAAATCTACATAAAATGAACTCATAGAAGCACAAAGTAGTAGAATGAGGCTTGTCAGGGGTTAGCAGTGGAGGGAGGGAAAATGGGGAGATGCTGGTCAAAGGGTACAAAGTTTCAGTTAGAAGGAATAAATTCAAGAGATCTATTCTATAGTATGGTGACTATAGTTAATAAAACTGTACTGCATACTTGAAAATTGCTAAGATAACAGATCCTAAATGTTCTCACCACAAAACAGGTAAGTATGTGAGTTAATGATTTGTTAATTAGCTTGAATAATAATTGCATAATTATACATATATCAAAACTTTATGCTGTATATCATAAATAAATACAACTTTTCACTTAATAAAGATGGAGAGGATATTTGAGTAGGTGAGAAACCAGGATGCTACAGGAAGTGTTACAAATCGTAAGATTTCCATAGTAGGAAATAGTTCAAAGAGCTAAGCTATGTTCTTTAAGTTTTAAAAAATTTGTTTTTATGTGATGTTTTACCCTAAGTGGTCTCAATTGTTTACTAGAAGTTATTTTACATACACTATTCTTGGTTCTTCATTTCTTGGGTAAGCTTAAGGACAAGGGCAAATGACTCATATTTTTCATGCCTAGTTAGAAATAAAGGAAGAGTCACAGATGCAGAAAGAAGATAAAGTCAGCAGAATCAATGCAATTGCAAGTCACACTAGAAATTGGAGGGAAGTTCCGAGATGCATTTTTATTTTTATAATTTAGGAAATAGTGTGTGAATCAATCACATCCAAATCTCACAGGCCTCAAAAGCTACAGCTGACATTCCAGTTATAGAGAAAACTCAGGCATTGCAAGTACGTTACATTATACTGAATTCTCCTTTAGTCATTTTTCCACATCATTTGACTATGACTGTCAGTTTAAATTGCTCTAGGTATAACGCAATTATTTCAGATGAAGATGGTTGACAATAATATATAGAACAAAATGATAACTTCTATAAAATATATTTATTTGAAACCATATATTGATATTCCTAATATACTTATTAACTATAAATATTCAAATTAGAACAAACTTAAAAATAAAAATAAACTAACATTTTCCATATAACAGCTTTTATCATAAAAATTTTCCAGTATATTTAAACATAATTCTTTTATACACCCATTGACTTCAAGTCATTTTCAGAGCCTCTCTATTTGCCTCAAATGTTCTCCATAGCTCTTTAGGTAATGCAGTTGCTCCAAGCACTTACCTCACCTAAGTATACCTAGACGGTGATGACCATTTCTTTATAAGCTACATAGGTCAGCTTTACCAGCTCCTTTCACCTCCAATATCCTTCTCACTGCCTTGTAAAAAAGAGGGATCTTGGACGCCGACTTCTGCTACACTGCTTCAACATCTCTCTTGCTACAATTTATAAAACTTATTGTCTTACTATTGATATTGGATATCAAAGAATATGGACCAAAATTCCTCTCAAAATTTACATCCAACAAAAAATAAGTAGTGTTGGAGGAAAGGATTTGAAGTATTTTGCTGTGTATTCAACTAAACTAAAGATAGAAGACAAAAGTATTCTGCCTAAACAGCAAAAAATTAAAAGACATATTCTAGATATTTTAAAATTGAGAGTATCATCTTTTCATAGGAATTATAACTTCACTTTTATCAATATTTACAACAAATTTCATGCCTTATTTTTAATCAGGAAAAGTCTTTCTTGTATTCATTAGGTTTGTGCCATGGAAAAACATCACTATAGATGTTTTATCTTGATTTTACACAGCTGTTTTCTCCAAAAGTGAATGGTATTTAAGCTGAATGTGTTTTATTCCTACCTGTTACCAGGATCTCCACGACTTTGTTAGAGTACATGCTCAGCAAGTGCTAACAGAGTGAGTGAATAAAAGAATGGTTGATAAATGAACAGATGGATGAATCATTGTGAGGAAAGACTCCATTATATTGTTAATATCACACAAACACAGGCTCACTCCCACCCCCTTAGTCTCTTCACTACCCCTCTTACATCTTTGTTTCTGAGGGTGTAGATTAGAGGGTTAAGACTAGGTGTAACAACAGTATAAAAGAGAGCAATGAACTTGCCTTGATCTTGAGAATTCCCTGATGGTGGCTGGAGATACATGCACATGGCCGGAATGAAAAAGAGAGATACAACCATATGATGAGCTCCACATGTTCCAAATACTTTCTGAAGCCCAGTGGTTGACTGCATCCTCAGTACAGCCTGGGCAATAGCACCATAGGAAGTGAAAATGAGGGTGAGAAGTAGCAGAACAAAAATGGAGCTTGTGATCATGAGGGTCAGTTTATTTTCACGGGTATTGACAAATGATAATCATAAAAGTGCCGGAACTTCACAGAAAAAGTGATCTATTTGGCGGTGTCCACACAGAGGTACCCAGAAGGTGAAGGAGGAATGAAGTGCTGGGTTTGTAAAACCACTTACCCAAGAAGCCACAGCCAACAAGTGGCAGAAACGAGAGTGCATGAGGACAGTGTAATGCAAAGGTCTACACACAGCTGCATAACGGTCATAGGACATCGCCACCAGTAGGAAACACTCTGTGGTTCCCAGTGTGAGAACAAAGTAAAGTTGAACCATGCAACCAGCATAAGAAATGGTCTTTCCCACACCCCAGAGACTGACCAGCAACTGAGGGATAGAGCTGGTGGTGTAGCAGAGATCCAGAAATGAGAGATTTGAAAGGAAGAAATACAAGGGAGTATGGAGATGGGAGTCCAGGTACGTCAGGATGATGATGAACAGGTTTCCTATCAGTGTCATCAAGCAGAAGATCAAAATAACCACAAAGAGAACTACTTCCAGATAAGGCCAATTAGAAAATCCAACTAAAATAAAGTACCCCTCAGAGCTAGCATTGACTTTTCCATCATCATTCATTTCCTATTACCTGAGAGAAAAAAAAAATCAGGTAAACTCAAAAAGCAGTAAACAAATGCTCCAAAAAACATCAGGATACGTAAAAAAAATAAAATCCAGTTTGAAGGGCTTGCCATCATTTAATTGTAGGACAATTTAACCATTAGTAGTAATGAACTTAACAAAAGAAGAATTATAAAGCTCGTACTGATATAAAAAGTAAGAGTAAATAAATGAATGGTGAAGAAAAAGCCATTCCTAACAGTAGATCCCTAATTAATAAACATAGAAGGGATGATGGTGTTAAGAAAAACATAAATGATTGCAAAACTAGTGGATAAAAATTTGATGGGGAACAGGACATGTACATAGTCTAAAATATCTCCTCACAACTTTCTTGTTAATTTCAAACTGAAAAACAGTGAAGTTTACAGTAGAAAAACCTGGCAGACACCAACATAACCAAGTGATTTTATTGATCTTAAGATCACCTGTATTTGTACAAACCAACATCATGAGACTGCTGAGATGCTGCTCTGAACAGGACATGATGTCACCTCAGTGATATTTATGTTAAAAATACACAGACTAATTCTAATAATGAAGACACATGAGAAAAACTCTAATTGAGAGAAATAGTTTGCCTGTACAATTCAAAAGTATCAAGTTTAAGTAGACAAACAAAGGCTGTGGCACTGGTCCAGATGGAAGGAGACTAGTGAGATGTGATTTCTCAGTGTATCATCTGGGATTTTTTTAAAAAGTGGCTATTAACAAAATTATTGGGACTATTTAAGAAATCTCACTGTGGACTATGGATTAGATAATAATATTGTGCCCATATTAAATTTGCTGATTTGGGTACTGTGCAGGACTTATGTAAAATAACATCCTTCTTCTTAGACAAGAAACACTGAATAAAATATTTGGTGTAAATGTCTTGAATGGGCTAAATGCTCCAATTAAAAGACACAGACTGGCAAATTGGATAAAGGGTCAAGACCCATCAGTGTGCTGTATTCAGGAAACCCATCTCACATGCAGAGACACACATAGGTTCAAGATAAAGGGATGGAGGAAGATCTACCAAGCAAATGGAAAACAAAAAAAGGGAGGGGTTGCAATCCTAGTCTCTGATAAAATAGACTTTAAACCAACAAAGATCAAAAGAGACAAAGAAGGCCATTACATAATGGTAAAGGGATCAATTCAACAAGAAGAGCTAACTATCCTAAATATACATGCACCCAATACAAGAGCACCCAGATTCATACAACAAGTCCTTAGAGACCTACAAAGAGGCTTAGACTCCCACACAATAATAATGGGAGACTTTAACACCCCACTGTCAACAATAGACAGATCAACAAGACAGAAAGTTAACAAGGATATCCAGGAATTGAACTCAGCTCTGCACCAAGCGGTGCTAATAGACATCTACAGAACTCTCCACCCCAAATCAACAGAATATACATTCTTCTCAGTACCACATCACACTTATTCCAAAATTGACCACATAGCTGGAAGAAAAGCACTCCTCAGCAAATGTAAAAGAACAGAAATTATAACAAACTGTCTCTCAGACCACAGTGCCATCAAACTACAACTCAGGATTAAGAAACTCACTCAAAACCACTCAACTACATGGAAACTGAACAACCTGCTCCTGAATGACTACTGGTACATAACGAAATGAAGGCAGAAATAAAGATGTTCTTTGAAACCAGCGAGAACAAAGATACAACATACCAGAATCTCTGGGACACATTTAAAGCAGTGTGTAGAGGGAAATTTATAACACTGAATGTCCACAAGAGAAAGCAGGAAAGATCTAAAACTGACACCCTAACATCATAATTAAAAGAACTAGAGAAGTAAGAGCAAACACATTCAAAAGCTAGCAGAAGGCAAGAAATAACTAAGATCAGAGCAGAACTGAAGGAGATAGACACACAAAAAACCCTTCAAAAAATCAATGAATCCAGGAGCTGGTTTTTTGAAAGATCAACAAAATTGATAGACTGCTAGCAAGACTAATAAAGAAGAAAAGAGAGAAGAATCAAATAGACACAACAAAAAATGATAAAGGGGATATCACCACCGATCGCACAGAAACACAAACTACCATCAGAGAATACTATAAACACCTCTATGCAAATAAACTAGAAAATCTAGAAGAAATGGATAAATTCCTCGACACATACACCCTCCCAAGACTAAACCAGGAAGAAGTTGAATCTCTGAATAGACCAAATAACAGGCTCTGAAATTGAGGCAATAATTAGTAGCTTACCAACAAAAAAAAGTCCAGGACCAGACGGATTCACAGCCGAATTCTACCAGAGGTACAAGGAGGAGCTGGTACCATTCCTTCTGAAACTACTCCAATCAATAGAAAAAGAGGGAATCCTCCCTAACTCATTTTATGAGGCCAGCATCATCCTGATACCAAAGCCTGGCAGAGACACAACAAAAAAAGAATTTTAGACCAACATCCCTGATGAACCTCGATGCAAAAATCCTCAATAAAATACTGGCAAACCGAATCCAGCAGCACATCAAAAAGCTTATCCACCATGATCAAGTGGGCTTCATCCCTGGGAGGCAAGGCTGGTTCAACGTACGCAAATCAATAAACGTAATCCAGCAGAACAAAAGACAAAAACCACATGATTATCTCAATAGATGCAGAAAAGGCCTTTGACAAAATTCAACAGCCCTTCATGCTAAAAACTCTCAATAAACTAGGTATTGATGGAACGTATCTCAAAATAATAAGAGCTGTTTATGACAAAACCACAGCCAATATCATACTGAATGGGCAAAAACTGGAAACATTCCCTTTGATAACTGGCACAAGACAGGGATGCCCTCTCTCACCACTCCTATTCAACATAGTGTTGGAAGTTCTGGCCAGGGCAATCAGGCAGGAGAAAGAAATAAAGGGTATTCAATTAGGAAAAGAGGAAGTCAAATTGTCCCTGTTTGCAGATGACATGATTGTATATCTAGAAAACCCCATCATCTCAGCCCAAAATCTCCTTAAGTTGATAAGCAACTTCAGCAAAGGCTCAGGATACAAAATCAATGTGCGAAAATCACAAACATTCTTATACACCAATAACAGGCAAACAGAGAGCCAAATCATGAGTGAACTCCCATTCACAATTGCTTCAAAGAGAATCAAATACCTAGGAATACAACTTACAAGGGATGTGAAGGACCTCTTCAAGGAGAACTACAAACCACTGCTCAATGAAATAAAAGAGGATACAAACAAATGGAAGAACATTCCATGCTCATGGATAGGAAGAATCAATATCGCGAAAATGGCCATACTGCCCAAGGTAATTTATAGATTCGGTGCGATCCCCATCAAGCTACCAATGACTTTCTTCACAGAATTGGAAAAAACTGCTTTAAAGTTCATATGGAACCAAAAAAGAGCCCGCATTGCCAAGCCAATCCTAACCCAAAAGAACAAAGCTGGAGGCATCACGCTACCTGACTTCAAACTATACTACAAGGCTACAGTAACCAAAACAGCATGGTACTGGTACCAAAACAGAGATATAGAGCAAAGGAACAGAATACAGCCCTCAGAAATAATACCACACATCTACAATTATCTGATCTTTGACAAACCTGAAAAAAACAAGACATGGGGAAAGGATTCCCTATTTAACAAATGCTGCTGGGAAAACTGGCTAGCTATATGTAGAAAGCCGAAACTGGATCCCTTCCTTACACCTTATACAAAAATTAATTCAAGATGGATTAAAGACTTCAATGTTAGACCTAAAACCATAAAAACCCTAGAACAAAACCTAGGCAATACCATTCAGGACATAGGCATGGGCAAGGACTTCATGTCTAAAACACCAAAAGCAATGGCAACAAAAGCCAAAATTGACAAATGGGATCTAATTAAACTAAAGAGTTTCTGCACAGCAAAAGAAACTACCATCAGAGTGAATAGGCAACCTACAGAATGGGAGAAAATTTTTGCAAGCTACTCATCTGACAAAGGGCTAATATCCAGAATCTACAATGAACTCAAACAAATTTACAAGAAAAGAACAAACAGCCCCATCAAAAAGTGGACGAAGGACATGAACAGACACTTCTCAAAAGAAGACATTTATGCAGCCAAAAAACACATGAAAAGATGCTCACCATCACTGGCCATCAGAGAAATGCAAATCAAAACCACAATGAGATACCACCTCACACCAGTTAGAATGGCAATCATTAAAAAGTCAGGAAACAACAGGTGCTGGACAGGATGTGGAGAAATAGGAACACTTTTACACTGTTGGTGGGACTGTAAACTAGTTCAACCATTGTGGAAGTCAGTGTGGTGATTCCTCAGGGATCTAGAACTAGAAATACCATTTGACCCAGCCATCCCATTACTGGGTATATACCCAAAGGATTATAAATCATGCTGCTAGAAAGACACATGCACACGTATGTTTATTACGGCACTATTCACAACAGCAAAGACTTGGAACCAACCCAAATGTCCAACAATGATAGAGTGGATTAAGAAAATGTGGCACATATACACCATGGAATACTATGCAGCCATAAAAAATGATGAGTTCATGTCCATGTAGGGACATGGATGAAGCTGGAAACCATCATTCTCAGCAAACTATCCCAAGGACAAAAAACCAAACACCGCATGTTCTCACTCATGAGTGGGAATTGAGCAATGAGAACATTTGGACACAGGAAGGGGAACATCACACACCGGGGCCTGTTGTGTGGTAGGGGGAGGGATAGCATGAGGAGATATACCTAATGTAAATGACGAGTTAATGGGTGCAGCACAGCAACATGGCACATGTATACATATGTAATAAACCTGCAGGTTGTGCACATGTACCGTAGAACTTAAAGTATAATAATAATAATTATAATAAAAGAACATTATAGCATTAAGAAAAGGAAGAAACCACAATGTTAATGAACAATAGATAGTATTAACCACGCACACATTTTTAGACTTTTAACATCACAAATTGTAACAAACCAAAATAAGAGGCAATGAACTAAGAAAATACATATGAATTTGTATAACCTTGGAACACAAAAGTTTATACAACTTAATATGAAACTGAAACTCCAATACAGTTATGTACATAGAATGCAGACAAATAATTAACACAAAATAAAAAATTTAAAAGGAATAAAAATGACCTAATAATTAAAAAAAAAAGTACTTGGTGTAAAGGTACGTGGCATCTCCAACTTACTCTCAGCTAGTGCAGAAAAAGAGATAGATGATAGATAGATAGATAGATAGATAGATAGATAGATAGATAGATATAATAGATGATAGAGATATAGATAGATAGATAGATAGATAGATAGATAGATAGATAGATAGATGATATAACAAAGCTTTGGGGGAAAATGTAAACTAATGCTTAATCTGGTTATAGGGTAAATGTCAGTCTTTGTACTACTTTTTTGCAATTCTTCTCTAAGTTTGAAATTTTACCATAATAAAAAGTCACAAAAAATAGAAAACAATTTTTTAATTTTATATTTTATTCATATATTTGCCTTATAGAAGAATAACTATCGAGTTCTTCCCATTCATTTTATGGTGACTTCTAGGTAAATGGTAATTGAAAGAAATTTCTAACCTAGCTAAGGAAGATAATTTCCATAAAACACAAAATTTTTCTTTGTTAATGAATAAGGAACTTTTCTTTTCAGCATTTTCAGGTTATTTTCAAAAATGTGATTATAGAAAACATAACAATTGCAATCCCAATAATTTTACATACGGATGAAATAATATGTTGAAAATATTGAATTTAGTAGTGATTTCAAAATGTTCATGTAAAGTGAAAAAAAAGTTTAGCTTCAATGGGACTACAGGCATGTGCCACCATGCCTAGCTAATTGTTTTGTATTTTTAGTAGAGATGGGGTTTCACCTTGTTAGCCAGGATGGTCTTGGTCTCCTGACCTCATGATCCACCTGACTCGGCCTTCCAAAGTGCTGGGATTACAGGTGTGAGCCACCGTGCTCGGCCTTGTTTTTGATTTTTAAAAAGTGAAAGAAAGATTTATACAATCTGAAGAGTAATCAGAGTTTATTGTTTCTGACTTTTAAAAGCTGTCTTAATGTATTAGCATTACCCCCAGTGACAAATTAAGCCATGCACAGATACTTCATCTTTTATGTTGCCATTTTTCCTGACAGAGAGTGTGTTCTGTTCAGACAGAGTATGTTATATTTATACACGTTACCAAGAATTTCACAAACTGGAAGAGAGTACACATTCAATAAGATTTAGCTAATAAAGAATAAGTTAATGAATAAATGGACAGATGAACGAAAGAGCCATTTTAAAGAGATATTAGTTTACTGTTCAATGTGACAAGTATGTAGACCTACAGGATAAATTAGATAATTTAGTGTCTTTAAAAAGTGTCTTTCAACCAAATACTTATGATATATCCTTTACCATATCTTAAACAATGTTATTCATTATGTTTACCATTTTTCTTTGCTGTGACTATTTTTAGCTTCATTTAAGGTTTATTCAATAACCAAAAACCTTTTTAGCCTAAGTCTTTGCAATATTGCCCTTCTCTTTCTGTATATATCATCAGTTCATAATTTAGCACATTGTTAGAAATATTCCCAACATTTTTGAAATAATCTCCTCATAACTATTCGCATGCACATTTATTTACGTTGAAACCACAGTCCACAATTTTCACAGAAATAAAATATACAATTGTAAAAGAACAAAGTGGCACTAATCAGAAACTTTATCTCAACATAATATTTCAGAACTAAATAATAAAAAGAGCAACAAATGTGAGACTGAACTATTCTGTTTTGTGAGCTGTTAGAACAAAAATAAATCACAAAGAAGCAGGGAAACCACCTTTCAAGATGGCTAAGACCCTAGGAAAAACAATGACAACAGACAACATGATTTCCCTGTCACTTCCCCCACTCCCACCCCAATAGTCTCTTCGCTGCCCCTTTTACATGCTTGTTTCTGAGAGTGTAGATTAGAGGATTAAGACTCGGTGTGACAACAGTATAAAAGAGGGCAATGAACTTGCCCTGATCAGGAGAATTTTCTGATGGTGGCTGGAGATACATGCACATGACTGGAATGAAAAAGAGAGATACAACCATAAGATGGGCTCCACATGTCCTAAACACTTTCTGAAGCCCAGTGGTTGATTGCATGCTCAGTACAGCCCGGGCAATGGCACCATAGGTAGTGAGAATGAGAATGAGAGGTATGAGAACAAAAATGGAGCTCATGACCATGAGGGTCAGCTCATTTGCATGGGTGTCAACACATGATAAACGCAGAAGTGCTGGAACTTCACAGAAGAAGTGATCCACTAGGCGATGTCCACAAAGGGGTACCCAGAAAGTAAAGGAGGAATGAAGTGCTGAGATAGTAAAACCAATTACCCAAGAAGCCGCAACCAACAAGTGGCAGAAACGAGGGTGCATGAGGACAGTGTAATGCAAAGGTCTACACACAGCTACATAACGATCATACGACATCACCACCAGTAGGACACACTCTGCGATTCCCAGTGCAAGAACAAAGTAAAGTTGAACCATGCAACCAGCATACGAGATGGTCTTTTCCGGGCCCCGGAGATTCACCAGCAACTGAGGGATAGAGCTGGTGGTGTAGCAGAGATCCAGAAATGAGAGGTTTGAAAGGAAGAAGTACATTGGTGTGTGGAGATGGGAGTCCACGTATGACAGGATGATGATGAACAGGTTTCCTGTCAGTGTCATCAGGTAGAAGATCAAGATAACCACAAAGAGAACTACTTCCAGCTGAGGCCAATTAGAAAATCCAAGTAGAATAAAGAAGTCTTCCGAACTTGCATTTTTTTTAATCATCATTCATCTTTTTCTTATACCTAAAGAAAGAACCACATAAACTCAAAGTCTGTCCATGCATTGTCAACCGCTCACTTGCAAACAGATTGAAGACAAAAGTATCCCACTTCCAGAGAGTGTGCACCATAATGGTAGTAGAATTTTTATACAGTTCCCTTTATATGCTTCATTGAGATATTTATCCAGCTACAGATACAAGCAATAGCTTCTCAAGTTACTGAGTTCTTTATATACATCCCTGAATTAACATTTGGATTAATGAAGACTAAGATAGTCCATAATCAGGAACACAATATTTATGAAAAATGATTTTTTACTTTAAAAAGTCAAATTATTTTTATATTTTCAGGCTATTTCCAATTTTGCAATTACAGAGAAAGGAATAACAGCAGTCTTACTGATCTTACTTATAGATAGGAATTTCCCATATTAAAAAGCAATTAGATAGTCACTTTAAAATATTAACTGAAAAGAAATAATTGAATATGATTATAGAAAGAATCAAATGCTATTTATGCTAGCAGTTTATTTCTAGACAAATAAAATAATGCACAAATCAAAGTTTAAAGAGAATATGCACGCACACACCAACTTATAAAAATTCACAATATACACAAAGCTGATTAATACAGCAAAATAGAGTGATCGGTGATAGAATGCTTCCAAAGGTAAATGAGACTATATTACTGGAAGACATAAAGATTACAGAGTCTAACAAAAACATAGGTTGGTAAGAGAGAAATGGAGAGTGTTTGGATGCACAACAGTGAAGAGAGGTCTGAATGTGGTATGCGAAGTTGAAAGAATGTATAACAAGTTTGTTAGACAAGGACAAGAAGACTTAAACATGGTTTCTACAAAACTGTATATGCTTTAGGCCAATAACTGAACTATACTTTAAATTCTGAGTCACAATTTATAATTTGTATTTTCTGGGTTTTCCACAATTTTTAATGGAGCTTCTGAACAGACATTAACTAATATTAGTAGAAAGATACGTGAACATTGTATAAAATCCAGAAAATTCACCTTGTAGTTATTTTTTTAAAATGAAGAAATTCAAATATGCTTTGATAGCTTGATTTTCAGTTGCTTATTTTCTCTTGCACATTACCAATCTTGCATGAGAAAGATAAACACTCTTTTATGATATAGTTTTTGCAATAAAATACAGGAACCCAGCATTTCAATATTCCTAAATAGTTTTGTCATCCCCCTTCTGCTCCCCTCCTGCCACAGCCAACTCTTCCTCTTATACTCTCTGATAAATTTGGCAAAAGAGGCCAGGCGTGGTGGCTCATGCCTGTAATCTCAGCATTTTGGGAGGCCGAGGCAGGTGGAACACCTGAGGTCAGGAGTTCGAGACCAGCCTGACCAACGTGGTGAAACACCATCTCTACTAAAAAATACAAAAATTAGCCAGGCAGGCATGGTAGTGGGCACCTGTAATACCAGCTACTCTGGAGGCTGAGGCAGGAGAATCGCTTGAACCCAGGAGGTGGAGGTTGCAGTGAGCTGAGATCATGCCATTGCCCTCCAGCCTGGGTGACAGAGCAAGACTCTGTCTCAAAAAACTAATATCTACACCCGACTCACCTTCAGTGTTTTGAAAAACTTTTAATAACTCAAGTATTGTAATCTTGACTCTTGAAAAAGATGTAAGGAGTTGCCTAACTGGTTGAGTTACAGCTGGAGAGCTAGGAACATTGAACTTGGGCCAAATCTGTGCAAATGCTCCAGACTGGTACAAAGATACTGTACATTTTTCCATATTGTTGGTAATGGAATGAGCATTAACCTTTTGAGAAATCATGGGAAAATTCCAAGGATTTTTTTAAATCTCCCTAAGATGAAAGGTAATATGCCATAAGATACTTGAACTCAAATGCTGTGGATACTTTTGCTGATGCCGACCTAATTTTCTTTCCTAATGCAGCTGCCTGAGTTCCTTATTACAGTAATTAAAAGGTGGAATCTGATAACTATCTGTTATATGACCCATCTTTCAGCATTCCTCCGGAGTTGATAAAAGGGATAGGAAATAAGGGACAAAAAAACCCCCAGAACTCATGTAGAGAAAAGTCTCAGCTTCAATTTTCTTCTTGGTGGAAAAGAGGGAAATGAAGACCCTATCAAATGTAGCTTTTATGAGTTGTAGAATAAAATATCTTCTCTCTTTTTTTAAATCAAATACTATAGGGAAAATGGATGGCTGAGTGTCTCTTCCTTCCCCAATTATTATTAAGAGACATTATGCCAATTTGTGTCACATCCATTCCTTTATACTATATCTGGTTTGTTTTCTTAATTTTTCATTGACTAGTAATAATTGTATATATTTATGGAGTACACTGTAATGTTTTGATGTATATATACATTATAGAATGATTATATTAAGCTAGTTAACATATCCATCACCCCACAACCATCATATTTTTGTAGTAAGAACATTTAAAATCTACACTTCCTGCAATTTTGAAATATGGAAGCTGTCTACCCCTTAAGAAGTGCACCAACTTCTTTCAGTACTGACCTTCCTGTGTTTGTCCCTGTTCCCTGTCACTCTCTACCTGGCCTACAACCTCATCAGGTATAAACTGATGAAGGGGCTCTCTGGTTGCCATACAACCTAAAAACAGCAACCTAATTGCCTTCTTATAACATTTTTGCCAATGTTTTAAATCTAACTATGAAGAACAGAGTCTGGAAATAACTGTGATTGTCATTGCTACAGAAAAGAGAGCCTGAGTTTGTCCAAAAGATCTGCTTTTTAGCAGAATGTGGGAATACTTTAGGGCATTCAAGGTATCACGGGATGGACCCTTTATCCCAGAGCAAATGTAATCTTTATGGAAACAAAAAGAATAACGGGATACTCTTTCATTGACTGCAGCCTTTGGGAGTATAAATCCCAAAGCTGCAATTAATGCCCTTCAAGGAGTTGTCCTGGTATGATGTTCTCAGTACAAAACTCTTCACAGAAATATCTTCAGCATGATGTTATACTCTTACTGAGATGACAGTGAATTTGTCACCAACAAACATGGGAAAAGATGCTGTGAGTAACATTTACAATGAAAGGAAGAGGTTTTACTGAGCCATCCGATTTTTTTTTTCAGTTTCCCGTGGGGCTAAGGCTCAAATGTACAAGACAACTGGAAAAAAAGGAGAGATTTGAGAGTCATTCAACAGAAAAACTAGAATACATAAAGACTAAACTGCATATCTGTTCCTTATTAATGAGGGGCTCTTTGAGACTGACCTATATTATTTATGCCTTCCCAGTTGTCTTTTAAATTCAATTCCAAGATTTTTCCTGCAAAATGTTAAAAAAATCTTAAATATTACTCCAATCTTTTATTATTTTAATTGACAAATAATTTTATATATTGATTAGGTACAATGTGATCTTTTGATATATGTATATGTGCAATATGGAATGATTAAGTCCAGCTAACACAGTCATCACCTCACATACTTATTTTTCTTATAGTGAGAACATTTAAATCTACTTGTTTAAAATCCCCCCTTTCTCCATCCCCTGCCCCCCAGGTAGCTATCATTCTACTCTCCACTTGTATGAGTTTATCTTTTTTAGATTCCACATAAGAGTGAGATCATGTGGTATTTGTCCTTCTGTGTCTGGCTTCTTTCACTTCGCATAATGTCCTGCAGGTTCATGAATGTTGTTGTAAAGACAGAATTTCCCTTTTTTCTTTAAGGCTGAATAGTATTCCATTTTATATAGATAATGTGGTTCATATATATCACATTATATCCCTTTTATATATTTATCTGTTTATCCGTTGATGGACATTTAGGTTCCTTTCATACCTCAGCTATTGTGAAAAATGCTACAATGAACATGGTAGTGCAGATATCTGTAGTGAATTCTTATGAGTTTATGTTACCTCAGCGTTCATTTTCAATATATAATTGAACTTCCTCATGCCAGAAGCAGGACTTAGTCACCCTTATCACAATTTTGAGTTCTCCTCTCCCAGTTTCTTCAGGTGGTCAATCCAGATATTTGGCCTCTTGGTTACCACCTCCGTGTGGGACACCTAGATACAACCTACTTGACTTATCCCACTGATCCCCACACCCCACATGGACTGCAGATTTGCAGCAGTGAACACCTCTCAATACAACTTAACTCCCAAGAAATCATGCCTGCTTGCTCTAAACCCAGCAATCAGTTACTCCCTGCTTGGATAATGCTGTGTACTCCAATAAGGGCTTTGGCTTTCTGGTCTGTCACTCACTCTCTCTCGCTACCCACCCACTGGTTGCACATGCATGTCTCTAAGGGATGCCCTTTCTCCCATTAGGCCTGTGAGGCAAGTTGCCCTCTTCTCTCTGGAATCTTTAAGTAATAAAACTACTTATACTATTTTTTTTTATGTGTCTTCTTGGCGTCTCACCTGACACACCTGAAATTAATTTTTTTTTCTGGACAAGGCTCCCTTAGAGAGTGGCAATCTTGGTAGGAATGAACTGGACACACTAGTCAGACAAAAGCCACAATGGTGTCTGCCAGTGAAAACAAGTTTCCAGTGAGAGGGACACCTGGTCATAAATAGGACAATTAGGCATTAGCTCTCCATCAGGATAAGGAAGTATTCCATGAAAAGAACACCGAAAACATCCACAACCACAACCACCTCCACTGGAGCCCATCAGAGCCAGGCTAGAGTTTCTAGCCACTCTTCAAAGAGAGACGTTAAAACCAAATTAGAGGAAAATCTACCCATTTTTTTTTTTTTTTGAGATGGAGTCTTGCTCTGTAGCCCAGGCTGGAGTGCAGTGGCATAATCTCAGCTCACTGCAAACTTGGCCTCCCAGGTTCAAGCAATTCTCCTGTCTCAGCCACCTGAATAGCTGGGACTACAGGTGCAAACCACAGCCGGCTAATTTTTTTGTATTTTTAGTAGAGATGGGGTTTCACCATATTGGTCAGGCTGGTCTCTAACATATTTTTAAAATACAAATTTCAATCTCTTTGGCTATGTATCCAGAAATATAATTGCTAGATCCTATGGTAATTCTATCTTTAGTTTTTTGAGGAATCTCCATGCTGATTTCAATAATGCCTGTATTAATTTACATTCCTGCCATTAGTATATAAGGATTCCCCACATCCTTGTCAGTACTTATTACCTTTTAGTTTACTGATAATAGTCATTCTAACAGGTATGAGGTGATATCTCTTTGTTTTGTTTTAATTTGCATTTCCCTGATGATTAGTGATGTAGACACTTTTTTATATATCTATTGGTCTTTTGAAAGATGTCCATTCAAGTCCATTGCTCAGTTTTAAATGGCGTTATTTGTTTTCTTGCTAACAAATTTAAGTTGTTTGCATTTCTTACATATTTTGGATATTAGCCATGTATGGTTTGTAAATATTTTCTCCCAGTCCATGGGTTGTCTCTTCAATCTGTTATTTACTTTGTTGTAGAGAAGCTTTTGGTTTCAGGTAATCCCATTTGTCTACTTCTGCTTTGGTTTCCTGAGCTTTTGAGATCATCACCAAGAAAGTATTGCCAAGATTAATTTCAGGGACATTTTTCCCTATGCTTTCTTCTAGTAGTTTTACATTTTCAGGTCTCGCAATCTTTAAACCATTTTTAGTGGGCTTTTTACACATGGTGTGAGATAAGGGTTCAATTTCATTCTTCTGTATGTGGGTATTTGATTTCCCCTGCATCATTTATTAAAGAAACTGTCCTTTCCCCATAGTGTGTTTATTCTTGGCATCTTTGGCAAAAATCAATTAATCACAAATGCATGAGTTTATGTCTGGGCTCTCTATCACATTACATTGGTCCATGTGTCTGTTGTTATGCCAGTACCTTTCTGTTTTGAATACTATAACTTTGTAATATATCTTTAATCAGGTAGTGTGATGCCTCCAGCTCTGGTCTTTTTGCTCAAAAGTGCTTTAGCTACTTAAGATTTTTGTCATTCCATATGAATTTTTGAATTGCTTTTTCTATTTCTGTGAAACAAAAAGGTCATTAGAACTTTTATAGGAATTGCATTGAATCTGTATACCACTTTCAGCAGCACAGACATTTTAATAATATTAATTCCTCCAATCCATGAACCATCAGGTTCTGGGCTTTTCTTTGGTAGGAGACTTTTATCACTGATTCAACCCCCTTACTCATTAGTCTGTTCAGATTTTCTATTTTTTCATAATTCATTGTTGTTATGTTTCTGGAAATCTAACCATTTCTTCTAGGTCATCCTATTTGTTGGTGTAAAATTGTTCGTAGTATTCTTTTATGATCTTTTGTACTTGCGTAGTTTCAATTTTAATGTCTCCTCTTTCATTTCTTATTTTATTAGAGTCTTCTTTTTTTTCTTAGTTGGTCTGCTAAAGTTTTGTCAATTGTTTTTATCTTTTCAAAAACTGAACTGTTAGTTTTGCAAATGTGTTCTTTTGTTTTCTAATCTCTTACTTATTTCTGCTCTGATCTTTGTTATTTCCTTCCTTCTGCTAACTTTGGGATTAGTTTGCTCTTCTCTTTTTCTAGTTTCTTGAAATGTAACATTAGGTTGTTTGAGATCTTTCTTCTTTTTCAATATCGGCATTTATTACTATAAACTTTCCTCCTGCTAAGAACTTCTTTTGTTACATCCCATAAGTTGTGGTACGTTGCATTTTCATTTTCATCTGTCTTAAGATATTTTTTAACTTCCCTTTGATTTCTTCATTAACCCATTGTTTATTCAAGAGCATGTTGGTTAATTTCCACATTTGTAATATTTTCAAATTTTCCCCTATTATTTATTTCTATTCATTTCTACTTTCATAATTTTGTGGTCAGAAAAGATACTTGATATGATTTCAATCTTCTTAAAATTGTTGAGTCTTATTTTGTTACCTAATATTTGATCCTGGATAATGTCTCATTTGCACTTGAGAAGAATGAATATTCTGTTGCTGTTGGATGAAATGTTCTATAACGTCTTTAGGTCCATTTGGTCCAAAGTGTATGTCAAGTCTAGTGTTTCCCTATTGATTTCTGTCTAGATGAAAAAATTGTTCATCATTACTAATCATCAGAGAAATGCAAATCAAAACCACAATGAGATATCATCTAACACCAGTCAGAATGGCTGCTATTTAAAAGTCAAAAAACAACAGATATTGCGGAGGCTGCAGAGAAACGCGAACGCTTATACACTGTTGGTGAGAATGAACATTAGTTCAGCCACTGTGGAAAGCAGTTTGGAGATTTTCCAAAAGAACTAAAAACAGAGCTACCATTGGACCCAGCAATACCATTCCTGCGTATTTAGTCAAAGGAAAATATATCATTATACCAAAAGAACACACGCACTCATGTTCATGGCAGCACTATTCACAACAGCAGAGACATAGGCCTGCCCATCAGTGGTGGATTGGATAGAGACAATGTGGAGTTCCGGCAGAGACCCGGGTGGGACGCGCTGACCATGGGCCTGCGGAGGGGCTGGGGGTTCAGGACCTCCCGCAGCCTCTGCCCTGCAGGCTCCAGGTGCCCTCGCTGTGGCTCCCCTCGCGGGCCCAGGCCTGAAGAAGCCGCGAACCTCTCTTCCCTACCCCACCTCCGTGACTGATGGCAGCTCCTCTCTCAGCCCAGACCCCGCCGGCCTCCATGTCTCCCGGCCCAGCCCTGCGGGGCCTAAACTAAGCCCCTGCCGAGCTGCTAGGATGCAGCGCATTTGAGTGGCTGCGGGCGTGGGGGGCCGGGAAGCATGGCGACCGCCCCAACTCACAGCGGAGGCCGTTAGGGTGTGGAGGGCGCGGGAAGGTGGGTCGCCTGCCACCGGGGCGCGGGCAGATCGGACCGCTCTGTCCCAACTGGTCGAGACCGACCTAGTCCTGACGACAGGAACAACGGCATTAACAACGGCCGGAAGGTGAGCAGTGTCCCAGACAACGACGGATAGCGGCCACCTGGCCACTGGTCTTCCTTCTCTACCAGACCTGGATGTGGGAAGAGAGAAGTGGTGGAACAGGCCACATTTGGCGTATTGGAGATGCCCACTACCCTTTGGGAAGATTTAATTACCACCGTTTATAGAAGGCCCTGCGTGTGTAAAGTGAGAAAGCGGCTCTCAACTGCCCCCGCCCCAACTTTTAAATAGAAAACATTTGCCACATTTAGCCCTTCTAGATGGAAAGAGGTTGTGATGTATGATAAAGTTAGAAAATCACACATCTTATAAATTCTCATTTGTTCAAAAAGAAATGATAGAAAATAGATGTCTTCTGGAAATGGCTTTTCGCAATGGAATTGTTGGACCACTTCTGGAAGCCATACCAGGAACGACAGACACAACCACATTTGTTCAGTGGGTTAGAGGGCATGAAGAAGAAGACCTGAGAAGGAAAAGAAGAAGGTTCTGTGCCAGACTAGTCATATTCAGAAGACATTCTCATATTCTTTCCATTGTTTTGTGTGCATTTTATTCCCTACTACTGTATAGATCATTGACAATGCTACACTTTTTTGAAATGTCTAGTGTTTCTAGATGTTCTGAGGTGCCTGATATATGTTTAAACTAGAAGTAGTAAAATAACACATTTTGTAAGTATCTTTTTGTTAAAATTCGAATGAAACATTGTTTTAGGGGGAATGGCCAAACCACAAGTTGAGTAATATGCATTGTATTATGCGCCAGTTCAGGAGAGGAGGAGGAGGAGGCTGTGCAGAGAGCTCTGTGCCACCAGTGTGCTTACAGTGAGGCAAGATTAACCATTATATCTTATGTTTGTGCATTTTCTTTTACTTATCTATGTATAAAGTGTATATAGAGGAAAACAAGTCCTAATTTACATCTAGTCTTTCTAGATGTTATGGAGGTTGCCAGTGAATTACAAAAGTAGAGTTAGTAAACTAATATTTTTGTACATTTTGTTTTTAAATTCCTAGGGAAGATTGTCTTCTGAAAACTTGAGCATTCTTGCCCACTGGGTTGATGGAGATGGAAAGATTTTTAGGCCAGAATGTTCACATTTGGAAGACTCCTTCAAATTATAACTATTGTTACATGTATGCAGTTTATTCAAGGCTGCAGTGTACATAGTGGACAGATTAACTTCTTACCTGAAACCGCTAGTCTATTTAGATGTTTAGAAGGGCCTGATGTATGTTAAATGTAGAGGTAGCAAAATTTCACTTTGTAAATGTCTTTTTGCTGAAATTCATAGGAAATACTGTGTTTTGGAAATTGAATTATTAAGCCATCTTTGTGAGTGGTATAGTACTGTCTATACTTGCTCAGTAGTTTAGAGGAGCTGGGACGGATGAAACTGCAAAAGGTAACATGCTAGTGTGCTCATACTTGCACATTTTCAGGCACCATTTTTCTGTATGTTTTGTGCATTGTGTTTTGCTCTGTATATAGCGCATATAATGAACAAATGAGTCCTAATTTTGCAACATCTAGTCTCTAGATGTTAAAGAGGCTGGCAGTGTATGACAAAGTACTTAGTAAAATTAGCACTTTTTGTAAGCTTTGTGTTGAAATTCATAGGAAACCTTGTCTTCTGTAAATAACTTTTGGATCTAAATTTGTTCAACCATTTCTAAAGTATGACACATGCCTATACTTGTCTACTGAAATAAAGGCAGAGAGAAGAAAGGAAGGACTACTTCAAGGCCAAAATGGTCATGTTTAGAAGATACCTCAGATTATAACTGTTGTTATGTGTGTGCAATTTTATTTAACAGTGCCATGTACATGGTGGACAAGTTATATGAAATATTTAATCTTTCTAGATATTTGGAAGTGCTTGGTGTATTTAAAAATAGAAGTAGTAGAATAACACTTTCTGTAAATATCTTTTAAAAGTAATGAGAAATACTTTTTGGAACTGGCATTGTTGAACCACCTCTGTGAACAGCGTCCTCTCTGTACATGTTCATTGGGTTGAGGGAGATTGGAAGGAAGATATTGCAAAAAGTGTCTTGCTCTTGCGATAGTTTACTGAGAATGATGATTTCCAATTTCATCCAAGCCAAACACCGCATATTCTCACTCATAGGTGGGAACTGAACAACGAGATCACATGGACACAGGAAGGGGAATATCACACTCTGGGGACTGTTGTGGGGTGGGGGGAGGGGGGAGGGATAGCGTTGGGAGATATACCTAATGCTAGATGCGAGTTAGTGGGTGCAGCGCACCAGCGTGGCACATGTATACATATGTAACTAACCCGCACAATGTGCACATGTACCCTAAAACTTAAAGTATAATAATAAAAAATAAAAAATAAAAAGTGTTTTGCTAATGTTTACTAGAAAATTTCAGCTTAATCCATTACCTATATGTTACATGCATTGCATTTAACTTTGCTATACTGTATATATTGTGTGTATACTGGATGAAGTAGTCTTAATTTTATAATATCTAGTCTAGTCTCTAGATATTAAAGAGGTTGCCAATTTATAACAATTTATGAGAGTTAGTTTACTAACTCTATTTTTGTACACTTTGTTGAAATTCATAGAAAGGCTATCTTCTGAAAAGGACTTTTGGAAGTGAAATGATAACATCAGTTCTAAATGACACATATGCCTATATCCACTAGGTTGGTGGTAGAGAGGAGTTAGAAGGAATGAAAGATTTTAGACCAGAATGTTCCTATTTAGAAGACACTTTCAGATATAACCATTGTTACCTGTGTATATAGTGGACAAATTTAAGTCCTTATTTGAAACATCTAGTCTTTCTAGAAGTGCACAAAGTATGTTAAAAGTAGAGGGAGTAAATAACACTTTGTAGATATCCTTTTGATTCATATGAAATATTGTCTTTGGGAAATGGATCAAACCACTTATCTGAGCAGTACACATTACTATATGTGTGTTGGCTCAGGGAGGAAAGAGGAGCAGAAAGGGCAAAGGGTAATTCAAATACCAGTGTGTTTATGGTGAGGCACACTTTACCATTGTCCCTTATGTCTGCATTTTCTTTTACTGTGCTGTGTATATAGTGCATATAAGTGGACAAATTAGTCCTAATTTTCAACATCTAGTCTTTGTAGATATTAAGATGTTTCTAGTGTATGACAAAAGTAGAGTTAGTAAACTACTGTACTGAGTACACTTTTTGGTAAAATTCACAGGGAGGACTGTTCTTAAAAACACAAAAGGATGAAGCCGAAGACGGCCAAATAGGAGCAGTTCTGGTTTGCAGCTCCCAGCAAGACCAATCCAGATGGCAGGTGATTTCTGCATTTCCAACTGAGGTACCCCGTTCCTCTCATTAGGACTGGTTAGGCAGCAGGTCAAACCCATGGAGGGCAAGCAGAAGAAGGGTGGGGAGTTGCTTACCCAGGAAGTTCAAGAGGCCAGGGGACCTCTTTCCCCGAGCCAGGGGAGCCATGAGGGACAGTGCTGCCTAGCTTGTTACTACACTTTTCCCATGGTTTTTGCAATCTGTAGATCAGGAGATTCCCTTGTGTGCCTACACCACCAGGGCCTTAGGTTTCAAGCACAAAACTGGGTGGCCATTTGGGCAGACACAGAGCTAGATGAAGGAGTATTTTTCCTACCCTAGTGATGCCTGGAACCCCAGCGAGACAGAACCATTTACTCCCCTGGAAAGGAGGCTGAAGCCAGGGAGCCAAGTGGTCTCGCTCAGCAGGTCCCACTCCCACAGAACCTAGCAAGCTAAGAACCACTGGCTTGAAATTCTCACTGCCAGCACAGCAGTCTGAAGTCAACCTAGGACAATTGAGCTTCATGGGATGAGGGACGTCTGCCATTACTGAGGCTTTAGTAGGCCATTTTCCCTGACAGTTCCAAGGAGTCTCGGAGGTATGGACTGGCAAATTCATCACAGTGCAGCAAAGCAGCTGTGGCCAGACTGCTTCTCTAGATTCCCCCTCACTGGGCAGGGCATCTCTGAAAGAAAGGTAACAGCCCCAGTCAGAGGCTTACAGACAAAACCCCCATCTCCCTGGGACAGAGCACCTGGGGAAGAGGTGGCTGTGGGCACAGCACAAGCAGATTTAATCGTTCCTGCCTGCCTGCTCTGAAGACAGCAGCTGATCCTGACAAGAGGGATTCTCCCAGCACAGCACACCAGTTCTCTTAAGGGACACACTCCCTCCTCAAGTGGGTCCCTAACCCCCATGCCTCCTGACTGGGAGACAACTCCCAACAGGGGTTGACAGAACCTCACACAGGAGAGCTCCAGCTGTCATCAGGCCAGTGCCCTTCTGGGACGAAGCTTCCAGAGGAAGGAGCAGGAAGCAATCTTTGCTGTTCTACAGCCTCTGCTGGTGATACCCAGGCAAACAGGGTCTGGAGTACACTTCCAGCAAACTGCAGCAGACCCGCAGAAGAGGGGCCTGACTGTTATAAGGAAAACTAACAAACAGAAACAACGTCAACATCAACATAAAGGACCGTCACACAAAAACCCCATCCAAAGTCATCAGCCTCAAAGATCAAAGGTAGATAAATCCACAAAGATGAGGAAAAACTAGCATAAAAACGCTGAAAATTCCAAAAACCAGAATGCCTCTTCTACTCAAAATGATCTCAACTCCTCTCCAGCAAGGGCACAAAACTGGAGAAGGAGATTGATGAATGACAGAAGTAGGCTTCACAAGGTGTGTAATAACAAACTCCTCTGAGCTAAAGGAGCATGTTCTAACCCAATGCAAGGAAGCTAAGAACCTTGATAAAAGGTTACAGAAACTGCTAACTAGACTAGCCAGTTTAGAGGAGAACATAAATGACCTGAGGAGCTGAAAAACACAGCACGAGAACTTTGTAAGATATACACAAGGATCAATAGCCAAATCGATCAAGCAGAAGAAAGGATATTAGAGACTGAAGACCAACTTACTGAAATAAGGTGTGAAGACAAGATTAGAGAAAAAAGAATGAAAAGGAACAAACAAAGCCTCCAGGAAATATGGGACTATGTGAAAAGACCAAACTTATGTTTGATTGGTTTACCTGAAAGTGACGAGAAGAATGGAACCAAGCTGGAAAACAGCTTCAGGATATTATCCAGGAGAACTTCCACAAGGTAGCAATACAGGCCAACATTCAAATTCAGGAAATACGAGAACACCACTAAGATACTGCTCGAGAAAAGCAACCCCAAGAAACGTAATTGTCAGATTCTCCAAGCTTGAAATGAAGGAAAAAAAGTTAAGGGCAGCCAGAGAGAAGGGTCAGGTTACCTATAAAGGGAAGCCCATCAGACTAACAGCATATCTCTCTGCAGAAACCCTACAAGCCAGAAGAGAGTGGGGGCCAATATTCAACATTCTTAAAGAAAAGAATTTTCAACCAAGAATTTCATCTCCAATGCGCCAAATGTGGCCTGTTGTTCCACCACTTCTCTCTTCCCACATACAGGTCTGGTAGAGAAGGAAGACCAGTGGCCAGGTGGCCGCTATCCGTCGTTGTCTGGGACACCGCTCACCTTCCGGCCGTTGTTAATGCCGTTGTTCCTGTCGTCAGGACTAGGTCGGTCTCGACCAGTTGGGACAGAGCGGTCCGATCTGCCCGCGCCCCAGTGGCAGGCGACCCACCTTCCCGCGCCCTCCACACCCTAACGGCCTCCGCTGCGAGTTGGGGCGGTCGCCATGCTTCCCGGCCCCCCACGCCCGCAGCCACTCAAATGCGCTGCATCCTAGCAGCTCGGCAGGGGCTTAGTTTAGGCCCCGCAGGGCTGGGCCGGGAGACATGGAGGCCGGCGGGGTCTGGGCTGAGAGAGGAGCTGCCATCTGTCACCGAGGTGGGGTAGGGAAGAGAGGTTCGCGGCTTCTTCAGGCCTGGGCCCGCGAGGGGAGCCACAGCGAGGGCACCTGGAGCCTGCAGGGCAGAGGCTGCGGGAGGTCCTGAACCCCCAGCCCCTCCGCAGGCCCATGGTCAGCGCGTCTCACCCGGGTCTCTGCCGGAACTCCACATTCTCTCTATCCAATCCACCACTGATGGGCACCTAGGTTGGTTCTATGTCTCTGCTATTGTGAATAGTGCTGCCATGAACATGAGTGCGTGTGTCCTTTTGGTATAATGATATATTTTCCTTTGACTAAATACGCGGTAATGGAATTGCTGGGTCCAATGGTAGCTCTGTTTTTAGTTCTTTTGGAAAATTCTCCAAACTGCTTTCCACAGTGGCTGAACTAATGTTCATTCTCACCAACAGTGTATAAGCGTTCGCGTTTCTCTGCAGCCTCCGCAATATCTGTTGTTTTTTGACTTTTAAATAGCAGCCATTCTGACTGGTGTGAGATGGAATCTCATTGTGGTTTTGATTTCCGTTTCTCTGATGATTAGTAATGATGAACAATTTTTTCCATATGTTTATTGGTCACCTTTATGTCTTCTTTTGAGAAGTGTCTGTTCATCCTTTGTCATTTGTTAATTTTTTAATGGGGTTATGTTTGTTGATTTAAGTTCCTTATAGATTCTGGATATTAGACCTTTGTTGTATGCATAGTTTGTGAATCTTTTCTCACCTTCCGTAAGTTGTCTGTTTATTCTATTTATAGTTTCTTTTGCTGTGCGGAAGCTCCTTAGTTTAATTTGTATTTATGGATAGTAAAGATAACTAGCATTTGAGTTTGTATAAAGATAAGATGATAAGTATTGAGTTGAGGTGAAGCAACTAATGTCACAGAAGTTAGAAATATTTTGCCACATTGTAAGCTCTATTTGACTTTTGACTTTGTGTAGTAGATATAGATAGCATGAAAGCCTTAATTTTTCGCTTTTCTTGCTAGTAAGGTTATGTTTGCTTAGAGTGACCATTTAAAGTGTGTTTAACATAACATTACTGTTGAAAAACATTCCATTACATGTCCACAAGCAAATTAACTGCACATTTTAAATTGTATTTTACAATACAGTACAAATATTTTAGACCTCAATCTTATCTTCAATTCACTGGTATTTTAAGTTTTGCAATGAATATGAAGTTACTTTTTAGCTTACAGACTCCTTGTATTGTTATTTAAAATGCTTGTTACTATTGTAGGAAGGTTGAAGGCTTCATCTTTTTTTGAGTTAATATTTAAATTCTTATTACTTACTTTGATAGTCTCTAATTAAAAAAAGTAGTATGCAGGCAATTAAACAAATCAGTATATGCATTCAAGAATTTAAAACAATTTTACATTTTGTCATCATTGGGATTAAATTTTGGCCGGGTGTTCACTTTCAATATATATGTATGAACAATTTAATTATGAAGTGAAATAGTCTTAAGTCTGATATATGATGCACCCGCATATAAATTAAAATGGCACACACAAAGACACTTTACTATGGGAACTGTATTGGAAGATTTATGAAATTTTAGGTAAAATTGAACCTAAAATTTTGTTATTAGTGACTATAAGTAGCAATGCTTAATTTATTGTACTTGATGAATGAATGTATTTAGGTTAGCCATAGTTACTTTGGTTTAAATGTCGAAATCATGTCTTTATTTTAAAAATGTATTTGTAATTTGTACTATCAACGGGGGATATTATTGGACTGCAGAGGTTGTGGCAATGTGTGATTTGTGTTTCCTTATTTTATAGAATTATCTAATGTGATATACTAGTTTTTACAGGTAATATTTAGATATTTCTAATAATTGTATATTTGACAACCTACTAAAATGCTTTGCATTGGAAAGAAACTGAAAAACAATATGCAGACGTAGGCTGCCTGTAAGAGGTTCACTTTAACTTGAAGAACACACATTGATTGAAAAAATTATTTCATGCAAGTGGAAAGCAAAAGACAAGGGTAGCTGTACTTTTATGAGATGAACTTTAAGTCCAAAACTGTTAAAAGAGACAAAGAAGGTCATTATGTAATGATAAAAGGGTCAATTCATGAAAAGGACTTAACAATTGTAAATATATATGCACCTAATATAAGATCACCTATACATATAAAGAAAGCATTAGTAGACCTGAAAAGAGATAGACTGCAATACAATAATAGCAGAGGATTTCAATACTTTACTTTCAACAGTGGACATATCATCTAGACAAAAATCAATAAGGAAACACTGGACTTGACATACACTTTAGACCAAGTGGACCTAACAGACATATATAGAACATTCCATCCAACAGCAACAGAATATTCATTCTTCTCAAGTGCAAATGGGACATTATCCAAATAAGGTAACAAAATAAGACTCAACAGTTTTAAGAAGACTGAAATCATATCAAGTATCTTTTCTGACCACAAAAGTATGAAAGTAGAAATGAATAGAAATAAATAATACGATAAAATTTGAAAATATTACATACGTGGAAATTAACCAACACGCTCTTGAATAAACAAAGGGTTAATGAAGAAATCAAAAGGGAAATTAAAAAATATCTTAAGACAGATGAAAATGAAAATGCAACGTACCACAACTTATGGGATGTAACAAAAGAAGTTCTTAGCAGGAGGAAAGTTTATAGTAATAAATGCCGATATTAAAAAAGAAGAAAGATCCCAAACAAACAACCTAATGTTACATTTCAAGAAGCTAGAAAAAGAGAAGAGCAAACTAATCCCAAAGTTAGCAGAAGGAAGGAAATAACAAAGATCAGAGCAGAAATAAGTAAGAGACTAGAAAACAAAAGAACACATTTGCAAAACTAACAGTTCAGTTTTTGAAAAGATAAAAACAATTGACAAAACTTTAGCAGACCAACTAAGAAAAAAAAGAAGACTCTAACAAAATAAGAAATGAAAGAGGAGACATTAAAATTGAAACTACAGAAGTACAAAAGATCATAAAAGAATACTACGAACAATTTTACACCAACAAATAGGATGACCTAGAAGAAATGGTTAGATTTCTAGAAACATAACAACAATGAATCATGAAAAAATAGAAAATCTGAATCAGTTAATCCAGGAGGTGGATTTTGAAAAGATCCACAAAATTGATGGACTGCTAGCAAGACTAATAATGAAGAAAAGAGAAAAATCAAATAGATCTATTAAAAAATAATAAAGGAGATATCACTACTGATCCCACAGAAATACAAATTCTCTTTTTTTTTGTTGTGTCTCTGACAGGCTTTGGTATCAGGATGATGCTGGCATCATAAAATGAGTTAGGGAGGATTCTCTCTTTTTCTATTGATTGGAATAGTTTCAGAAGGAATGGTACCAGCTCCTCCTTGTACCTCTGGTAGAATTCGGCTGTGAATCCATCTCGTTCTGGACTTTTTTTGGTTGGTAGGTTATTAATCATTGCCTCAATTTCATAACCTGTTAGTGGTCTATTCAGAGATTCAACTTCTCCCTGGTTTAGTTTTGGGAGGGTGTATGTGTCCAGGAATTTATCAATTTCTTCTAGATTTTCTAGTTTATTTCCATAGAGTTGTTTATAATATTTTCTGGGAAAACTGGCTAGCCACCATGTAGAAAGCTGCAACTGGATCCATTCCTTACACCCTATACAAAAATTAATTCAAGATGGATTAAAGACTTAAATGTTAGACCTAAAACCATAAAAACCCTAGAAGAAAACCTAGGCAATACCATTCAGGACACAGGCATGGGCAAAGACTTCGTGACTAAAACACCAAAAGCAATGGCAACAAAAGCCAAAATAGATGCATGGGATCTAATTAAACTAAAGAGCTTCTGCACAGCAAAAGAAACTACCATCAGAGTGAACAAGCAATGTACAGAATGGGACAAAATTTTTGCAATCTACCCAATTAACAAAGGGCTAATATCCAGAATCTACAAAGAACTTAAACAAATATACAAGAAAAAAATAAACAACCCTATCAAAATGTGGGCAAAGGATATGAACAAACACTTCTTGAAAGAAGACATTTATGCAGCCAACAGACACATAAAAAATGCTCATCATCACTGGTCATCAGAGAAATGCAAATCAAAACCACAATGAGATACCATCTCATACCAGTTAGAATGGCAATCATTGAAAAGTCAGGAAAGGACAGATGCTGGAGAGGATGTGAAGAAATAGGAACACTTTTACACTGTTGATGGGAACGTAAATTAGTTCAACCATTGTGGAAGACAGTGTGGTGATTCCTCAAAGATCTAGAACTAGAAATACCATTTGACCCAGTGATCCCATTACTGGGTATATACCCAAAGGATTATAAATCATGCTATTATAAAGACACATGGACACATATGTGTATTGTAGCACTATTCATGATAGAAAAGACTTGGAATGTCCATCAATGATAGGCTAGATTAAGAAAATGTGGCACATATACACCATGGAATACTATGCAGCCACAAAAAAGGGTGAGTTGATGTCCTTTGCAGGGACATGAATGAAGCTGGAAACCATCATTCCCAGCAAACTATCACGAGGATAGAAAACCAAAGACCACATGTTCTCACTCATAGGTGGGAATTGAACAATAAGAACACTTGGACACAGGATGGGGAACATCACACACTGGGGCCTGTTAGAGGGTGGGGAGCTGTGGGAGGGATAGCATTAGGAGAAATACCTAATGTAAATGACAGGTTGATGGGTGCAGCAAACCAACATGGCACATGTATACCTATGTAACAAACCTGCACATTGTGCACATGTACCTTAGAACTTAAAGTATAATAAAAATATTTTTAAAAAGATATTTGTTTTTTGCACCAGCTATACATCAGAACAGAATCTGGTGACTAAGAGGCTAAGAAACAGGGCTTATATGATTTTACATTTCTGGGGAGACAAATAATGGAAATTTTGGCCCATATAAATACCCAAGACTTTCAGCTAGAATGGGTGAATGGCTGCAACCTATGAATAACCATAGACTGAATATAGGCCAGCCCTAAAAATGACTGCAATCTAGAGTATATAATCACCTTTGCTGATGATAGCATATGCAAAATAAACTACATAATTTAAAGTATGCAAGTCAGTATTTTTATAGTTGTATATACCCATGATACCAATACCTCAATCAAGGTAGAGAACATTTCCATCACTCTCCAAAATCTATTTTGTCTTTTGATTTCAGACTTAGTCAACTACTACTCTAATTTATGCCCTCATAGATAAGTTTGCATGTTCTTGAATTCTTAGTGATAGATCTACATAGTGTGTATTATTTTGAGTCTTGCTTTCTGCATTCAGCAAAAATATTTTGAAATTCATCTAAAATGGTTGCAGGCCAGCACATTGTTTTGTTTTCATTACTAGTAATGTTCAATAATAAGGATATAGTATAATTTATTCATTACATCCGTTGACAGATACTTACAGTAATTCTAGGTTTTCGCCACAGTATTTTGAAAAAAGTGGCTATAAATATTCAGCACAGGTCTTCATTTGAGCAAATGTTTTTACTTCTCTTGAACAGATATTTAAGAGTTGAATGAATGGGCCATAAGGTATGTGTAACTTTTAAAGAAACCACAAAACAGTGTTCCAAAGTGTCTGTGTCATTTTACGCTCCTACCAGCAATGTATGACCCAATTCTATCCACCCCATTCAAAATTAGGGATGTTTTCCTACTTTAATTACTTCCCAAAAGCAAAAATAAATTCTATCTAGAGGAGGATAACAACATTCCAAACTTTTAAAAAGTATATATTGTATAAATTGTATATATATAGAGTATAAATATGTATATATTGTATAAATAAATTGTGTAAAAAGTATGTATGTATATATTGTATAAATAAAAAGTACATATTGTATCAATTGTCATTTTGAAATAGATGCTGGAGAAATGGAGGAAAGAAGAGGTTATTAACTATTTCAATAATGCTCATTCTATCACTACCAAACCTGTCCTACGAGAACTGCTAAAGGAAGTTCACCAAACTGAAAGAATGTTAATGTGATTGTCATACTAAAAATGAAGTATTATATTTAAACCACTTACCTATTTAGTAAGAAAACTAAAAACAATTTAAAATAATAACTACAACAATTTTTAAGAGATAGGCAATATAAAAAATGTAAATTGCAACATCAAAATTCAAAATATGGGTGAAGAATGGAGTTAATGTGTATAAGTTTTTAGTTGGAAGTTTGTTTTTATTTTTGAGAGCAAAGTTAAGTTGCTATCAGTTTTATACTACATGTTATATTATAGGATACTTTTTGTAAGCCTCATGGACACCACAGTGCAAAAACTTATAATGGATACACTAACAATAAAAAGCAACAAATTAAAACATACTACCAGAGGAAAATAACAAGGAAAAAAGGAAAGAAGGAAGGAAGGAAGGAAGGGGAAGGGGAAGGGGAGGGAGAGGGGGAAAGAGAGAAAGAGAGGAAGGCAGGAAGGAAGGAAGGAAAGGAAGGAAGGAAGGAAGAGAGGAATTACGAAATTAGAAAACAAGTAACAAAATGGCAGTACTAAGGCATGAACTATCAAAAATAAAATTGAATGTAAACAGACTACATTCTATTTAAAAGACATACAATGGTTAAATGAATTAAAAACAAGACCAAATTATATGCTGCCTGCTGCCTGCCAGAAACTCTTCAATAAATAGTGCTGGCATAGCAGGCTAGCCATATGTAGAAGACTGGAATTGAACCTGTTCCTTTTACCATACACAAAAATAAACTCAAGATAGATTAAAGACTTAAATGTACAACCCAAATGTATAAAAACAATAGAAGAAATTCTAGGAAATACCATTCTGGACATCGACTTTCACGAAGACTTCAAGACGAGGACTCCAAAAGCAATCACAACAAAACCAAAAATTGACAAATAGAATATAATTAAACTAAAGAGCTTCTGCATAGCAAAAGAAACTATCAACGGAATACACACACAACTTACAGAATGGGAGAAAATATTTGCAAACTATGCATCTGGCAAAGGTCTAATATCCAGAATCTATAAGGAACTTAAACAAATAAAAAAGTGAAAAACAAACAACTCTATTTTTAAAACGAGCAAATGGCATGAACAGACACTTCTCAAAAGAAGATATACACATCTAACAAGTATATTAAAAAGTTCAATATCACTAATCACCAGAGAAATGCAAATCAAAACCACAATGAGATATTGTCCCACACCGGTCAAAATGGCTACTATTAAAAAGTTAGGAAATAACATTTGCTGGTGAGGTGGTGGAGAAAAGGGAACATTTATATACCACTGGTGGAAATGAAAACTAGTTCAGCCACTGTAGAAAGAAGTCTGGAGATTTCTCAAATAACTTAAAATAGAACTACCACTTGATCCAGCAATCCCATTACTAGGTGTATAACCAAAGTAATATAAATCATTCTGCCATAAAGCAATATGCATGCAGATTTTCAGTGCAGCACTATTTACAATATCAAAGTCACAGAATCAACCTAGTTGTCCATCAGTGGTGGACTGGATACAGAAAACATATATACCACAGAATACTATGCAGCTATAAAAAACGAGACTTTGGTCTTTGCAGTAATAGGGATGGAGCTGGAAGCTATCATCCTAAGCAAATTGGTGAAGGAATGGAAACCCCAGTATGGCATGTTCTCACTTATAATTGGGAGTTAAATATTGAGTACATAAGGACACAAAGAAAAGAACAATAGAAACTGGGGCCTATGATGGGGGAGGTGAGGATCAAAACCAACCCATTGGTTACCACACTTATTACATGGGTGACAAAATAATCTGTACACCAAACCCATGTGACACACAATTTACCTATATAACAAACCTGCACAGGTACCCTGAACCTAAAATTAAAGTTTAAAAAAAAAGAAAAGCTACTTAATGGGTATAATGCTAATTCCCTGGGTGACAAAATTATCTGTACACCAAACCCCCATAACAAAAAATTTACTGATGTAACAAACCTGCACATGTACCACTTGAACCTGAAATACGTTGTGCACATGTACCCTAAAACTTAAAGTATAATAAAAAAATTAAAAATAAAAAAAAGCAAAAAAAAAATTGGAAAGAAAAAAAGAACCTCACTTCACCTATAGAAACACACAAAGAATGCAACACCAGTGTCTAGCAAGAGAAGGATGGATAAAGAAAATGTAATATATATACATGATGGAATATCATTCAACCATAAAAAATAATGAAATCCTTTCATTAGTAGCAACATGGATAAAATTGGAAGTCATTATGTTAAGTGAAATAAACCATGAACAGAAATACAAATATATCATGTTCTCACTGGTATGCAGGAGCTAAAAAAAGTGGATCTTATGAAGGTCAAGGGTAGAATGGTGCTTATCAGAGTCTGCAAATGGATGCAAGGAAAAACAGATGAAAAAGAGTTTGTTAGTGGATACAAAAATAGAGTTAGATACAAGGAATAATTTTTAGTATTTGATAATACAGTAGAGAAAATACAACTAACATTTATTAATATTAGCATAACATATATTGTATATTTCAAAATAGCTAGAAAAAAATTGTAATTTTCACAACACAAAGTGTTTGTGGTGATAGATATTATAATCACTCTGATTTAATCATTACACATTGTATATGTGTAAGAAAACACATCTACCCCAAAATATGTACAACTATAATATATTGAAAAATTAAATAAATAAATAAATATAGTGCTCATTTTAGAAAACCAATCAATGATGCCTAAAAGAGGGACTAATGTGTAAATATAAGCATCAAAACAAAAAAAATCAAATCTCCTGAAATACCAAAATACCAAAAAAGAATGAAAAGTGAAATATTTTCTATACCTTTTATAAAGATATATGTATAAACTTATAAAGATATGTCTTTAATTTACCTGGCTGGGGCTTTTTGGAAGACTTCATTCATGAGTCTGTCTGTATTTGACCATGACTCAGACCTCGACCAATGCAAAAAGCATTTTCTCAGCAGGTATTTGTTGAAAATAATTTCAAGTGACTGCTTTAACTTCACTTCTGACTAAAGCAATTGATAAAATTTGGGGCAGACCATAAAGCAATAAAAGAGCTTAAAAAATGTAAGGAATGGGATGTCTATAGGGATTTTGAAAATCTTTGCCATATGCCAGGAATTTCATGTATATGCATATGGCTGTGTTCAGATTCAGGACTCTATAAATGCTCAAGCAAGAACTGAGAAGATTCTAAACTCTTGTCTCTGGCTGACCTTCAGTATTTCAGGAAGAAGTAAGTGGAGGCTAAGGTAGAGATGTGAACTGCCTGACTAGGTGTCAGAGTCATGCCTCAATATGAACATAGAGGTCTTTGACAGAAACTGGAAGATTTATTAGTCCCAGGCATTGAAAGAAATTTCTGTCCAATTATTTGCTGGCCACTAGACTACCTGAGTACAGATTTTAATGGCCCTACACCACAAAGAAGGCAGACTTTAGAGAATTATTTGGGAGTATTCACTAAACAAGCAAGCAACAACTACATTAATAAGCAGCAACAACTACATTAATAAGCAGCAACAACAAATTCTAGTGAGACAGGGAGAATCTGGTTTCCACAGTTGCCATTTCTAGTATTTAAAATATTTAGTTTTCCAAATTTATAAGAAAGAAAAACAACCCCATTAAAAAGTGAGCAAAGAACATGAGCCGACAGTTTTCAAAAGAAGACATACATGCAGCCAACAATCATATGAAAAAAGTTCAACATCACTGATCATTAGAGAAATGCAAATCAAAACCACAAGGAGATACCTTATCACACCAGTCAGAATGGCTATTATTAAAAAGTCAGAGAAGAACAGATGCTGGGAAGGTTATGGAGAAAAACAAACATGTATACACTGTTGGTGGGAGTGTAAATTAGTTCAACCATTGTGGAAGGCATTGTGGCAATTCCTCAAAGTTCTAAAGACAGTAATACCATTTGACCCACCAATCTCATTACTGGGTAAGCACCCAAAGGAATATAAGTTGTTCAATTGTGAAAACACATGCATACATATGTTCATTGGAGCACTACTCACAATAGCAAAGACATGGAATCAACCTAAATGCCCATCAATGATAGACTCGATAAAGAAAATGTGGTACATACACACCGTGGAATACTATGCAGCCATAAAAAAGAACGAGATCATGTCCCTTTCAGGAACATAGATGGAGTTGGAGGCCATTATCCTTAGCAAACTAACACAGTAACAGAAAATTGAATACCACATGTTCTCACTTGTAACTGGGAGCTAAATGATGAAAACATATGGACACATAGAGGGAAACAATACATACTGTGGCCTGGTGGAGGGTGGAGGATGGGAGGACAGAGAGGATCAGGAAAAATAACTAATGGATGCTATGCTTAATACCTGGGTGATGAAATAATCTCTACAACAAACCCCCATGACCTGCGTATGTACCTTTGAACTTAAGATAAAAGTTTTAAAAATAAAAATAAATGAAATGAAGTATCTAGTTTTCAACATAAAATTATAATACAAGTGAAGAAAGACACAGGAAGTATGGGTCATAAAAGGAGGGGGAAATGCAATCAATAGCAGCAAATCTAGGTGTTGAACTTGTTGGACAAAGGCTTACATCAGCTACTTTAAAAATAGGGTCAAAGAGCTGAAATAAACCATGTTTAAAGAACTAAAGGAAGATATGACAACTATTTCTCACTAAATAGAGAAAATTATTAAAGAGATAGACATTATTTGTTGTTAAAGAACCAAGTCAAATTCTAGAGATGAAAAAGTACAGTGATGGAAATAAAAAATGCAGCAGAAGACCTGAACACCAGATTTTAACAAGCAGAAGGAAGAATCAACAAACTACAAGATAGGTCAATTGAGATTATCTAGTCAGAGTAATAAAAAGAAAAAAGAATGAAGAAAAATAAAACAGCCTAAAGAAATCTGAGACATTATCAACCATAGCAAACCACTGAAAACATCAGATGTTGACAAAGAGATAAATAACAGGAACTCTCATTCACTGATTACAGAAATCCAAAAGTGTACAACCACTCTAGAGGACAACTGGACAGTTTCATACAACACTAAACATCTTAACCATAGAATCCAGCACTCACGTGTCCTGGTATTAACCCAAATAATCTGAAACGTTATGTCCACACAGAACCTGTACACAAATGTTTGCAGTAGCTTTATTCCTAATTTCCAAAGCTTGGAAGCAAAAAAAAAAAAAAAGTCCTTTAATAAATGAATGAATAAGCAGACTGTGGTACATTCATAGAATGGAATATTATTCAATTATAAAAAATGAGTTGTAAAGCCCAGACCTGGAAGAAATTTAAATGCATATTACTAAGTCAAAGAAGCCAGTCAGAAAAGTCTACATTATATATGATTTCAATTGTATGATATTCTGGAAAAAGCACAGTTATGGAAACAATAAAAAATCAGTGGTTGTCAGGGGCTCCCGGGGAGGAGGGGAGGAAATGATGAATGGAAGGAGAACAGGGAATTTTTAAGGCAGTGAAACCATTCTTTATGATACTGAATGGGGGAATACATGTTATTAAACATTTGTCAAAACCCATAGAATGTAAAACACACACCATCAACCCTAATGTAAACTATGGAATTTGGTTACTAATAATGTATTAATATTGGCTTATCAATTATAACAAATGTACCACATGAATGCAAGTTGTTAATAATAAAAGAAACTCTGGGGGAGGGAGTAAAAGGGGTTACATGTGAGTTCTCTACACCTTCCATTCAATTTTTTGTAAACCTAAAGCTTCTGAAAAATAGTCTATTCATTTAAAAAATGGAAGAGATTGACAAGGTTTATTTAAAAAGACAATCCAATGATATACTGTCAACAATATATTCACTTTAGATTCAAAAATGCAAATAGGTTGAAACTGAAAAGATGAAAAAAGTATTCCATTCAAAGAGTAAGCAAGATAGAGTGCTAATGGATGGCTATACTGATATTACACAATATCAACAAAAAGACAAGAATTATTACTGGAAACAAAGAAGGACAATTTATGATGATAAAATCGCTGGTCCATCAAGAAGATACATCAATTATAAGTACATATGCACCTTGCAGCAGATCTCCAAACTACATAAAACAAAGACTAACAGAACTGTTTGGAGCAATAGATAATTCCATAATTATAGTTCAATGTCAGCATCCCACTTTCAATAACAATAGAACAATTAGATAAAGGTCCACAAGGAAATAGAAGATGTGAACAGCATTATAAACTAACTACAGCTAATTGACCTCTACAGAAAACTCCACCCAATAGTAGTAGAATACATATATTACTCAGGGCACATGAAACATTCTACAGATTAGTCTATAAGGTCATAAAGCAAATCACAATACATTTAAAAGATTAAAATAATGTAAAGGATGTCCTCTAACCACAATGGAATAAAATTAGAAATCAATATCAGGCAAAATATTGTGAAATACACAAGTAAGTGGCGATGAAACAACACATTCCTAAATAATGAATGGCTCAGAGGAAATCACAAGGGAAAATAGCAAATAATTTGCAAAGAATGAAAATAGAAACACAACATACCAAAGTTTATGGAATTCAGCAAAAGTAGATAAGCTAGAGATGTGTTTAAAAGAAAAAAATTCCTTTATCAGTCATTGTCTCTGAAATGACAAAAAGTGTGTGTGCGTGTGTGTGCGTGTACATATGTATGTAAAAATCAAGTAACAATATGTTCAAGATGATTTAATTGTATTATTTAAGTTGCTATTGTCAAAAACTATGCATACTAGAGGGGGAGACTTCAAAAGCAAAATAACTAAGAAAGCTTTCATTCTTTTGCAGAAAATTAAAAGAGAATATGATATAGAGATACTGTGTAGTATATTCATATTAGATATTCCTTCTTAGGTGACATTTGAGATCAACCTGAAACACAGAAAGGAGCCAGTCGTGATAAAATCAAAGAAAGAGCATTTTAGACCTAAAAACATCTAATTCAAAAGTCCTAAAGCAGGAAATGACCTTTGTTTGTAATGGAAAGTTACAGTCACCTATGGTCCCAGCAGAAAATAGATGGCATGCTCCTATGGGAACTGAAAGAGGTTTAACAAAAGAAGTAAATACAAAGTTGTGAGAAGGATTTAGGAACATCAACAAGGGATTTCTGTATATGTATTATATATGGACTACTCTGAATCTAGCAACAGTTGGGAGGCTTAGCAACCAACACAAGGCCTGAAGTAGCAAAGGGAGAAAGTACTATTACAAAGCAGAAAGAGAGAGAACCTGTACGTGGCTACATCCATGACCTGTGATCTTTGGTTGAGCAATACAAGTAGCCTCATTTGTCCCATCTGAAGGAGAGGGTAGGGGAAAATACTTCAAACTAGCTGCTGCCTCACTCTAATCCTCAGCTGGTGACTCATTGGCTGAACACAACCAGAAGTCAAATATCATGGAATTCTCTTGATTTCGCCTCTAGAGGCACAACACAGGGTAGAAACAAACATGGTTGGATAGAGAGTGAATCTGGGGCAGGGGAAGGAAGGGGGAGTGGAAAATATCCAGCACATATGTAATGTGGAAAGATGCACACCCTTATGACACTAACGGTTACCTTTAAAGAAAGGAGAGGGACAACAGACCATGACAGTAGGTCATCAAAGGGAATGCCTGTAATCCCAGCCACTTGGGAGGCTGCGGCAGGAGAATCGCTTGAACTGTACAGCAGAGGTTGCAGTGAGCTGAGATCATACCACTGCACTCCAGACTGGGCAACACAGCAAGACTCCATCTTAAAAAAAAAACCCTTTAAATTTGTATTTGCTATCCCATGCACTTGAATTTGTTTTTCAACATAATGTATTTATGCATTTTGTATGTAATTTTTAAAATCTCAAAGTTATCTGTGTATCTGCCTAATGTTATGTGGTATGTGCTTGGTGAGAGTGAAGAAATTATCATTTCATCATTTTAATATGAAAGCATTAAATATTATGAAATGTTTTAAACTATCACTTGATTCCTTCTCATTGGAAATATCTTTTTATTATCTTTCTTCCTTTTCAACTCATTTTTGTGCCCCTTTATTCTTACAACTAGAAATGATTAAATTTTATGTGAGGTAGTCTAGAAGTTAATGAGGTAAGGTATTCAGGGAATTCTCATTTAAGTTCCCCAGAATCATTTATTCAAACTAGCTCATCTCTAATTGCATCTCATTTAAAATTAGTGTCTACTGTTTTGGGAAATTGAGTAAATGTATTTTAAAACACATCTGACAACAGAAGAGACTTCCTACCAACCTCAGTTCAGTAGGAAACTAATTGTACATAAGTAGCATTTCCATAGAGATCTCTGTCCCAAGGAATTTTCTCTGCTAACTCCTCATCTGGGATAAGGATTAATGGCCTGTTGGAAAACAATGCCCAAGAGGTCTCAGGAAGAGCTTACAAATAACACATCCACAAAGCATTCTGATATTTTCTACTATTGTCTTCCTAACCCATGTTTTCTTCTCTTTGGAACCCTGTAACAATTGAAAACCTAAGTTGTGAAGCTAATTCTTAAATACTCATGTATACTACAGTTTATCCATCCTCTGAACGTTTGAAAAATTCAAGTGTATTCCTTCATAATTCCTTTTTATTGAAAGATATTTATCAAAAGGTGAGTAAAAAGGCACGTTTTCAAGTCCATGCATTCTTAGGGAAATTGAAATATGTGTAGATCATACTGCCACTGCCTAATATACATCTGAAAGGCAGAGAGCATTTCATTTCAGGGAGCCTTTTCTAACCTTTGGAAACAGCTGCTCAGTGGTTCTAAGAAGCAACTAGATTTCTCTTTGTAATTAATCTATCTCTCAATCTCTCACTGAAACCAAATTTAAAAACATTAAACCCATTTAAAATCATTATGATTTTAAATTTGGTTTCAGTGAGAGACTGAGAGGGAGATTTATACACTATATCTGAGAAATATTAAATGCCCAAAACAAATATGAAGCCTTCTTTCAATCAGGTGGATTTTTAGAATATATGTTCAAAATTGGATGGATTGATTTGTCTGTGTGTTTCATGCAGATTCCTAATGTCAGATAAAAATAACTTTTATTTCTTCTTATGATCTTTTACTATATAGAAAGTCTACAAGTGCAGTACATATAAAGAAAATATTGTGTATGGTAAAAATGAAGTATAAGCTACACTAGAATGAAGATGGAAGTGGAGATAAAACAGGAGACATCAACAGGAATAGGGTCTGGTACTTTATTTATCTTTTTTAAGTGAAAGCAAGTTTATTCAGAAAGTAAAGGAGTAAAAGAATGGCTGGCTACTCCATAGACAGAGCAGCCCCAAGGGCTGCTGGTTGCCCATTTTTATGGTTATTTCTTGATGATATGTTAAACAAGGGGTGGATTATTCATGCCTCCCCTTTCTAGAACATACAGGGTAGCTTCCTGATGTTACCATGGCATTTGTAAACAAATGTACTCTACCATATAGGGCAACTTCCTGACGTTGTCATGGCACTGATGGGAGTGTAGCAGCGAGGATGACCAGTGGTTACTCTCATCGCCATCTTGTTTTTGGTGGGTTTTGGCCATCTTCTTTAGAGTAATCTGTTTTATCAGCAAGGTCTTTATGACCTGTATCTTGTACTGACTTTCTGTCTCATCCTGTGACTTAGAATGCCTTAACCATCTGGGAATGCAGCCCAGTAGGTTTCAACCTCATTTTACCCAGCTGCTATTCAAGATGGAGCTGCTCTGGCTCACATGCCTCTGACGTTTCCTCCCTCCCCTTTACAAGAGAACCCTTAATCCTAAGGGTTGGAGAGGGACAAAGATCCATCTCCTTCTGTAGCTTCTTCAGGCTTAAGAGGAGCAATGATATTCCTGCCTAACAATTAGAGTCTCTCGTATTTGGGGTAGAGAGGAGCTCGTCAAAAAGCATTGGTATGATGAGAGCCATTCATAACTCTGAGTTTCAACAAGAGGTGCTATCTGAAAGATTGATAAGTGTTCCATTTAAGAAAACATTCACTAAGCATATTCTGCATCCGTATGCAAAGAGTACAAATGCAATGTATTCCACAGCAGCAAAGCAAAATAAGTAAAATTATTCCAGGTAAACTAAATTTAAAGGCTTCCCATGAACTGAGCAACTGTTAAAACCAAGCTGATACAGGGTTGCCAGATGATTCCAATATGTGCCCATGATTAGAATATTGGTCCAGATTTTTACATTACCCAAACCTCTTGTATCTTCTGAGTAACAGTCTAAGATCACTGGTTGGTTCACAGGAATAAGCAGGTTTAGCCTAAATTGTAGAAACAAACTTAAAAACAACTCATGAGACTAGAATTTAATAACAAGTGTACCATACTTCTTGAAACATAATTTTTCTCACTTCAGTTTCTCATTTTTACTGAAGACAAATTATGATAAGACTGATTTACTTTATTGCACTTGGCCTGATTATTTGTATAAAGTGGAACAAGAATAATTATTTTATACATTACCAAAATTTCTTTGTCAATCACGTTTTTGCCAGTGGCTGTGGTAACGAGTTTTGTCATACACAGACAATTGTCTTGTTTTAATCCTCTTCAAAAGGTGGTTTATAGTCAGCTATACAACTCTAACGGATGTTCTTAAATGCAGGTTTCTGATAACTTTGGAAATTGTGACATTAGAATAGAGGAAACAACTTTTGCAACTCTCGTGAAGAACAGGAATGTTCATGAATATCAAACAGAACAGGAGTTAACTGCATAAACTAAACTAAAAGAATAAACTAATCTTTTTGACTTTGCTTAAAACGTTGCTAACCCTTTGTTTTGTTTTCCAGAGTTAAGAAAACTTTTACTTTGAGCTATTTACAGCCTTTAGCAATTGAGTAAAGTATACTTCTGTGGAAAAAAAAAATGGACCATATTTGTTTCTCTCTACCTGATTTCTCCAGAATTTGGAGACTATTTGTGAGTATTCTTAACTGATGGCAATATATTTATTTGCATAAGTGCAATAAGAATCTGTTTTTTTTTTTTTGTAGCAGGACACAGTTGGAGAAATTGGTTATTTTACCAAGGCTTTGACTGGAATGGTGTGTTTTCCTTTAAGGAATGAAACTTGACTTATAGAGCCAATAAAAACCCCTTGGGGAACTGACCTTCTACCTTGCCTACACAGTCCCTATACAGGGTTTCTGGCCTGTGGTAAGTAAAGAATGTCATTTTCTAACATTCCAAGGATTCCTGCTTTATCTTGGGACCCCATGAGGAGAGGAATTTACTCAACTCATGGGTCTGGCACTTTAATAAAGTGGCTTTAAACATTTGTGATTAAGTAAATCCCCATGTAGTAAAATAGTGATGAAACATTTCTTGAAGTATAAGATCCAAAAGACAGATAAAATCCCAAAGCTAAAAGAAATAAAATACAAGAATGACATGAGAAAAAAATATGAGATCTAAGAATAGAATTACAGAGCTTAAATATACTTCAAAATTAAATCACATTGATTAGTCATTCCTAGTCTGATGTCTTCAGGGAAATGTCCAGAGAAATGGAGGAGCTCTGGGTGACCACCACTCACAGACAAAATATACTTAATAAAGTTAATAACAAAATCCCAAATAATATAAATTTAATAAAATTGCGGAAGACATACTGGAGTGAATATTGTCATTAAAGGTAGTTATAATTAGTTATAATTATGGAAGAATTCATGGAGGATCAAATCTAAAATTGCTTTTTAAAAAATTCAAGGATGGTCCCTGGTAGAAAAAATATAAAAGGTGAACATAACAATGTTAAATAAAGATAGCAGGTATCTAATAGTGAAATTATTTAATAATGTAATTTGCAATTCTCAGAATACAGGCATGCACCACATAATGACATTTTCATCAATGACTGACCATGCATGTGTTCAACAGTGGTCCCATAAGATTACAATGGAGCTAAAAAATTCCTGTTGCCTAGTGACACTGTATCCATGATAATGTTATAATGTAACACATTACTCAAGTGTTTGCAGTGATGACGGTATAATCAAACCTGCACTGCCAGTCATATAAAAGAATAACACATAAAATTGTGTGCAGTACATAATACTTGATGATGATAAATAAATATGTTACTGGTTTATATTTTTGCTATACTATACTTTTTATGATTTTTTATACTCCTACTTATTTTTAAAAAGTTAACTGTAAAACAGCCTCACACAAGTCTTTCAGCAAGTATACCAGAAGAAGATATTGTTATTATAATCATAGGAGATGACAGCTCCATGCATGTTATTGCCCCTGAAAACCTTCCAGTGGGACAAGGAGCTGGAAGACAATGATATTGATGATTCTGACCCTGTGTAGGCCTGGGCTAATGTGTGTGTTTGTGTCTTCATTTTTAACAAAAAAGTTAAAAAACTTAAAAAAATAGAAATAATTTATAGAATAAGGATATAAACAAAGAACATACTTTTGTACAGCTGTATGATGGGTTTAAGTGTTATTCAATAATCAAAAAGTTAAAGAAATTAAGAAGTTTATGAAGTAAAAATGTTACAGTTAGCTAAAATGAATTTATTATTAAACAGAGAAAAGTGTTTTTTAGTAAATTTAGTGTAGGCTATAGACAGTGTTTACAAAGTCTATAGTAGTGTACAGTAGTGGTCTAGGCCTTCACATTCCCTCACCATTCACTCACTGACTCACCCAGAGCAACTTCAAGTCCTGCAAGATCCATTTATGGTAAGTGCCCAATATAGGTATACCATTTTTATCTTTTATACCATATTTTATTGTACCTTTTCTATTTTTATATACGCTTAATACATAAATACTTACCATTGAATTATGATTGTCCACAGTATTCAGTAAGGTAACATGCTGCACAAGTTTGTAGCCTAGGAGCAATAGGCTATATCACATAGCATAAGTGTGTACTAGGCCATACCATCTAAGTTTGTGTAAGTGCACTCTATTATATTCACACAATGACAAAATCACTTAACAATACATTTCTCAGACTATATTCCTCTTGTTAAGCTATGTATGACTGTATTTATTTTGACATCAAATTAGTTTATATCATGCCTTTATTTCATCTTTCATTTCCAATACGGATTTTCATCTGAAAAAGCACTCAGGCCAAGACATATTTCTAAATTTGATGCACTCATATAACATCTTGATTAAATCAAGGTCAAATAATGTGAAGGGGGTCACACTCATTCAGGAACAACCCTCGAGTACAGATGCTTTCTGGGGCTCTTGAAACTCTGAGTTTATAGTCTCAATATTTTATTACCTCATTTAAAGCAGCAATTACTTTTCAATCTTTAGGATGTTCTTAGTCATTAGCAGAGTATGGAAACAAATGATTAACAATATCTTAAAATATGGATAGTAAAATTTTCTTTGTCATAGCGTTTGGGGATGGATACTAAATGATTTAATGGTGTAGAAAGCATATGGGGGTGTTTGACACAGAGGGTTCACTAAGGACTAGTTGGAAAGAGTGTTATTATTGTTTTGCACACTTCCGGCGTGAGATAGCATATAATCAAAGGGCAACATTCACATGTTAGCCCTGAGGAGCTTTGTATGACACCTCACAGGATGACTTTGAAGATGTAATGAAACAGAGAATGTGGAAGCTGTGCTTTATAAACTTATAAATGTAATCTGTTACCATTAAACAACTAATTGACTGGCAGAGTTACTCAGAATGTTGTCACTGAGATGCTATCTTAACTTTTCAACCGAATATTTCTCATCCTGCAGAAAATTGTGATATTCATAAAACACATGTCACCACTAAAAGAAAAGCATATGAGCAAAAAATTAATCTTTCTCAAAATACTGCTTCACTAAACTAGTTGAGGTTGGTATATCAATGTACTTTCTAGCTGAAAAAAAAGGAAAGGTCTTGAAAATGTAAAATAATTTCAGATTTGACTGTCTCTAAGCCTAAATTGGGACATCAACTTTTGTCCTGACTGCAGTCACTCAGAACTAAAAGACATATTTGTAGTTATGTGCAATCAGTGGGTCATGACAACTATCCAAACTCTTATATTAAAGCAAGATGATAATCTCATTGAATAAAAAAATTTTTTTCAAAATGGATGTTAGCTAAAATTTAACATAAAATATCAAATGCCCAAAGGTTGAACTAAATCGTAATGAATAAAAGCCCAAGAATGCAAAATCGAATTCCTGAGCATAGGGAAACTTTGTCATTGTAGGTTAACTCTCTCAATTTATACTTGAGAAAACAGACAATAAAAGTATTTAATTTTCTTGTTCAATTTCAAATCGCTGAGATAGATTTAAATCCAAAAGTCTTCTTGCCTCCCTTGGAGATGATATGATTATTTAACTAACTAGTTGGAGCTGGACAATGCTATCTTGATGATTCTTATGACTCCAGGTTTTCTCCTCCTTTTTCTCCTACCATTGCTACCTCAATATGTTTATTCTTCTTAGCATTTCAGTAATGCCTTGCAGCACTGTTTCTGAAAATGAACCATCCTGTTCCTCAGCCCCAGGCCACATTTACTCTATCAGACACCTAAAGATAGGAAACAATAAATTTCATTCTAGCAACCTTCTCAGCTGATTTTTATGCAACTCAAAGTTTGAAAACTATACGGTCACTTTTACTTTGTATTTAATCCTCACCTCACTCAAGAATGGTAGTTATTGTCAACCTTCTTACACAGAAGAAGAAATTCCATTTCAGAATGGTTGGGTTACTGGATTAAGATATCTGCCTTTAATTTGTAGTGTCCCATAGGAAAATAAGATCACCTGATACCAGATGTTTTATGTTATTCTGACCCCAGGTTACTGCACCCTGTCATCTATAAGTAGACAATCAATGCATCACCATGTTTTGTCGATACCCATAGCTCTACCTTCTTTGGCATATCCCTACTACAGGTGAAACAAATTGAAGATAATGCCACTAACTAATGAAAGCCACCCTGAAGAATTTATTCTGCTAGGCTTTGCAGACCGCCCTTGGCTAGAGCTTCCTCTGTTCACTAGTCTTCTTATAATGTACCCTATAGCCGTGATGGGAAACATCACAATCATTCTCATGTCCAGGTTAGACTCTCGTCTTCATAGCCCCATGTATTTCTTCCTCACCAACCTCTCCTTTTTGGACATGTGTTATACCACAAGCATTGTCCCTCAGATGCTGTTTAACCTGGGAAGCTCTAAGAAGACCATCAGCTATATGGGGTGTGCGGTTCAGCTTTATTTCTTTCACATAATGGGGGGAACAGAATGTTTGCTTTTGGCTATTATGTCCTTTGATCGCTATGTGGCCATCTGCAGACCTCTTCACTACACCCTCATCATGAATCAGCGCGTCTGTATCCTTAGTTTCCACCGTGTGGCTAATTGGAATAATCTATGCTGTCTCAGAGGCCACTGCCACATTACAATTGCCACTGTGTGGTCTCAATAAACTGGACCACTTGGTGTGTGAGATTCCTGTTCTGATAAAGATTGCCTGTGGTGAAAAGGGTTCTAACGAGCTCACACTCTCTGTGGTATGCATTTTTATGTTAGCTGTCCCACTATGCTTAATTCTTGCTTCCTATGCTAGTATTGGAAGTGCTGTATTTAAGATCAAATCTTCCAAGGGAAGGAAAAAGGCCTTTGGGACATGCTCCTCCCATCTTATTGTAGTTTTCTTATTTTATGGCCCAGCCATCAGCATGTACCTTCAGCCCCCCTCCTCCATCTCAAGGGATCAACCCAAGTTCATGGCCCTCTTCTATGGAGTGGTGACTCCCTCACTCAACCCTTTTATCTACACCCTGCGGAATAAGAATGTAAAGGGGGCATTACGCAACTTGGTGAGGAGCATTTTCAGCTTTAAGTGATAGTGGGTAGACATAAAATGAAGTTATTGAACAGTTAGAGTAGGTTGCTATGGTTTTATCTAACAAATTCTTGTCTCATAATCAAATATCGCTTTACATGTTCTTGCAAAATATGTTATGTCTCCGAGACTCTTTGTAAACATGTTCAGCAAGGATTATACTTGGCTAGTAGGCACATTATATTATGGAAATATATTAAAATAGTTCTATACTGGTTGGTACATACAGAGATAGTAACTGTGTTAAGTAGTAAAAAAATTAGTAAAATGAATTTATTAGTTCAAGCTAATTGTAAAAATAGTATAGCAACCACTCATCAATGAGCCTCCTGTCAGAGTCACCTGAGAAACATTCCATCACTCTCTGCATGTTGTCCCAAGTCTAAATGGGCAGTGTGGCTACACTGGGCATTCAATGTGAAGCACATTATACTTTGGAATAATCATGAGTCTCATAAGCTTATCAACCCCAATTTATGTAGATACTATTGCTTCTTAAAAATTCAGTGTAATTCTTTTTTAACAAATAAGTATGCAGTGATTTTGTATTTTTAATTAAATAATTTATTATTAAATTTTGAAATGAGTGGAATAGTGGGACAAAAAGTATGAAAAAGTTTCTGATACTTTCCTTTTACATACTATAATAATGAGTCTTCGAATCAGTGAGATAACAAGGAAGTGATATTAATAATGAAACACAACCTGGAAGCATTTCCGTGCACAATTTGGAACAGCCAGGAATGCCTTTTGGAACTAACTGTGTTAGAATCAGAATCAGTATGAGAAAAAAATAATTTGCATTTCTGGAACAAAAAGCAACTTGATTACCTCAACAAACAATATGTCTTTTTACTGATGTAAATGTTAAATGCAAATGATGTACAAAACCTGTATCATTAAAAGTTGGAAGTGCTAAAACTTAGTTCTAGGACTCACACCCCAAAACTTAAAACTTTGTCACGAAATTAGTTACAATTTATGAGAGCAAATGAATAGATTTTATATTTACTTGGTGTTGAATTAATATGTTGAGAGTTCAACACGGTGTTGTGTAGTGAAGAAGTAAATACTTGTAAGAAAAACAAAAGGTCATTTGGACTTTTCTGGCATAACTTCTGGTATGATCAAGATCTAAGCCAATAATTGGAAGGAAAACCTCATGTTAGTTCAAACAAGAATCAACTGCAAACCAGATACACTTGCTGAAAAATAACAGATCATCTGGTGCTGATACAGATCCTCAAATCATTGAACTTTTATATATCTAGTTTGGAAAAAAATTTAAGTAACTTTAAAAATTGGCATATTTCTGGTTGATTGCCAGAAAAATGTTTTCAAATTTTATACACATGCACACACAAACACATGACCTAATTCTGTGGTGTTAGACAATAGCTTTGATCATTTTTATTAGTTAAGGTATAGTTTGTCTAACTTAGTCTTATATACAGAAGTATATAGTAATTTCTAGTTTTGAAGGCAAAACACAGAACGATTTTTGTCAAAAGCTTTGCTATAAAAACCCATTACAGTTCATCTGACTCTCTCAAATTATCCTCCGTCCTTGGCTAATGTATATACTACCTTCAAGTCCTGTAAAAAACATTCATTTCAGAGGCATGAGTGAAATCTAGACACAGTGAAAAATCAGGATTTCCTAAGAATTATATGCAAAAATCTCAGAATAAAGAATACTCAGAACAGTGGACTGGAAAACCCACAGAAAGGTTTTATTTGGACTTTGCATTTCCAGGGAATATATACTGCTCAGTATGCTACAGCATGAAGGATACTTCAGTCAACTTTTGAAAAATTCTGTAGAAGAGAAGGGACGCATTATACTTGAAAGAGAAAGCGTGCTCTACCTTTTGTGTAAAGCATGAGCAATTCTGAGATTGCCTTTCAAGGAAAGTGATCTAAAGTTCTTATTTCCCCAAGCAAGTAGGCCTTTCCTAAATAACAAATGGAAGAAAACAAAGCATTTTAACCCTAGATTTAAAGTCACTAAAAATGTATTTGGAAAAATATTTAAGGTAGAACTCAAGAAGGTTTAACAGTGGCTTTCTCCATATTAGAGATGTCCTAAGATCTGCATAGCATAATAACTGCAAGGCAAGAAGTGCTAACATGCACCTTCAAGAATGTGCCTTTGGGATGAGTTCATGTCCTTTGCAGGGACATAGATGAAGCTGGAAACCATCATTCTGAGCAAACTATCACAAGGACAGAAAACCAAACACCACATGTTCTCACTCATAGGTGGGAATTGAACAATGAAAACACTTGGACACAGGGCGAGGAACATCACACACGGGTGCCTGTCATGGGTTGGGGGGCAGGGGGAGGGATAACACTAGGAGAAATACCTAATGTAAATGATGAGTTAATGGGTGCAACAAACCAACATGGCACATGTATACCTATGTAACAAACCTGCACTTTGTGCAAGTGTACCCTAGAACTTAAAGTATAATAAAAATAATAATAATATAGACACAGAAGCAAAAAAAAAAAAAAAAAGAATGTGCCTTTGGAATGAAAAAAGAAGACTAATTAAAGTACTCAAAGAAGAATTAAAAATATTTTCAAAAGGCAAATAAAAATTGTAATATTTAATAGGAGTATATAGTAATACATCACTGGCTGAGGAAATATCATAATCATAATCAAAAAGTCATGTTAAAAAGGAGAACTCACAACTATTGAAAAGCTGCCATGAGCTAGTAAAAGTGTTAAACATATTGTATGTATGGTCTTATTTAATCTTTCAATAACCCTTTAAGGTATGTATCAGCCACATTTGATAGATAATGAAAATGTGGTTCACTAATTCTTGAGCTTGCATAGTGTACGTCAGAACTAGAATTTGAAAGCTTTCAATTACCAAAAATTCATGCTTTTTCCACCTTATAACAAACTACTTGCAAAAATGATGGAAATTTAAAATTATACATTCAAAATCATGAAGAATTCAATGTTTCCATCTGAAATTCCATGGGGCAATATGGGAGACTGAAAGGAGGATCTATGTTGAATGAGAACCAGGAACCAGAACCAAGGCTGATATTAAAGAATGTGTGTTTCTATAGGAGATGAGAACTTGAAGGATTTTAAACCCTGAGACAATGTAAGACCTTTATTTTATGACTACATTTAGCAAAGTAAAAAACCACTTGGAGTACAAAAACATAGGAAATTAGTTAAATGTACTGCAACAATCTTTGCAATAGATAATGAGGCTCTCTAGTAGGATAAGAGAAGTAAAAATGAAAAAGATGGGGGAAGTGTGAGAGATTAACATAGGAGGTTAACTTGGAAATTTTGTTAAATGTGTGTCCTCTGGGAAAGAGATGAGCCAAAGACAGTGGTGATGATGTTTTAAGTCTGCAGGATTGAGCAGAAGGTGTAGATTATTTCAACGACTTTAATATCAAGGAAAGTAGTTTTTGAAACAGAAGTTAAAAGGACTCTAGAAAAACTGAAGTCAAATTCCGCGGAAGATGTTACTAATTATCTACAAGAAGAAATAGACATCAGTTGGCCGGGAGCAGTGGCCCACGCCTATAATCCCAGAATTTTTGGAGGCCAAAATGAGCAGACCACCTGAGGTCAGGAGTTCAAGACCAGCTTGGCCAACATGGTGAAACCCCATCTCTACTAAAATTATAAAAATTAGCCAGGTGTGTTGGCATGTGCCTGTGGTCCCAGCTACTTGAGAGGCTAAGGCACAAGAATGGTTTCAACCTGGGAGGCACAGGTTAAAGTGAGTGGAGATTGTGCCACTGCACTCCAGCCTGGGCAACAGAGTGAGACTCCCATCTCAAAAAAAAAAAAAAAAAAAAAAGACATTACTTGCAAAAAGAGAATTAATTGTTATCAAAAATTTTATTTATAAAGGATAAATCTAAATGAAATTTTAGCATTTCTTTTTTGGAGACATTAAAGATATCCAACAATTTAACATGATGTTATATTAAGATAAAGGGTTTATGCATACCATACTTAGTATGATATATAATATACATTTTAACAAGAATTAATATTGGGAAGTGGACAACAGTAGTTTCTGCAGACACTTCTAAGTCTTAGAGTCTGTAATCCCCTTTCCCCAGAAAAACTCTTCAAAGTAAAATAATAGTATTTATAAGAAACACTGATAAGTGTCCAACTTAAGGTTGTTTTAATATATGTGATATGTGATATGCTGTCTGCATTAGGATAGTGAGGAGGCAGGGCTCAGTGGGCAATAGAGAGGATTCAAATGTTTTTGCAGAGAAACTGCTTTAAAATTTGCTTCTGGAATTTCTCCCCTTGCTATGATTCCAATATCCTTCCACTGAGCAAACAGTAGAGTTAACTGCACCATGGGGACATCATCTTCTTCTATCTCAGGGGATTCATTATCTCAGATCTCAAATTCTTAAGTGCAGCAAATCCTCTAATCATTTCTTTCTTGAATCCATAGAAGCTATTTTGCTAGAAAGAGTACCAACTAATGACTGAATCTGAATTCACTATGTGACTCTTAGGCAAATGGGCACATCTGACAAGTCACATTATAAGGCTATTAATAAGTAATTTTGACTGGTCATCTATGTACATCAATAGCTTTGTTAGTATATAGGTATTATGTGGCTTTTCTATATGAACTAAGGAATATGTTAACATAAATTATTTTCTGATTAATACGTTCAATTTGCATGAGCACAATTCTTAGTATGAACATTATATCATATTATAATTAAGACTGTATTTTAAAATTCATAATTGGCAAGAAATGGCCAGGTTGTCTTTTCTATTTGAGAAAACTATCTGAAAAAAATGTCTTTAGATTTTTAAATGACAGTCGGTATACCAAGTACTTTAACAAACATCTCACTTGAAACAAAGATTTTATGGCTGAAGGAAAAAATTTGAGATGCATTCCTTTTAAAATATTTATAATAAAGGACTGACACATGGTCTATTGTCTGTGAAACTCCTGTGAATAGTTCTATCTATGCATTTAACTATGCCTTTAACATAAAGTTGCTACTAAATTATTCATTGTTTTAATTACTATCTAAAAAATCTGAAAATGGAACATGATAAAATGCTTTTGAACTCATTATTTGGCTGTAGTCAATTGTCAGCTATTATTAGCAGTAATTTATAACCTGATTTTTTATGATCCTATTCCAAAATGGTTCTATTGGTGAAAATGGCATAAACTTTTGTTCTATCGCTTTTGTTTTGCATTAACTGTGAAAATTAAACATCAAATATTGTCTTCTCTTTTCCACTGTCCTTCTGCCTAAAATATGTTTTCCTTTCTTTCTGGCTAAAATGTTGCAGGACCATTTTATTTTACTTTATTTAGTTCCATTTTCCTTTTAGTTCACATATAATTGTACATGCTTATGAGATATGATGTTTTGATATAGATATACAATGTATAGAGACCAAATTAGGGTAATTAGCATATTCATCTCCTTGAACATTTATCAATTCTTTGTGACGAGATCATTCAAAATCCTCTTTTCTACCTATTTTGAAATATACGGTATATTATTGTTAACAACAGTCACGCTATGGTACAGTGAAACACTACAACTTATTCATGCTAACTCTAACTTTGTACCTATTGATCATACTCTCCTCATTCCCCTCTTCACCCTACCCTATCCAGCTCCTCTAGTAACCACTCTTCTACTCTCTACTTCCATGAGATCAACTTTTTTAGGTAATAGGACCATTTTAAATAGGCATATTATACTTTGCTACTATTAACCTAGAAGCCGGAGTAGAGACTTTATCTTTTAGTAGTGTAATGAAGTCATGAATAAAAATTCAGTATAGTTCATTGCACTAGTTGATTTAGAAAGTTCTGGGATGTATTTTGGCTAAGGGGAAAACTGAAGTACCACTTGATCCCAATACATCTCTCAATTTTCCCCATGATTCACATTCAATTACTCCTGATATGAGATCACTTTCCCTGCCTCAGGGCTTATTACTAACCTGTGCTGTTGCTGATACCAAGACACTCAGAGAGTTGCATTCTCCCTCATCCCCTGAAGAGTTTCCATTTACGTGATCTGTAAGTGTCTGTGTGTGAAGGGGTTGAGGAAGCGGTGTTAACCTTCGCCAGGGAGATCCCCCTGTCAGCTAACACCTTTATGGGGGGCATTCAGTCTCTTGTAGCTAGGATCCCAGAGGTCCATGACAAGAGTGAGCATTCCCTCAGTTCCCTCATTCGCCAATTTCCCAGAAGCCATCCCAACAGCAGGGTCCCCAGCTTTCTGTCTCTACAGCCTCAGCTTTAGCTTTGCCTCTTCACGCTCAGCATTTTCTTTCCTAAGATCTGTCCAATTTATGTTGATTTACTCGATAATTTGGTCTCTCTCAGTGAAAGCGGTGCTTCCTGGCTGCATCTAGTTGGACATCTTGTTCCTTCCCATCTGTGTAATACATTTTTCATACATGCTTTATTTTGACATAATTTTAGCTTTACAGAAAAGTTGCAAAGATGGCATGGAGAATTCCCAAATACCCCTTACCCAGTTTCACTTTCCCTTAATGTTACATTTCTCTGGTTTATTTTTCAAAATTAGGAAACTAACATTGGTATGTTACTATCACTGAAACTCCAGACTATCTTTGGATTTCAGCAGGATTTTCTTTAATGTTCTTTTTTTGTTGCAAAATTCAATCCAGAACACCCCATTGCATTTAGTTGTCATGTTTCAGTTTCCTGAATCTGTTTCCTTGTTTTTCTTGATATTGATAATTTTGAGTACTGCTCAGGTATGTTATAAAATGCACTTCAATCATGGTTTGTCCGATGTTTTCTCATGATTATGTTATGGGATCCTTCGGGTATCACTTCACCAGCGAAAACCTCTGTCCCTAGTGGCACCTATGCCCAAGTTTTCCTCAGGCCCACTGGCCCACTCAGCCTAGCAGGCTGTGCTCAGCTCACAATACCAGCCTGGATCCCATACCTGCCAAGGGCAAGCAGAGCAGCGAGGCGTGTATGAGCGAGAAAGTGTGGGGTCCACCTACTGCACACAGCCAGGCATGCTTGCTGTGGCAGGGCAGGCAGTTCCAGGCACCAACACAGGCACCAGCTCCCTGCAAGGCTGCAGCTGGAGCAGGTGTACTGCAAGCAGCTTCCATGGCTGATGCTGCAGAATGCAGTGGTGCCCAGAAGCTAAGAGACACCAGGAACCACAGAGCCAAAGAGGCTGTCACAGCCCTGACTCAGGGAGCTCTTAGGTCTGGGCTCCCCGAAGGGCAGCAGTTCTTCACTCCTTTTTGTCGCCTGCAATGTGGTGAGTGAGGAAAGGGTATGTTTTAGCCCTGTTTGTGTGACTGCTCTTTCAGCCATGCCATTCGGTGGGTCCCAAGTTCTTGTCCTGCACCCAGGAAGAATGAGATATGCAGAAAGTGGAGGGTGAGTTAGGTGAAAAGGAGCTTTTCTGAGCAACAGAACAGCTCAGAGGAGACACATAGAGGGTAGCTCCTCTCCACAGCCAGGGTGTCCTGACCAGTGTTCAACTCTCAGCAGAGAGGAGACCCTGAGGTGGATAGCTCCTTTCACAGCTGGCCGTACCATTGCCTTTTCAGCTCTCAGCAGAGAGGAGACCCTAGGGTGGGTACCTCCTCTCTGCAGCTGGTTGTCTTGTCATCTTTTTCAATCTGGCTGAGTCCGGGAGTTTTTATGGGCTTCAGAGGAGAGGAAGTAGGTGCTGATTGGCCCTTGGGCAACCATGTGCAGGCCCAGAAAAAGCATCATAAATTCCCACTCCAGTCTGCGAGGCTGGCAGCCCGGCTCTCAGGCTTCAAGCCTTCCCTGGGTTGAAGGTGGGGCCTCACTGGGGACCCATCCCTCTCTGTCCAGGAGCCTGTCTGCCTCCTGCCACTGTTCATGGCACCCAGGCTGTTCCTGCCGAGGGTCACCTGCAGGCCAGGGCCAAGCTGCCTTCAGCACCTCCCCAGCCTCCCTTCCTTGCTTACTGGTGCCCAAAGTCCAGAGCGGGGCTCAGGCAGCAGGATGCTGGTGTGTCAGCAATGCCCCAAGCATGCACACACCAGGCCAGGTTGCAAAAGCCCCAGGGCTCAGCCTCAACTCCGCTCCGAGATCAGAGCTGGTGCCAGGAGCAGGCAGAGGCCAGGCAGCAGGAGCAGGCACCTCCGAGTCTGCACGGGGGCAAGGGTTCTTTCCCGGGTCCCCAAAAGTGTGGAGATGCCCAGATCCACAGCCACAGCTTGCGCACCTGCAACTGCACCCAGAAGGGCAGGGCTCCTGGCACCCAAGAGAACAGGGATGCCCAGGTTTGTAGCCACATCTTGAGCAGCTGCAGCTGCACCCGGGAGGGTGAGGTTTCTGCCTGCTCCCGGACCCCAAGAGCACAGGGATACCCGGGTCTGCAGCCACAGCTGGGCAGCTGCAACTGAGCCTGGGGAGCACAAGGCACCTGCCTGCCAACTCATAAGGGGTGGGGGCTTTTGCCTGTTCCCAGCTCCTTCGGGCTCCATCGAGTGCACAGCCCCACCCGCACCTCTCCCACTGCAGCCAACGTCATGGCAGCAGCCACTGCACACAGGCCACAGCTGCCATCAATTACACTGGGCCTTTGAATTTTTGAAGAGGTGACCACAGAGGTAAAGTGCCCTTTTTATCCCATCAGAGCAGGGGTTACATAATATCTACATGGCATTACTGATGGTGCTGACTTTAATCACTTGCTTAAGGTAGTGTTTGCACTAAATAAAACTTAAACTTACAATTGTTACCTTTCCATACTCTATTCCTTGGAAGACAGTCACTGAATCCAGCCTATACTTAATGAAGGAGATCACGAGCTCCACCCCCAAAAGTGGAGACTATTAATAGATCAGTAAGGAAGATTTCTCTCTTCTTCTCCATTTATGTATTTATTCAATCATTTAACAGTATGGACTCATACTTTTTATACTTCAGATTATAATCCAGTGATATGTTATTTATTTTGTTGTTGAAATTGTTCCAGCTTTCCCCATTGAGAGCTCTTTCATGCTGGCTGCTGGGTCTTGGACAGGTCTTCATCCTTTTGCTATCCTTTTCTCTTCAAGGCCCCTCCTTGATTTCTGGTATTACTGGTCCTTCTCCTCCAGGCTTATCTTATATATTTTTTCACCAGCCTTAGAAATATCTTAGAATCAGACATTTCCCCAAGGATCTCTGGTTCTTTTCACTGGACATGGCAGACATGCACACACTGCTGTGAGGGTAACTTTGTTTCTAGATTATTTCAGCAGAAAGGGCTAGGTAATGTGTGTTCACACAGTAAGCCCTGAATACACACATATCTGTCATTGCTTCTATATTTGTCCATCTATGTGTGTGTCCGTGTGTATTCGTGCTTGTGTTTAAACATGATGTCACAGTGTAACTCTGACTCTAGCACAGTCCCTCATGATCATTCTGGCCTTCCTTTCTTGTTTACCTATAACTTCTCATACCAACAGTGAGAAACCTGGATGCCACTGTTCATCTTTTAACATTTTTGTTCAACACTAGTATGCTTGTGAAGCAATTACAAAATTAGCTGTACCCACATGAGAAAAAAATTACCATTTAGAATACAGTACTTATGCACAGTTACTTTTCTCTTTAGCCTGACATTTTTTAATCAAAATATTATTTCTCAAAATAACCAAAGTCAGTATTTACTTCTTCTCTACCCTTTTCAGGGTCGTTAGCTTACACATTTATATAATGTGAGATTGATTTGTCACTGTCTGCATACCATTCTAGGATCTTCCTGCATCTTGGTGAAACTTTTGCTTGTTTATTTGCATGCATTTGAGTGCAATTTTGTGATACACTTCTTGGGGATTAATAAATCATAGACTTGCATATTACTAGTGCAGCACCATACAAGACAACTCTATCATTTAAAATGTCCCCTGCGTGTATTCTTTGTAATCAACTAATCTCCCCTACACTAAGCCCTGGATAACACTGGTGTGTTTCCATCCCAACAGGTTTTCTTTTTCCAGATGTCTTATGAATGAACTCATACAATATTCAGACTTTGAAGTCTGGCTTCATTCATTTAGTGAAATACACTTAACAAATATTCATGTTGTTGCATGTATCAGTAGCTCATTCCATCCCTTTGATCAATAGTATTCATTCATCAATCAATTTCCACAAAATCATAGATCATTGTATGGAAATACCCAAGATTATTTTTCCCCTATTGAAGGGCATGGGTTGCTTACAGTTTTGAGTAATTATGAATAACACTGATATAAATACTTGCATGCAAATTTTTACATGGACATAAGATTTAATTCACTGGTGTAAATACTTAGGAATGTGATTGTTAAGTCATATGGCAAGACTATATTAAACTTTATAAAAATTGCCAAATGGTCAAATTAGTTGCACCACTTTGCATTTCTTCCAGCAATCAAAGAGAGTTTCCCTCACTTTGCATTCTTGCTAGCATAAATTTTCAGTGCTTTTGTTTTAGTGACAAAGGAATTTGTGAGAATTTATTTTCAATCTTGTTACATGAGTACTTTCATAATACTTCAATTTTGTATCTCAATTTACAAAGCCTTAATATTGACTATGAAGATTTTTATAGGAAAAAATACTGGCATCTGGACTTTCATATAGATTTTCTTAAATCAGTGAGATTTTCTTCAGTCAACTTAATTGTAAATCAATTATTACAAGCTTTTTTAAATATGGGAAATCATGTCTTTGATAAGAACAGGTCAGTTTTTTCATTTTTTCTCTAAGAATTTTGTTTTTTTTTTCTGTATCTATCACTTAATGTGTATTTGAAAACTTTCTAATTAACTTTTTCTAATACATATAATCCATGAAACTATTCCATTTTCTCAATACAGTTTAGAAATTACTTAAACATTTGGCTAAATGTTCTGAACCTTACTTACTTTCAAGCTACATTTTCGTGCTAGAAAAATGCTTAATTCATGCTGAATATGTTCAGTGTGATTTTTAAAGGCTTCACGATTCAATGTTTTTCATATAACCTAATTTATATTTTATTTCTCTGTCCGTGAAGAGTCTTTTAAGAGGCCAGGCACGGTGGCTTATGCCTGTAATCCCAGCACTTTGGGAGGCCAAATTGGGAGGATTACTTGAGGTCAGGAATTCGAGACCAGCCTTGGCAACATGGTGAAACCCTGTCTCTACTAAAAATACAAAAGTTAGCCAGAAGTGGTGGTGCATGCCTGTAATCCCAGCTACTCAGGATGCTGAGGTAGGAGAACCACTTGAAACCGGGAGATGGGGGTTGCAGTAGTCGAGATGGCACCACTGCACTCCATCCTGGGCAACAGAGCAAGACTCCGTCTCAAAAAAGAAAAAAAAAAGCGTTTTAAGAAGCATAAACAAATTTCCTCCAACCCCCTTTGACTGAACATTGATCGATACTCATTCTGATTTGATCTAGTTCTAAGTCCCAACATCCATTTTATCTTCTCCAAGTATAGTAGTGAATATTCATCAATTGTTCACTCAAATATTTGGTTTGATTTCTTATCATTTAGCACTTAATCCAAGGATATAAATATCTTTTTGCCCAGTGGTAAACTTGTCATCCAATCCTTAGGCTTATTTTGCAAACAGGTTAGGTTTTCCTCAAGATTGAAATGCTCATCCAAACCCTATTTTATTGCTGTCTTAAGTGGGGTTTTTCTCTTTTGACATAGTTTTAAGGTCATTTTGGCATCAGGTTCTCACTATTTAAAAGACTTCATTCAACACATCTTCCAGTGACTCAACCCATATTCTAAACCTAGCCATGAATGTAATACATTCTGAAGTTTTTTGTTTTGTTTTGTTTTGTTTTGTTTTCTTAGACGGAGTCTCGCTCTGTCACCCAGGCTGGAGTGCAGTGATGCAATCTCGGCTCACTGCAACCTCTGCCTCCCAGGTTCAAGCGATTCTCCTGCCTCAGCCTGCCGAGTAGCTGGGACTACAGGCACCCCCCACCACGCCCGGCTAATTTTTTCTATTTTTAGTAGAGACGGGGTTTCACCGTGTTAGCCAGGATGGTCTTGAACTCCTGACCTTGTGATCCACCTGTCTCGGCCTCCCAAAGTGCTGGGATTACAAACATGAGCCACTGCACCTGGCCCCATTCTGAACTTTAAGATGTTCTTTTTTTTTCCAAAGATCACATATAAATGGCCAATAAACATATGAACAAATGTTAATCATAAGAGAATTGCAAGTTAAAACCACAATGAGATATTACCTTATGCCATTCAAAATGGCCATGATTAAAAAAATCAAGACAAAAAAAAAAAACAAATTTTGCCAAGGGTATAGAGAAAAAAAGAATACATACACTGTTGGTGGGAATGTAAATTAGTACAAGCCCTGTGGAAAACAGTATGGAGACTTTTCAAAGAACTAAAAATGGAACTACCATTTGACCCAGCAATCCCATTATTGGATATCAACCTAAAGGTAAATCATTATATCAGAAAGAAACCTGCATGTCTATGTATATCGCAGCACTATTCACAATAGCAAAGTAATAGAATCAACCTGAGTGTCCATCAATGGACTATTGGATTTCTAAAATGTGATACTACTTCCCCATAAAAAGACTGAAGTCATGTCTTTTATAACAACTTGGATGGAACTGGAGGCCATTGGCTTAAGTGAAATAACTCAAAAACAGAAAGCCAAATGCTAGATATTATCAATTATAAGTGGGAGCTAAACAATGGGTACATGTGGATACAGAATGAAATAATGACATTGGAGACTCCAAAAGGTGGGAAGTTGGGAAAGGGTTGAGGGATGAAAGACTACCTATTGAGGACAATGTATCCTATTTGGATGATGGATACACTGAAATCTCAGACTTCACTATGTAAATATATCCATGGAACACAACTGCACTTCTATACCCTAAATCTGTTAAAATTTGCATTTTTCAAAAACATTTTCTTTATTTTTTTCAAAGCATCTATTTTGAACTCAAATTTCCTATACACTTAGAGGATTTGATGCCTTGTTCTCAGGGCAGGACTCCATGAAAAATAATTTACCTTTTCATACACTTTTTTTTTTTTTTCAAGAGGCAAAGTTTTGCTCTTGTTGCCCAGGCTGGAGTGCAATTGCACTATCTCGGCTCACTGCAACTTCTGCCTCCAAGTTCAAGCGATTCTCCTGCCTCACCTCCCAAGTAGCTGGGATTACAGGAACACACCCCCAAGCCCGGCTAATTTTTTGTATTTTTAGTAAAGATGGGGTTTCACCGTGTTGGCCAGGCTGGTCTCAAACTCCTGACCTCAGGTGATCCACCCGCCTCTGCCTCCCAAAGTTCTGGGATTACAGGCATGAGCCAGCACGCCAAACTCATATTCTTTTTTAATCAGCCTAATTTATTAAAACATTACATTTGTCTTCAACTACAGAAGAAACTTCTCTGGTAAACTCTTTTTTTTCTCTCTACATAAAGTGGGCTTTTATAATTACAAAATCCAAATAGAGCCGCACTTACCACCATCCCCCATGTTAAGCCATAGAACTCTGATGTGAGTCTCATGTCTCCTTGCAACATTGACGTGGCCTCAATCAGCTTCTCCAGGACCTCTATAAAGTAACACCTCATAGCAGTAAGCAGGTCCTCCATAGCACCAGATCTGCCTTTGGTTGCCAAGACACTATGATTCTACAACAAACTGCAGAGAACACTAGCAGTGTTCTGCTTGGAACCTAAATCTGCACCTAGCAACCAGGACAGCACATCAGTGGGATGCCAATGTGGGAGGATAGATGGGGCTTTCTAAACATTTTCACTATTAGCACATGAAAAATGGGAAACTACAAGGCTCTTGTTGATCCAGGAAGACTGGCCACAGAGACTGTATTCCTTCTAGGCACTGACAAGCAACCCTAAAGTATGAGAGAATTAATGTCATTTCATACATGTGCAATTCAGGAATTACTAGGAACGTGGCAGTAAAGAACTTACATGCCCATATCAATAGTCAAAGTCCTCTTAATGTAAACGTGTCTTTCTGAGGTTCTGCTAGACCTAATACTATTTAAAAATTCAAAGGTTCCTCACCTCAGTATCCAATCTTGTTTTGTTTTGGGTTAGATGAGGGGGATAAGCATGAGAGAGTTGAATTATTGTCATTAAGTTATCGATTTAACTTTCAAATGTAAAAACTCATGAAGGTTGAAGGTAATTTGGGGTTTAGGTTTTTTTAACTTTTATTTTAGGTTCATGGGTATATGTGCAGGTTTGTTATACAGGTAAACTGCGCATCACAGGGGTTTGGAGTACAGATAATTTCATCATCCAGGTAATAAGCATAGTACTCAATAGGTATTTTTTCTGATCTTCTTCCTCCTCCCACCCTCCACCGTCAAGTAGACCCCAGTGCATGTGGTTCACCTTCTAGTATCCATGTGTTCTTATGTTTAGCTCCCACTTATAAGTGAGAACATGTGGTATTTGGCTCTTTTCCATTTAGTTTGCTTAGGATGATGGCCTGCAGCTCCATCCATGGTGCTGCAAAGGAAATGACCTCATTCTTTTTATGACTGCATAGTATTCCATGGGGTCTATGTACCACATTTTCTTTACCCAATCTACTGTTGATGGGCATTTAGGTTGATTTCATGTATTTGCTGTTGTGAACAGTGCTGCAATGAACATACTCGTGCATATGTCTTTATGGTAGAATGATTTATATTCCTTTGGGTATATACCCGCTAATGGGATTGCTTGGTGGAAGAGTAGTTCTGTTTTAAGTTCTTGGAGGAATCATTACACCATTTTCCACAATAGCTAAGGTAATTTACATTCCCACCAGCAGTGTATAAGCATTCCCTTTTCTCCATAGCCTTGATGTATCTGTTATTAATAATTTGACTTTTTGATAATAGCCATTCCACCTGGTACGAGATGGTATCTCATTGCGGTTTTGATTTGCATTTCTCTAATGATTAATGATATTGAGCATTTTTTCATATGCTTGGCCGCATGTGTATCTTCTTTTGGAAAGTGTCTGTTTATGTCTTTTGCTGACTTTTAAACGGCATTGTTTCTTTCTTATAAATTTGTTTAAGTTCTTTCTAGATGCCAGATATTAGACCTTTGTCAAATGCATTGTATGCAGATATTTTCTCTCATTTTGTAGACTGTCTGTTTCCACTGTTGATAGTTTCTTTTACTGTGAGAAGTTCTTTAGTTTAAATAGGCCTCATTTGTCAATTTTTGTTTTTGTTGCAATTGCTTTTGGCATCTTCGGCATGAAATCTTGGCCAAGTCCTATGTCCAGAATGATATTTCCTAGGTTATCTTCAGAGTTTTTATATTAACAGTTTTCATTTTTACATTTAAGTCTTTAATTCATCTTGAGTTGATTTTTGTATGTGGTGCAAGTTTGGCATCCAGTCTCAATCTTCTGCATGGAGCTAGTCACTTATCTCAGCACCCTTTATAAAATGGGGAGTCCTTTCCCCATTGCTTGTTTTTGTCAGCTTTGTTGAAGATCAGATATTTGTAGATGTGTGGCATTATTTCTGGGTTCTCTATTCTATTCCATTGGTGTATATATCTGTTTTTGTACCGGTATCATGCTGTTCTGGATACTGTAGCTCTCTGGTATCATTTGAGTAAGGTGATGCCTCTAACTTTGTTCTTTTTTCTTAGGATTGCCTTGGCTATTAGGGCTCTTTTTTAATTCCATACAAATTCTAAAATAGTTTTTTTCTAATGCTGTGAACAATGTCATTGGTAGTTTGATAGCAAATTGCATTGAATCTATAAATTGCTTTGGACGGTATGGTCATTGTAATGATACTGATTCTTAGTATCCATCAGCATGGGATGTTTTTTCCATTTCCTTGTGTCACTTCTGATTTCTTTTAGCAGTGTTTTGTAATTGTCATTGTAGAGATGTTTTACCTTTTAGGTTAGCAGTATTTCTAGGTATTTTATTCTTTTTGTGGCAGTTGTGAATGGGATTGCATTCCTGATTTAGGCCTCAGCTTAGATGTTGTTGATGTATGGGAATGCTAAATTTTTGTACATTTATTTTATATCCTGAAACTTATCTAAAGTTGTTTATCAGATCAAGGAGCTTTTGGACCAAGATTATGGGGTTTTCTTTATACAGAATCATGTCTTTTGCTACCAAGAATAGTTTAACTTCTTCTCTTTCTATTTGGATGCCTTTCATTTCTTTCTCTTGCCTGATTGCTCTGGCCAGGACTTCCAGTACTATGTTGAATAGGAGTGGTGAGAGAGGGCATCCATGTCTTGTGCCAGTTTTCAAGGGGAATGCTTCCAGCTTTTGCCCATTCAGTATGATGTTGGCTGTGGGTTTTTTACAGATTGCTCTTATTGTTTTGAAGTATGTTCCTTCAATGCCTAGTTAATTGAGGGTTTTTAACATGAAGGGATGTTGAATTTTATTGAAAGCCTTTTCTGCGTGTATTGAGATAATCATGTGGTTTTTGTTTTCATTTCTGTTTATGTGATGAATCACATGTATTGATTTGCATATGTTGAACCAACCTTTCCTATCAGGGATAAAGCCTACTTGATCATCGTGGGCTTTATCCCTGGGACACAAGGGATCATGGTAGGCTTTTTCCCTGGGATGCAAATGATCACACCCTAATCTGTGGAGCCTGTGATTATACGTTACTTTACATGGCAAAAGGACTTTATAGATGTGATGAAATTCAGAATCTTGAGATGGGGATATTATCCTGGATTAGGCAAGTGAGCTGACACAATCACACGTGTCCATATAAGAGGGAGGCCAGAAGTCAAAGGGAAGATACTCCACTGCTGACTTTAAATATAGAGGAATGGGCCATGAGCCAAGGAATGTAGGTTACCTCTAGACGATAGAAAAGGTGAGGAAACAGCTATTTCATCAAAAAGCTAAGAAATTAGGTTTTTATGTGCTGTTCGATTTGGTTTGCTAGTATTTTGTTGAGGAGAATCAAGATAATTTGAAAGATTTTCAAATTTCAAGGATTTACACTCCTGCCAAATGACTCCCCAAACCCATAGCCAGTCACTGTTCTTCACCATTGCCTCACTCTCAAGCACAATACAAAAACTTTCCATTTCCTGAGTGGGTAAAGAAATGTGATGTTATAACTAAATAAATATTTGTCAACAATATTACCATGCCTTGGTGTTATCTATTCCATGCATTTCTAGTGAATTGTTCATTAGGAAACCCCAGTACTTTATTCAAAGTTTTTGTCATTTGACCTAAGATAAACAAAGTTATCTATTCCTCCCAAAGAAAAGTGTCAGATATGTTAAGATCGTCTCAGTTTGCCAACAGTAAGAAATTCTTTTTTTTTTTTTTGAGACGGAGTCTCGCTCTGTTGCCCAGGCTGGAGTGCAGTGGCACCGAGCTCCGCCTCCCGGGTTCACACCATTCTCCTGCCTTAGCCTCCCGAGTAGCTGGGACTACAGGCGCCCGCCAACACGCCCAGCTAATTTTTTTGTATTTTTAATAGAGATGGGGTTTCACCGTGTTAGCCAGGATGGTGTGGACCTCCTGACCTTGTGATCTGCCCATCTTGGCCTTAAGAAGTATGGAGACATATAAAAAAGATATATGAGCCAACTGGAAGGGGTCCTCTCTAGCCAAAACAGTGACCATTTCAGCATCAAAATAATGACAGAATGAAATAATAATGCATAAGACCATATTATGATATATAGGTAGACACATAGATAAATAATACCTGATACCCACACGTACACACACACACACACACAGGAAAAAGGAAAGCTATTCCTTCATATAGAATGCCAACTCTATTAGTTTTCCATTGTTGCTATAACAAATTACTACAAATTTGGTGTTTAAAATAACAAAAATATCATGTATCTGGAGATAGGAATACTAAATTGGGTCTACAGGGCTGCATTTCTTCTGTAGGCTTTCAGAGAGAATCTGTTTTCTCAACTACTCCAGCTTCTAGAAGCAACCTGTTTTCCTTGGCTCATGGCCCATTCCTGTTTCTTTAAAGTCAGCAGCAGACTATCTTCTCTCTGACCTCTGGCCTCCCTCTTATATGAACACATATGACTATGTCAGCCCACCTGGCTAATTCAGGATAATAATCCCAACTCAAGGTTCTGAATTTAATCACATCTATAAAAATCCTTTTGCCATGTAAAGTAACATATAATAACAAGTCCCAGAGGTTAGGGTGTGATCATTTGCGACAAGGAGAGGAAGTATTTAGCCTACCACACAAACTAATAAGTTTAGAAGGAATGATGGAACTTTAAGAATCATTATTTGGAAACCACTATAGTAATAATAGTAAAAATTAGTAATAATGGTAATAAAAAATAACGACTGGCCTACATATGGCAGATACTGCCCAGTGGTCTAGGAGAATGACATTGTCGCTGATGTTCTTCATGCACCAATGGCCTGTTAAAGGTACAGTGGCCCAAAACACTTCTCAGCCATTGGTTGAGCCTTGAGGAATTTACAACCTTATGTGAATAAGCATAATTGCTGCAAATATGAAATGTTTGGTTGAGGTATAAGTGACACATTTTAACCTTGAAGGAAAAGTTCTTGTGAACATCCTCAGGACAGTAAGAGAGTAAGATAAATTCAGTGTGGTTCAAATATTAGGTGTTAAAACAAAGAATAGGAGAAAATGAAGACCTTCCCATGACAAGTTGCAAAGAGCCAAGAAATGTACATACTGAATCCTCACCTTCTTGTTTTAAAGAGTTCAGATGTCTATAGGGAGGAACAATTGCCTAGTGATTAAGAACAAACTATGAAGTTAGAAAGCCCACATTTGAATCCAAGCTTCATCACTTACTAGCTCTGTTGTGGTCAGTTTTCTCATGCAGACAATAGAGACTATGATATTACTGTTGCCTCCCAATAGTTATCCCATCTCACCTACACTGTGTAGCATGTGCTTTGGATGAAATTAACCCCACCCCCAGTGCAGGAGCAAGAGTGACTTTATTTTAAATGCTAATCTGCCGTGTAACTTCTGAATAACCCTGAGTCCCTATAAGATGTTAAGTTGATATATTACTCTTTATGTAGGAACATGTATTCACTGTAAGTTTCCTCCAAAACAACCCTTGACGCTGTTGTAGGAAGCATAGTCCATGGCACCTGTAGCTACCTACATGTTTCTTTCAGAGCAAGTATACTTTCCTCAAAAGATAAGCCCTAGATCTGGAGGACTGCAGTGCAAAATCTAACTATGTTGTGGCCACCCAAGACAACATATATGTCTGTAAATTCCTTTAGTAAATCACCCCAAACCAACAAGCTAGATTTGTCTGCCTCCTTCTTTGATTTATCTGCTCTTTGTGCATTTGAGAGATGGCTTTGCATATATGGCCCTTTCACTGAAAACCTGGCTTCAGAAGTGGCCCCCAATTAATCTCAGCCAATCATTGCATTTTCGCCCCTTGTCCCAAACATGTTGCCAGGAATGTGCAGACAACTTATGCGTCAGTATGAAGCTCTGTATAAAGAGCCATTTTTGTTCATTGATTATAGGATGATATTCAACCTCTTGAATGTGAACAAGGAAGCATATAGGCCTGATTATTGCTGACAATGTTTCGTGATTGTGAGGGGAATCAACTTGATGACAAATCCAATACATGGAAGAGGACATAGCTGAGGAAACTGCAGAGATATTGATCCAGAGCACTGATCAAGCTATACCTGAAGCCCACACTACTGCTGAACTTTTTGGTTTTATAAGCAATAAATCCCCCTTATTTGTTAAAAACAATTATTTTGTTAAAGTAAATGGCCGGCCTGCACTCTTCAAAACTATAAGGTGCATTGAAGAGACAGACAGACTGAGGAATGGTTCCCAATTAAAGAGAAAAAAGAGACATCACACTGCCACCTTATGATCCTGGATTAGATACTTTTTTAGGAAATATTCTTGTGACAACCTAGGGGAACATGTGCATTACAGCGTAATAGTTTAGAAAAAAAATTTAAATGCATATTAACATTAGTATAAAGTGAGAATGATAAACCATACATGTTGAAATGCTAAGATTTTTTAAATCTGGTGAAGCTCAATGGTAAGTCTTTCTACTATTTTTATAACTTTTCCATGAGTTTTTTTGTGATTGTTGGATGATACTTGGTATATAATCACTTGTATTTGAAACTTATGTTTGAAATCATGTAGTGTTTTCATAATATATGATCACTAATCACCTTTCCAGCCTCACATATGTAAAATAGGAGATATGAACCTGAGCTACATAGCAGAATACAGACGGAGTGTACCTAGGCTGGAAGCCAGAGCTACTTTCTGTGATTACCTGGATGACATATTTGTGCCAACAATTCTGTACTGCAGAGTTAAAATAAGAAAAGATAATTGAGTATGTATATAAGAATATGCTGCACAGCAACAAGTATAAGATACAGTGGACAAAGACTGGGAGACATCTGTCTGAATGGGGAGGAGAAATTTACAGGGCAAAAGAAGCTGATGCTTCCATGAGGTTAGCCTTCATTCCTATCTGGGAAAAAGCTGGCTTCACTGTTAGTTCTTCAGTAAAGTTGCTTGCCATACAAATTCATGTGTGCTTTGGAAATCCCAGTTCACAAATGTTTTCATAAGGTTTAGGGCTGACAAGGGGAGCATCTCAGGGCTTCTATTTTGCCTTCAGTGTTGTTGACATAGGAATGGGTTGTCAGAGCTAAAAATGTATTGTCCTTACCCTGATTTTTTCACATACAAGTTGCCAGAAGTTATACAAGCCACCTATTTTCTTCCCTTCAGTTTGATAAAGTGAGAAAACTCATTCCTGTTGTCCTATCTGTGATAATACTGCATAAAGTCTGTTCGACTGGTTTGAAAAGTACAAAACAATAAAAACAGTAATACCAGTGTTAATCTTTGGTGGAATTTTTGGTAACTGATCTATTTCTCAGATTACAAATTACACAGCACAGGCTAATATGGCTAGGATTCAACATTAGATATACTATAATTATAACCTCCCAAAAGAAAATGAAAAGTCTATACATATAAAAGAAAATGTATATGTTTTGTAAGAGAAAAAGGAGAAAAGAGCACAGAAAGTTAAAAAGAAAAAAAAAGAATTTAGATAGTGAGAAGTGGTATCAATAAAATGGCAAAATAGGACTTTCCAGTGCCAGTTGGCCCCCCAGGTCAGACTCTGTAGCCCCAAGACCCATGCCAGTACCCAAGGATCTAGCCTCCAGACCAGTACATATAAGCTGGGCCCCATAAACCCGGACTCCAGACCAGCCCCCAAGGCAGTAAGTTCCACTCTAGCACCACACCAGCTCCAGGCTTCAGGGGGATGGTCCCCACTGCTCTAGGCTCCAGTGGACCTAAAGTCCAGGCCCGCACCAGTAGATATCACCTCATACCTTACATCAGTTAGAATGTCTATTATGAAAAAAGACAAAGGATAACAGATGTTGAGAAGAATATGCAGAAAAGGGAATCCTTATACACTGTTTTTGGAAATGTAAATTAGGACAGCCATGAGGAAAACCACTGTGAAGGTTCCTAAATAAATTAAAAATATTGCCAAACAGGGTGGCTCACAACTGTAATCCCAGCACTTTGGAAGCCGAGGTGGGCAGATCATCCGAGGTCAGGAGTTTGAGACCAGCCTGGCCAACATGGTGAAACCGCATATCTACTAAAAATACAAAAATTACCTCGGTGCAGTGGCACACACCTGTAGTCCCAGCTATTCAGAAGGCTGAGGCAGGAGTATCGCTTGAACCCGGGAGGCAAAGTTTGCAGTGAGCAGAGATCCCACCACTGCACTCCAGCTTGGGAAACAGAGCAAGACTCCATCTCAAAAAATTAAGTTAAATTAAATATATAAAATGCTCATCATCACTGGCCATCAGAGAAATGCAAATCAAAACCACAATGAGATACCATCTTATACCAGTTAGAATGGCAATCATTAAAAAGTCAGGAAACAACAGGTGCTGGAGAGGATGTGGAGAAATAGGAACACTTTTACACTGTTGGTGGGACTGTAAACTAGTTCAACCATTGTGGAAGTCAGTGTGGCGATTCCTCAGGGATCTAGAACTAGAAATACCATTTGACCCAGCCATCCCATTACTGGGTATATACCCAAAGGACTATAAATCATGCTGCTATAAAGACACATGCACACGTATGTTTATTGCAGCATTATTCACAATAGCAAAGACTTGGAACCAACCCAAATGTCCAACAATGATAGAGTGGATTAAGAAAATGTGGCACATATACACCATGGAATACTATGCAGCCATAAAAAATGATGAGTTCATGTCCTTTGTAGGGACATGGATGAAATTGGAAATCATCATTCTCAGTAAACTAACGCAAGAACAAAAAACCAAACACTGTGTATTCTCACTCATAGGTGGGAATTGAACAATGAGATCACATGGACACAGGAAGGGGAATATCACACTCTGGGGACTGTGGTGGGGTGGGGGGAGGGGGGAGGGATAGCATTGGGAGATATACCTAATGCTAGATGACGAGTTAGTGGGTGCAGCGCACCAGCATGGCACATGTATACATATGTAACTAACCTGCACAATGTGCACATGTACCCTAAAACTTAAAGTATAATAAAAATAAATAAATAAATAAATAAAAAATAAATAAATAAATAAATAAATATATAAATTAAAAATAAATGAATAAAAATAGAACTACCGTATGATCCATTTGTATATATTCTAGGTATATATCCAAAAGAATTAAATCACTATGTTGAAAAGCTATCTATACACCCATCTTTATGACAGCAAATTCATAATAGCCAAGGTATTGAATCAATCTAAGTGTCTGTCAATGAATGAGTGAATAAAGAAAGTGTAGTATATATATAATAGAATACTATTCTGCCTGAAAACAAGAAGGAAGTCTTAATATTCTCAACAACATGGCAAACCTGAAGACATTTTGCTAAGTAAAATAAGCCAGGCACAGAAAAACAAATACTGCATGATCTCATATGTGAAATCGACATAAAATGAATCATAGAAGCACAGAGTAGCAGAAAGATGCTTGTCAGGGGTTAGCAGTGGAGAGAAATAGGGAAAATGGGGAGATATTGGTCAAAGGGTACAAAGTTTCAGATGGAAGGAACAAATTCAAGAGATCTATTCTACGGTATGGTGACTATAGCTAATAATACTGTACTGCATAGTTGAAAACTGCTAAGATAATAGATCCTAAATGTTCTCACCACAAAACAGGTAAGTATGTGAGTTAATGATCTGTTAATTAGCTTGAGTAATAATTGCATAATTATGCATATGTCAAAACATTATGCTGTATATTATAAATAAATACATTTTTTTCACTTATCCTTAATAAAGATGGGGGGGGGGATATTTGAGTAGGTGAGAAACCAGGATGCTACCGTAAGTGCTCCAAATCGTAAGATTTCCATAGTAGAAAACAGTTCAAAGGGCGAAGTTATGTTCTTTAAGTTTTTAAAAATGTGTTTTTATGTGATGTTTTACCGTATGTGGTCCCAATTCTTGCTAAAAGTCATTTTACATACATTATTCTTGGTTCTTCACTTCTTGGGTAAGGTTAAGGACAAGGGCACATGCCTCATATTTTTCATGCCTAGTTAGAAATAAAGGAAGAGTCAGAGATGCAGAAGGAAGATAAAGTCAGCAGAATCAATGCAATTGCAAGTCACACTAGAAATTGGAGGGAAGTTCTGAGATGCGTTTTTATTTTTATAATAATTTAGGAAATAGTGTGTGAATCAATCATATCTAAATCTCACAGGCCTCAAAAGCTACAGCTGACATTTGAGTTATAGAGAAAACTCAGGCATTGCAAGTACGTTACTTTATACTGAATTCTCCTTTAGCCATTTTTCCGCTTCATTTGACTATGACTGTCAGTTTAAATTGCTCTAGGTATAGCGCAATTATTTCAAATGAAGATGGTTGACAATAATATATAAAACAAAATGATTACTTCTATAAAATAGATTTCTTTATTTGAAACACATATATTGACATACATAATATACTTATTAACCATAAATACTCAAATTAGATCAAGCTTTAAAATAAAAATAAGCTATCATTTTCCATATGACAGTTTCTATCATAAAATTTTTCCAATATATTTTCACATAATTCTTTCATACACCCATTGGCTTCAAGTCATTTTCAGAGCCTCTCTATTTGCCTCAAATGTTTTCCTTAGTTCCTTAGGTAATGCAGTTGCTCCAAGCACTTACCTCACCTAAGTATACCTAGCCTATGATGACCATTTGTTTATAAGCTCCATAGCTCAGCTTTACCAGCTCCTTTTACTTCCTATATATTTCTCACTGCCTTGCAAAAAAGAGGGATCTCAGATGCTGACTTCTGCTATACTGTTTCAAAGCCTCTCTTACTACAATTCATAAAACTTATTGTTCTACTATTGATACTGGATATGAAAGAATATGGACCAAAATTCCTCTCAAAATTTACTATCCGACAAAGAATAAGCATTGTTGGAGAAAAGGATTTGAAGTATTTTGCTGTGTATTTAACTAAACTAAAGATAGAAGACAAAAGTATTCTGCCCAAAAAGCAAGAAATTAAAAGACATATTGTAGAGATTTTTAAATTGAGAGTATCATCTTTTCATAGGATTTACAGCTTCGCTTTTATCAAGATTTACAACAAATTTCATGCCTTATTTTCAATCGAGAAATGTCTGTCTTGGATACATTAGGTTTGTACCATGGAAAAACATCACTATAGATGTTTTATCTTGATTTTACATAGCTGTTTTCTCCACAAGTGAATGGTATTTAGGCTGACTGTGTTTTATTCCTACCTGTTACCAGGAACTCCACGACCTTGTTAGAGTACATGCTCAGCAAGTGCTAACAGAGTGAGTGAATAAAAGAATGGTTGATAAATAAATAGAAGGATGAATCATTGTGAGGGGAGACTCTGTTATATTGTTAATATGACACATACACAGGCTCATTCCCACCCCATTAGTCTCTTCACTGCCCCTCTTACAACTTTGTTTCTGAGGGTGTAGATTAGAGGGTTAAGACTAGGTGTGACAACAGTATAAAAGAGGGCAATGAACTTGCCTTGATCTTGAGAATTTCCTGATGGTGGCTGGAGATATATGCACATGGCCGGAATGAAAAAGAGAGATACAGCCATAAGATGAGCTCCACATGTTCCAAACACTTTCTGAAGCCCAGTGGTTGACTGCATCCTCAGTACAGCTCGGACGATGGCACCATAAGAAGTGAGAATGAGGATGAGAGGTATGAGAACAAATATGGAGCTTGTGATCATGAGGGTCAGCTCATTGACATGGGTATCAACACACGATAATCGCAGAAGTGCTGGAACTTCACAGAAAAAGTGATCTACTTGGCGGTGTCCACACAGAGGTACCCAGAAGGTGAAGGAGGAATGAAGTGCTGAGTTGGTAAAACCACTTACCCAAGAAGCCACAGCCAGCAGGTGGCAGAAACGAGGGTGCATGAGGACAGTGTAATGCAAAGGTCTACACACAGCTGCATAACGGTCATAGGACATCACCACCAGTAGGACACACTCTGTGGTTCCCAGTGCGAGAACAAAGTAAAGTTGAATCATGCAACCAGCATAAGAGATGGTCTTTTCCGGGCCCCAGAGATTGACCAGCAACTGAGGGATAGAGCTGGTGGTGTAGCAGAGATCCAGAAATGAGAGGTTTGAAAGGAAGAAGTACATTGGTGTGTGCAGATGGGAGTCCAGGTATGACAGGATGATGATGAACAGGTTTCCTATCAGTGTCATCAAGTAGAAGATCAAGACAACCACAAAGATAACTACTTCCAGATGAGGCCAATTAGAAAATCCAACTAAAATAAAGTACCCCTCAGAGCTAGCATTGACTTTTCCATCATCATTCATTTCCTATTACCTGAGAGAAAAAAAAGAAAGGTAAACTCAAAAAACGAGTAAACAAATGATCCAAAAATATCAGCACACATGAATAAAAAATAAAAGCCAGTTTGAAGGGCTTGCCATCATTTAATTGTAGGACAATTTAACCATTAGTAGTAATGAATTTAACAAAAGAAGAATTATAAAGCTCATACTGATATAAAAAGTAAAAGAATAAATAAATGAATGGTGAAGATAAAGCTATTCCTTACAGTAGATCCCTAATTAACAAATATAGAAGGGGTGACGGTGTTAAGAAAAACATAAATGATTGCAAAAACTAGTGGATAAAAATTTGATGGGGAACAGAATATGTACAAATATCTAAAATAGTCTAAAATATCTCCTCACAACTTTCTAGTTAATTTCAAACTGAAAAACAGTAAAGTTTGTAGTAGAAAAACCTGTCAGACACCACCATAACCAGTGATTTTATTGATCTTAAGATCAACTGTATTTGCACAAACCAACATCATGAGCCTGCTGTGATGATGCTCTGAACAGGACATGCTGTCACTTCAGTGATATTTGTGTTAAAAATTCTAATAATGAAGACTAATTCTAATAATGAAGACACATGAGAAAAACTCAAATTGAGAGAAATAGCTTGCCTATACAATTCAGAAAAGTATCAAGTTTAAGTAGAAAAACAAAGGGTGAGGAACTGGTCCAGATGAAAAGAGACTAGTGAGATGTGATTTCTCAGTGTACAATCCTGGATTTTTTCAAAAACTAGCTATTAACAAAATTATTGAGACAATTTAAGAAATCTCAGTGTGGACTATGGATTAGATAATAATATTGTGCCCATATTAAGTTTGCTGATTTGGGTACTGTGCTGGACTTATGTAAAGTAACATCCTTTTCCTTAGACAAAAAACACTGAATAAAGTATTTGGCATAAAGGAACGTGTCATCTCCAACTTACTCTCAACTAGCCCAGAAAAAGAGATAGATAGGTAGATAGATAGATAGATAGATAGATAGATAGATAGATAGATAGATAAATAGATAGATAGTTGATAGATGATATAACAAAGCTTTGGGGGAAAATGTAAACTAATACTCAATCTGGTAAAAGGGTAAATGTTAGTCTTTTGTACTACTTTTTTGCAACTCTTCTCTAAGTTTGAAATTTTACCATAATAAAAAGTCACAAAAATACAAAATAATTTTTTAATTTTATATTTTATTTAGATGTTTGCCTTATTATAGAAAAATAACTATCAAGTTCTCATTCATTTTAGGGTGACATCTAGGTAAATGGTAATTGAAGGAAATTCCTAACCTAGCTAAGGAAGATAATTTCCATAAAACACAAAATCTTTCTTTGTTAATAAATAAGGAACTTTAGTTTTCTTTTCAGCATTTTCAGGTTATTTTCTTAAATGTGATTGTGGAAAACGTAATCATTGCAATCACAATAATCTTACATATGGATGAAAAGATATGTGGAAAATATTGAATTTAGTCATTTCAAAATGTTCACCTAAAGAAAAAATGTTTAGCTTCAATTAGATAAGAATCTTATCTTGTGATTTGTTTACTTGGACTCAAAATGTATTTCTAAACTGAAAAATTGAATACAAGTAGAGAAGACACAGACACTTGCTCATCAATATATGGGTATTCATGATACGAACTAAGCTAAAAATCTGGGGAGAACAGTGATAGAATGCTTTCTAAAGGATGTGTGACTACAACTGAATTTGAAAAGATTCAAACTTTACAGAAAGGAAAGGAAGATAAAAATTCAGTGAGAGAACAGAGAAGGAAGGAAAAGTGGGAGGGGCAGGAAAATGGAGGAGAACCTGAGTGTAGTTCTTAGAGTTGCAGGTGTGTCTATCACAGGGTTCAAGAAGCTGAACCACAGGGCCTGAAGAAGGTTTCTACATGATGTATTTTTCTCCAGGACAATAATTTAGATAGTATATAAATTCTGAGCATGAGCTATAATTAGTACATATTTATTCTCCAAGTTAGAGAGTTCTGAATATTTAATGAATCATTAAGTGGCTGTTCATCATTTAATACATTGTGCCCAGTGAATCTCATGTTACTTTTTTTGTTAAAAATAAAATATATCTTACAAATAGTTATGACTCCTAGGTGATGCTTTTTCTCCAGTGAGTTTTCAATCTTTCATAGAAAAAAATGATACTTATTTTTGTTATATAGTTATTGTGTCAGGCATAGCAACCCACCATTTAAATACCCCATTTTCTCTGAATTCTTTGCCTCTTCCAGCTTTGCCACATGCCCTCTATTTCATTCCTTCCACAGTCGGTTATTTTTCTTATACCTCCCAATTGGCTATGGCACAGGAAGAAAGAAATCATTGTGGGGCCACCTGTGATTGCCTCTTTTAGGGGTCTCTTAATCGCTCATGTTTTATAAATTCAATGCCTGAAAGAAATGTCAGGAGTAGCTAATTGGTTGAGTTTCAGCAGAAAAGTTTGGAACATTCAGTTTGGTCCCAAGATTAAAAGATTGACCTCAGACCTTTTAACAGACTTGGTAATGTAAATAATCATTAGCCAGTTGTTACACTAATCTAGATTACTTTCAACAACTTAAACAACCATCCAGGAAAATCAGTCTGCACATTGTTTTAAAAGAAAATTTTAAAAGCTATAGCTGAATCAAAAAGCAGCAATAGTCAAAGAGTAAATCATGAAGATTACTTGACTTAGAGGTCACAGCCCTTGAGGGAAGATGAAAATTTTCCAAGAGATTTTTAAAAATTTCTCTAGAATAGGAGATAATACATCATGAGAAATATGAACACAAATGTTATAGTTACCTTCTCTCATGCAGATAAAATTTTCTTCTTTCTTGTACAGTTGCCTCGATAATTTATTACATTAACTAAAACAACATTTAGCTGTGAGATACCTTTGCCAATTGCATGACCCATCTTTGAGCAATCTTACATAGAGAGGTTAGAATGAGATATGAGATAAGAAGCAAACAAACAAAAACTTACCAGATGCAAGCAAGGAAAAGGTAGGAATTTTTCTGGGTTAATTTTCTTCTTCCTGGTGGAGCAGAAAATAAAAGCCTTATCAAAAGTTAAAAGCCTTATCAAAAGCCATATCAAAAGTTTAAGTTATCCTTAACACAAAGAAAGGATAAATGCTTGAGGTGATGGATACCCCATTTAGCCTGCTGTGATTATTACACATTGTATGCCTGTATCAAAAATACCTGGGTCGGGTGCCGTGGCTCACACCTGTAATCCTGACACTTTGGGAGGCCAAGGTGGGCGGATCTCTGGAGCCCAGAAGTTCGAGACTAGCCTGGGCAATGAAGTGAGACCATGTCTCTACAAAAAATAAAAAGAAAGAAATTATCAAAAAAAATCTCATGTACCCCATAAATGCATACACCTATTGTGTACCCACAAAAATTAAAAGTTAAAAGTTGCTTTCATGGACTAGGAATAAGTGATCCTCTCTAGTTTTGGAAATCAGGTATAACGGAGGGAGAAAATAATCTCTTTTCCCCATCCCCATGTCACTGGCCAAGTTTTTTTATTCTTACCATAATATTTCTTTATATATTACCTAGTACTTAAGCAGTACTCAAACAATGCCTTTCACTCTGTCCTTCCTGTATCTGTCCACATTCCCTGTATATTGTCTTCCTAGCTGATGCCCTCATCATGCACAGACTGATCTGATCTCTGATTTTGATCACCTTGAAATCACCAACATAAATGCCTACACTTCCCTCATCTACTACATCAATTAGGAAAACAGTCTGAATGTAGCTATGACTATCATTGCTACAGAAGAGAAAGCTCTGAGTCTACTAAAAAAATTTAGTTTTACCCAAAAGATAAACTTATTAGAGCTTTCAGTGTATCAAGGGATGGGTCTTTATCTTAGAGTCAATGGGCCCTTTTTGGAAACAAAAGAATGTGACTTGCTTTCCTTGACTTGGGCCACTGGGAGGGTAAATCCCAAAGTAGCAATTAATGCCCTTCAAGGAGTTATCCTGGTTAGAACAGTTTCTCAGTGATGTTCTTGGCATGATGCCACATTGTTGTACGAGGATGACAAGGAATCTATAGTCCAGCCATAGCAGAGAAAAATACTTTGAGCTGTATCTGCAGGGAAGGGAATGGGTTATCTTGAGTTACCTGAAACCTCTTCCCCAATTCTTCAGTATGCTAGAGGCCAAATTTGAGATATAGCTTGTTAGGTAGTCTAATTTGGGAATGGGAAAAGGCATGAAACATTTTTTAAAAGGAAATATAATGACTACATTATACATATTTGTTTTATTAATTTGAATTTTTAATTGTGTCTAACATCTCTAAAATTCAAGGCCAAGTTCAGCCCTGCAAAAGTGTTAAAAATTACCTTTGAAGACCATTCAAACTATACTCAGAAGGTCACTACCAAACTCAGAAAACTTTTAACAAAATTATTTAATATTTCCAAAATATTGTTATCAATAATTTCTTTTGATGTCTTGTTAAAAGCTTTGCAGAAATATATAAAAAAGCTAAATTAGCTGTGATAGCTAGCCTACATCCCATGTTTTAAAAAAAAAGCACATCGTGAGTTTATAAACTAATGAAGATTTTTCAATTGTTACATTGTGTCTAGGTGATATATTCCATGTGTACCAGACAAAGTCTTGGTATGAAAATCAAGTCACATTTACAATACAATTATATTTTAAAGTCAGTACTTTTAAGAGCATGATCAGGTATTTTCCTGTCCACTTATGTGAAGCAACTGAAAACAGTCTTGGCTTCAGTAGTCTTGATTGTTGTGAAAACTCCATGTGAAAAATACGTAAACATTATCCTCGATGCCTAGTGCATAATCATTCAATACATGTTAGCTGCTATTACCATTATAGTGAATTTTAATTTGAAGTGATATTTTAACAAGTCATTCTATATTATTTCTTCATCCTTTATTTTAGATATTTAAAATATTAAAAATAAACCCTTATGTTCCCATCATTCAGAATCATCAACCATAACTTTTGTCATTTTTATTTTCAGAATTTTTAGCACATAAAGTATCACAGATAAAGTTCATATCCCCTTCAACTGTCACTCTCTGACCCAACACTAAATCCAGAGACAACTACCATGAGCTTGGTATATATCATTCCAGTTTACTTTAAAATATATTAAATATTATTTTTAAGATAAATATGATTAAATAGTCATATAATCATATGTCTAAACTTCTCTATCTTATTGGAGAGGAATTTGACCAGTGATCCTACAACCTGTGGGGACTAGCAGAATTCAATCAGTTATCAAAATCCAGGAAATGTCTGATATCCTGGTCTGTAGGAGATTGTACCAAGCTCCAATATTTTTCATGTTTTGGTAACTAGAATTGTAGGAGAGTTTTTGGCCCCTGCCAATCTACTGGGTGCCAGCAAATGTTAACATTTTTAGGTGTGATGTTAGTAACTTGTGAAAATACAGCTGGCATAACATGATTTAATTACAGCAAAGTATTTCTAAGGAAGCAACCCTCAACTTTTTTCTCTACAATACACACTCAGATAAATAAAACACATTGAAAGTCACATCTGAGGAATCAAAAGGAATAAAAGACACTAAATGATCTCTGTTGAGCTTCTGTTAATTTGAGTGCTTTGTATGGGAGGAATGTGAATTAGAGTAGATCACAAACTATTAAAGCATTGTAGATGGGAAGCTCAGTTGGAGTTAAGGCCTAGAAAATTCACATATACAACATGGAGTACTATGCAGCCATCGAAAAGGATGTGTTCATGTCCTTTGCAGGGACATGGATGAAGCTGGAAGCCATCATTCTCAGCAAACTATCACAAGAACAGAAAACCAAACACCACATGTTCTCACGCATAGGTGGGCATTGAACAATGAGAACAGTTGGACCTGGGGGGAAACATCATACACCAGGGCCTGTGGGGGCGGTGGGGGGGATGCGGGAGGGATAGCATTAGGAGAAATACCTAATGTAAATGATTAATTGATGGATGCAGCAAACCAACATGGCACATGTATACCTACGTAACAAACCTGCACGTTGTGCACATGTACCCTAGAACTTAAATAATAATAAAATAAAATAAAACAGACGATGGAAAAAAATCAGTCATATTTCTATACAATTTATAGTGGTATCTAAAAACATGAAATACATAGAGGTGACTTTAACAAAATATGGACAATAGCTATACAATGAAAACCTCAAATGCTTCTGAAAGAAAATAAGATGTAAGTAAATGGAGATCTATATCATGTCCCCAGATCAGAAAAGTCAATGTTGTCAAGTTGCCAGTTCTTCTCCAATTGGTCTATAAATTCAATGCAATCCCCAATCAAAATGCCACCAGGCTTTTTCTGTGGAAATGACACACTGTATTTTATTAAAGTTAAAATTTTTCTCTTTGAAAGATATGACAGTATTCTATTTGCAAAAGATTTGTTTGACCAAGGACTTGAGTTCAGAGTATACAAAGAACTTCAAATTCAACAATAAGAAGACAAATGACCCAATTTTTAAAGTGAGTAAAATATTTGAACAGAAGCTACACAAAATAACATATATGAAGCATATGAAAAGCACACAAGAGGATGGTCAATGTCAACACCCCTCAATGCAAATTATAGCCACAGGTAACCTAACTTGAGAGGTGAAAAGTATAAAAACTGACAATACCAAGTATTAGAAAGAATGTGAGTTCATTTGGAACTCTCATACACTGCTGTTTGAAGTGAAAATAGAACAGCCACTTGAAAACATTTTTGCAGTATCTCATAAAGATAATATACACTAAGCATGTGGTCCTCCTGGAGAGGTACAAATAAAAGGTATTTACCCAAATTAAGTGAAAACATGCATCCACACAAACACTTGTATACAAATTTTCATAGCAGCATTATTCATAATAGCCAAAAATTTTAAATACTCCCAAAGCCCTTCACAGATAAATGGATAAATTGTCGCACATTCGTACAATGGAGTTCTAACAAGCAATAAAAAGGAAAAAGTAACTGATACATGTGGCAACATAATAAATGTCAAAAACATCATGCTAAATGAAACAAGCCACACCCAAAGATTACACACTGCATGATTGCAATTATTTGAAATTCTAAAAGTGGGAAAAACCAAGTACATTTAGAGAAAATTAATGCTGCCTCAGGCTATGACTAAAAGGGGAAAGTTGACTACAAAACGGAAGTTCTTTGGGGAGTAATAGAAATGTCCTATAATCTTGATTGTGGTGGCATTTACACAATTATACATTTGTCAAACTCACTGAACTATTCTTTCAATTTGATATTGAGAAACCTGTCTTTGAGACTCAAATTTGCCATTTATTAGTGCGTGCATTTAGACAAGACTACTTAATCTCTCTGAGACTCAATTTCCTAATCTTTAACATAGGAACAATAATGTTTATATCTTATTTTTCTTTTGTTTCAAGAGGCTAATAGTCAACAAAGCTTTAGGGTTTCTATGATGACCAAAATTCTAATGAAACAAAATATATTAATGTGCTTTATAAGTTGTGTAGTACTGTTACAGTATAAAGGATTATAATTATACACTTTTTCCGATAGCTTATTAAATCCAATATTTGATGTCTAACAAAAATACAATAAAAAGAAAATATAAAAAAATTCATTGAACTATATACTTAAAATGTGTAGATTTCTTTGTACATAAATTATACTTCAATAAATTTGAAAAGAAAAGAGTCTTGTAGATCTTGAGAAGCTGGAGTGACACATGACATATTACAAATGGTAAGATTTCCACGGAGGCAGGAGGAATCTATGTTCTCATATTTTGTGAAGTCTGTGTGAGATGTGATGTGATCCCAATAATCCCACTGGGTACTTATCCAAGAAAAATGAAGTAAGTATTCCGAAGAGGTATCTATGCCCCCATGTTCATTGCAGCACTATTCATGACAGCCAAGATGAAGAAACAACCTAAGCATCCATTGATGGAGGAATGGATAAAGAAAATGTGATCTCATACACACACACACACACACACACAGCGAGAAATATTATTCAGCCAATAAAAAGAAAATCCTGCCATTTGTTATAACATGGATGAACTGGAGGATATTGTGCTAAGTGAAATAAACCACACACAGAAAGACAAAAGATGTATGATAACACTTACATGTGGAATCTAAAAAAATTGAACTCGGATAGGAACAGTGGCTCACGCCTGTCATCCCAGCACTTTGGGAGGCCAAGGCAGGTGGATCATTTCAGGTCAGGGGTTCAAGACCAGCCTGGCCAACATGGTGAGAACTAGTTTCTACTAAAATACAAAAATTAGCTGGGCGTGGTGGCGGGTGCCTGTAGTCCCAGCTACTGGGGAGGCTGAGGCAGGAGAGTTGCTTGAAGCCGGGAGGCAGAGGTTGCAGTGAGCCAAGATCGCACCACTGCACTCCAGCCTGTGTGACAGAGTGAGACCGTGTATCAAAAAAATAAAAAAACTGAACCCATAGAAGCAGAGAATAGAATGGTGGTTGCCATGGGCTGGAGGGTGGGAAGTGGAGAGACAGCCAAATTGTACAAACTTTCTGTCATAAGATGAATACATTCTGGAGATCTAATGTAGATTATGGTGACTATAGTTAATAATACTGTACTGTATACTTGAAATTTGCTTAGAGATTAGATCTTAAGTGTCCTGACCCTCCCCGCTCCCCCTACACACAGTAACGATGTGAGATGATGGATGTGTTAATTTGACTGTGGTAATAATTTCACAATTTGGTTTGATTTATATATAATCACATTGTGCACATTAAATATATGTTATTTTATTTGTGCCTCAGTAAAGCTGGAAAAAATAAAATCAAAATAAAGAAATTTTTTTAATAATGCTATTCAGCAAAGAACAAGGATGTTAAGAGTTTTAAGCTATCTTTAATATGTCATTAACTAGGCCAACTAAAGCAAATTAAGCACATATTCTGCTTTGTTTCATTTAATAGCACTGTCTTCCTACAGGAGCTATGAATTTATTATCAGAGTTTATTATCAAACTTATTGTTTTGCTTTCGATTTTTAAAAAGTGAAAGATGTATACAATCTGAAGAGTAATCAGAGTATATTGTTTCTGATTTTTAAAAGCTATCTTAATTTATTAGCATTAACCCCAGTGACAAATTAAGCCATGTACAGATACTTCATCTTTTATCTTATGTTGCCATTTTTCCCGATAGAGAGTGCATTCTGTTCAGACAAAGTATGTTATATTTATACATGTTACCAAGAATTTCACAAACTGGGAGAGAGTACATGTCCAGTAAGATTTAGCTAATGAAGAATAAGTTAATGAATAAATGGACAGATGAACGAATCAGCCATTTTAAAGAGATATTAGTTTACTGTTCAATGTGACAAGAATGCAGACCTACAGGATAAATTATATAATTTAGTGTCTTTAAAAAGTGAACTTCAACCAAAAAATTATGACATATCCTTTACCATATAATAAATGGTGTTATTCATTATGTTTACTATTTTTCTTTGCTGTGACTATTTTTAGCTTCATTTAAGGTTTATTTAATAACCAAAAACTTCTTCAGCCTACATCTTTGCAATATTGCCCTTCTCTTCCTATACATATCAATGGTCAGTTCATAATTTAGCACATTGTCAGAAATATTGCCAATATTTTTTAAATAATCTCCTCATAATTATTCACACACACATTTATTTATGTTGAAACCACAGTCCACAATTTTCATGGAAATAAATATAGAATTGTAAAAGAACAAAATGGTACTAATCAAAACCTTTATCTCAACATAATATTTCAGAACTAAATATTAAACAGAGCAACAAATGGGGGAACTGAACTATTCCATGTTTTGTGAGCTGTTAGATGAAACACAAATCACAAAGAAGCAGGGAAACAACCTTTCAAAATGGATAAGACCCTAGGAAAAACAACAGCCAACATGATTTCCCTGTCACATCCCCCATTCCCACCCCATTAGTCTCTTCACTGCCCCTCTTACATCCTTGTTTCTGAAAGTGTAGATTAGAGGGTTAAGACTAGGTGTGACAACAGTGTAAAAGAGGGCAATGAACTTGCCTTGATCTTGAGAATTTTCTGATGGTGGCTGGAGATACATGCACATGACTGGAATGAAAAAGAGAGATACAACCATAAGATGGGCTCCACATGTCCTAAGCACTTTCTGAAGCCCAGTGGTTGATTGCATGCTCAGTACAGCCCGGGCAATGGCACCATAGGAAGTGAGGATGAGGATGAGAGGTATGAGAACAAAAATGGAGCTCATGACCATGAGGGTCAGCTCATTTGCCTAGGTATCAACACATGATAATCGCAGAAGTGCTGGAGCTTCACAGAAGAAGTGATCCACTAGGCGATGTCTACATAGGGGTATCCAGAAAGTAAAGGAGGAATGAAGTGCTGAGGTTGTAAAACCACTTACCCAAGAAGCCGCAGCCAACAAGCGGCAGAAACGAGGGTGCATGAGGACAGTGTAATGCAAAGGTCTACACACAGCTGCATAACGATCATAGGACATCACCACCAGTAGGACACACTCTGCGGTTCCCAGTGCGAGAACAAAGTAAAGTTGAACTGTACAACCAGCATAAGAGATGGTCTTTTCCGGGCCCCAGAGATTCACCAGCAACTGAGGGATAGAGCTGGTGGTGTAGCAGAGATCCAGAAATGAGAGATTTGAAAGGAAGAAGTACATGGGAGTGTGGAGATGGGAGTCCAGGTATGACAGGATGATGATGAACAGGTTTCCTATCAGTGTTATCAAGTAGAAGATCAAGATAACCACAAAGAGAACTACTTCCAGATGAGGCCAGTTAGAAAATCCAAGTAGAATAAAGAAGTCTTCAAAACTTGCATTTTTTTTCATCAACATTCTTATTTTTCCTGTACCTAAAGAATCGCATAAACTCAAAGTCTGTCCATGCATTGCCAACTGCTCACTTGCAAACAGATTGGAGAAAAAAGTATCCCAATTCCAGATAGTGTGCACCATTATGGCAGTAGAATTTTTATACAGTTTCCTTTGTATGCTTCATTGAGATATTTGTCCAGCTGTGGATACAAGTAATAGCTTTTCAAGTTACTGAGTTCTTTTATATACATCCTTGAGTTAACATTTGGATAAATGAAGACTAAGATATTCCATAATCAGAAAGACAATATTTAAGAAAATAATTTTTTATTTTAAAAAGTTAAATTGATTTTTTTTTGCATTTTCAGACTATTTCCAATTTTGCAGTTACAGAGAAAGGAATAACTGCAGCCATAATAATCTTACTTATAGATAGGAACTTCCCATGTTAAAGAGCAATTAGGTAGTCACTTTAAAATATTAATATGAACTGAAAAGAAATAATTGGATATGATTATAGAAAGAATTAAATGATATTCATTTATTTATGCTAGCAGTTTATTTCTAGACGAATAAAATAACATGCAAATGAAGGTTTAAACAGACATGCACACACACACCAACTTATAAAAATTCACAATATAAGCAAAGCTGATTAATAAAGTGAAATAGAGTAGAGATATCAGTGATAGAGTGCTTCCAAAGTTACATGGGGGTATAATTATTATTGGAAGACAGAAAGATTACAGAGTCTAACAAAAACACCGGGAGGTGTAAGAGAGAAAGGAAGAGTGCTTTGAGGCACAACAGTGAAGAGGAGGTCAGAATGTGGCATTTGAAATTGAAAGAATGTATAACACAGGATTGTTAGACAGGGACAAGAAGACTTAAATGTGGTTTCTAAAAAATTTTATATGCTTTAGGCCAATAACTGAACTATACTTTAAATTCTGAGTCACAACTTATAATTTGTATTTCTGGGTTTTCTTCAATATTCCTAAATAGCATTGCCATCCCCCTTCTGCTCCCCTCCTGCCACAGCCAACTCTTCCTCTCATACTCTCTGATAAAATATGACAAAAGACAAATTTATTTACACCCAACTCACCTTCAGTGTTTTGAAAAACTTTTAACAACTCAAATATTCTAATCTTGACTCTTGAAAAAGATGTAAGGGTTTGCCTAATTAGTTGAGTTACAGCTGGAGAGCTAGGAACGTTGAACTTGGGCCAAGTCTGTGCAGATGCTCCAGACAGGTACAAAGATATCTGTACACTTTTCCATATTGTTGATAATGAAATGATCATTACCTTTTGAGAAATCATGGAAAAATTGCAAGAATTTTTTTAAAAATTTCGCTAGGTTGAAAGGTAATATTCTGTAAGATACTTGAACTCAAATGTTGTGGATACTTTTGCTAATGCAGGTATAATTTTCTTTCCTAATGCAGCTGCCTGACTTCCTTACTACAGTAATTAAAAGGTGAAATCTGATATTTTTCTGTTGTATAAACCATCTTTCAGCATTCTTCCAGAGTCGATAAAAAGGATAGGAAATAAGGGACAAAAAAAAAAAAAAACCCAGAACTCACGTAGAGAAAAGTTTGCAGCTTCGATTTTCTTCTTGGAGGAAAAGAGGGAAATGAAGACCCTATCAAATGTAGCTTTTATGAACTATGGAATAAAATATCTTCTCTCTTCTTTTAAATCAAACACTGTAGGGAAAATGGATGGCTGAGTGTCTCTTCTTTCCCCAATTATTACTAAGAGACATTTTCCCAATTCGTGTCATATTCATTCCTTTATACTATATCTGGTTTGTTTTCTTACTTTTTCATTGACTAGTAATAATTGTATATATGTATGGAGTACATTGTAATGTTTTGATATGTATATACATCATAGAATGATTATATTAAGCTAGTTAATGTACCTATCACCTCACACACATCATTTTTTTGTAGTAAGAACATTTAAAATCTACACTTCCTGCAATTTTGAAATACAGAAGCTGTACACCCCTTAAGAAGTGCGCCAACTTCTTTCAGTACTGACCTTCCTGTGTTTGTCCCTGTTCCCTGTCACTCTCTACCTGGCCTACGACCTCATCATGTATAAACTGATGAAGGGGCTCTCTGGTTGCCATGCAACCTAGAAACATCAACCTAATTGCCTTCTTATAACATTTTTGCCAATGTTTTAAATCTAACTATGGAGAACAGAGTCTGGAAATAACTGTGATTGTCATTGCTACAGAAAAGAGAGCCTGAGTTTGTCCAAAAGATCTGCTTTTTAGCAGAATGTGGGAATACTTTAGAGCATTCAAGGTATCAGGGGATGGACCCTTTATCCCAGAGTAAATGGAATCTTTATGGAACCAAAAAGAATAATGGGATACTCTTTCATTGACTGGGGCCTTTGGGAGTATAAATCCCAAAGTTGCAATTAATGCCCTTCAAGTTGTCCTGGTGTGGTGTTCTCAGTACAAAACTCTTCACAGAAATATCTTCAGTATGATGTTATAGTCTTACTGTGATGACAGTGAATTTATCACTTACAAATATGGGAAAAGATGCTGTGAGTTATATTTACAATAAAGGGAATGGGTTTTACTGAGCCATGTGATTTTTTTTCAGTTTTCCATGGGGCTAAGGGTAAAATTTACAAGACAACTGGAAAAAAGGAGTGATTTCAGAGCCATTCAACTGAAAAACTAGAATACATAAAGACTAAACTGTATATCTATTCCTTACTAATGACGTGCTCTTTGAGACTGACCTATATTATTTATGCCATCCCAGTTGTCTTTTAAATTCAATTCCAAGATTTTTCCTGCAAAAGGTTAAAAAATATCTTGTGTTTAAAATCTCCCCTTTCCCCATCCCCTACCCCCAAGGTAGCTATATTCTACTCTCCACTTGCATGAGTTTATCTTTTTTAGATTCCACATATGAGTGAGATCACGTGGTATTTGTCTTTCTGTGTCTGGCTTCTTTCACTTTGCATAATGTCCTGCAGGTTCATGAATGTTGTTGAAAAGACAGAATTTCCTTTTTTCTTTAAGGCTGGATAGTATTCCATTTTATATAGATAATGTGGCTCATATATATCACATTATATCCCTTTTATATATTTATCTGTTTATCCATTGATGGGCATTTAAGTTCCTTCCATATCTCAGCTATTGTGAATAATGCTACAATGAACATGGTAGTGCAAATATCTGTAGTGAATTCTTATGATTTTATGTTGCCTCAGTGTTTATTTTCAATATAAGTTGAACTTTCTCATACCAGAAGCAGGGCTTAGTCACCCTTAACACAATTTCGAGTTCTCCTCTCCCAGTTTCTCAAGGTGGTCAATCCAGATATTTGGCCTCTTGGTTTCCACCTTCCTGTGGAGCACCTAGATACAACCTGTTTGACTTATCCCACTGATCCCCACACCCCACATGGACTGCAGACTTGCAGTAGTGAACACCTCTCAATACAACATAACTCCCAAGAACTCATGCCTGCTTGCTTTAAACCCAGCAATCAGTTACTCCCTGCTTAGGAAATGCTGTGTACCCCAGTAAAGGCTTCGGCCTTCTCGGCTGTCACTCACTCTCCCTTGCTACCCACCCACTGGTTGAGCATGCATGTCTCTGAGGGCTGCCCCTTCTCCCGTTAGGCCTGTGAGGAAAGTTTCCTTCTTCTCTCTGGATCTTTAAGTAATAAAACTACTTCTATTACGTGTTTTTTTTTACTTGCGTCTCGCGTGACTGACATACGTGAAATTAACTTCTTTTCTGGACAAGGCTCTCTTAAAGAGTGGTTATCTTGGTAGGAATGAACTGGACACACTAGTCAGACAAGAGCCACAAGGGTGTCTGCCAGTGAAAATGAGTTTCCAGTGAGAGGGACACCTGGTCATAAATAGGACAATTAGGCATTAGCTCTCCATCAGGATATAGAAGTATTCCACGAAAAAAACACTGAAAACATCCACAACCACAACCACCTCCACTGGAGCCCATCAGAGCAGGGCTAGAGTTTCTGGCTCCTCTTCAAAGAGAGACGTTAAGACCAAATTAGAGGAAAATCTACCAATATATTTTTAACATATTAATTTCAATCTCTTTGGCTATGTACTCAGAAATATAGTTGCTGGATCATATGGTAATTCTATCTTTTTTTGAGGAACCTCCATGCTGATTTCAATAATGGCTGTATTAATTTACATTACTACCATTAGTATATAAGGATTCCCTTCTCCACATCCTTGCTAATACTTATTAACTCTTATTTTATTGATATAGCCATTCTAACAGGTATGAGGTGATATCTTATTGTGGTTTTAATTTGTATTTCCTTGATGTTGAGAAATTTTGTTATGTATCTGTTAGTCTTTTATGTCATCTTTTGAAAGATGTCCATTAAGTGTTTTGCTCAGTTTTAAAAGGGGTTCTTTGTTTTCTTGCTAACAAATTTAAGTTGTTTGCATTTCTTACATATTTTGGATATTAGCCATGTATGGTTTGTAAATATTTTCTCCCAGTCCATGGGTTGTCTCTTCAATCCGTTATTTACTTTGTTATACAGAAGGTTTTTGGTTTGAGGTAATCCCATTTGTCTATTTCTGCTTTGGTTTCCTGTGCTATTGAGATCATCACCAATAAATTATTGCCAAGATTAATTTCAAGAACATTTTTCCCTATGTTTTCTTCTAGTAATTTTACATTTTCTGGTCACACATTTAAATCTTTAAACCATTTTTAGAGGATTTTTGCATATGGTGTGAAATAAGGTTTCAATTTCATTGTTCTGTATTTGGGTATTTGATTTTCCCAGCATCATTTATTAAAGATACTGCCCTTTCTCCATAGTGTGTTCATTCTTGGCATCTTTGGCAAAAATCAGTTAACCACAAATGCATGAGTTTATCTCTGGGCTCTCTATCACATTACATTGGTCCGTGTGTCTGTTGTTATGCCACTACCTTTCTGTTTTGAATACTATAACTGTGTAATATATTTTGAAACAGGTAGTGTGATGCCTCCAGCTTTGCTCTTTTTGCTCAAAAGTGCTTCAGCTACTTAGGGGTTTTTGTCATTCCATATGAATTTTTAAATTGCTTTTTCTATTTCTGTGAAACAAAAAAGTCATTGAACTTTTATAGAAATTGCACTGAATCTGTGTATCACTTTAGGTAGTACACATATTTTAATAATATTAATTCTTCCAAACCATGAATGCAAAATCCATCATATTCTGGGTTTTTGTTTGGTAGAAGACTTTTATTACTGATTCAACCTCCTTACTCATTATTAGTCTGTTCAGATTTTCTGTTTTTTTCATGATTCATTTTTGTTATGTTTCTAGAAATTTAACCATTTCTTCTAGGTTACCCTATTCGTTGGTGTAAAATTGTTCATAGTATTCTTTTATGAGCTTTTGTACTTCTGTAGTATCAATTGTAATGTCTCCTCTTTCATTTTTGACTTTATTAGAGTCTTCTTTTCTTCTTAGTTGGTCTACTCAAGTTTTGCCAATTGTTTTTATCTTTTCAAAAATTCAAGTCTTAGTTTTGTGAATGCATTCTATTGTTTTCTAGCTTCTTATTTATTTCTGCTCTGATCTTTGTTATTTCCTTCCTTCTGCTAACTTTGGGATTAGTTTGCTCTTCTCTTTTTCTGGTTTCTTGAAATGTAACATTAGGTTGTTTGGGATCTTTCTTCTTTTTTAATATAGGCATTTATTACTACAAACATTCCTCTTGCTAATATCTTCTTTTGCTACATGCCATAAGTTGTGGTATGTTGTGTTTTCATTTTCATCTGTCTTAAGATTTTTTTTAATTTTGCTTTTGATTTTTTATTTAACCCATTGTTTATTCAGGAGCATGTTGTTTAATTTCCACGTTTGTAAATATTTTAAATTTTCTCCTATTATTCACTTCTACTTTCATAACTTTGTGGTCAGAAAAGATACTTGATATGATTTCGATCTTCTTAAAACTGTGGAGACTTATTTTGTTCCCTAATATTTGATCCTGGATAATGTCCCATTTGCACTTGAGAAGAATGAGTATTCTGTTGCTGTTGGATGGAATGTTCTATATATGTCTGTTAGGTCCATTTGATCTAATGTGCGTTTCAAGTCCAGTGTTTCCTTATTGATTTCTGTCTAGATGACATGTTCATTGTTGAAAGTGAAGTGTTGAAAAACCCTGCTATTACTGTATTGCAGTCTGTTTCTTTTTAGGTCTATTAATACTTTCTTTATACATTTAGATGATCTAGTATTAGGTGTATATATATTTACAATTGTTACGTCCTTTTGATGAATTGACCCTTTTATCATGTAATGACTTTCTCTGTCTCTTTTTACAGTTTTGGACTTAAAGTCTGTCTAATATAAGTAGAGCTACCCCTGCTGTCTTTTGGTTTCTACTTGCATGAAATATTTTTTTCAGTCAATGTGTGTTCTTTAAGTTAAAGTTAGCCTCTTACAGGCAGCCTATGTTTGAGTATTGTTTTTCAGTTTTTTCCCAAAGCAAATCATTTTAGTAGGTTGTCAAATATACAATTATTGGAAATATCTAAATATTACCTGTAAAAATCAGCATATCACATTAGATAATTCTATAAAGTAAGAAAACACAAATCACACATTGCCAATAACCGCTGCAGTCCAAGAATATCCTCCTGTCAATAGTACAAATTACAAACACATTTTTAAAACTAAAGATGTTATTTAGACATTTAAACCAAAGTAACCATGACTAGCCTAAATACATTCATTCATCAAGTACAATAAATTTAGCATTGCTACTTACAGTCACTAATAACACAATTTTAGGTGCAATTTTACCTAAAATTTCATAAATTTTCCAATACAGTTCCAATAGTAAAGTGTCTTTGTGCATGCCATTTCCATTTATATGTGGGTGCATCATATATCAGACTTAAGGCTATTTCACCTCATTATTAAATTGTTCATAAATATATAAAGAAAGTGAACACCAGGCCAAAATTTAATCCCAATGATAAAAAAAATATATATATATATAATATATATAAAATATATATATTATTAAAAAGTCAGGAAACAACTGTGAGCCAAAATAAACCTTTTTTCTTTGTAAATTACCCAGTCTTAGGTATTCCTTTATAGCAATGCAAATGGATGAATGCAGAAACAAAGGATCGGTCTGCATTTCTTAACTTCAGAAACTACAGTCTTTGTAGTTTCCTTTGTAGTACCTTTGTAAAGACGAAGATCTTTAAATAGTTTAGTGCTTAGTGTCCTTGTTAAAGTATAACGTTATATAATGAACACCGGCTGATAAATTATTGATGCATTAACTGGCAACATTTCAAAAAAAATTCAAACTCGAAATCTCAGTTTAGAATCTTCCAAGTGAATGAGAACCCCTAACTCTGTTCAGGTCAAATGTTGCCCCCTCACAGAAACTGACTGACCATGCTGTCTAAAGTAACAGCCTCAGCTAATTTTGATTCTCTTACCCTGCTTTCTTTTTCTTCATAGCATTTATCACTATCTGACATTGTATTATATATCTATTTACTTATTATTAGTTTTCTATCTCCTTACTAGTATGTAAGCTTCATTAGAACAGAGACTTTATTTCTTTTGATTATCAATATATCTCCTGTGCACATGACAGTGCCTGACACTTATCACCATGACATAAAGATTTATTGAGTAAATGATTAAATGGTTTGTTTCCATGTTCATGTTCCAACCAGACACATAGGCAGGTATTGTGGCTTATCTCTGAAGTCCTTGGCACTGGCTGGCTGGCATAGAACCTTGCAAACAATGAATAAATAAATTACCCTGATCGATCAGTGTGCCTGGATAGAGAAGACATGTAGCAATGCTGCACCCCTGGATGTGCTATTAATACAATTATACAGCATGGAATACTATGTAGCCATAAAAAAGAATGAGTTCACGTCCTTTGCAGGGATACGGATGAAGCTGGAAGCCATCATTCTCAGCAAACTAACACAGGAACAGAAAACCAAACACCTCATGTTCTCACTCATAAGTGAGAGTTGAACAATGAGCACACATGGACACAGGGAGGGGAACTTTACACACCGGGGCCTGTCAGGGGGTGGGGGGCAAGGGGAGGGAGAGCATTAGGACAAATACCTAATGCATGCAGGGCTTAAAGATGACAGGTTGATAGGTGCAGCAAACCATTATGGCACATGTATACCTATGTAACAAACCTGCACGTTCTACACATATATCCCAGAACTTAAAGTAAAATAAAAATAATAATAATTTATAAAATACACTTAAAATTTTTTTTTAACCAAGATTGTTCTCTTGAGGTTAACTTATTACTACTTTGAGTTGCCAGGAGTGATTGCACATTTCTTGGGAATCCCTAAGTCACCAAGAATAAAGACCACTTGTAATAACTAAGGCATATTCAACAATAAAATTCTAGAGATTCGGGATATTTGATATTTGCTTGTAACATTTCACTTTTTAGCTTTTATTCATTTAATAAATGTTTTCTTTATCATCTTGTATACTCATGAACAGTTTTAAGTGTCCATTCAAATCATTTCATTGGGAAAAAAAAAGTCAGGAAACAACAGATGTTGGCAATGCTGGGGAGAAATAGGAACACTTTTACACTGTTAGTGGAAATGTAAATTAGTTCAGCCATTGTGGAAGACAGTGTGGCGATTTCTCAAAGATCTAGAGCCAGAAATACTATTTAACCCAGCAATCACATTACTGGGTATATACTCAAGGGATTATAAATAATTCTACTATAAAGACACATGCACACATATGTTTATTGCAGCACCATTTACAACAGCTAAGACTTGGAACCAACCCAAATGCCCATCAGTGACAGACTGGATAAAGAAAATGTGGTACATATACACCATGTAGCCATAGAAAAGAATGAGTTCATGTCCTTTGCCGGGACATGGATGAAGCTGGAAACCATCATTCTCAGCAAACTAACACGGGAACAGAAATCCAAACACCACACGTTCTCACTCATAAGTGGGAGTTGAAAATAAGAACACGTGGACACAGGAAGGGGAACATCACACACTGGGGCCTGTTGAAGGGTGGCGGCACAGGGAGGAGAGCGTTAGGACAAATACCTAATGCATGAGGGGCTTAAAACCTAAATGACAGGTTGATAGGTGCAGCAAACCACCATGGCACATATATACCTATGTAACAATACTGCATGTTCTGCACATGTATCCCAGAACTTAAGGTAAAATTTTTTTAAAAAAGTAAAACCACAAAAAATAAAATAACTTTTCTATTATAATCCAAGCACAACAAATTGTATTTGAAAACTAATTACAAATATATATTACATATAGAAAGTATGTATATATGTCTATTAAACTTATATATAAATTATTAGCTACAACAGATGTCATATAGTTACAAAAATCACAGGCTAAGAAAATGTCCTAATTTAGAAAATGATCATATTCTACACAAAAAGAAAAATGAGGAAAAATAGATACATTAAAATACGAGCACATTAGTTTCCTTAAGATTATATCTAGGCTGATGCTCAATTCAATTACAACTTCTTTATTTTACTAAGATCTTAGGATAAGCACTTATTAAGTCACATATTAAGTCATAACTTGCATAAATCAGCTTTTTTTTTTTGGAGATGGAGTTTCGCTTTTGTTGCCCAGGCTGGAGGGCAATGACTTATCTTGTCTCCCCAGGTTCTAGCGATTCTCCTGTCCCGCCTCTGCCTCCCGAGTAGCTGAGATTACAAGCACCCACCACCATGCCCAGCTAATTTTTTGTATTTTTAGTAGACACTAGGTTTCACCATGTTGGCCAGGCTGGTCTTGAACTCCTGACCTCAGGTGATCCGTCCGCTTCGGCCTCCCAAAGTGCTGGGATTACAGGCGTGAGCCACCGCCCCAGCCCTCAGCTGCTTCTTTCAAAAACTATTCCCCCTATTGCAATTTCATGTAATTTCTGTGTGTTCTGACCCAGTGAATTAATGCTAACCTTAAATTTCAATGTGTATATTAATATGTTAAGTGACTTTGTATGACATAATTTTTAACCTACAGATCTCTGGTAGCTTTAGTTTACAAACACTTATTACTAAAATCAGTGAAAATAGAAATATCATTTTTCCCTATACGCCATCATAGGACTCCCTATTTGACCTTGCAACTATTTAAAAGGAATTTGGGGCTATAAGTTCATTAAACCTTGTGCTTTCCTAATTAAACAACTTTAAATTTATTTTTCATTGTTTATTTTTGTTACTCTAATCTTCACCCTAGTTTTAGAATTTGTGAACGACATATGTGGTAGTATTATGCAACCAGCCCAGTTAGGAATAGAGTTGACTTATTGACTCTCTGGACATAATGACCAATTAAACTTGAGGGACTCTAGAATCTCTAGGGCTAAAAAGAGGACACAGAATTGTGTGAGTGGTACTCCCTTAATAAATATTGGTTGGCTTTATTTAAAGGCATAACTTTCTTTCCATGACACTTCCAATGTTGTTGATGTCTATAAAGTCAACTTCTCGTTGTAGAAATCCACTAGGAACCTGGTGAGGAGAGCCCATGTCAGTCAAAAATGCCCCAATGACTGAAGACACACTAACTATACACATTTTCCTCTCCTCATAAGTATTTTTCTCACATGTTCTTGATGCAGTCCAGGTTTCATGCTAATTTCATTCTTGGTCAGTGGGCAAAAGGTAGTTGAGTTAGAATGTCGTAAAGATTGAAAATTCAAAAACTCAACTGCATTTATTAATCTGTCTTTGAACCAGACTTCCTTTGAAACACAGCACAAAGAAAGGCGTGAATATCTCTTGGACATTTAGAAAAAAGGTGAGTGGCGTCTAATACAGTGTATTATATTACCATGAGTGGGAAGGATCTCTCAAGAACATCTCACCTACATCCCTGCCTCTGAGTTGCATCATGTTAAATAATCAGAATGCCCAATTTGTTTCCTGGGAACTTTGAAATTAATATGAAGTATTTTCAGTGATTCCAAAAATCCTTCGTATCCTTTCACCCTTTTGAATGGTTTGCTCATTATATCTCTGTACATAAAAACGGTCAGTGGGATTTAAGATTTCTTTTGATTCATGTAGAAAATAGAAATAGGACAAAAAGTCAACGTGACAGTGGAATCAACATGTTCTTGTCAAGAGGTAAGTTCATTTTCTGATAACGTAAAAGAGAAATTGGCGCCATATAAAATATGAAGAAAATAAGAGAAATTATCAGTGCCATATAAAATGTGAAGAGAAGAGGACGTGAAAAAATAGGAGTAGAAAATAACAGCTACTGAATAGGGTCCTCTTTTATTCCATGCCCTTTAGATAACCAGATATCACCTACTACATTGATTTAACTTCCATTTACTGGAAAACTATGTACTCAGTATATTATGCTAGAAACAAAGACAAAGTGATAATATGAAATTCAATAATTTCATGTTATAATATTATGAAATTATAACAATCACTTGAACCACCAATAGTAAATTTTCTGTTTTCTCATATACAAGACAAGCTGAGATAATGATATAGTATTACTATTAATGACTTATTAGTGATTAGTATTAATGATACTGCTATTGATATCAAGCTCACATTCATTAAATGCTTAGTATGCTTGGGACAGGGTCCTAAGTTCAGATGTGTATACATTGTCTCACTTGAGCTTCACAATACTCTCTTTTTATCAAGTCAGAGATTGTTTTTTAATGTAGCACAAGAATGTTCATTCATTGCCCAGGATCACACAATCCAGTAATAAAACCCTGGCAGATTCTGGCTCCAGAGGCACTGTACCTAACAGCTAACCTTTAACAGTGATTTTTTTTAATGCTACTAAGTAGGAAGACAATGTGATACTTTCTTCTTGTTTTTATTTGTGTTTCTTCAATAATGAAAAAGTTATAATCTTTTATACTTTCACTGTCATTTTATGTTGTTTTCTTCCCCAAACTGCTTATTTATGTCCATTGCTCATTTTTTTCCATTGGACTTTTGATCTTTTTCTATTTATTATGTAATAATTATTTATATTTTAATATAATAACCATTTTTTCCATAAACATTGTATATTTTTCTATCTTGCCATTTATGTTTTATCTTTCTGTGTAGTCTTTTTCTGATATAAAAAATTGTATTAATGAGTAAAAATTGTATATATTTATAGTGTACAACATGATGTTTTGATATATGTGTACATTATAAAGTGGCTAAATCAAGTTATCTAATGTATGTATTACCTTACATATTTATCATTTTGTAAATTTACATGGACATTCAAAAAAGCCTAATCTCATATTCTCTTCTATTTTTCAACCAAAGGTGTATTACTGTTATTTGCCAAAAAATAATGTGTATCTATAGCTAAAAAAAATCATATATAATGGAAGAAGTTAAAAATCTCAAGGTCATCTCTGTTCATTTTCATTTATTCATTCCATTATCAAATTATACTTTATATATCAGTGTTTTTACTCTGGAAAAGTTATCTTATTCTGTGGTAAATTGTGTCAATACTTATTTTCTCTTCTCTCTTCAGTCTATCTTTCTATTTTTATGCTTGCAAATTCAAATGGTGTAAACCACCTCGATGACATTTCATTTAAACATGCAAAGTAGACTGAAGAAACTTAGGTGCACTTAGGTAATATAACTAAATAACTGATGACTTTTACAGACTGAAGAAAATCAACTTGAATATATGACTTTTGGTTTGTTTCTATTTTAATTTATGACCACTTTTGTGCTGTATGCAGTCATTCTTATTGTACTATCTGTGTATTTAGGGGGAAATACGGTATAAAAGAAAGAATGATCTTTAAATCCTAGGTGTTAGTCTTGACCTCACCAATAATGAGTGTGCAAATTATTTATTCTTACTGAATCACAGAAGCAATAAAATGCAAACCATGACTGTGAGGGGTTTGATGAGAATTACAAAGAATGTATTTCACACACTGAGCAGTTTCTGGCACATGTTAAGTAAAGCAACAATTATGTTATCAGTTTTGCTATTTTAATTAAGGTATTTGCAGATGGGGAGATGACATCTGTGGTCATTACTATATATCACAAGTAGCCATAATTTTATTACTAATACCCACGGTAGTTCTTTGTGGAAATGGACCTACATGCATGGCATTTAGGAGACAGACACAACTCAAAAAAACACGTAAAGATGTTACTAAAAGAAGCAAAATTTCTTTAGATCAATTGCAGATTTAGATTCAACTCTTATACCCTCTATATTACTCAGCATTTTCAGGCCAAATTTAAAATAATTGGAGTAAAAGTAATATTTCTTTCTAAACTGTTTATTAAGATAGGTTAGGAGGTAAGAAGAGGAGAGAACATAAAATGCATTGAGAACTCACAATTTTCCATGTGTTATGCATATGTTACATACTTTATGTCATTTAAATGTAATGATTTTCTTTAAAGTAATTTAAACACTACTGAAAACACAGGAACTACTTTTAAGCTTAAACATAACCATATTATACTTTACAAGGGCTTTATCCACTTGACTGTAAATTGTATTTGATGCTGAGCTATTCATTAAATTTAATTCAGCTCCAGTAAGAGTATTCAATAAACAAACATTGATTGCTTTCCTATCTTACATTTTTTTAGGAGTGCGAAATAAGTGAGTCATCATGAATTGGGAAAATGAGAGCTCCCCAAAAGAGTTTATACTACTTGGCTTCTCAGATAGGGCTTGGCTACAAATGCCCCTTTTTGTGGTCCTGTTAATATCATACACAATCACCATATTTGGCAATGTGTCCATCATGATGGTGTGCATTCTGGATCCCAAACTTCATACTCCCATGTATTTCTTTCTCACTAATCTCTCCATCTTAGATCTCTGCTATACCACAACTACAGTCCCTCATATGTTGGTAAATATTGGTTGCAACAAAAAGACCATCAGCTATGCTGGCTGTGTGGCCCACCTCATCATCTTCCTGGCCCTAGGTGCTACAGAGTGTCTCCTTCTGGCTGTTATGTCCTTTGACAGATATGTGGCTGTTTGCAGACCCCTCCACTATGTAGTCATCATGAATTATTGGTTCTGCCTAAGGATGGCAGCCTTCTCATGGCTCATTGGTTTCGGCAACTCAGTGCTGCAGTCTTCCTTGACTCTTAACATGCCACGCTGTGGTCACCAGGAAGTGGACCACTTTTTCTGTGAGGTGCCTGCACTTCTCAAGTTGTCATGTGCTGACACAAAGCCTATTGAGGCTGAGCTCTTCTTCTTTAGTGTACTAATTCTTCTAATTCCAGTGACATTGATCCTCATCTCCTATGGCTTCATAGCTCAAGCAGTATTAAAAATCAGGTCAGCAGAAGGACGGCAAAAAGCATTTGGGACATGTGGGTCCCACATGATTGTGGTGTCCCTCTTTTATGGAACAGCCATTTATATGTATCTTCAACCACCTTCATCCACCTCTAAGGACTGGGGAAAGATGGTTTCCCTCTTCTATGGAATCATCACATCCATGTTGAACTCCCTCATCTACAGCCTTAGAAATAAAGATATGAAGGAGGCCTTCAAGAGGCTGATGCCAAGAATCTTTTTCTGTAAGAAATAAGAAGTACTCCATTGTGATGAGAATCTTCTTAGTCTTTCCTTATCTTCAATGATGGTAATGACCTTTGAACTCATTTTCCTATTTTCCAGGCTCTGGTGATTTCACTAAATTCTGTCAACAATTAGAAAATCCTTCCTCTGTTGGCTGGGCGCGGTGGTTCACGCCTGTAATCCCAGTACTTTGTGGGGGCCAAGGTGGGCAGATCACATGAGGTCAGGAGTTCGAGACCAGCCTGGCCAACATGGCGAAACCCCATCTCTACTAAAAGTACAAAAAAATTAGCAGGGCATGGTGGTACACGCCTGTAATCCCAGATACTCAGGAGGCTGGGGCAAGAGAATCGCTTGAACCCAGGAGTCAGAAGTTGCAGTTAGCCCAGATCGCGCCACTCACTCCAGCGTGGGTGACAGAGTAGGAATCTGTCTCAGGAAAAAAAAAAAAAAAAAAAAAAAAAAAGGAAAGAAAGAAAAGTCTTCTTCTGTTTAGGAAGCAATGCTGAACCCATATGACATGTCTTCAAAGTTAGAAACTCCTTTCTTTTCAGAAGTTCCCCCAATGTACTCTGTTCCTTGAGACAAGTCATGTCAATTTCCTATCAACTTCAGGGTAGTCAGGAGACTTTGATGGATTGCCTTCCACTTGTATACTATTATTCTATAACCATCCTGTCTACGCCTTTAGTTAGGGATTTTAATATCCTTATAATTAAATTACCAGTTATTCCAAGCCAAAAATTATTCCATCAGAATCAAAGTCTTCAAACACTTTGAACCCTCTGATCTCTTGATAAAATTCATCATATGCACCTTTTCAGAACTGTTTTTGGTATGTAATTTGGCTTCAATCTAGCTGGCTTTGTTTTTGTTTTGTTTGAGAATGAATTTTACTCTTGTTGCCCAGGCTGGAATGCAATGGCACGATCTCAGCTCACTGCAACCTCCACCTCCTGGGTTCAAGTGATTCTCCTGCTTCAGCCTTCCAAGTAGCTGGGATTACGGATGCCCGCCACCATGCCCAGCTAATTTTTTGTATTTTTAGTAGAAACGGGGTTTCTTTGTGTTGGCCAGGCTGGTCTCGAACTCCTGACCTCAGGTGCTCCACCCATCTCAGCCTCCTAAATTGCTGGGATTACAGGCATGAGCCACTGCACCCAACCAATCTAGCTGGTTTTAAACCAGCTAAGTGTGTGCATCTCAATCTGGAAACCTTAAATGTCAGTTGAGTTTTATTTCAAATTCTATTTTCAATTCATCTCTTTATTCCTCCGGATAGCATTTATCCTTTCTTCCCTTTTGTTAAATTCCTTATTTGTCCCAAGTTCTACCTCAGGTATGTGGCATCTTTTCTAAATTATAGAGCTAATTATAGAAATGTTAATGGGAATCCTTTTTTCTCATATTGACCTGAATTAGCTTACTCTTTATCTGTGGTAGTCATTCAATAAACATTTATTGTTCACAAGACAGCAGTAGTCCAGAGGAGAAATATCACAGTTCCTCTGCTGAAGAAATGTGCTAGTTCCAGAAGGCAATGATTCTTAAACTGAGACATTTAAATGATGGTTTACAGTTAGTAATGTAAGGACACAGATGAGGCAACATTTCAGGCAACAGAGAAAGCTTTACAAAACAAAGCATTTCATCATTACAAGTAATTTAGCAGTTAAACAATACAAAACCAGGCAAGATGAGGTTGACGATGTAATATAATTATATATTATATATAGTTCTATATCACATATAATTATGATAATGATATATTATATATAATTATATTATATATAATTATATTATATATTATTATATTATATATAATTATATTATATATTATTATATTATATATAATTATATTATATATTATTATATTATATATAATTATATTATATAATTATAATTATCTTATATACAATTACAATTATATTATATATAACTATAATAATATTTAGATGACATTTCAAATAAGTGGAAAAAGAAGAGACTGAAGAAATGTCTGTTGAGTTTTATTTCAAATTCTATTTCAATTCATCTCTTTATTCCCCTGGATAGCATTTCTCCTTGTTTTTCCCTTTTGTCAAATTCCATATTTGTCCCAAGTTCTACCTCAGGCATGTGGAATGACCCCTTAATTATAGAGCTAATTATAGAAATGTTAATGGGAATCATTTTTCCTATATCGATCATATCTTCAGAAAACACAAAAAATGAAAGAACACAAAGGGATCCACCTTTTACCTGGATCTCTGTTGTTACCCAATCTACCTTTATGCACTTCTCCCAACTCACTACCAGCGGAGTTTGCGTTTTTTCGTGTGCATTATATCAGAAAATATTCCTATGTTTTCTGGTATTTAAAACATAATTGAAATAGCTGCAAATTGGGCCGGGCATGGTGGCTCACACCTGTAATCCCAGCACTTTGGGAGGCCGAGGCGGGTGGATCACGAGGTCAGGAGATCGAGATCATCCTGGATAACACGGTGAAACCCCGTCTCTACTAAAAATACAAAAAAATAGCCGGGCATGGTGGCAGGCGCCTGTAGTCCCAGCTACTCGGGAGGCTGAGGCAGGAGAATGGCGTGAACCCAGGAGGCGGAGTTTGCAGTGAGCCGAGATTGCGCCACTGCACTCCAGCCTGGGCGACAGAGCGAGACTCCATCTCAAAAAAAAAAAAAAAAAAAAAAGCTGCAAATTTAATTTCACCAAGGAAGTGTATTAAAATCTATTTAACCACTTTCCTATTGTTGAGCATATTTACACTCCTTGTTTTGATTATTGTTACTACTACTGCCAATAATTCAATATGAATTTGTGTCTAAATGTCAGTTTATATTCTGAAAAACTGAATTACTGGCTCTAATTATAAATTTCTTAGAAGATCTAAGAGTTAATAGATATGGTCAAATTGTGCTGTAGAAATTTTATAACATTCCACATTCCCAGATAGATCACTGTATATAGCAAATGAGAATGGTTGCTTCACGAGCTTTTGCAAACTCTGAGAGTTTCATCTTTTGATGAATATGCCAATTTTAGAAGCAGAAACATTATCAAGTTCCTATTTGTTATTTCCTTGAGTATTTTGAAAGTAGAGTATTTTTCATAAATTGAATACATTAGGAATGTTTATAAATATTTTATTTTTTCTCCCCTTCTAGGCAGATGGTAAAATTGCACATCCCTGTCCTATCGAATGCAGACCTGGCTGTTTAATATGATTTGCCAATAAAATGTGAAGAGAAATGATGTGGGTTATTTTTTGATGACTTCAAAATCTAGTACATACTCTGCCATGTTCTCTTTCCCTCTGGCAATCAAAACAATGTTCCAGGTAGGTTCTCAATCAGCCTGAAACAAATGTTAGGAAATTAAAATATGAGGCACTGGCAAAAGGATCACATGGCAGATGATGAGGGATATGATAGTAAAGCTTGAAACTGAGAGGGGCCAAGATGGTCAGTGACACAGCCAGGAAGAACATCTTCCACAACAGACCAGGATATCAGGAAGACTGGCATACTCCGAGCCGATCTTCGGAGGGAAGGCATTGAGGGTGGACAGAGGGAGGACATAGAACCTGGGCTGGAGGGTGAGAAACCTCGGAACTTTGCACGGAGTTGCAGAGTACCCGGACTCGTTTCTGGCCCATGTTCTTGGCCCGCAGTGACTCCTGGGGAAGAGGTCCGTTGAACACACGAGGAGTGGCCACTCTCGCCACAGACCTCCAGAATCCCAACTGCAGGAGACCCCATGACCCCGCGGACACTTGAGCTGGCAGGGAGAGCTATTTGGAAAGGTGGCAAGGACAGGACTTCAGCCTGTGAAAAGCCCAGAGGGTCTGACACAGGAACGGCTGCAGTGGAGCATGGCCAGAGACGCCCATTCCCCCAAAGCTCACCATGCTCCTCTAGGTGGTCTCAGCCTATGGTAACTGCCAGACCTGAACGGAGCAGGGCTATCTTACCTGTGGGATGGGACCAGTCTAATCTGAGTGCTCCCTTGTCTGCCGGCCTCTCCTGGGGTAGACTGGCTAAAGAAAATGTGCTACATATACACCATGGAATACTAAGCAGCCACAGAAAAAGAATTAGATGATGCCTTTTGCAGGAACATGGATGGAGCTGAAGACCATTTTCTTAAGCAAAGTAACGTAGGCACAGAAAACCAAATACCTCACACTCTCATTCATAAGTGAGAACTAAACACTGAGTACACATGAACACAAAGAAGGGAAAAGTAGACTCTGAGGCCTACTTGAGGGTGGTTTAGTTTTTTAAGGACTAAAAAACTACCTATCATATACTATGCTTATCACCTGGGTGGTGAAATAGTCTATACAACAAACCCTATGAAATACGATTTACCTACGTAACAAACCTGCACATGTACCCCTGAACCTAAAGTAAAAGTCTAATAAAAAATGAGAGAGATTGAAATTATGGTGCCAGGTTTGGTGGCTCACACCTGTAATCCCAGCACTTTGGGAGGCCAAGGTGGGCAGATTGCCTGAGCTCAGGAGTTCAAGACAAGCCTGAGCAAAGTAGTGAAAACTCATCTCTAAAAAAATACAAAAATTCATTGGGTGTAGGAGCAAACACTTGTAGTCCCAGCTACTAGGGGATGCTGAGGCAGAAGGATCACCTGAGCCTGGGAGGTTAAGGCAGCAGGGAGCCAAGATCACACCACTGCAGAGTACAGACAGAGAAGACCCTGTCTCAAAAAAAAGAAAGAAAGAGAAGAAAGAGAGAAAGAAAGAAAAAGAAAGAAAGAAGAAAGAAAGACAGGGAGGGTGAAAGAAAGAGGAGAAAAAAGAAAGAAAAGAAAGAGAAAGAAAGAAAGAGAGAAAGGAAAGAAAAGAAAGAGAAAGAGAGAGGGAGGGAGGGAAGGGAAAGAAGAAAAAAAAGGGAAGGAAGGAAGGAAAAAGGGAAGGAAGGAAGGAAGGAAGGAAGGAAAAAGAGAAGGGAGGGAGGAAGGGAGGGAGGGAGGAAGGGAGATAAAGTGATCCATGTTATACAATAAGGAAACATTTCATAAACTATCACCTGCAATAACTTAGAAGGCAGATAATGAACCTAACAACTGAGTGGAACCCGAGGGTTATGAAGAACAATGGATGGAGGAGCTACTTTTCAATGAGTGGGATATAGGGACATTTCCAAACTCACATTTGGAACGCCTCACAAGAACTGCCCAGTGGTTACAGTGATTGTTTAACTTCTGGGAAGACATTTTAAGGGCAGAGTGTGTTTTGCAACTTTTATTTCCCTCTATCACAACAATCTAGAGAACTTTGGATAGTGTCTACTTCATCAGTTTGGATCCCTAATGCACAATGACATGGACAAGTCCCTAGCAACATTCAATAAACACAAAACATAAGCAAAAATGAAATATTTGTTGGTTTAAGCCTTTATGATGGACTTGTTTACCAGCATATGTTAATTGGCCATTTTTTTAAAAAAAAATAATATTATGGAGAAATACTCACTGTTAAGTGGTGGAGAAAACTCAAGAAACGATTCTACACTTAGAACATGACCCTAATTTTATGTATACCTATATGTGTAAGAAAACACTAGAAATAAGTTCACCAAGCTAACTGTGGTGAGGTAAGTGACAGGATATCAGGAAATTTTTATTCCAGGCTTCTTATTTTTCTGTATTTTCTGATTTCATCATACAATTTCTTAAGTATTAGGAAAAAGTCTAAACATCATAAAACTGGTGCTCTAAGTCTATTTCACCTTGAAAAGTCTTGCATTAATGTTTATTTGCTTCCCATTAGACACTATCTTAAAGCCATAATAACCTAAAGTTGAATTTTATTTGAAATAAAAATTATTGATAGTGAAATTTTTATTAATGTATTTATAAATTTGGCAACTAATTTTAGAAATATCTACTCCAACCTTCAAGCTTACCATTAATAATTTCCCAAAGTCTTCTTAAAAATAATTTTATAAATATTTATACTTTGGGGGGCATTAGTAACTTAAATAACAAAAATAAGATGGGTTGAGCTCTAAAATTTGAATCACCATCAATGTTCTAAAATATTTTTATATTACTTGTATCTACATTATTATCACATACCACCTAAATCAGAGACACTTAAATTTTCTCTGCCTTCCTAAGTGCACATCCAGAGCAAAGATATTATATATAGATATATAGTATATACAGATATTAAAATAGTTATAAATTTGCCTAATGTTTTTCAATCGCTTACTATACATACAGATTTTGCTATTTGCCGAGTATTTGTTAGTGAATAAGACAGACACAATTCCTTCCCTCACAAACTTTATAGTCTAGTGGGAGAAAGAAAACAAATAATAATACTAAACATGTAATTACAAGTTGTACTAAGTACTATAAAGTAAAAATGACAAGGCTTCATGAATAAAATGGATGGGTGATTAGTTTAAACCAGGAAAGGTTCAAGGAAAGCTCTTCTAGGGAAGTGTCATTTAGGCTCAGATCTATAAGTGAGGTAGTAAATTCTTCAGAGTAGACAAAACAGTAGATGCTAAGGCCTTGATCTGGCAGGAAGTATCATAACCACAAGTGTTCTTTTTATTGTCATCTTTTTATTTAATGTAGTTTACTACATTTTACATTTATAATGTATTTTTAATGTAATTTTTAAAGTTGCAAGTATAATACAGAACTTTAAATACCCTTTTCCAGAGTCATCATTCATTTACATTTGCCTTACTTTTACACATATGTAATATATAAATGTAGTTTTCATATCTATGAAATTTTTCCCAACCTTTTTATTACTACATACACTTTAGTGTATAGTTGCTAAGGACATTAACTTCCATACATAGCCAGTACAATCATAAAAACTGGGACATTTTACAGTCATATAATACTATTATGTAATCAATAGTTCATATTCAGATCTTGTTAATTATCTCCAAAATGTTCTTTATATTTTCTCCCATTCAGGAGCCAATAATGATGCAACATTTCAGAAAAGTGTATAAGGATAGTTTGTCTTAAAATCGATGCTGTTAACTTTAGTCACTTGACTAACATGGTGTCCCCCAGATCTCATTATGCCTTTTTCCTGAGAAATTAATAAGTAATTTGTGGCAGACAGCATAACTATGTAAATGTCTTAAACTTTCACCCACTAATTTTAACATCTATTAATAATTCTCCAATCCTAGTATGCCCTCTATATTTATTAACTGATGTGCCATTAAGAGTTTTCCCTTTTCCCCCTTCATGTATTCATTTTTTATATTTTTATCAGTATATACTCATAAATTTCTATTTTATATCGCTATTTTACCTTTTTTTATTATTACAGTTTTTCTGGGGTACATGTGCAGGATGTGAAGGTTTGTTACATAGGTATACATGTGCCATGGTGGTTTGCTGCACCCACCAACCTGTCATCTACATTAGGTATTTCTCCTAATGCTATCCCTCCCCCAGTCCTCCATCCCTGACAGGCCCCAGTGTGGGATGTTCCTCTCCCTGTTCCATGTGTTCTCATTGTTTAACTCCCACTTATGAGTGAGAACATGCAGTGTTTGGTTTTCTGTTCTTGGGTTAGTTTGCTGAGAATGATAGTTTCATTAACTAGATTAACTGTGTAGTAAGAATTTATCATTCACTTTTCACTTCCACACCAGCAGGATGATGTAAGGAAACTAATACCATCAGAAAGGATCATGTTTTAAAATTAAAGCTATAATAGGGAAAAAAAAAATATATATATATACTGTATCCCTACATAAAGCTGAGGGTTACCGAGAATAAGTCAAATGTATTCATTAATGTCAATAATGAATTGGGTGGGAGTGGATTCAGACAGAAAAGAAATAAAAACAAAGGGTATACGTATATCAAATCATCACACTGCACACCTTGAATATATACAATCTTTATTGTCAATTAAATATTGTTTTAAAAAATAAAGGACCAGAAGCTGAATATAGTTATAGAATGCAGCAAATGATGAAAACAAAAGTGGGAGCAAAGAACAAGCCTGAGATGATCAGTGTGAACTTGGCTAGAAGGATTCCAGATTGCTAGATCTGCTGCTAATTGTGAACCATGGGTGAAAAAAGCAATTACTTTAAAAACAAGCCCATGGCCAAAAGTTTTCAGGACCCATATTTTCAAAATTCCAGATTCCATGATTTTTAATCATGTTTTAATAACATTAATGTATGTTAATATCTTCTTGACACAATGTTTTTATGGTTTAAATAAAATGAGGAACTTTAATGTAGTCAATGGAAGGTAAAAAGTCTATACTGTGTTGGGTTATTGTGGAAGAAATTATTGAAGACTTCTTTTGTCTGTATGTGGAACTAGGATTATGATGGCTCTATGGTAGCAGAAATCTAAAGAAATAATATCTTGAGAAAAACTATAAATAAAAGAAAATTAGATCTTGGCACCTAAAATAATAATCTTAATTTCCTCCTTGTGATCCAAGGAAATTTTTATAAAATTGTTAAGGCAGATTCAGTTTCCTTGGCTTCTCTCAGACCTGAGTCCATTATAAATAACAGGTGCCAAAATTTATCATTTCATTTTATTATGGCAAGGAAGTTAGAGGGAAGCATACCCACTAAGGAATTGCTATAATGACCCTTACCAAGAAATTTCAACTCTATTATCTGTACAGAGAACAAAGTTTCACAGCTTTATAGAGTGAGTGGCAACCCTATAAAGTACTTTTTTTAAAGTACCTTTAGAACAAGATCGTGTCCTTTGCAGGGACATGGATGGAGCTGGAAGCCATTATGCAGGAACCATTATGCAGAAAACCAAACCCTGCATGTTTTCACTCATGGAATGATGAGCTGAGCAATGAGAAAACATGGATACAGGGAGGAGAACAACACACAGTGGGGCCTGTCTGGGGGTGGAGAGGGGAGGGAGAACATCAGGAAAAATAGCTAATGCATGCTGGGCTTAATACATACGTGATGGGTTGATAGATGCAGCAAACCACCATGGCACACGTTTACTTATGTAACAAACCTGCACATCCCACACATGTATCCCAGAACTTAAATAAAATAAAATAAATTTTTTAAAGTACCTTCCTTACCTCTAAAGAGTAAGTAGGTTTTCATATTTGAAAATATTTGGGGTGTGCTCTGAGGGAGGGCCTGGGCCACCCACCTTTGCTGGAGGAGCCCTTCAGGCCATAATAAGCATGAATAATGTCTTTCCTCTTTGAGTGGATCTACAATGGCTTCAGCAGTGTGCTCCAGTTCCTAGGACTCTACAAGAAATTTGGAAAACTTGTATTTTTCGGTTTGGACAACGCAGGCAAAACCACTCTTCTTCACATGCTCAAAGATGACAGATTGGGTCAACATGTTCCAACACTACATCCGACATCAGAAAAGCTATTAATTGCTGGAATGACTTTTACAACTCTTGATCTTGGTGGACACAAGCAAGTATGTCAGGTTTGAAAAAATTATCTCCAAGCAATTAATGAGATTGTTTTTCTGGTGGATTCTGCAGATCATTCTGGCCTCATGGAATCTAAAGTTGAGCTTAATGCTTTAATGACTGATGAAATAATATCCAATGTGCCAATCCTTATATTGGGTAACAAAATAGACAGAACAATGCAATAAGTGAAGAAAAACTCTTTGAGATATTTGGGCTTTCTGGACAGACCACAGGAAAGAGGAACATGGCCCTTTAGGAGCTGAACGCTCACCCCACTGAAGTGTTCATGTGCAGTGTGCTCAAGAGGCAAGGCTAGGGCGAGGGATTCTGCTGGCTCTCCCAATGTATTGACTGATGTTTGGACAGAGAAAATAAGAGTTTTTCTCCTCTGGACTGATCCTGTTCACAGCTTCTTCATGGACTTTTCTAATAGAACAATGAAAGGTCTCCAATCATGTCTAGCATTGAGAAGCCAAGAGTCACTGTCTACTCTCATCACCCAGTGGTGAAATGTTCTCTTCTCCACACTGTTGGGGAGGTAATGCTGCCCCATGTGCTGGTGCAGGTCAGTATCCTGGGGCTTGGAAGCTGGCAGGGGTTGCTGAGTAAAGCTGTGTGCCATTATGGGGCACCTGAAAAGAAAAACACATCTCACCACTCTGGTTGATTTCAAAAGAAAGTGATTCTATTTTTAAAGAAAGTGTTGTTAATATAATTGATACCCCTTCTAACTTTTCGAGTTCAAAATTTACTTAGTCCAGAGTTTTCTATTCTTTTTTAAACTAATGAATGACATTTAGATACTTCATAAAATTATGAACAGATACACATTGGAGGCCAGAGCTCATTTGGGTAAACTCACTCCTGCTGAGTTAGCAGGTTGGTGAGAGAAGCTCCCCTGAGCTCACCTGTCTCTCTAACTGCCTTGGAGAAGGTGGCATTACCTTGTGAACAGAGAACCAGAAAAGGGGCAGAATCCTGGCCTTGTAATTGCGGCAGGTTTCCACTGTGGTAAGCTAGGGTCATTCCTTCTCAAGGAATGTGTAGCAGATCATTCACTATTGAGCAGTTAATTATAGTGTAAGTTACTGTTATTATTCTTATTTATAAAGTTATAGGTTTCATCCAGTCTTTACTTTTATACTTTGGTGAAATTTTATTTCCCTCTATAGCACCTTCCTTTTTCATTTTCAGTTATAAAAAGTAACTTTCACCTCATGAAAAAGTTGAGAACATCTCTTATGTTGTCACATACTGCAGGTGTGTCAGTTACTTTTGCACAGATTCTAGAGGAAAATTTTTCTGAATAGGAAGACAGGACAAAGTTAACAGCTTAAGGGCTCTTAATTCTGGGAGTTGAGGACTTAAATGTATTGTAGCACTTGTCTGAATGCAGGAAAAATTTACTCACTGGGCTTTAAAATTTCCATTTGCAGAATTTGGTCTCTATTGGATTTTTCCTGAGCTCTTTGTCTTACATCTTATCTCCTTAGATATCTACGTTGCTGTGTTTAAAGTAAAGGTTAACATCTGTAGCTTTTCCAGGTGTGTTTGTGTGGATTTTTTTAATATGAAATTGCCTTTCCCCATTGTAGAAATAAGCTGGGGGGAAACACTAACTCAAAAACTTTCTGTAGAGCTGTTCCTTTGGAAGCAGCATCACTTATTGGCAGTAAAGACTCAGGATAAAAGCAACAGCATCCCTACCACGGTGATGAGGATTGATTTTATAGCATTCCATTTTCTTAGTGTCACATGTGAAATTGGATTTTTATGATCTTAACCTAAATTCTACCCTTGTAGTAAAAGATCAAAAGATAAGATCTCCTAGGAAAAGACAGGAGATAGGAGATGAAAAGTTAGGAGGATATCTTTATTCTAATGTGAGGGTAGGGAAAATGTGGATAACATATTATTGGGGAGAGAGTATAGTTATTTAGTTGGAGTTCTCAGTCTTCAGTACTGACTTGTTCGGGAAACATACTTTTTCACTGCCAGGTACTGAATGCAGAGGCTCAGTGAAGTATATTTCTGGGAAGTGCATGCATTTCATTTATTAGCAAGCATAGCTGGATTAAGATAAAATTGTTTGGAAAGGGGTTAAAGCCTTAACTGAACAAATCTAGCTAACAGTGAATGAACTAGATAGTTAACTTGCATTTTTTTTAAATTTTCCTTTGGTTAAAGGTTCCCCATACTTCTCTTATCAGAGACATGAGAAGTATGATTGCTTCCATGTTGGTTTTCTTACTTTTAGTTTCGGATTTTTTTTCCCTATTTGTCCCTAGTAACTTTGTTGCAAGCTAGAAAACTGTCGGTTCTACGTAGGGCAGCTGCTGTGAGGAGCTCAGCTCTAAACACAGGATCAGCGCCTTGTACAGGAATTCTCATGAATTAAGATGTTTCATTCTGTTTTATCAGAGTGCATGTATGTCCTATTTCAGAAAAAGTAAAACAGTCATTTACAAAAGAAAGTCAATCTGTATCCTAAGCATTTTAATTAAAAGTTAAAGCATAAATAAATAAATAAACAATAAATCAAAAGATTTGGGATCCTTTCAATCAAATAAATAACTATTAAAGACCTCTGATATGACATAAAACCACTGAATACAGAAAGAACATTCAATCTTTATCCCCAATTAACACTGAATTCTGATGGAAGAAAAAGATTAATGTTCTTTTTTGCAAGAAAAGAGGGTACCCCTAAAAAATATCAACACTGATTTAGGCAACTGTTGCATATGAGTAGAAATGATCTATTTAGCTTGATTGATTTAATCTTTTTATACAACCACATGCATGTTGTGATCTCCTTATGAAAATTTGCATACTAAAAAAACTATTTTAAAAAAGGCTACTGTGGGCACACTGCCTATAGGATAGCCCTGCTAGGCAAGGAGCAGTTAAAAAAAGTATAAATAAATTGACACCTATTAATACTAATACTAATCATTATAATTTAAAACATTGAAACATGTTTTTGAAAAATAATCTATGGTACTGTTTGCATTTGTGAGCATTTCCACTGATTAAAAACATATGTGTACTGATATTAAAATCTAGAAATCATTAACATCAGATTCAAGGCAAGGGATCTGAGTAATGTAGGGAAATAAAATGGTAGAAAAAACAACCCTTCTAAGACTTCTTATGGGAATATAAGGACATGGTTAATATTTGGATACAAAGAAAAATTAACTATCAGATATAGACTTAAAATCAAACAGGGAACTTTATTTCATGAAAAATAACCAACCCAACATTGAGTATTGGACTTAATAAAGCGTGTTCACACATATGGTGCTAATTAATCTCCACAACGGAGCAAGATAGATAAAGAAGTTTCTGAATATTTAAGCAAGACCTAAAATGTACATGTATTAGTAATTGGGAAGTGGACTAAATCTAGATTTTCTAATATCATTCTTGTTTCTTTTCTACTATGCCAGTATTGTCCAAATTTTTTACCATTACCTATAGTAAGGAATATATTGTACATCAGAATCCAGGTCATACAAACACATATATAAAATGAGTGATGAGAATAAGTAAAATAAATCAATAAAATAGTATATAACTGCGTAATAGATTACAACTCACAGTGTGAAAAGCACTAACATACATCATACTGTATAACTGCTGATACTTTAATGACCTTATATCACTTGGCTGTGCAATGAATTATCTTGTCTTGTAAGTACTGAACGTGTTGCAAGGAACCATTTCCTTTCAGCTGTGTGCTTCCTTTTATGACAAAAGTTTTATGTTGGCGATCGTCATTCCAGGATTTGGGAAGAAGAGGTAAGGAATAGCACTATGTTGTTTCTATGCAAATCAGACTGATCCACGTGGAGCTCAGTGAGTTCTGAACTCACCTACATCAACTCACAAATTGAACCAGAACATGACCAGGGCCAACAGATTTTGGATGAAAGAAATTAACACGTGTTAGTTAGCATGGGTAGTTCTTGGGCATTCTTTAAAATTATTCATTTCTCCATCTGATTCATTTTTCTAATATAAGATTAATTATGTTTCCCATTACTTAATCATTATTCTGTAAAAGTTTGCTATATTGCATTTCTTGGGTAAGATACAGAGATTTGTTGATCTTCCTTTTAGAGGCACTAGAAAGGTAACATTTTGGCCTTTAGATAAAATTTTTCATGCTTACAAGTGTCAAATCACATCAGTTTAGTTACATCACAGAGAAAACCCCTTCATAACTCAGTTTATTTTACTTAACTGAATAAGTGGAGTATCAGAAAAATTCAATACTAAAGTAGCCTTTCCTTTCCCTCAAATCCACCAACAAGAGCAATGACAGGAATCTGGGCAATGCAATTGCTCGAAAGATCTTCATTCTCTGGGGTTTCTTTGACCACCCCTAGCCGGAAATGTTTCTCTTCATAATGGGGCTTGTTGCTTATCTCTGCATACTGGTGGACAACATCTCAATTATTGTGGTACCCAGGGGATATTTTAGGGGAGCACCAAATGCATCATTTTAGCTGTGACGTCTTTGGATCCTTACATTGCCATCTGCAAACACTTGAGGTACCCAGCTATCATGCATCAGCAACTCTGTGTCCTCCTAGTGGCCATGGCATGGCTAAGCAGTTTGGCCAACTCTACTTCAGTCATCCCTTGCCGTCCAGCTGCCACTAGGCGGTAACAAGGTGGACGACTTTCTGTGTGAGGTCTCAGCGATGATCAAGATATCATGTTTTGACACCACATTCAATGTATCTATGCTCTCCATTGTGAGGATATTTTAGTCCCTCGTTCTCTAATCAATTATCTTTGCTTACTGTGGATTCATTGTAGCTACTGTGCTGAGGATTCAGTCCTCAGGGGGAAAGAAGGAGGTCTTCAACACATGTGGTTCTCATATTGTATCTCTCCTCTATGGGCCTGTAATTAGCATGTATGTACAGCCCTCTGCCAACTCCCAGGACAAAAACAAATTCATGTCCCTGTTCTACAGTTTGGTGACTCCTATGCTTAACCCTTTTATCTACACTTTGAGCAACAGGGACATAAAAGGGGCAATGAGGAGGCTTCTTGTCTTTTTGTATCACCAGGAAGAGAACAAAAGTAATTATTTTTATACTCCACATTCTTCATATACAGGTCAGAAGATCTCCTGTTCTAAAATTACATGTTGATTTAACCTCCTCCAAAATTGTTAGCATTCTTTACTACCCACCCTGTCTACATATATGCTTTTGTACCACACAATGGGGTTTGTTGGATATCATTTCAAGTGTGAATCCTAATCCTCAGATTGTCTGCAATTTGCATGGTAGTGAGAACTATGTCCTTATATTCCTTTGTATTTATCTAGAAATATCCATAGGCATCTAAAAAGTGGGCAATAAATAAATGTTAATAGACTGACTCATTTACTCAGAGCAAAAATCAAGTCCTATCATTTTATGTGTTACTTTGAAAAATATATATGAGTAATATAGACTGCAGTTTACCTTCTTGTTATTATGAATGTGATTTAAAGGCTAATCTTTTATTTGCAAATTAACTTTTTATGGATTGCCAGCAAGATCAAATAGGTTAATATCTCATATTCCATAACTGACCCTCTCAACCACAAATTCACTGATCCTTTACAAATAAAATAATTCAAAAATAATATCTGACTCTTTCCTATCGATCTTAATGGGATTTCTTCCTTCTGAGGTATTTGACTGAAGTAATTATTTCTAGGTTATCAGATGGAGAAGTTAAAATCTTCAGAAATTTCTATGTTGTCTCTTAATATTGAGAGCCACTCACCCTTCAATGGGAAGACAACCTACCTAGAATGAGAAAATTAGATGTATTTGGTAGGTAACCGAAGGATTAAATCGTCTCATCATTTAAAATCAGAATATTCAGCAGAAGGAAAATGGAAAAAGAAGGTAGAGCACAACCTGGGGCAAATATAAAATAAACTAGCTATCAGACCGTCAATTTTGAGATAGAGGTGACAAAGTAGAAAGTTGGATAATGATGTAAGAAGGCAGTGTTCTGTTGACTTTATCCATAACATCAACTCTCCTCATTATAAATCCATAATTTTTCTTATACTTCCTCTGCTCCCCTGTCTTTCAACTTGTGTTTAAGAAAAACATTTGTTTTTCTAACAACTACATACATTCATTTGAGGCCTTCACACATCTGCCCATCCTTCATGTATTTCCACTGTGCTCTTCTGAATGACAAGAACAAAATCTATTAACACACAATGTGCAAACCGCTGATAAAGAAATATTATATATTATAGTTTTGCCATTGTTGGAGACAAGGAAACATCACTCTTTTGGAGGAAAGTTGACTCCCTGGCATACCAACATGTCTGTAAGGACTAGGCCTGATTTCACTGTGTACCTCTCCTTCATAGTACTGACCTGTATTGAGAGAATGGGCTCTAAATAAGTATTTTTTAAATAAATGAATGAATGATAAGTATTACCCACTGTCCTAATTACCTACTATTAAAACCTATATAACAGAATCATGCAAAAATGTGTCATATACTAAACAATGAGTGTAGCAAAAGAGGTTTGTAGCTGAATGTTTTTTTAAATTTTTTATCTCCATAGGTTTTTAGGTAACAGGTGGTATTTGGTTACATAAGTTCTTTAGTGGTGATTTGTGAGATTTTGGTGCACCCACCACCTGAGCAGTATACACTGAACTCAATTTGTAGTCTTTTATCCCTCCCTCCCCTCCTACCCTTTCCCCCACCCAGTCCCCAAAGTCCATTGTATCATTCTTATGCCTTTGCATCCTCATTGCTTCGCTCCCTCTTATGAGCAAGAACATACAATATTTGGTTTTCCATTCCTGAGTTACTTCATTTAGAATAATAGTCTCCAATCCCATCTAGGTTGTTGTGAATGCCATTAATTCATTCCTTTTTATGGCTGAGTAGTATTCCATTGTGTGTATATATATATATATATATATATATATATATACCACAGTTTCTTTATCTATTCGTTGATTGATGGGCATTTGGACTGGTTCCACATTTTTGCAATTGCAAATTGTGCTGCTATAAACATGCATGTGCAAGTATATTTTTCGTATAATGACTTCTTTTCCTCTGAGTAGATACCCAGTAAGGGGATTGCTGGATCAAATGGTAGTTCCACTTTTAGTTCTTTAAGGAATCTCAACACTGTTTTCCATAGTGGTTGTACTAGTTTACATTCCCATCGGCAGTGTAGAAGTGTTCCCTTTCACCACATCCATGCCAATATATATTTTTTAAAAATTTTTTATAATGGTCATTCTTGCAGGAGTAAGGTTGGTATCTCATGGCAGTTTTGATTTGCATTTCTCTGATCATTAGTGATGTTGAGCATTTATTCATATGTTTGCTGGCCATTTGTATATCTTCTTTTGAGAATTGTCTATTCATGTCCTTAGCCCACTTATTGATGGGATTGTTTGATTTTTTCTTGCTAATTTGTCTGAGTTCCTTGTAAATACTGGATTATTAGTCCTTTGTCAGATGTACAGATTGTATAGATTGTGAAAAATTTTCTCCCACTTTGTGAGTAATCTACTCTGCTGACTGTTCTTTTGCTGTGCCAAAGCTCTTTAGTTTCATTAAACCCCACCTATTTATCTTGGATTTTGTTGCATTTGCTTTTGGGTTCTTGGTCAGAAATCTTTGCCTGAGCCAATGTCTAGAAGGTTTTTTTCAATGTTATCTTCTAGAATTTTTATAGTTTCAGGTCTTAGGTCTTAGATTTAAGTCTTTGATCCATCTTTTTTTTTTTTTTTTTAGACAGAGTCTTGCTCTGTCCCCCAGGCTAGAGTGCAGTGGCTCAATACCAGCTCACTGCAAGCTCTGCTGCCTGGGTTCACGCCATTCTCCTGCCTCAGCCTCCCGAGTAGCTGGGACTACAGGCGCCCGCTGCCATGCCCAGCTAATTTTTTGTATTTTTAGTAGAGACGGGGTTTCACCATGTTAGCCAGAATGGTCTTGATCTCCTGACCTCGTGATCCACCTGCCTCGGCTTCCCAAAGTGCTGGGATTACAGGCGTGAGCCACCGCACTCAGCTTTGATCCATCTTGAGTTGATTTTTGTATAAGGTGAGAGATGAGGATCCTGGTTCATTATCCTACATATGGCTTGCCAATTATCCCAGCAACATCTGTTGAATAGCATGTCCTCTCCCCACTTTATGTTTCTGTTTGCTTTGTCAAAGATCAGTTGGTTATAAGTATTTGGTTTTATTTCTTGGTTCTCTATTCTGTTCCATGGGTCTATGTGCCTACTTTTATACCCATACCATGCTGTTTTGGTGACTATGGCCTTATAGTATAGTTTCAAATCAGGTAATGTGATGCCTCCAGATTTGTTCTTTTTGCTTAGTCTTGCTTTGGCTATGTGGGCTCTTTTTTGGTTCCACATGAATTTTAGGATTGTTTTTTCTAGTTCTATGAAGAATGATGGGGTTGGGTCATATGTTGAGTTTATTTTAAGCTTTATAAGAAACTGCCAAGTGGTTCCTCAAAGTGATTTTAACATTTTGCATTCTCATCAGTAATAAATAAGAGTTCCCCTTGTTCTGCATTTTTTTTCTAGCATTCACTATTGTCAGGGTTTTTTTTTTTTAGCCAATAGAACATTATGTGGGAATTTTTCTGTCTTGTTGCCTAATATTTAATATTTATAGTTTCATAATATTTAAATTTTATTTACTTATTTTCATAATATTTAATATTTAATTATTTCATAATATTTAAATTTTGCTTCCTGGCCTGCAAAACCTGAACTATTTTCCATCTGGCTCTTGTGGGGAAAATTAGCTGATCTCTGGTCTTTCATATGGATTTTCCTAACTCATTGAACCTCATTGAGGTTCAACTGAACTATAAGTCAATAACTATAAGCTTTTTAAATATGGGAAATAGTGAGTCTTTGATAGGAACAAGTAATTTTTTCCAATTTTTCTTTAAGAATTTTGGCCTATGTACACAAGACAGGGATGCCCTCTCTCACCACTCCTATTCAACATAGTGTTGGAAGTTCTGGCCAGGGCAATCAGGCAGGAGAAAGAAATAAAGGGTATTCAATTAGAAAAAGAGGAAGTCAAAGTGCCCCTGCTTGCAGATGACATGATTGTATATCTAGAAAACCCCATCGTCTCAGCCCAAAATCTCCTTAAGCTGATAAGCAACTTCAGCAAAGTCTCAGGATACAAAATCAATGTGCAAAAATCACAAGTATTCTTATACACCAATAACAGACAAACAGAGAGCCAAATCATGAGTGAACTCCCATTCACAATTGCTTCAAAGAGAATAAAATACCTAGGAATCCAACTTACAAGGGATGTGAAGGACCTCTTCAAGGAGAACTACAGACCACTGCTCAATGAAATAAAAGAGGATACAAATGGAAGAACATTCCATGCTCATGTGTAGGGAGAATCAATATTGTGAAAATGGCCATACTGCCAAAGGTAATTTATAGATTCAGCGCCATCCCCATCAAGCTACCAATGACTTTCTTCACAGAATTGGAAAAAAGTACTTTAAAGTTCATATGGAACCAAAAAAGAGCCCACATTGCCAAGTCAATCCTAAGCCAAAAGAACAAAGCTGGAGGCATCACACTACCTGACTTCAAACTATACTACAAGGCTACAGTAACCAAAACAGCATGGTACTGGTACCAAAACAGAGATATAGACCAATGGAACAGAACAGAGCCCTCAGAAATAACGCCACATATCTACAGCTATCTAATCTTTGACAAATCTGACAAAAATAAGCAATGGGGAAAGGATTCCCTATTTAATAAATGGTGCTGGGAAAACTGGCTAGCCATATGGAGAAAGCTGAAACTGGATCCCTTCCTTACACCTTATACAAAAATTAATTCAAGATGGATTAAAGACTTCAATGTTAGACCTAAAACCAGAAAAACCCTAGAACAAAACCTAGGCAATACCATTCAGGACATAGGCATGGGCAAGGACTTCATGTCTAAAACACCAAAAGCAATGGCAACAAAAGCCAAAATTGACAAATGGGATCTAATTAAACTAAAGAGCTTCTGCACAGCAAAAGAAACTACCATCAGAGTCAATAGGCAACCTACAGAATGGGAGAAAATTTTTGCAACCTACTCATCTGACAAAGGGCTAATATCCAGAATCTAAAATGAACTCAAACAAATTTACAAGAAAAAAACAAACAACCCCATCAAAAAGTGGGTGAAGGACATGAACAGACACTTCTCAAAACAAGACATTTATGCAGCCAAAAGACACATGAAAAAATGCTCATCATCACTGGCCATCAGAGAAACGCAAATCAAAACCACAGTGAGATACCATTTCACACCAGTTAGAATGACGATCATTAAAAAGTCAGGAAACAGGCCGGGCGCGGTGGCTCACGCCTGTAATCCCAGCACTTTGGGAGGCCGAGGCGGGCGGATCACGAGGTCAGGAGATCGAGACCCCGTCTCTACTAAAAATACAAAAAATTAGCCGGGCGTGGTAGCGGGCGCCTGTAGTCCCAGCTACTCGGGAGGCTGAGGCAGGAGAATGGCATGAACCCGGGAGGCGGAGCTTGCAGTGAGCCGAGATCGCGCCACTGCACTCCAGCCTGGGCGACAGAGCGAGACTCCGTCTCAAAAAAAAAAAAAAAAAAAAAAAAAAAAAAAAGTCAGGAAACAACAGGTGCTGGAGAGGATGTGGAGAAATAGGAACACTTTTACACTGTTGGTGGGACTGTAAACTAGTTCAACCATTGTGGAAGTTGGTGTGGCGATTCCTCAGGCATCTAGAACTAGAAATACCATTTGACCCAGCTATCCCATTACTGAGTATATACCCAAAGGATTATAAATCATGCTGCTGTAAAGACACATGCACATGCATGTTTATTGCAGTACTATTCACAATAGCAAAGACTTGGAACCAACCCAAATGTCCAACAATGATAGACTGGATTAAGAAAATATGGCACATATACACCATGGAATACTATGCAGCCATAAAAAATGATGAGTTCATTTCCTTTGTAGGGACATGGATGAAGCTGGAAACCATCATTCTCAGCAAACTATCACAAGGACAAAAAACCAAACACCGCATGTTCTCACTCATAGGTGGGAATTGAACAATGAGAACACATGGTCACAGGAAGGGGAACATCACGTGCCAGGGCCTGTTGTGGGGTGGGGGGAGGGGGGAGGGATAGCGTTAGGAGTTATATCTAATGTTAAATGACGAGTTACTGGGTGCAGCACACCAACATGGCACATGTATACATATGTAACAGACCTGCACGTTGTGCACATGTACTCTAAAACTTAAAGTATAATAAATAAAAAAAGAAGTTTGGCCTATGTATAACTATGATATATCAATTTTTAAATGCAAGACAAAGACAGACATTTTCTGTAGGTATCTGTTACTTAATGAGCATGGCTGATCTTTTTAGTTGCCTTTAAAATGTTCTGTATTTAATTAATTCATTCTAATATAAATATTCTGTGAATCTTTATTGTATTTTCTCAATACAATTTAGAACTTTAACTTTCTGAGGAAGGTTTTGAACCTCACTTTTCAATTGAATTTCCTGACGGTCAAATTGCTTAACCCATTCTGAATACTTTTACTGTAATTTTTACAGGCTTTAATGACAAGAGGCTTGAGGAAAGGGAGCCTGTTTTGCCCTTTACACCGGACACACAGAAGGCACCATCCATAAGAAATGAATGCTTACCAGGTAATGAAATTTGCTGGTACCTTGATCTTGAACTTCCCAGCCTCCAGAACTGTAAGCAATAAATTTATGTTGTTTACATAAAAAAGAAAATAAAAATACATGAAGAAGAATTACCCAGTGTTTCTCTCACATCCTTTACAGACTTCTAAACAATACAAACTCTTTAAATTGTAAACGAACTTGGAAAATTTTTACATCATCTTAAACAATTACGTATATCAGTTAAAAACAAATAAAGCCTTTAATAATGTGTTCAAATAATTTAATTTATATTTTGTTTCTTCCTCCATCAAAAGTCTTTACAGAAGCATAAATCAATTTCCTCAAAGCCCCTTTTGACTGATGATTGACTGGTACTTACTTTCTGATTGCTTCATTCTCCCCAATTCTAAGTCCCTGAGTCCCTGACATCAATTTAACTTCTCCAAGTGCAGTAGAAAATATTCATCAAGTGTTTCAATATTTGCTCTGACCTTACTTATAATTTAGCACTTGTTACAATAATTTACATATCTTTTCAGTTCACTGTTTGCTCAGTTGGTCATCCCATTCTTGAGCTTTTTTGCGTGTAGTTTATGCTTTCCTGGACATTGCAATGCTCATTTTAGCCATATTTTGTTGCTATCTTAACTTGCTGGCTTTTTTTACTCTTCTGACATATATTTATGGTTATTTCGCATCCACTTTTTGGGATTAAAAGGACCTGAACACATCTTCTACTGGCTGAACTCCAGTTCCAAAGCTAGCCATCACCTTAACTCAATGTGAACATTAAGACTTTCTTCCTTTTGATTCTTTTCTGAAAGTATCTATTTTAAACTCAAATTTGATATAGACTTGGACCACGTGGTATCTTCTTCTCAAGGCTGCACTCCATTAAAGGTAATTTAAGTGTTCACATTATTTTTTAATCAGCCTAATTTATCAACAACTTTACATTTTTCTCCAACTAAAGCATAAATTCTATGGCAAACTCTTTCTTCCTATTTATATAAACCTGGCTTTCAACTATTAAGAAACACAAATATAGCTGCACTTACCACTATGTTCCAATGTTAAGCCACAGAGATCTGGCATGATTCTCATGTCTTCTGGCAACACTGACATGGCCTCACTTAGCTTCTCCAGGATTTGTATAAAATAAAACTTCATATCAGCAAGTGCACCCTCCATAGTACCAAATCTACCTCAGGCTTCCAGGGCACCCAATTCCATTCTGCCTGGAACCTAAATCAGCCACCTGGGAACAAAGAAAGACCATAAGTCTGGCAGCAATGGGGGAAGAGAGAGTTTTCCAAATATTTTCACATCATAGCACACATAACATGGAATGTATAAGGCTGTTCTTGATTAAAGAAGACTGGCCACTGCTAGTGTGCTCCTCCTAGGCCTCACACAACAACCCCAAAGTCTAAGAGGATTAATGTCTTTTCACATATGTAAAATTCAGAGAACACTGTTTAAGAGGCTTGACAGCTAAGAACTTACATACCATCATCAATACTCAATGTTGCCTTAATGTAAACATATTTTTCTGACATCCAGTAAACCTAATCTTTAAAAAACTAAAAACAAAGATTCTTCCTTTCAGGAAAACACTTCTGCCTTGCTTTCTTTAGATTATGAGAGTAGGCATTGGAGAATTGAATTCTCACTGTCATTCACTTATTAATCTGAATTGCAAGCATAAAAACTCATGAAAGGACCAGGCATGGTGGCTTATACCTCTAATCCCAGCACTTTGGGAAGCCAAGGCAGGAGAATTGCTTCAGCCCAGAAGTTCAAGACCAACTTGGGCTATGTATTGAGACACCTATCCTACAGAAATTTAAAAATTAGCCAAGTGTGGTGGTGCATGCTCATAGTTCCATAGTTCCAGCTATTCAGGGGGCTGAGGCAGGATTCCCGGAGACCAGAAGGTCAAGTCTGCAGTGAGCCATGATCACACCACTGCACTCTAGTCTGGGTGACAGAGCAAGACCCTGCCAAAAAAAAAAAAAAAAAAACACCTCAGGAAGAATTCTGGTACTTTGAGATTGGAAAAGAATTTGAAAAACATTCAACATTTCTTCATAAGAAATGTCTCAACAAATTGGTTATAAGGAATGTATGACAACACAATAAAGACCATGTATGACAACCCCACAGCTGAGACCATCAATTTGAAAGTTTTCCCTCTCAGATCAGAAACAAAGCAAAGATGCCCACTCTCACCACTTCTATTCAACCTAGTACTGGAAGTTATAGCCATGGCAATTAGGCAAGAGAAAGAAATTAAAAGCATACAAATCGGAATGAACAAAAGAGAGAGAGAAAGAAAGAGAGAGAGAAAGGGAGGGAGGGAGGAAGGAAAGAAATGGTCTTTGTATACTGATTACCTATTGTTATATATAGAAACCCCAAATATTACACCAAAAACTGTTAAAACTAATGAACTAGTTCAGGATATAAATCAACATAAAAAAATCAGTACTGTTTTTGCAGTATTGTAAAGACTATTGACATTATGAAGAAACTGCATCAACTAACAGGCAAAATAACCAGCTAGCATCATAATGACATGATCAAATTCACACATAACAATATTAACCTTAAATATAAATGGGCTAAATGCTCCAATTAAAAGACACATACTGATAAATTGGATAAAGAGTCAAGACCCATCAGTGTGCTGTATTCAGGAGACCCATCTCATGTGCAAAGACACACACAGGCTCAAAATAAAGGGATGGAGGAATATTTACCAAGCAAATAGAAAGCCAAAAAAAAAAAAAAGCAGCAGTAGCAATCCTAGTCTCTGATAAAACAGACTTTAAATCAAAAAAGACAAAGAAGGGAATTACATAACGGTAAAGGGATCAGTGCAACGAGAAGAGCTAACTATCCTAAATATATACGCACCCAATACAAGTGCACCCAGTTTCATAAAGCAAGTTCTTAGAGACCTACAAAGAGACTCAGACTCCTGCACAATAATAGTGGGAGACTTTAACACCCCACTGTCAATATTAGACAGATCAGTGAGACAGAAAATTAATAAGGATATTCAGAACTTGAACTCAGCTCTGGACCAAGCAGACCTAATAGACATCTACAGAACTCTTCACCCCTAATCAGCAGAATATGCATTCTTCTCAGAACCACATTACACTTAATCTAAAATTGGCCACATAATTGGGAGTAAGACACTCCTCAGCAAATGCAAAAGAGAAATCATAAAAAACAGTCTCTCAGACCACAGTGCAATCAAATTAGAACTCAAGATTAAGAAACTCACTCAAAACTACACAACTACATGGAAACTGAACAACCTGCTCCTGAATGACTACTGGGTAAATAACAAAATTAAGGCAGAAATAAAGAAGTTCTTTGAAACCAATGAGAACAAAGACACAATGTACTAGAATCTCTGGGACACAGCTAGAGCAGTGTTTAGAGGAAAATTTATAGCACTGAATGCCAACATCAGAAAGAGGAAAAGATCTAAAACTGACACCTTAACATCACAATTAGAAGAACTAGAGAAGCAAGAGCAAACAAATTCAAAAGCTAGCAGAAGACAAGAAATAACTAAAATCAGAGCAAAATTGAAGGAGATACAGACACAAAAAACCCTTCAAAAAGTCAATGAATCCATGAAATGCTTTATGAAAAGGGAGAAAAGAGAGAAGAATCAGACACAACAAAAAACGATAAAGAGATATCACCACTGATCTCACAGAAATACAAACTACCATCAGAGAATATTATAAACACCACTACGCAAATAAACCAGAAAATCTAGAAGAAATTGATAAACTTCTGGACACATACACCCTCCCAAGACTAAACCAGGAAGAAGTTGAATCTCTGAATAGACCAATAACAGGCTCTGAAATTGAGGCAATAATTAGCAGCTTACCAACCAAAAAAATTCCAGGACCACACAGATTCACAGCCAAATTCTACCAGAGGTACTAAGATGACCTGGTATCATTCCTTCTGAAACTATTCCAAACTATAGAAAAAGAGGGACTCCTCCCTAACTCATTTTATGAAGTCAGCATCATCTTGATACCAAAACAGGGCAGAGACACAACAACAACAAAAAAGAAAATTTCAGGCCAATATCCCTGATGGACATTGATGTGAAAATCTTCAATAAAATACTAGCAAACAATTCAACAGCACATCAAAAAGCTTATTCACCATGAGCTAGTCAGCTTCATCCCTGGGATGTAAGGCTGGTTCAACATACACAAATCAATAAACGTAATCCATCAGATAAACAGAACCAACGACAAAAACCACATGATTATCTCAATAAATGCAGAAAAGGCCTTCAATAAAATTGAACACCCCTTCATGCTACAAACACTCAATAAACTAGGTATTGATGGAACATATTTCAAAATAATAAGAGCTGTTTATGACAAACCCACAGCCAGTATCATTCTGAATAGGCAAGAGCTGGAAGCATTTTCTTGGAAAACCAGCACAAGACAAAGATGCCCTTTCTCACCACGCCTACTCAACATAGTATTGGAAGTTCTGGCCAGGACAATCAAGCAAGAGAAAGAAATAAGGGGTATTCAGATAGGAAGAAAGGATGTCAAATTGTCTCTGTTTGCAGGTGACATGATTACATATTTAGAAAACCCCATCGTCTCAGCCCAAAATCTCCTTAAGCTGATAAGCAACTTCAGCAAACTCTCAGGATACAAAATCAACATGCAAAAATCACAAGCATTCTTATACACCAGTAATAGACAAACAAATAGCCAAATCATGAGTGAACTCTCATTCACAATTGCTACAAAGAGAATAAAATACCTAGGAGTACAATTTACAAGGGATGTGAAGGACCTCTTCAAGGAGAACTACAAACCACTGCTCAAGGAAATGAGAGAAGACACAAACAAATGGAAAAACATTCCATGTTCATGGATAGGAAGAATCAATATCGTGAAAATGGCCATACTGCCCAAAGGAATTTATAGATTCAATGCTATCCCAATCAAGCTACCATTAACTTTCTTCGCAGAATTAGAAAAACTACTTTAAATTTCACATGGCACCAAAAAAGAGCCTGTATAGCCAACACAATTCTAAGCAAAAAGAACAAAGCTGGAGGCATCACGCTATCTGACTTCAAACTATACTACAAGGCTACAGTAACCAAAACAGCATGGTACTGGTACCAAAACAAATATATAGAGCAATGGAACAGAAGAGAGGCCTCAGAAATAACACCACACATCTGCAACCATCTGATTTTGACAAACCTCACAAAAACAAGCAATGGGGAAAGGATTCCCTATTCAATAAATGGTGTTGGGAAAACTGGCTAGCCATATGCAGAAAACAGAAACTGGACCCTTCCTTACGCCTTATACAAAAATTATCTCAAGATGGATTAAAGACTTAAATGTAAGACCTAAAACCATAAAAATCCTACAAGAAAACTGGGAAATACCATTCAGGACATAGGCATGGGCAAAGACTTCATGTGTAAAACACCAAAAGCAAAGGCAACAAAAGCCAAAATCAACAAATGGGATCTAATTAAACTAAAGAACATCTGCATAGCAAAAGAAACTATCATCAGAATGAACAAGCAACCTAAAGAATGGGAGAAAATTTTTGCAATCTATCCATCTGACAAAGGGCTAATATCCAGAATCTACAAGTATCTTAAATTTACAAGAAAAAAACCAAACAACCCTATCAAAAAGTGGGCAAAGGATATAAACAGACACTTCTCAAAAGAAGACATTTATGTGCCCAACAAACATATGAAAAAAAGTTCATTATCACTGGTCATTAGAGAAATGCAAATCAAAACCATAATGAGATACCATCTCACACCAGTTAGAATGGTGATCATTAAAAAGTCAGGAAACAACAGATGCTGGAGAAGATGTGGAGAAATAGGAACACTTTTACGATGTTGGTGGGAGTGTAAATTAGTTCAACCATTGTAGAAGACAGTGTGGCGATTCCTCAAGGATCTAGAACCAGAAATACCATTTGACCCAGCAATCCCATTACTGGGTATATACCTAAAGGATTATAAATCATGCTATCCCATTACTGGGTATATACCCAAAGGATTATAAATCATGCTACTATAAAGACACATGCACACGTTTGTCTATTGCAGCACTGTTCACAATAGCAAAGACTTGGAACCAACCCAAATGCCCAACAATGATAAACTGGATAAAGAAAATGTGGTACATAAGCACCATGGAATACTATGCACCCATAAAAAATGATGAGTTCATGTCCTTTGCAGGGACATGGATGAAGCTGGAAACCATCATTCTCAGCAAACTAACGCAGGAACGGAAAATCAAACACCGCATGTTCTCACTTATAAGTTGGAGTTGAATAATGAGAACACATGGACACAGGGAGGAGAACATCACACACTGGGGCTTGTCAGTGGGTGGGAGGCTAGGAGAGGGCTAGCATTAGGAGAGACACCTAATGTAGATGATGGGTTGATCAGTGCAACAAACCACCAAGGCACATTTATACCTGTGTAACAAACCTGCATGTTCTGCACGTGTATCCTAGAACTTAATTTATATTTTTTTAAAAAAGTAGTGTTACACTAACAACAAACTATTTTTAAAAGAATCAATAAAACAATCCTATTTTCAAAACATGAAAATGCTCAGGCATAAATTAAACCAAAGAGGTGAAAGATATGTATAGTGAAATCTGTAAGGCATTGGTAAAAGAAATTGAAGACGATAAATGAAAAAATTCCTTGTTCATGGATTGGAAGAACTAAAACTGCTAAAATGTTCATACTACCCAAAATAATCAATAAATTCAATACAGTTCTTATCAAAATTCCAATGACATTTTTCGTAGAAATAGAGAAACAATCTTAAAATTTATGTGGAATCACAAAAGACTCTAAACAGACAAAGCAATCTTGAGCAAGAAGAACAAAGCTGAAGGCATTATAGTACTTAATTTGAAAATATACTACAAAGCTATGGTAATAAAAACAGTATGGTACTGGCATAAAAAGAGACACATAGACCAATACAATAGAATAAGGAACCTAGAAATAAATCCAAGTATTTACAGCCAACTGATTTTCAACAAAAGTGCCAAAAACACATAATGAGAAAAGAACAGTCTCTTTAATGAATGGTGTTTGGAAAACTGGATGTCCACCTGCAGAAGAATGAAATTAGACCCTCATCTCACACCACCTACGAAACTCAACTCAAAATTAACTAAAAGGTTAGACATAATGCCATAAACTTTAAAACTACAAGAAGAAAACATAGGGGAAAACCTCCATGACATTGGCCTGAGCAATGGTTTTTTTAGGTGATCCTCAAAGCACACGCAACAAAAATAAAGATAGACAAATAGAATTACATCAAACTAAAAAGCTTCTGCACAGAAAAGGAAACAATCAACAGAGTGAATAGACAACCCAAAGAAATATTAGTAGAAAATATTTGCAAACCATACATCTGATGTGTTTAATATGCAAAATAAATAAGGAACTCAAACAACTCAGTAGTAAGAAAACTAACAGCCCAATGAAAAATTGGACAAATGATTGAATAGACATTTCTCAAAGACATGGCCAGGTATATAAAAAATGCTCAACATCACCAATCATTAGAAAAATGCAAATTAAAACCACAGTGAGATCACCTCACACATGTTAGAATGGCTATTATCAAAAAAAATAAAAGATAATGTTGGAGAGGATGCAGAGAAAGAAAACCCTTGCACTCTATTGGTGGAAATATAAATTAGTATAGCCTTTATGGAAAATAGTAAGGGGGTTCCTCAAAAAATTAAAAATAGAAATATCATATGATCCAGGAATCCCAGTTCTGGATATATACCCAAAGAAAGCCTTATTTGAAAAGATATCTCACTCCCATGTTCATTGCAGCATTATACACAATAGCAAAAATATACACAATAGCAAAAATATACACAATAGCAAAAATCAACCTAAGTGTCCATCAACAAAAAATGGATAAAGAAGATGTGGTTTATATACACTATAGAATACTATTCAGTAATTTTAAAAAAGAAAGAAAGCTTGCCATTAATTATAACATGTATTTCCTGGAGGACATTAAGTGAAATAAGTGAGACACAGAGAAACAAATGGAATCTAAAACAGTTAAACTGACAGAAACGGAGTAAGATGGTGCTTACCAGAGGCTGGGGGGTGGGGAATACAGACAGATCTTAGTGAAAGGATACAAAATTTCAGTTAGGAGGAATAAATTCAAGTGATCTATTGTACATCATGATGGCCATACTTAATAACAATATATTGTATTCTTAAAAATTGCCAAAATATTATATTTTAAATATTCTCATCACAAAAAAGGAGGTAATAAATATGTTAAATAGCTTAACTTAGCCATTCCACAATGTATTCATATATCAAAACACCATGATTGTATACTGTAAAGAAATACAATTTTTATTTGTCAATGGAAAAAATAATTGTTTCTTTTTTTTTTATTATACTTTAAGTTTTAGGGTACATGTGCACATTGTGCAGGTTAGTTACATATGTATACATGTGCCATAAAATAATTGTGTTTCTGTACAGTAACACTGAATTATCTGGAAAAACAAATGCCATTTACAGTATCATCAAAATGAATAAAATATTTAGAAATAAATTTAACCCTGGAAGTGATTAATCTTTACACTTAAAACTATAAAATATTGATGAAATAAATTGAAGAAAATACAAATAAATGTTTAAAATATTTCATGCTCATGGAATAGAAGAATTAATACTACTAAAATGTCCATAATACCCAAAGTAATTGACAGATTCAATGCAATTCTTATCAAAACTCTAATGATATTTTTCACAGCATTGGAGGAAAAATTCTAAAATATGTATGGAACCACAAAAAAACATAAATAGCCAAAACAACTTGAACAACAACAACAGAAAAGCTGAGGCATCACATTTCCTGACTTGAAACCATATTACAGAACCATAAGAATCAAAACTGTATGATACTGGCATAAAAGCAGACACACAAACCAATGGAACAGAATCAAGTCCCCAAAAATAAATCCTCACATATATGGTCAACTAACTAATATTTGACAAATGTGTCAAGAATATACAGGAGAAAGGATACTTGATTCAATAAATGGTGCTGGGAAAACTTAGTATCTATATGCAAAATAATAAAATTGAACCATTATCTTACGTAACTCACAAATCTGATAAGGAGTTAATATCCAAAAAATACAAGGAATTCAAACAACTCCATAGCAAAAATAATACAATAAATTGATTTTTAAACGGCCAAAGGACCTGAGCTGACATTTCTCAATAGAAGACATACATATGGCCAACAGATACGTGAAATAATGATAATGCTCAACAGCACTATTCATGAGAGAAATGAAAATTAAAACCCCAATGAGATCAGCCAACATGTTAGGATGGCTATTATCGAGACGAGATAACAAGTATTGGCAAGGATTCAGAAAGAAAGGGAATCCTTATGCACTACTGGTGGGAATGTAAATTGGAACAGCCATTTTAGAAAACAGTATGGAGGTTCCTCAAAAATCAAAACTAGAGCTACCATCTTATCCAGCAATCCCACTGCTGGGTATATACCCAAAGGAAACGAAAATAGTATGTCAAAGAGATATATGCACTCTTGTGTTCAATGTAGCATCATTCACATTAGCCAACACTTGGAAACAAACCAAGCATCCATCAAAAAGAAGGAAATTCTGCCACTTGCAACAACATGGATCAACCTTGTTGGCATTATGCTTAGTAAAATACATGAATCAGAGAAAGACAAATACGATATGAACTCACTTATACATGAAATCTTAAAAAGCTGAATTCACAGAAACAGAGAATAGAATTAGAATGGTGGTTTCCAAAAGCTGGGGGAGGGGAAAATAGGGAGATGTTGGTCAGAAGGTACAAGCTTTCAGTTATAAGGCGAACAAGTTCTGGGGATTTAATATGCAGCATGGTGAATATAGTTAACAATACAGTATTTAATATTTGAAATTTGTTAAGAGAGTAGATCTTAAATATTCTCACCACAAAACAAGAAAAAATATGTCAGCTGATGGATAGGTTAATTAGCTGGTTTGTGGTAATCACTTCACAATATATACATATGTCAAAACATCATACACATAGTAAGTGTATGCAATTTTTACTTGTTAATTATACCTTCACAAAGCTGCAGTGAAAAGAACAGAGGTAAAACTATATTATTTTCATAAATTGCATAAGTGTATATTTTATGATTACTATGAAAAAGGGGTTTTTTAAATTTCTATTTTTAGTTTAGATTCAGGGGGATACATGGGCAGGTTTATTACAAGGGTATATTGTGTGATGCTGAGGTTTGGGCTTATATTAATCCTGTCACCCAGACAGTGAATATAGTATACAATAGGAAAATTTTCAGTCCTTGCTCCTCTCCTCCTCTCCTTCCTTTTGGAATCCCTAGTGTCTACTGTTTCCATCTTTATGTCTGTATGTACCCAGGATTTATCTCCTTAAATTTTAAATCAAGTGAGAAGATGTGGTGTTCGGTTTTCTATTTCTGCATTAATTTGCTAAGGATAATGGCCTCCAGCTGCATCCATATTGCTTCAAAGGACATTATTTCGTTCTCTTTTATGGCTGTGTAGCATTCCATGTTGTATATGTACCACATTTTCTTTATCCAATCCACCATTAATGGGCACCTAGCTTGATTCCATGTCTTTGCAATTGTGAATAGTGCTGCAATGAACATGTGAATGCATGTGTCTTTTGGGTAGAACAATTTATTTGGGTGGGAGGCACATACCCAGTGATGGAATTGCTAGGTTGAATGGTAATTCTATTTTCAGTTCTTTGAGAAATTCCCAAACTACTTTCCATAGTGGCTGAACTAATCTACATTCCCACCAGCAGTATAAAAGTGTTCCATTTTCTCTGCAGCCTCATCAATATCTGTCATTATTTTACTTTTTAGTAATAGCCATTCAGACTAGTGCAAGATGGTATCTCATTGTGGTTTTGAGTGGCATTTCTCTAATGATTAGTGTTCGAGCATTTTTTATATGTTTGTTAGCTGCTTTTATGTCTTCTTTTGAGAATTGTCCATTCATGTTCTTTGCCCATTCTTTAATGGGGTTATTTGTTTTTCTCTTGTTGATTTGTTTAGGTTCCTTATAGATTCTGGATATTAGTCCTTTGTCAGATGCATAGTTTGCAAATATTTTCTCCCATTCTGTAAGATGTCTGTTTATTCTGTTGATAGGTACTTTTGCTGTGCAGAAGCTCTTTGGTTTAATTAAGTCCCATTTGTCAATTTTTTGTGTGTTGCAATTGCTTTTGAGGACTTGGTCATAAGTTCTTTGCCAAGGCCAATGTCCAAAAGGGTATTTCTGAGTTTTTTCCCCAGGATTTTTATAGTTTGGGGCTTTACATTTAAGTCTTTAATCTTTCTTGAATTAATTTTTGTATATGGTGCTTGGTAAGGGTTAAGTTTCATCCTTCTGAATATAGTTAGCCAGTTTTCCTAGGACCATTTATGGAATAGGGAGTCCTTTCTGCATTACTTATTTTTGTCGACTTTGTTCAAGATCAGTTGGTTGTAGGTATGCTGCTTTATTTCTGGGTTCTTTATTCTGTTCCATTGGTCTAGGTGCCTATTTTTGTGCCAGTACCTTGCTGTTTTGATTACTGTAGACTTGTAGCATAGTTTGAAGTCCAGTAATGTGATGCTTCCAGTTTTGCTCTTTTTGCTTAGGATTGTTATGGCTATTTGGGCTCTTTTTTGGTTCCGTGTAATTTTAGAATCATTTTTTCTAGTTCTGTGTAAAATGACGTTGGTAATTTAATAGGAATAGTGTTGAATCTGTAGATTGCTTTAGGCGGTAAAATTTAGACATTTTGTTTATGTTGTTGATTCTTCCAATCCATAAGCATGGAAGGTTTTTCCATTTGTTTGTGTCATCTATGATTTCTTTCAGCAGTGCTTTGTAGTTCTTTTTGTGGAAATCTTTCACTTCCTTGGTTAGAAGTATTCCTAGATTTTGTGTGTGTGTGTGTGTGTGTGTGTGTGTGTATTTTAAAGGGAATTACATTCTTGATTTGGCTCTCAGCTTGAACATTATTGGTGTATAGAAATGCTATTGATTTTTTACATTGATTTTGTATCTTCAAACTTGACAAGTTGTTTTATCAGGTCTAGAAGCCTTTTGGCAGAGTCTTTGGGGTTTTCTAGTCATAGAATCATAGCATAATTTGACTCCTCTTTTCCTATCTGGATGCTTTTTATTTCTCTCTCTTGCCTGATTTATTTGGCTAGGATTTTCAGTACTACGTTGAATAAGAGTAGTGTCAGAATTCTTGTCTTATTCCAGTTCTTAAAGGGAATGCTTCCAGCTTTTACCTATTTGGTATGATGTTGGCTGTGGGACTGAAATAAATGGCTTTTATTATTTTGAAGTATGTTCTTTGGATACCTAGTTTATTGAGGGTTTTAACATGAAGAGGTGTTGGATTTTATCAGAAGATTTTTCTGCAACTATTGAGAGAATCATATACGGTTTGGGGAAAATAAGGCTTAAAATATTTGATTTCATAAGTTCACGAGAAGGTAAATAGGTAGATTGTTTTGGTTTTGTATTTTTCCCCAAAATATACCAAAAATATTTTCCGATATTTCAAAAAATATCATTTACAATATTTCAGATATTTTGGTAAAATATATGGTCCACCAAAAAAAAAAAAATCAAACAGAGCCAAGTTTTGTGGCACACACCATTAATCCCAGTGACTGGAAAGACTGAAATGGGAGGATTGCTTGAGCCCAAGAGTTTGAGGCCAAAATGAGCCATGATCACACCACTATACTTCAGCCTGGGTGACAGAGTGAGACCCAAAAGCCAAAAGCCAAAAAAAAAAGAGTCAAAAAATAGAAATGTAAAGGATAACATAAAAGCAGTCTCAGAAATCTCTTTCTTCTGGGAACATACTCTTTATCCAGGCTATTTGATGATCAATATCATTAAACACGGATCTCCATCACCACATAAATGAGTTAGCATTATATTTCTTGAATATATCACCCTAGATAACCTTGACTGAATGGGATATTTAATATACACATCAGATATTGTTCTAACTGCTTTATAGTCAACAAACAATTATTGATCCCTGTTACATGCTAGACTCCCTTCCAGGCACCAAACAGCCACTGGAAGCTAATATAGCATCATCAAGGAATGCTGAGTGCAGCATTATCACAGGGCTATCAGGTCCTGACCAATTAGTCTACGGAAATATTGGAAGACAATGTCCGTAAAATTGCATAGTAAGAAATCAACATCTACACGGAACACTATTCCTAAAGAGAGAATGTTTCTATTTGGTGGGATGTTATATAAAAAAAGAAAGAAAAAAAAAGCAATGAACAAATAAAACACTATATATAATTTGGCTGATGAGCTTGTTTTCACAAATAAAAGTAAGCTCCATTAAGTCAGGGACTTTACTGTTTTGTCTATTTAGTTGTTTGCTATATTTCTATTGCTAATCAAATTTGTTGAATTGATTCATTCAGTTACGTGGCAAAAAAGGGGGATCAGATCCATATTCGTTTGGATCTTAGGTTTTAATTGTGGGGAGATACATTTAAAAAAACAAAATTTAGAGTGATAAGTGCTACGAAAAACACATGGAAATGTGATAGAGATTAGCTGGGGAGGAGGGATTTTAATTTAGATTAAGTAGTCAAGGAAGATCTCGTTGAATAGATTATATCTGAAAAACGATTACAAACAAGGAGTTCAATTTGGGGACAGAATCTGCCAGGCCAATGAAATTCAATGCAAAGACACTTTAACACCTGCAACCCTGGAATGACAAAGGCATGAGACGAATGGGAGAAGGAGGGAGGGATGAAAAGGAGCCAGGCAAGGTGCATCTGGTAGTTCTTGGTAAGGAGTCTGAATTTTATAGTTAAGTGCATAGGAAGTCTAAAAAGATTTCAAATTGGCAAATGGAAATACTTGATTTGTGGTTTTGGTTTTCTTGGGTTTTGTTTTTTGTTTTTTCGAGACACAGTCTCGCTCTGTCGCCCAGGCTGGAGTGCAATGGTGCGATCTCGGCTCACAGCAACCTCTGTCTCCCGGGTTCAAGCGATTCTCCTGTCTCAGCCTCCAGAGTAGCTGGGATTCCAGGCATGCGCCACCATACCCGGCTAATTTTGTATTGTTGTATTGTTGATTTTGTATTGTTAGACGGGGTTTCTCCATGTTTATCAGGCTGGTCTCGAACTCCTGACCTCAGGTGATCTGCCCGCCTCGGCCTCCCAAAGTGCTGGGATTACAGGCGTGAGCCACCGCGCCCAGCCAACGTGTGGTTTTTTTAAAGAACGCTTTTGGCCGCCATATGGAGAATAGATTGAAAGGGGAATGAATTAAAGCAGAGAAACAAGATAGTAATCCATTGGGTAATCCAGGAAAAATAGGGTGGCCCAGTTTGTTAGTCATTCTGGAAATGGAGAGAAGTCGAGCTTGGAATCATTCAGATTTTCAAGATGAGGGCAGGCTAGTAATTAAGGATAACTCCTTAATTACTGGTTTCTGGCCAGAAATAGGTACATGTTTATATCATTTACTACAATGAGGAAGACTGGAATGAGAGCAGATTCAGTGCAATCAAGAGATCTATTTTAGCTATGTTTAGACTCATAATTTTGTGCATGAAATTAGGCAGTTGGAACTACCTATTCCATGCTCAATGTAGAAGACTGGAAATAGACACTTGAAAGCCATCAATATGTAGATGGGATTCAAATCCTTAAAACTCTAAGATTCTATCTAGGGACACAGTATAAACAGAAAAGAATTGAGCCTTTGGCAAGGGCATAGGAATCTCAGGACACTGTATTTCTAAAATTTCTACATATGCCAGCCAATACAGTTACTCTGATATGCGGCCAGTTGTGGAAGCACTGCTAATAACTTCACTTTAAATGGTTTCCATAAGTTAAGGGCTAAAGTAAGCAAGGGAAAAAATTGTTAAATAAAAAGGAAACAGGAAAACATGTCTTGATTTATTCAAAGGGGTATGGAAAGGTCTTATATTAAAGTTTAAGGCAAGGGCATCTGCTTTACAAGCTGGGTATATCCATTTTTTGATAACAAATGAAAACCTTTTTAAAAATTAATTCAAAAATCCAAAGGATTTCTCTATAATTTCTCCAGAGTAACAAACCCATGGATTTTAATCACAGAATAAGGAGCAAGGGACTAGAAAAGTCACTGTGTAGGAATGTATTTAAACCAGAAACATGGGTGGGCATGACAATTTATATACATTTTTGTTTTTCAAATGAAAATTGAATATTTGCTATGGTTGAATTGAAATTGTGAAATTCAATTATAACTTTAAAGTGGTTTTTAAAAGAAAAAGGAGAACTGTAGAAAATTTGACTAAAGGGGAAGAGAAAAATACATAAGTGAAACTGAGATCTCCAGTCAAAGTGAACAGTTTCAAGTATTCAGATGTTTAGAATCTTGATAGACAAAAATGTACCATTAGTAGATGTTATGTTTCTTTTTATCATCATTATTATAGCATTTATAAAGAATACATACACATACATATGTATATACTATGTATATAGTATATATATTTCATATATGTGTGTATTATATATAAAATCCTAAAGGAAGTGCTTATAAGGAGAGTATTTTCCAGATGTTTTATCAAATATCAGCATAAACTTTCCCCAAATATTTCTGCAGCACACAGACACCCTGAACTGATTGAAATTGTAATAGTTAATACTTATTTGGATGCTGTGTGCCAACCAGTACTGTAGTATTTACATATGTTAAACTTATTGAATCCTTACATTCGCCCTTTAAATTATGTATTATAATATCCCCTATTATAGATAAGAAATCGGAGGCAATGAAGGTTAAGTAATTTTCCCAAGTTCACACATCTGGTAACTGTAGCCACCAGGATTTCAGCCCAGAAAGTCTGGCTCCACAATCTATCCATCTAACCATTACACTATACTATATCTCAAGTGTAAAATATATTGATTATCGTACAGAAGCAGATAGTTAAAATTATTTTATTGATCAGTAATGTCATCCACATTTGAACATGTATCATGAGGCAGCCAATTCGTGCTTATGTATTTTATTAAAACCAATTATTACTGATATGTAATTTTAATTTAAGGAAGCTGTTAAAACCTATGATTATAAGCCAACTCACAAAAATTTTCATAGTATATACTTACTCTAGAATTTAATGTGTAAATAGTGACCTCTGAGACAATAACAAAACTAATTGTCGTAGACAATGAAGTATTTGAATCATCCCTCATGGTCACCAAAACAACTGAGAAAAAATGTAAATCTTATGATTCTGGTCTTACTGTTTAGAGCTTTGGGGATTAAACATCTCTTTCAAATACAACTGTTCTGACCATGGGTATCAGAGATAACCACTAGAGGTACCTCATTTAAATGATATCTGCTCAGAGCAAGTTTAGTTCCACAATCAATATTTGTGCTTTGAATGGTAAGATTTTTCTGTAGCTAAGTATAATTGTAGTGTTGGAAATCTACATTATTTAAGAGTAAATTTTATATTATAATACATTCACAACCAAAAAAATATGAAAATACATTTTCTTATTTCTTTGTCCTATAGTTTTCCTTCATATTAAATAACTTTTACATCTACTAAACCTGCCCTAGTGAAATATTAGGGTATGGTCTAATTCTAGGCTGGCATTTTCTATGACACTGTACTCTAGTAAAGTTAATTGGATGCAGTCCCAATGGTTTAGATAATCTTTTTGATTATCTGAGTCTTCAGGTAATACTGGGAAATTTTGTTCAATTCTGATTCTGAATTATCCGGTTGCTTTTCCTAATGTTTCTCTATGGTCAAGACCTACTTGCAGGTTGATTTAAACTCAGAACAAGAAGTAAGAATTTGTGACAGGTTTCATCCTCTTACTTGAAGTCATATATTCGAGAAGGAGGAGTCCTGTTGAGAATCTCTACCCTAACACACTTTGGGAAAAGCAGAATTCTCCGTGGCACTGCAGGGAAATCATGAGAAATTTACAGCCCTGGAGAAAAAAATGCTTAACCGGGATCTATTTTCCATAGTGTGGATTCTACAAAAGTCGAGAAGTAGAATGGCAAAGGAACTCCCTCTGGATCACAGTAATGTTCATCCTTAATCTCTTGGAGAAACAGTATGCCTGGATTGGTAAAACAATTTGTAGAAAGTAGAAGAAAAAGAACTTAGATCTGTATGGGCTGGTTTTATTTCAGAAGTCTGAGAATAAATATTGATCCAGCAGAAACAAAAGCGAGAAAGATAGATTAAATTGAAAATGAAGAATTCAGATACTTGTTTTTAATTTTGTTTTGTTTTGTTTTTTAATGCCATTTGTGAAACTTGTCAGCAAAATATTTTATTCTTGAAGGTTGTGGAGCCATAAAGGACTCAGATTTTATGTATCCATTTCTAAATCTCATACTGTGCATGAAAATTTATTTGAAGATTTTTCTATGTCACTTTTTAATAGGCAGAAGGAGGATTTTTATTCTTTCCTGAGTTAATCTTTATGGACTGTAGTAATAATGAAATAGTTAAGAAATTAACAGCATAATATTGATCTTAATTTTAAAAGAATTTTCAGGTTTTTATATAATTTTAACTGAAGCCCTATTTTATTCAGAAGTTAGGCACAATTATACACATCAACGAGTCTGTTAAAATAAATAAGCATTAATTATTGATGCCCCTGCTCAGACATTATGGAACTTTAATGGGGTGTGACAGCTTGAAATATCTTTCAGAGAATTATTTTTCTTTCTATCCAATTTGATTAATGGCAAAACTCAGAATCAAATCATAATTTTTGAAAAGCTAATGCTAAAGAAATCACAAAATGATTTTCTCAAAACGGCTATTTCAACCACCATCTCCGGTTAGTCTCACAAATGTATCCACTTTTGAATCATGGCCACAGTTGGAAGTAATTTCTTAATAACATTCAAAAAAACATATTTGAAATGGCATAACAAACAAAAAAAGCACAACTTTTTGTACTACATCTATATAAAGAGAGAGAAGAAGCACCAGTTTGATATTTATCTGGGTTTTGTTTGTTTTTGAGACAGGATCTTGCTCCAGCACCCAGGGTGGAGTGCAGTGGTGCAATCATAGCTCACCGCAACCTCAAACTCCTGGGCTCAAGTGATCCTCCCGCCTCAGCCTCCTGAGTAGCTGGGACTATAGGAGTACGCCACCACACCTGGCTAATGGCTGTTATTTTTTAACCAAATGTTTTATATTAGCTTTTTGACCACTTTATTGAAGTATGACTGACATACAAAAGCAGTACAGATTTAATGTATACAACTTGATGAGTTTGAAGGTGAGTATATACCTGTGAAACCATCAACACAATCTATCCCATATATACATCCATCACCTCCAACAGTTTCCTCCCACCTTCTTTATTGTGTTGTGTATGTGTGTGCGTGTGATGAGAACACTTAACATAAGATCTACCCTCCTAGCAAAATTTTAAGTATACAATATAGTATTTCTTAAATGTAGTGTAAAGTGGCTGACAAGTTTTAAGGAGATGGATGACATGATTTCATCAAATGTTGTAACAATGTAAAGGCATAAGACTGGATGCAAGGACTGGATGCAAGACTATTGCCAGAATCCAGAAAAGAAATCATAGTGATTTGAATTAGGGTTGTGGTGGTAGGGATTTTTTAAAGTGATAGGATAATTAGCATATATATTTGCATCCAAATTTACCAGTTTTGGTGATAAGGCGTTAAGAATGAGAGAGACAAGGCGTCCAAGGGTAAACACCAGATGTCCTACATAACAAACTAGGAGATCAAAGGTGCTTAGTCACTAAGATATGAAAAAAGAAGAACAATCTTTCCTCACTCTTTTTTAAGGTTTATTTTTAATTAAGCAACAATTGTATATGTTTATGGGGTGCAATATAATGTTTTAATATATGTTTATAATGTGTAATGATTAAATCAGGCTAATTAACAAACCCATCACCTAACATACTTATTTTTTGTGGTGAAAACACTTAAAATCTACTCTTAGTAATTTTGAAATAAACAATGCATTATTGTTTATTGTAGTCACCATTCTGTGAGATCACTAAAACTGGTTCCTTTTTTCTAACTGAAACTTAGTACCCTTGATCAACATCTCCCCTTTTCCCATCCATCTCCTGCCCCCACTCTCTACCTCTATGAGTTCAACTTTTTTGGATTCCATATATAAATAAAATCATGCAATATTTGTCTTTCAGCTTACTTCAGTTAGCATGATGTCCCCAGGTTCATCCTCCAGGTTATCACATCTTTTCCTCATCCTACCATTAGCCCAGTACTTAAATTTTATAGGTGAATTTACTGATCAAATAAAAGAATATGTTCATTTTATCAAGCTAACTAGCTTATAAAGAATCATAGGGTCATTTTAGAACCAGCATCTATTTCAAACTTTCAAATCTACACGTTAGATAATTCAGACCTCAAGTTTAAAAGTGAACTCCCCAAGGTCACCTGGATTTTTTTTAAAAAATCTAATATTAAACTCATTGCCATAAAAGAATCTATGACAAATAGCAGATTTCTTGGCTGTAATTTTTACTTTTATCCATTAAATTTTTTCAATTAGTAACATAAATTATCTCTCTTTGTTTAGTTCTAATTTTATCAAATTATTTAGATAGTTCATGTTGACAAATTGTTTCTTCCTCTTTTCCTTTTCTTCTTCCTCTCCCTCCTCCTTCTCCTCCTCTACCTCTTCTTCCTTCTTCTTCCTTCTCCTTATCCTTGTATCATCATCTACCTCCTCCTCCTCCTTTTCTCACTCTAGGATTTAGACATTGAAGGACTATGGACCAAAGCAATTATAGTTCTTTACATGGTTTTATTCTGCTTGGCTTCTCTAACCATCCAAAAATGGAGATGATCCTGTCAGGAGTTGTCGCCATCTTCTACTTAATTACATTGGTGGGTAACACAGCCATCATTCTTGCATCTCTCCTGGATTCCCAGCTTCATACACCAATGTACTTTTTCCTCAGAAATTTATCTTTCCTAGATCTATGTTTCACAACCAGCATCATCCCTCAGATGCTGGTCAACTTGTGGGGACCTGATAAGACCATCAGCTATGTGGGTTGTATCATCCAACTCTATGTTTACATGTGGTTGGGCTCAGTTGAGTGCCTTCTCCTGGCTGTTATGTCCTATGATCGTTTTACAGCTATATGTAAGCCCTTGCATTATTTTGTAGTCATGAACCCACATCTATGTCTAAAGATGATTATCATGATCTGGAGTATTAGTTTGGCCAATTCTGTAGTATTATGTACACTCACTCTGAATTTGCCCACATGTGGAAACAACATTCTGGATCATTTCTTGTGTGAGTTGCCAGCTCTGGTCAAGATAGCTTGTGTAGACACCACAACAGTTGAAATGTCTGTTTTCGCTTTAGGCATTATAATTGTCCTCACACCTCTCATCCTTATTCTTATATCCTATGGCTACATTGCCAAAGCTGTGCTGAGAACGAAGTCAAAAGCAAGCCAGCGAAAAGCAATGAATACCTGTGGATCTCATCTTACTGTAGTGTCTATGTTCTATGGAACTATTATCTACATGTACCTGCAACCAGGTAACAGGGCTTCCAAAGACCAGGGCAAGTTCCTCACCCTCTTTTACACCGTCATCACTCCAAGTCTCAACCCGCTCATTTACACCTTAAGAAATAAGGACATGAAGGATGCCCTGAAGAAACTGATGAGATTTCACCACAAATCTACAAAAATAAAGAGGAATTGCAAGTCATAGATAAAGACTAGAGTGAATAAGGCAATTAAATATGTTTTCTAATTTTCTTTAATTTTTACAAACGCAAGTAATTCCTAGGTCATGGAGATCCATAAATATAATTATTATATACAAACATTTTGTAGATGCAAACAAAATTACAACCATTCTACTTAGCTCCTTTATGTCCCTGATCATTGGTATATCATCAGAGAAAACAGATCATTAGAAATTTTATTTTTGCTTGAAATAAAACACAAATGGGATGTAAACATAAATTTGAATGCATTTAATTTATTCTAAAACCACATAGAAACTGTTTTGGTTATCTAGTTTTGTATTTTCAATGTTAATCCTTGCCTCTTCCAAAGTATAGACCTGAGCAAATGGTTTCATATACATTATGGTGTGTATATTAAATAATATACCCATAATGTTCATTCTATTGGAGCTTGAGAAAAAATATACATATACACAATAATGATTTTGTACACCCAATCTTTTGTAATGCCACCCAAATATTTATTTGTGTTTGATGCAAACAGTGCAGTTTATAAGACAGTAATTGTCATAAGCCCCATTTAAAACAATTCACTCTTTTTTCAATGAAATTTCAAATCGATATCTTGAGTAAAGGGTCTCTGCTATTTAAGTCTATTACTACTCTATCGTAATATAAAGCCACAAATTAAAGGGTTTTAAAGGTAATGACACAGTCTTATCAATTTCTCTTTCATTCGTTAAATGTTTATTCCATGATTGTCTCAACTTAATGGAAAGATAATATGACTAGTTTGAAACCAGTTAGGCTTTTGACATACATCTGTGGAACTGGCGGATTTACGTGAATTTTTAGAAATGTGGTAATGTTTATATGTAGTGGAATTGCATAACAGAATAAATCTTTTTATTTCTATTTATCATAATATAATATTTAGCTTTTATGGGACAATGTGATTACTTTTTAATTAAACTTTTATTTTTGCCATGATCTGATACCTTTCTCTAAAAGTGCCCATTATTTAATAATAGTAGCCAATCTAGATAGATCTAGAAAGACACACTGCTAGAATCTAAAAATATATATTTTCTCTTCCATCATGTCATCTTTAATGATGAGCAGCACACCACTAGCATTTTGAGTTGTCCCTTTCTTTGGTGTACCACTGGTTTTCACAATGTGGATAATATGTTACAGTAAGATCAGGAGAGATGGTAATTATGCCTTTCTTTTGTGAAGGAGGAGAAGGGATCTTTGAAAGTGAAGGCTGGAAAGAGAACCTGTCTAACTCCTCAACCTGGCATTTCCTCAAGAAAATGTTAGCGAAGAAAACAAAGGAACAAGGAGGATCTGGAAGTTATTTCCTTAAAACTAACTTTATAACCCTACAAAAGTCTCTGCATCCCAGAGTGTGCCCCCCCGTTGAAGCCCATTGTCTTAGACTATGGTTCTCTTAACAAGCCATACAAATCTCTATGAAGGTTAGAATTGCATTGTTTTGTAAATATTATTTATAGAACTGATAAGCCTCTAGCCAATGTAATTATAAGTTTCTTGAAAGCATAATTTTGTATAGTTCTTTCTCGATTCACCATCATATAATAGGGTTCCATGACTCTTAGTAGGCATTGAATATTTTTAACGATTTGGATGAATTTTTCAGTGTTCATGCAAATGTTTGTAAACAGAGCAAAAATCATCTTGTTATCATTTTTAACTAAAAAAAAAATACACAAATATGAGCTAAGCAGAATATCCCAAGCCTTCAAAAACATGTCCTAGAAAATTTCGGAAATGTCTTACCTTGACCTGCATCATAATTATGCTTAATTACTGTTGTGGAGCACCAGTCTCAACGGGCTTAACAATATCCTGAAACTAAGTCAGCTCTCTTAGATTTTATACCCATCACATTTATCTTTTTCTAAGGTTAGCCCTTGGCCAGGGCAGGAAAATGTTTCTGCCACTCACAAAACACTCAGTAAATAGGTAATTTTCAAAACCACATATGCCTAGTGTTGGAAAAATGCAATATAATACAATCTAGTTTATTGCCTATTTTCCTTTCATATGGACATCTCCAGATTCTTCCACAAGAAGTTCAACTCTGATTGGTACCAATTAACCACAACATGGTAGATGTTGACTAGTTCAGACAAGGAAATTCATAATGATTTATGATTAAAGATAAAAGCAACCCTTCTGAGTCAACCATCATAACTTGAGGAGTGGTGGACTAAGAAAACCATAGTAGAAAATGCACATAATGACTCCCCTCAGTGCAAGTAAATAGCTAATTCTTTCAATATTTCTCTTCTTTAGAAGACTATAATCTAAAAAATACATTATTCAAATTCAGAGAATCACGAATATCTAGAGAAAATGAAATGCCATTTTTACTGTATCTGTTTATATTCATAACAATTATTAATTTTCTCTCATTTCTTAAACAAAAACTTATAAATGGATTCAAGCAGAAGATGCTATGATACTCAATTGTCATATAGTGATGAATTTTGAAGTACAGGAACCTCTAGAGGTCAAATACATATATATGCACTTATTATCCAATTCTAATCCCATTATTTTAATTGATGTGTTTGGGTATCTTTGCAAGTACATACATTTACCTACTTTACAATGAATATTTATATCTTAAATAAATTTACTGACATGTATTATTGAAGTATGTTGCATAAAAATGATATGGCATATCAAATTTTCAAACATGCTGTAAAAATTAAGCTAATTATTAATTGGTAACATTTTTCAAGCAATACCTGGGTATAGATGCTGATAATTTATAAGTCTAAATATGTACCCAACTTACTGAAGTACATTGATTCATTTTATCACTTTTATAGATATCAGTTCATCCAGGTCTCTGGCATTTCTGATATTGGTTTTTGTATTAATACATAAGTTAATTTTTTTTTTGAGATGGAGTCTGTCTCTGTCGCCCAGGCTGGAGTGCAGTGGCACAATCTCAGCTCACTGCAACCTCCACCTCCCGGGTTCATGCCATCCTCCTGCCTCAGCCTCCCGAGTAGCTGGGACTACAGGCGTGTGCCACCACATCCGGCTAACTTTTGTATTTTTAGTAGAGACAGGGTTTCACCATATTGGCCAGGCTGGTCTCGAACTCCTGACCTCAGGTAATCCACCCACCTCGGCCTCCCAAAGTGCTGGGATTACAGGCGTGAGCCACCGTGCCCAACCTGCATAAGTTAAATTTTAAAATTCTTTCTACTTTCTGAAGAAATTCTGACACTCTCCATTGTATTTCTGAAAATTATTTTCTATGGGAGAAGGATTCTATTATTTTTGAGGATTTTTGTTTAAAATACTGCTCCTGATAAATTTTTAACCTCCTCTCACAGTTGAGTCCCTGTGGCCACTGTCCTTACCAATTTCTACTGTACGAAACAGCTTCTTCTCCACTTAAAGACTATTTCTTGTCCTCTTGCCAGTGAACCAAGCCTATTTTCTTTTATTCTCTAAAGTACCACTAACAAGTGGGGAATGCAGTTAGTGGGATTTTCATAAAGAACTGGGAATAATAAAGGAGGATTATACTGCAGGATAAAAAGGAAAACATTGCCTAATGAATATTTGACTTCTTAAAATTCCTTAGCAATCCCTACCACAGAGCTTTGCTCTCTGGATGTCTGCTTTTTTAGGTCCCCCTTGCTCCATGTTTTGGAAGATCTTATTTACTTTCGGTCCCAACTTCTATTCCAATCTGTCTTTGTCTCTGACCTAGGACCTCCAATTCTTTCAACTGTAGTGTCTGTGAAGGAATAATGTCACTATCACTTAGAGAGAAATATTTGTCTGGCTCTATCTTCTATAAACACTAGAATAAGGGGTAAAGATACACTCACCTTGCATTAGAAAATAGAATTTGTTGTTTTAAGTAAAAGAACACCTTTTCTTCTGCTGCTGCTGCTCCATTCCTCAGAACACAGATGCAATTAAAACAATTCCAATCTTCTATTTTTCCCCATTACATCCCTTAACTAAAGAGTATACAATTTTGATCCATGTGATTATAAGGAGCACATATTTGGTATTATTACTAAGAAGCTTTCTGTATTAATAATGCATATTTTTAGCTCACACTTTTACAATTTAATTTATACAAACCTTTCTACAATTCAGTGATTTCTCTTTATATTGATGTCTTGAATAGAACTGACCAAGTTTATGTTTCAATGAATAAAATTTTGAAATTGAAAAATAATACACTTTTTGAAACTATCTAGGTGGAGAAGTAACATGAAAAGGATTTTTTAAAAAGAAGCTACTTCCATGTCCTGAAAACCTGGAGTAATATTTAATGTAGAGTAATTGTGTAGAAAATTTTCTAGTACCAATAAGTACCCATTTATGAATATGTGGGTCCATTCCCAACACTGGAGCAATTCCAGTACCTGTTTTCACTAATTGTACTCCCAAATTCCAAATCACTGTGTAGAAATTAATTCTACTAGGTAATTAACTCCAGGTCAATTTATTCTCTTTAAAATCAGTTGGATGGAAATGTTCCTTGGTAGTTCTTTTTATTTATGTTTTCTTACCAATCTCATTATTCTTCATAGACAAGTTTCTTCAGAGAAACACTTTGTCATGGTAACTGTAGTATACTTTAAAACACTTTGTCAGGCTATTGATATAAGTGCATTTATTCATTCAAATATTACATTCTATGGGCCGGGCACAGAGGCTCACGCCTGTAATCCCAGCTCTTTGGGAGGCCGAGGCGGTGGATCACGAGGTCAGGAGATCGATACCATCACAGCTAACATGATGAAACCCCGTCTCTACCAAAAATACAAAAAATTAGCTGGGCGTGGTCGCGGGCACCTGTAGTCCCAGCTACTCGGGAGGCTGAGGCAGGAGAATGGCGTGAACCCGGGAGACAGAGCTTGCAGTGAGCCCAGTGAGCCAAGATCATGACACTGCACTCCAGCCTGGGAGACAGCAAGACTCCGTCTCAAAAAAAAAAAAAATATATATATATATATAACATTTTATGGACATGAGTGGCTCTAATCAGTAAATGTACACTATTAGATGGGGAGGTCAACTAGCATTTAGCCAGAAAGGCTGCCCTCCAAGGCAGCTACCACAGGACCTTCAGTTATCTACCTCTTGGTCAACATTTGATGCCTAGCCAACTCACATAATAATTGAGGTTTAAATCAGTTATCATCCTGAAATTAGTGGTACCAAATATATGAGGGTCATCTAACATATTTTAGAAACATTCCCTATTCTTCTATGAAGGGCATAAGAACCTAGCAAGATGTGTAGCCTAAACTTTAGGGGTAGTGCCCAAGACTTGTTCCCTAAATGGGCCTGTGTCCTACTATGGATAAGTTCCACTTTCTCAATGCTGACATGAAAGTAAAACCCTACCTCTGTTGTCTTATCTTCTTCAAATACACCTTTCTACAAGGTACTTTGGAGTATTTTAAAGGGCAGAGAGCTGAGGATTTATTAAATTTACAGAGAAGATGACATAAACTGTCTTATGCTAATGTCTGGTTAACTAATCTCTATATTCATGGCAGAATTTGATCAGAGTCATTTTCATCATAACTGGGACATAGGATTGTGGTGGTAAATGCTAACCATACGCCCACTTCACCTTTTTCAGCCACTATGATTAACTACCAAAAATGACCCTGTTGCTGAGCATGACCAAATTGGGTTAGGCTAGTTCAAAACACACTCTATTTTTCTCATTAGACACTGTTCATTACTTCTTAATTTGTTGCACCTTGCTTTTAGTCCCTCTGAACTAAAATGCTTAAGAGCAAATATCAACTAGAGTTTCTACTCTGTTGTTTTACATTAGCTGAAAAATACAGGTATATCCCCCAAAAAATAAGAAGAAAGAAAACTATCATTATTTTAAGATAACAGAATCCACTCCATTTTTAACACAAAAAAATTATGTTATTAGAAATCCCTATAGACTCCGTGAAAAAGAAATATACAGAATAAATATTTAAAATCTTCTGCACAGCAAAAGAAACTACCAACAGATTAAACAGACAACCTACAAAATAGGAGAAAATATTTGCAAATTAAGCATCCAACAAAGGTCTAATATCCAGAATCTATAAGAAATTTAAACAAATCAACAAGCAAAAACAACCCCATTTAAAAATGAGCAAAGACATGAACCAACACTTCACAAAAGAAGACATACACATGTCCAACAAGCATATGAAAACATGCTCAGTATCACTAATCGTTAGGGAAAGGCAAATCAAAACCACAATGAAATACCATCTCACACCAGTCAGAATGGACATTAAAAAGTCAAAAAATAACAGATGTTAGTGAGGTTGCAGAGAAAATGGAATACTTACACACGGCTGGTGGGAATTTCAATTAGTTTAGCCACAGTGGAAAACAGTTTAGAGATTTCTCAAAGAACTCAGAACTACCATTTGACCTAACAATCCCATTACTGGGTATATACCCAAAGAAATAAAAATTGTTCTACCAAAAAGACACATTCACTCGCATGTTCATCACAGCACTATTCACAGTAGCAAAGACATAGAATCAATCTAGATGCCCATCAGTGGTGGACTGGATAAAGAAAATGTGACATATATACACCACAGAATACTATGCAACCATAAAAAGAATGAAATCATGTCCCTTGCAACAGCATGGATGGCAGCTGGAGGCCATTATCCTAAGTGAATTAATGCAAAAACAGAAAACCAAATACCACATGTTCTCACTTATAAGTATGAGCTAAACATTGAGTACACACAGACACAAAGAGGGGAACAACAGACACCTGGGCCTACCTGAGGGTGGCAGGAGGAAGGAGGGTGAGGATTGAAAAACTACTTATTGGGTACTATGCTCACTATCTGGGTGACAAAATGATTTGAACACCAAACCTCAGCAACACACAATTTACTCAAGTAACAAACCTGCATATGTACCCCTAAACCTAAAATAAAAGTTAAAAAAAAAAATTTAATTTAAAAAATACATATATAGCTCTCCTAACAACAATAAGCAATGAGCAATTAAATAAAATGATATCAATAAAGATGAACTTAACATATGTTGAACATTTTTAAGGTATTATTAATCTTTACCAAGAAAAAGGGAAAAACAAATAAAATGAGACATGCCACATTCTTCAAAAAATAACTTTTAAATATAAATTTAAATGCAGACATTTCAAATAATTGTCTGCATTGTGTTTGGATTGTAACAAATTTATTTCAAGATTTATTTGGTCAAATTACAGCTTAGAAGAGTCAAGCCATTTTCATAAACGAATAATAAGCAAGGATTTGCTCTGGCCAGCACTGAAATACTATCAAATATTACTAAGGGTTTGATTTGGGGTCAAGAGCAGTGGCTCCTGCCTGTAATCCCAACATTTTGGGAGGCCTAGGCAGGAGGATAGCTTGAACTCAGGAGTTGGAGACCAGCCTGGGCAACAGAGTGAGACACCCCTGTCTCCACAAAAAACAAACAAATAGCCGGGCGTGGTGGCCTGTGCCTGTAGTCCCCGCTACTCGGGAGGCTGTAGTGGGAGGATTACGTGAGCCTGGGAGGCCGAGGCTGCAGTGAACAGAGATTGTGCCACTGCATTCCAGTCCGGGTGACAGAGTGAGGCTCTGTCTCAAAAAAGAAAAAGAGTTTGATTTGCATATGATTGAAACAACATTGCCTCAAAACAGACCCTAGTGTGTTTTACATTACAACAGTAAATATGAAAAGAATGACATTACAAATTAGTGTGTGATGAAGGCCTATTTGTTGACCAGCGTGAGAAAACTGATGAAAGATCTAGAAATAAAATTTGTCAGTAAAAACAATACCTAAAAAACATACATTATTATAAATTTTAAATTGATTAAAAAATGTAGAGAGTTCCAGCAGAGATCCCAGGCCTGAAGCAGCGGCGAACCTGTCTTCCCCACCCCACCTCGGTGACCTGGTGGCCGCCGGCACACAGCACCTTTGGATGGCCGCGGGTGTGCCGGGCGGGAAGAAACACGCAGAGGCTGCTGGGGTGCAGGGCCCGCGAAGGCGGAGTTAGGGAGAGGCCTGGCCTCCTCTTTAGGCCACGGCGCCGCGCAGATGCTGTCCTCGGGGGACCTCTCTGTCCCAATTGGGTGAGACCTACCTGGTCCTGATGACAACAGACAACAGCCTTAACGGCCGGAAGGTCAGCGAAGTCCCGGATGAGGACGGGTGGAATGGTAGCGACCATGGGGCAGTTGGCCTTCCTTCTACCAGACGTTGATGTGGGAAAAGAGAAACGGAGTAACAGGACACATTTAGCGATTTGGAGATTCCCATCACGCTTTGGGAGGATGTACCGGCGTTTATAGGAGACCTGCGTGTATAATGTGAGAAAGCTGCTCTCAGCTTCCCCCAAAACTTTTACAAGGAAACATTTGCCACATCTAGCCTTTCCAGATGTATAGAGGTTACCGACCTATGATAGAGTTAGAAAATCACACATGGAATTTTTTAAATTCCATATTACAGAGTAGGTAATCAGTATGTAATTGTATCAGTGGATTACAAAATCTGGAGATTATATTCTGAGAATCTATTTTTGCCAACACAATAAGAGCCATATATTACAAGCCCACAGCTAATATCATAATGATAAAAAGTTGAAAGCTTTCCCTCTAAGATCCAGAACAAGATAAAGATGCCCACGCTCACCACTTCTGTTCAACATAGTACTGAATGTCCTAGCCAGAGCAGTTAGGCAAGAAAAAGAAAAAAAGGCATACAAATTGGAAATGAAGAAGTGAAACTGTCTCTTCTGATGACATGATCCTTTATTTGGAAAACCCTAAGAACTCCAACAACAAAAAAAGCTATTCAAATAAACAAATTCAGTAAAGTTACAGGTTACAAAATCAATATACAAAAATCAGTAGTGTTTCTATGCACTAACAATCATCTGAGAAGAAATTAAGTAAACAATCATAATTAAAAAATAAATTAATTAAAATAACTAGGTGCAAATTTAACCGAGGAGGTGAAAGATTTGTACACTTGAAAACTATAAAACACTGATATTTAAAATTACAAAAGACACAAAAATTGAAAAATACCTCATGTTCATGGATTGGGAAAATTAGTATTTTTAAAATACCTATACTACCCCAAATAAAGATTCAATGCAATCTCTATCCAAGTACCAATGTCATTTTGTAGAGAAATAGAAAAAACGATTCTAAAATTTGTCTGGATCCACAAAAATCCATAGCCAAAGTAACCTTGAATCAAAAAACAAACAAACAAAAAAAAACGGGAGGCATCATAATACCTGGCTTCAAAATCTACTGTGAACCTATAGTCATCAAAACAACAGGATACTGGCATAAAAACAGACACAAAAACCAATGGAACAAAATAGCGTAAAAATCAATCCATACATTTACAATCAATTGATTTTCAACAAAGGTGCCAAGAACACACAATGGGGACAGGGCAGTCTCTTCAATAAACGGTGTTGAAAAACTGAATATCCACATGTTGAAGAACGAAATTACATGCATACCTCAAACCATATACAAAAATCAACTCAAAATGCATTAAAGACTTAAACATAAGACTATTAAACTACTAAAAGAAATCATAGAAATGCTCCATGACATTGATCTGGTCAATGATTTTTTGGATATGACCTCAAAAGCACAGTCAACAAAAGCAAATATAAATAAATGAGATTATATCAAATTAAAGAGCTCCTGTACAGTCAGGGAAACAAATAAAATAATGAAAAGACAACCTATGGAGTGGGAGAAAATATTTGCAAATGATGTATCTAATAAGGGGCTAATATCTAAAATATATAAGAAGCTCAAACAAGAAAACATAATTCTATTTTAAAATGGAGCTGGCTGTGTTGGTTCACATCTCTAATCTCAGAATTTTGGGAGGCCAAGATGGGTGGATCACTTGAGGTCAAGAGTTCGAGACCAGCCTGGCCAACATGGTGAAACCCCGTCTCTACTAAAAATAGAAAAATTAGCTAGGCATGGTGGTACGTGCCTCTAGTCTCAGCTACTCAGGAGGCTGAGGCACAAGAATCACTTGAACCTGGGAGGTGGAAGCTGCAGTGAGCCGAGATTGTGTCACTGCACTCCAGCCTGGGAGACAGAGAGAGACTCCATCTCAAAAATAAAAATAAAAAATAAAATAAAATAATTTAAAAATTTTAAAAATGAAAATAAAAATGGGCAAAAGACCCAAATACACATTTCTCAAAAGAAGACCTACAAATGGCCAACATGTATATGAAAAATGCTCAACATCACTAATCAATGGGGAGATGTAAATTAAATGCACAGTGAGATATCACTTCATACTCTTAGAATGGCTATTGTCATAAAAAGCAAAGATAACAGCTTGGTGAGAATGTAGGGAAAAAAAGGAACCCTTGCACACCGTTAGTGGGAATGTACATTAATAGAGCCACTATATAAAACAGTGTGGAGGTTACTCCAAAAATTAAAAATAGAACTACCATATGATCCAGCCATCCCACCACTGGGTATATATCCAAGGAATTGAAATCAGTATGTTAAAGAGATGTCTGCACTCCCATGTTTATGGCAGCATTATTCACAATAGCAAAGATATGGAATCAAACTTTGTGTTCATCAATGAATGAATAAATCAAGAAAATGTGGTGTACTATTCACTCGTAACAAAAAAAGGAAACCCTGTCATTTCCAACAACACGGATGAACCTAGAAGCTATGATGTTAAGTTAAATGAGCCAGTTACAGAAAGGCAAATACTACATGATCTCATTTAAATGAGGATCTGAAAAACTTAAACTCATAGAAGCAGAGAGTGGAATGGTAATTACCAGAAGCTGGGGATGGTGGTAAGTTTCCAGACCATAAATTGAGGGATAAGCTCCAGAGTGTTCATACTATTTTTAATTTGCTGAAAATAGAACGATGATAATAATTCATAAACCTAGAATTATGATTATCCCATAAATTTTTTAAAACTAAATATTTTGTCCTATAGACACAACACCTACATAACTTAATTTATCCAATTTTGATCTTACCAATTGAATAAACCAAATTTCAAGTAAATGTGTTCATTTTTATATAGTTTACATCATATATTCATTTTTCAATGTAAATTTAATATAATATATAATTAATCTCCAAATTTTTAAATTTAAAAACTTAAAAAGAAAAAGAAAAGATGAAACCCAACGTCTTTTTTTTTTTTTTTTTTTTTTTTTTTTTTTGAGACAAGAGTTTCGCTCGTTTCACAGGCCGGAGTGCAATGGCGCAATCTCGGCTGACCGCAACCTTCGTCTCCCAGGTTCAAGTGATTCTCCTGCCTCAGCCTCCTGAGTAGCTGGGATTACAGGCATGCACCACCATGCCCGGCTAATTTTTTGTTTTTAGTAGAGACGGGGTTTCTCCACATTGGTCAGGCTGGTCTTGAACTCCTGACCTCAGGTGATCCACCCGCTTTGGCCTCCCAAAGTGCTGGGATTACAGGCATGAACCACTGTGCCTGGCCGAAACCTAATGTGTTAAGAGAACTTTTCATGAAATTATTATTTGGATATGCCTCTGACCACAGTCATAGCTTTACTTAATCACCTCTGTGGGGCATCAGTCCTCAAGGTCTAAACCATATCAACATAGGTAGCCTTTAGAGCTGTAAATAAATACTTCCCTGCTACATGTTAATGATTCTTGGAATATACATTGACCAACACAGTGTTCTCCTTGTTTAATTAGGCAAAAATCTAGCTGTAAATATGAATAACAAGAGTATACATTAAAAAGACATCAAATAGCCAACCGAAAATATATTTAACCAAACCTAATTAAGGATTTTCACCAGTCCCACATTTAGTTTACTTCCAATATCCACATTAAATAGAGACTTCTATTAAATCTTATTTCAGCTGTTGCATTTAAGTGTGAATGGCACTGTAGTGTCAGTATGACCAGTGGTTAATCCAATTCTTCAGGGCATTAGTAACTCATCCAACAAGAATTTTTTTCTAATTTATTAATTAAATGAAGAAACGTCATAATGGGAACATGGGTATGTTTGGACTACATGAGAACATGACAGCTCTGAATTCTTCCTTCATGAAAATATATTCTAATCTTTTCAGCTTCTGGTAAGTATTCTCTGCTATCTCTAACAGAGGATGACTCCAGGTAGAAAACAGATCCTAGATAGCGTAAGACTCAGTCTAACATGAAAGCAAAAATGTGAAAGGTATGTGAGATATAAATAATACTAACATTTTGAGGATTAAATATAAATTTAATCCTCAGGAGTGAGGATTAAACTTCAACAAGAGCAGTTAGTGGATTTTGAAGTTACTGAATGCTCTCTATGCACCAAGCATCATGCTAAATATTTAGCATAGCATGTAATCCTCCTCATAGCCATCCTACAAAGCAGGTGCTATTAGAATAGCTATTTTACAGATGAGGAATCAGAGGCTAAAGAAGTTAATTAGCCTGCTCAAGTCCACAGAGTAAGGAAATGGCTGAGATCAATTGTAACAAAAATCACAGGCGGTCTGAACCAGTCTAGGGTCTTACCTATTTTTATTTCGTCCTTTCATCTTGAATTTTGTATGACTACAGCAATATACCTCATGCTTTATAATAAAAGATCCATATATTTTTACTTTTTATAAAATTTTAGACAGTTTTGAAATTTTGTGCTTCTAATTTTCTCTCAATATCATAAATTATGTTGAAATATGTTTGGTTCATTTGTCTCAGATTTCACTGGAGAAAGCAAAATGTTAAGTTATGCGCGATTATTGGGCTCTGAAGTCCATACTATGAAAAATGAAAAACTGAGTTTCGATTAAAATGTAGCATGCCTCTTTTTTGCCATCTATTTCTTCAGCTGGAGTGTTGTAAGTCTCATTTCAAATAACACATTCACTTTTAAATTGAAATTAAAATATCTGGTTTGAGATCCAAAGCTTAAATCAATATGAAAATGTTAAAAAGTATTAAATGAAAAGTCCTGTATTTGAGTTCACAACATTAAACTACATAAATTGTCATGCCTGACTTGGCAGCATTTCTAATAAGAATGCCTAGGGCTTTACGTGATCCAAAGTTTAAAGAGAGCCAGTAATGTCTTATACCTGCTAAAAATAACCAACGTATATTTTAGAAAATTATGCAGATCATAGACATTCACTATTCTCTTCAGTAGTGTTGCATAAGTGGAGTATCGTGCTTACTTTTATACTCACTAATTTGCAGCACTTGACAAATCATGGTGTGTCCAGGGAGAGCAACAAGAAAAAGCATGGTAATAAAAGAGCATGTAGTGGTAGGAACAGCTAACAATGTGCTTTGTCTGGGAAGAGAAATCTAAGCATATATTTGGTAACAGTTTCTAATATTAAAAGAGAGTTAAAAGGTATATAAAAAATTTTTAGTAAGCCAAACTATACAATATTGTCTAGAGGTGCACATTTGGGTAATTAACCTACTAACATGCAAAGAGGGGATTAATATAAATAGCAGCATAGTGGATACTTCAGGGGATAGGGAAGAGTTATCATTGGTAAAAGGCACAAAGAAAAGCTCCTAGGGTAATCATCAATGTTTTATTTATTGATTTAGGTGATAGTTACAAGAATATACACTGAAACTCACCAAGCTTTACTTTTTATTTGTTGTATCCATGCACTGTTCATATAATAATACTGGGGTTTTTATGAGGCCATGTTAAATTGACTTACTCTGTGTTATTTTCAGAATAAAGAAAATCAGCCAGGGCTGGGCAAGGAATCATCTTTGAGTTCAATATAAGCAGCATTGACTAAAGGAGAGAGGCTGCTTCAAGTGTAATTGACTTCCCTGTCACTGAAGTTATGCCAGTAGCAGCTGTGTAGCGATTCTGTTGAAGGATCTCCTATGCAGAGCAGAAGGCTAGATTCATGACTTCTGAGGTTTTTTTCCACTTTGAAATTCATGACCTTTTAATTCCCAACACAAACCCAACAGCAGTCAAAAGAATTTGAGTGAATTTTTTAATCAAAGCATTTGGAGACCTCAAGTCATCTCCTGCTCCTGAAGCTTTTCAGTTCAATGTGCATATTGTGATTCTGCATATTTTTGTGTATATAAAAATGTTTCTAAATTTTAAAGTTACACAAATTTTTTAAAAAACATTCCAGTTTAGTTCTAGGTCATTGCGGTAAAATCACTAGTGTGAAAAATTAATGGACTAAGGGGTAGACAGAATAACAATGACAGGTGAATATAGGTTATCATTTTTAGAATTAAAGATGAACCAAGCTCAGTTCCAAGTGCTTTTATAAATATTAACCCTCACAACATCCCTTTGAGGAAGGAAATTTTATTATATTTTCTTCATGTATAAAGAACCTCCTACACAAACAAGTTAAATAATTGCCCAAGGATACAGCTTCCAAGTGGTGAAGCTGGAATTTGATGCCAGGGACTTTGAGTTCAGAATCTGTGCAATGAAGCACTATCATTCCTTAGTTGACAACCTATTGCGAAAAATAAAAAAACTGGACACTTATTAATTAGATTTCCATTTTTGTGCTGTGAAAAACTACACCTCTATCTCATACTACTTGATAACATTTCCTTCTTTATGATTATAACATTATTCTGTTCTAACTGAAACACTTATAACAATGACATATATAAATGATCTATCTTCCCCTTGTTTTACTATATACCAGAAACAAATGAGGTTTCTATTCCATGGCCTCAAGGACACTATAAATGTAAAGTATGGTAGGTCTGAATTTCGTGGTCAGAAATTATCAGCAGAAAAAATGTTTAAACTAATTCAGCCATTAGCTCGACACCAGGGCTCAGGCCGAAGCAGGAGGATTGCTTGAGCCAAGGAGTTCCAAACCAGCCTGAACAACATGGTGAGACCTCATCACTACAAAAACATTTAAAAATTACCTGGACACAGTGGCATGCATCTGTGGTCCCAGCTACTTAGGAGGCTCAGTTGAGAGGATCACTTGAGCACCGGAGGTCCAGGCTGCAATGAGCTGTCACTGTGTCACCGCACTCCAGCCTAGGCAACAGAGCAAGATTTTTGTTTTGTTTGGTTTGGTTTTTTTGAGACAAGAGTCTCGTTCTGTCGCCCCGGCTGGAGTGCAGCGGTGCGATCTCGGCTCACTGTGGCCTCCGCCCCCAGGTTCAAGCAATTGTCCTGCCTTAGCCTCCCAAGTAGTTGGGACTACAGGCACGCACCACACCGCCCAGCTAATTTTTGTATTTTTAGTAGAAAATACAAAATTTTTCCCCACGTAGGCCATGCTGGTCTGGACTCCTGACATCAAGTGATCCGCCCACCTCAACCTCCCATAGTGCTGGGATTACAGGCATGAGCCACTGCATCCGGCCAACAGAGCAAGATTCTATCTTTAAAAAAAACAAACAACAACAACAAAAAAAAACTAACTCAGTCAGTCATTAAATATTTTGTCTACTTAGTGATATGATACAATAATCAGAAATGGTGAGATTGATGACATTTTTATCTGTATCTGTATTCTTTTAGAGCCCAATGGGGTGATGGTTTTACCTAAAGGATTTCAAAGCAATCAGAACATCCACTCATGTTGGATTGGTAAATTCCATAGATTAAAACAACTCTGGCTATTTAATGAACTGCTTTTTGTTTGAATTACCTGCCCAGCGCCCAGCTAATTCTGCTGAATGGCTGGTAAGTAGGATTGGACACAGATCGTTGTACGTGGTGGCCAAATAGTTCTGGAATTACCTCAATATTTAACTGCAACAAATCAGTAAGGCTGTTTAGATGGTGTAATATTAGTCATTAAAGCTGTTTAAAAAACATATAGGCCTTTATACATGTAAGTAAATATTAATAAGAAAGATAATTATTTCCTGGCAACAAAAAACACACTCACAAAAAAAGGCAGTGTAGTAGGGAACACCAAAATTGATAGAATAACAACAGTGCCTGCAATGTTGAGGGGTAAAAAAAATATAAGGAGGAGGAGTAAGTTGGTGGTGAGGATAATTATAATTATAATGGCTGAAATGTAGATATTTGCAAGTAAATATTGAAAGTGATTCTGCTATCAAATGGTGGAGTTTATTCCAAAAAAAGATGTCATTTAACTTTTTACCTCAAGCTTAACTCCTTCAATAATGCAAGGATTTATCATGATCAAGTGATGCTTATGTCATAGCTTCAAAGAGGAACAACTCCTCAATACATATGCCTCTCTTAAAATCACATAATTGACTTCATGATTTTATTACTTAATTGAAATACATAGAACAATGAATGACATAGCAAATTAAGTTTTTTCAATGATTTACAATTCAGCCTGATTGGATTTAGCATATTATTAATTTTGGATTAAATATGAACAAGTTGTGAGCACTGGGCCATAGGGAAATGTTAAAAGAGATGTTCCAAATGAGAGAGAGCATGCAAATAAGAGAGTTTTGGATACCCTTGAGAAACTTCAGAGATTTTCAGTTCTACCTAAACCTGACACTATTTTTGGTTACCATGATATTGCCTGCTAGCTTTTCTTAAGGAACAATGGAAACAAGCAGTGTAAGTTCTGGAACAGATTTCATCCTTCTGGGGTTTTCTGATCGACCCCAATTAGAGCACATCATCTCAGTGGTTGTCTTCATCATCTATATTGTGACTCTGGTAGGAAATACAACCATCATTCTTGTATCTTATCTAGACACCCAGCTCCATACCTTCATGTATTTTTTCTTATCCAATTTGTCTTTCTTGGACCTCTGTTATACAACTAGCATTATCCCCCAGATGCTGGCAAATCAATGGGGCCCAAAAAAATCTATTACTTATGGAGGGTGTGTACTCCAATTCTTTTTTGTCCTTGACTTGGGAGCCACAGAATGTCTTCTGTTGGCTGTGATGGCCTATGATCGTTATGCTGCTGTCTGTCAACCTCTTCACTACACCTTAAAATGCACCCTCAGCTTTGCCACTGCCTGGTTGAGTGGTCTTGCCAGTGCCTTAATTGTTTGCTCCTTGACTTTGAAGTTGCCAAGATGTGGGCACCGGGAAGTGGATAATTTTTTCTGTGAGATGCCAGCATTGATCAAGATGGCTTGTGTCTATTCAAAAGTAATTGAGATTGTTGTCTTTGCTTTCGGAGTGGTATTTCTTTTCGTACCTCTATCACTAATTCTTATCTCATATGGAGTTATCACTCAAGCTGTAATGAGGATCAAGTCAGCAACAAGGTTGCAAAAGATCCTTAATACATGTGGCTCCCACCTCACAGTAGTAATTCTGTTTTATGGAACAATCATTTATATATACATGAAGCCACAGAATACCATATCCCAAGATGAAGGGAAGTTCTTCACTCTTTTACACAATCATCACACCCAGCCTTAACCTTCCCATCTACACTTTAAGAAACAAAGATGTAAAGAGTGCACTGAAGAGAATACTGTGGATGAAAAAATCTTCAGCAGAATCATGAATTAGATGGAAAAAAGTAGAATGTAGAGCACTAAAGAAATATTGGCATTTATCAAGAGAAGTGAAATCAATTCATTTATCCAAAGCACATTCACGCTCAAAGCTTGGTGCTCTTAAATGACAAAAGAAAATTTAGCAAGCTTATGTTTTTACTTTGCTTTACTTTGTTTTACTGGTAAATACATTCAAAATCTGGAAATCCCTGTGCTAGAGAATAAACGACTCCACTTCTCTGCAAATCAGCCATTTCAGAGATTGAAAATCCTCTCTGCAAGTGAAAGATTCCCCATATCTATAGTGCCCTTGCTATGTCATTTCAAAGACAGAGTAAGCCACAGCTTACATGAAGTAATTGAGTAGGAAGATGGGAGTAATAGGGCTTATGATGTCTCTACAATCCTTAAACCCTGTGGCTTCTAAATTTCCACAGCAAGAACATCATACCTTTATTTCAAGGTTTTGATTCCTCTTTTACTTTTATTTTAGGTTTGGGGGTACATGTGAAGGTTACATAAACACGTGTCATGGGGGGTTATTATACATCTTATTGCATCACCCAGGTGTTAAGCCCAGTACCTAATAGTTATCTTTTCTTTGCAGATGACTCTAAAATTGTCAGTTGTACATACCTTGGTAAACATAAAAAAATATGAGAGAGGACAGTGAAATCAGGATAAGGAAAGCATGAAGACACTGTAAACTTCATGGTGTCATAAGGACTATGGAAGAAAGACAAAAGTATAGAATGATAAAATTGTGGCCACTAAAAAAGAGTATCAATTTTCCTTTGTTAAAAATGAGTGATCCTAAATCTTGCTAGGCATTTATCACTTAAAAACCTTCTATTCAACCTTCATACCCTGCTGAAATCTTGTCTCAACTGAAAAGTATTTATGAATCTCATCAGTCTATGGTCTATAGTCCTTGAAAACCCTGACCATATAAGTATAGGGCATTATCCCATTTTTATTTAGTTGTTTGTATGTGTGTTTGAAGAAGATGCATTGGTAAGCTTTTCAACAATATAGACCTTCTTATTCACGTGATTTTGCTGTGTCGAATCAGTTTCTGACATGAATTACATAGCCAATAAATGTCTGTAGAATGAATATGTCAATGTTTTTTATTAAATCTCCATGAAAATGTTACCAAATCTGCAGAATATCACAAATTCTCATTGGGTGATGAATATTAGAGCAATATCTTCAGTTTGTGTTAACACTGAAGATATATAAATCATCTAACACCTAAAATGTAATATATTTAAACATCTATGAGTTAGCAAAGGAAAAGATACAGTTTTTCTTTCACATACATATTATAGAATACATACATAATATTATAGAATCTTTACAACATCCCCTAGAGGTATATATAAGTACATAATGGAAACTAGAAAATAAGAGAAATAAAAGAAATTGCTCATTATCTTATCCCAGAAATGACTAAATTTTTAAATTAATTTTCTTTTAAAGTACTGTCATCTATTAAAATTTGGTTTAATAGTTTGTCTTATTTCTCTCAATATATGCCTTCATATCAGGGATGATATCATCCCCACAGGGGCAAAATTGATTCAAGGGGAGGTAGCAAAAATCTTTGGTATTACAATGGTTGGTGGTCCTCCAAAGAGCCTCTGTACATAAGCAGTTACACAATATAACTGTGGCACTAAAATTTTGTTAGAAATGAAATAACTATAATGAAAAAGTTTGAGAAAACACTTAATTTGGTGCTTTTTCCTATTTGAAAAGATGATTAAAAGAAAGACTCCCTTAGGCCAAAATGATTGACAAGGATATGCACATCCAATACACAGAATTAGTAAACTTCTAGATTGGCAATTGAAAACTGCATTCAGTAATGGTCTTCAGTTTCAGGTTAAAATGCTGGAAATTCTCTGTTATATTGGGGATTTTTTTTTTTAAGTTTGATGAAAAAATCATGCCCCAAAGAGTTTTTTTAATGATAAAATTCTTGAGTTTATAGGATAGTATATAAAAAAAGAAACAACTTGCTGAAAAGTTGAAACTGAAATTGTGCCCCAAAGAATAGGAAACCAATAACTAACAGAAATCTTGAGTTTGCCAGATAGCAGATAAGAAAATAAATAACTTGCTGAAACGCTGAAATTCCCTCCATTTGTGAGATAACAAGAGTGTCCAAAATTAGTTGGAACCAACATGACCAAATGGAGTTTGCACAGAACAAGCTTGTTAATGTCACAGCCCGATTTCCACTGCATGTTTCATACTAACTCCCTTTGAATTTGCATGTGGGACCCATGAAGAGGAATGGACATAACTGTGCATTTGAGGACTTTCTAGACCTCCCTTTTCCTTCCACCAACCACCTGCTAATCCCAGAATCCACCCGCAAACCTTTTCTAATAAAATTACTATCTTAAAGCCAGCACAGGGAGATACAGTTGAGCTAGATTCCTGTCTCCTTATTGGTCAACCTATAATAAAGAGCTTTTCTTTTCTTAGAAATCCAGTGTCATAGTATTAGCTTCTAGCACATCCAGCAGTGAGCCCCTTTTGCCTGGTAACAATAACATAATATAGTATCAAGAATTTGTGACTGGGCATGGTGGCTCACGCCTGTAATCCCAACACTTTGGGAGCCTGAGGTGGGCAGATCACAAGGTCAGGAGTTCAAGACCAGCCTGGCCAATATGGTGAAACCCCATCTCTACTAAAAATAGAAAAAGTAAGCTGGGCGTGGTGGTGGGCACCTGTAGTCCCAGCTACTCCGGAGGCTGAGGCAGGAGAATGGCTTGAACCCAGGAGGTAGAGGTTGCAGTGAGCCGAGATTGCACCACTACACTCCAGCCTGGGCAACAGAGCAAGACTCCATCTCAAAAAAAAAAAAAAAGAATTTGAGGAAACAATATCTCATTTATTTCTGGTTGTATTAGTTATCTGCTGCTACATGAACTTTTTTTTAAAGAAACAAACAGAACTTCTAGACATGATCAGTATAGGCTGAAAATCCCTTATCCATAATTCTGAATCTAAAATGGTCAGAAATGCAAAGGCATAAGAACGATACATTGGACTTTGGGGACTCGGGGAAAAGGGTGGGGGCTGGTGAGGGATAAAACACTACACACTGTGTACAGTGTACACTGCTCAAATGATGGGTGCACCAAAATCTCAGAAATCGCCACTAAAGAACTTATTCATGTAAGGAAACACCACCTGTCCCTCCAAAACCCTATTGAAATAAAAAAATTAAAATAAACAAAAATAAAATGGTCAGAAAACTAAAAGCTTTCCTTTTTTTCTTTGAGACAGGGTCTCACTATGTTACCCAAGCTGGTCTCAAACTCCTGGCCTCAAGCAGTTCTCTCAAGTAGCTGGTATTACTGGTGAGAGCTACCACACCCAGGTAGAAAACTAAAAGTTTTCATAACTCTGTTGGCAACAAAACCTGACCTGAACTGAGGTAGGACTATTTCTATCTATTCTTTACTTTCAGTTTTATTAAACAAGAGAGACTGTATGTTAAAAGAATAGAGTTCCTTTTAAGAAAAAATAATATCAGCTATTTGTCATTTGTCAGAAATGGCAGATATTTTTTAAAGAGGACACTCACTGTTATCACTAATTTATAAAACCATAGTTTCTTTCGAGTTGAAGATTCAAGAGCAATTAGAACATGTCTGTTTTAAAATATGGTAGTCACTAGGTGTAGCATCAAAAGAAAAACTATCAAAGAATAATAAAACTTTAAATTATTCTTTTTAACTTAAATGGATGTGTATTTTAAACTATTTTTATCTAAGATATTAAGTTAACATTTAAAGTTGGCCACATGAAAAGATAGGTCACATTTTATGTTCTTGTGAGTCAACTGAAATACTGAAGGAAAAAAAAAGTTTGTTTCCTTGCTAGTCATTGTACCTTGCTGGCTAGAAATGTTCCATGGAATGTGTGAGAGTTTGGTTCCAAAATGGCTGCATATAAGGAAGCTGGCTTTATTTTTCCTCCACAGAAAACCTACAACAAATACACGGTGCTGAGATTATCACCAGCAATATCCCAGAACTCAAATATGAAGATGGAACAGTGCCCGTGGCAACAAAGAAGTAAAAAACTTCAAGCAGACGCTGTAAGAATCAGACTTCCAAATCCGTGACATCCCTCTCCCAAATCTGCCTAGCACCAAGCATGTGGAAAACTTCCCCCACCTCACCGCCAGTTTCTACACTGGAAAAAGTGAGATTGAAGTGGATAACCAGTTTCCCCACCATCTTGGATTCCCTGGCAAGAGATCTGTCCCTAAGTACTTAAAGGGAGAAATATTCCCAAAGACAACCAGAGAAAAAGTGGGGAGGTGGGACTTCCTTCCCCAACCCTAGAAACACTCTTCTTTAACTCAGCCAAAGGAGACGCCAAATCAGCGAAGCTGGTCAGCAGCGACACACCATAGGAGGTATGTTCCACAGGTTCCCTGAGCACGAAATTCTAGCCAGACTTCCCACCCTATTGGGATATCCCCCGTAAGACCTTCTACATTTGGGTCCGGCAGTGCTCCAGTCATTTACTAGGGCCAAGGAAAACCTGGACTGCAGACTCCATGTGATGTCAGAAAGAAGGCAAGACCAAGAGGGCGAAAAAAAAGTAGATGCTGTCATGCTTTCTGTACAGCCTGCAGAACCATGAGCTAAGTAAACCTCTTTTCTTTATAAATTACTCAGTCTCATGTGTTTCTGTATAGCAGTGTGAGAACAGACTAATATACATGACTTCCCCAAACAGACAAAGCAAGGAACCAATGACTTACCCTAGGCAAGACAGTGGTATGTGAGCTCTCTCACCAAGAATTCAAAATAGCAGTTTTAAAGAAACTCAGTGAACTCAAGGATAACACACAAAAGCAATTCAAAAATTTATCAGAGAAATTTAACAAAGAGATTAAAATAATTTTTTAAAATCAAACAAAAATCTTGGAACTGAGAAATATACTTGTCAAACTGAAAAATTTATTAGAGACTCTCGACAGCAGAATGGATCAGACAGTGGAAGGAATTAGTAAACTCAGACAGGCTATTTGAAAATACAGTTAGAGGAGAAAAAAGGGAAACGAATACAAAGGAATGAAGATCACCTAAATAATATAGAAAAGTACCTCAAAAGGACAAATCTAAGAATGACTGGTGCTCAAGAGGGAATTCAGAAAGAGCAAAAATTAGAAAGCTTATCCAAAGAAATAACTCAAAACTTTCCAAACTTAAGAAATATATAAGTATCTAGGTACAAGATTAGAGAACATGAAACAGATTCAACCCAAATAAGACCACCCCAAGACATACAATAATCAAATTCTCAAAGGTCAAGGACAAAGAGGATTACAAAAGTTGGCTGGGCACCATGGCTCATGCCTATAATCCCAGCACTTTGGGAGGCCAAGGCAGGTGGATCACCTGAGGTCAGGAGTTCGAGATCAGCCTGGCCAACATGGTGAAACCCTGTCTCCACTAAAAATACAGTAATTAGTGGGGCATGGTAGTGGGTGCCTGTAATCCTAGCTACTCAGGAGGCTGAGGCAGGAGAATCGCTTGAACCCGGGAGGCAGAGGTTGCAGTGAGCCGAGATAGCACCATTGCACTCCAGCCTGGGTGACAAGAGTAAAACTCAGTCTCAAAAAAAATAAAATAAAATAAAAAATAAAAGCAGCAAGAGAAAAGAAGTAAATAACATACAAAGAGCTCCAATTATTCTGGCAACAGACTCCTCAATGGAAACTATACAGGCCAGGTAGATGTGGGATGGCATTTTCAAAGTGCTAAAAGAAATAAAACCGCCATCCAAGATTAATGTACCAGAAAAGCTATTCTTCAAACATGAAGAAGACATAAAATCTTTCCTTGACAAACAAAAGCTGAGAATTCACTACCACCAGGCCTATCTTAAAATAAATGGCAAATGAAGTCCTTCAATCTAAGAGAAAAAGATGCTAACATGCATAAAGAAAATATTTGAGGAAAAAAACCACTGGTAACATTAAGTACAAGACATACCCAGGATACTCTAATACTCTAATTGTGGTGTGCAATCCATTTATAACTGTAGTATGAAATCTAAAAGACAAACCTATCAAAAACAATAATTGCTACAGTGACCTGCTAAGAGATAGACAATATAAAAATATGTAAACCGAGACAACAAAAAGTCAAGATGTAGGGGTATAGAGTTAAAGGGCAGGGTTTTGTGGGGGTTATTTAAGTTTTTTTGTTTGTTTCTAGTCTTTTCTTTGTGATCAAAGTTAAGTTGTCATCTTTGTAAAATATCAGCTGCGCGCCATGGCTCATGCCTGTAATCCCAGCACTTTGGGAGGCCAAGGCTAGCTAATCACTTGAGCTCAGGAGTTCAAAACCACTCTGGGCAACATGGCAAAACCTCATCTCTACAAAAAATACAAAACTTAGCTGGCTATGGTGGCATGTGTCTATGGTATCAGCTACTCAGGAGACTGAGGTAGGAGGATTGCCTGAGTTCAATAAGGTAGAGGCTGCAGTAAGCCAAGATCTCACCACTGCACTCCAGCCTGGGTGACAGAGACCCTGTATCAGAATAATAAGTAATAATAAAACAAAGTAGCTATAAGATATGTTTTGTAAGCCTCATGGTAACCCCAATGCAAAAATCTGTAATTAATACACTAAAAATAGAAGGCAGTGAATTAAAGCATTCTACCAGAGAAAATAACTTAACCACAAAGAAATACAGTAGCAAAAGAATAAAGGAAGAAAGACGTTACAAAACAACCAGAAAACAAGCAACAAAATGGCAGTCATAAGTCCTTACTTATCAATAATAACACTGAATATAAATGGACCAAATTCTCCAATTAAAAGATGTATAGAAGTTAAATGGGTAAAGAGACGAGACCCAACTATGTGGTGCTACAAGAACCCACCTTGCCTATAGGGACATACATAAGTTGAAAGTGAATTTATGGAAAAAGATATTCCATGCAAGTGGAAATCAAAGAGAACAGGATTAGGTATACTTATATCAGATAAAACAGACTACAAGTCAAGGAATGTAAAAAGTGACAAAAGGTCACTATATAATGATGAAGGGGTCAATTCATCAAGAGGATATTAAAAATTATAAATATCTGTGCACCCAACACCAGAGCATCCAAATATGTAAAACAAACATTAATAAATCTCAAGGGAGAGATAGGCTCCAATATAATAATAGTAGGGACTTCAACACCTCACTTTCAGTAACAGATTATCCAGGGAGAAAATCAATAAAGAAACATTGGAATTAAGCTACACACTAGACCAAGTAGGCCTGACATTTATAGAACATTTCACCCAGCTGCTACAGAGTACACATTCTTTTCACTTGCACATGGCACATTCTCCAGAACAGACCATATCTTAAGTCACAAAAGAAGTCTCAGCAAATTCAAAAAAGTAAAAATTATATCAAGTATCTTTTCTGATCACAATGGAATAAAACCAGAAATCAACAAGAGGAACCTTGGAAACTATACAAACACATGGAAATCAACATGCTCCTACAACCAATGGGTCAATGAATAAGCTAAGAAAATTTTAAAAATTTCATGAAACTAGTGAAAATAGATATACAACATACCGAAGCCTACAGAATACAGCATAACAATAACTTTATAGCAATAAACACCTACATCAAAAAAGGGAAAAGACTTCAAATAATCAACCTAAAAATGGATCTCAAGGAACTCAAAAAAGCAAGGATGAACCAAATCCAAAATTAGTAGAAAGAAATAAATATCAGAACAGACATAAATGAAATTGAAACTAAAACATAAATACATTTGATCAATGAAATGAAAAGTTGATTTTTTGAAGATAGACAAAATTAACAAACCTTTCCCTAGACTAAAAAAGAGAAACCCAAATAAATCAATCAGAAAGAAAAAAAAAAGAGATATAACAGACCACAAAAATACAAAGAATCAGAGAATATGAACAACTATACACCAACAAATTGGAAAACATAGAAAAAATGGATAAATTATTAAACATATACAACGTACTAAGATTGAACCATGAATAGAAACCCTAACAAACCAATAATGAGTAATGAAATTGAAGCCTTAATAAAGTCTCTCATCAAAGAAAAGCCCAGGACATTATGGCCTCACTGCTGAATTCTAGCAAATATTTAGAGAACTGATACCAATTCTACTCAAACTCTTTTAAAAAAAATTGAAGAGGAGGGTATTCCTCTAAACTCATTCTACAAGGCCAGCATTGCCCTGATGTGAAAACCAGACAAGGATACAGCAAAATCTGTGTCAGAAATCAAATCAAAAACAAAACTACAGGCCAAAATCCCTGATGAACATAGATACAAAAATTCTCAAAATAACTAGCAACCCCAATTCAACAACCAAGAAGATCGCTCATGATGAGTGTGATTCATGAATACTGCATGTTCTCACTCCTATGTGGGAGCTAAAACAGAAGATCTCATGAAGCTAGGGAGTACAATGGTGGTTATCAGGGCCTGGAAAGAGGAGGGAAGACGTGGGATAAAGAGAGGTTGGTTAAACGGTATAAGTATACAATTAGGTAGAAGAAAGACAACCAGAGTTCAATAGATCAGTAGGGTGACTATAATCTATTAGACACTTCTGGCTGGGCGCGGTGGCTCACGCCTGTAATCCCAGCACTTTGGGAGGCAGAGGTGGCCGATCACGAGGTCAGGAGTTCAAGACCAGCCTGACCAACATGGTGAAACCCCGCCTCTACTAAAAATATAAAAATTGGCCCGGTGTGATGGCGTATGCCTGTAATCCCAGCTACTTGGGAGGCTGAGGCAGGAGAATCGCTTGAACCCAGGAGGCAGCGGTTGCAGTGAGTCGAGATCACGCCATTGCACTCCAGCCTGGGTGACAGTGCTAGACTCTGTCTCAAAATAATGTTAGACATTTCAAAATATCTAAAAGATTGCTTGATATATATTTAGATATAACTAGAAAAAAATTTGAACGTTCCAAGCAAAAAGGACATTTAAGTTTATACATATATATACACACACACACAAATTATCCTTATCTTTGACCTTTATACGTTATGTATCAAAATATTACATGTACCCTCAAAATACATACATTAAAAAAATGAGAAATAGAAAAATCAAAAAAAAAAGTTCCATGAATTCTGAACACAAATGTGGCCCCCCATTGCTTGTTATTTGTCTGTTCATCATCCCCCACTTGCAGTATTAAAATGTCAGTGTTTCCATTTAGGGATCCCCTTCTGCCTGAATAATCCCCAAATCTGATTCAAAAAATTAGTTCTTACCAGTTTGCACACTCAAGAAAGCACCTGAGCCCAAGTCCACTACGGCCATTTTGTCACTGCCACAAGGTGGCGCTATTGAAAAATGGTCCACATTACTAGCACTCACCGTCCCCATTGTAATGAGAACAAACTTCGGATCTCTGCACAAGCCACAGTGGTCCTTCTAAGGAGGTAGACAGACCTCTCACCCTGCACCCACTTCTTCATGGCAGTTGCATCTCAGTGAGCCTTGAGTTCGTTCATGAGTGGCTGATCTTTGTTTTCACGTCTTAAGTCTGAAAGCACCCATCTCCATCAGAGAGCCTGCCGCTCAGTAACTCCGGCCGAATTTGTTCGGGTGTGAGGTTTAAGGCCCTAATCGCTGTTCTCTCTTCCTCTTTGGGCACCCCCATCTCCGAAGCGTCAGTTTTTCTTTCACCTATCCGCAACATAAAGTGTTACTAATGACACTCCTCGCCCAGAAGACGGCGCTCCGGGCCTGCACACGCTGGTGCCTCCGGCGAGCCTGGACCCCAGGGCCACTTAGAGCCTTGGCGTTCGTTTTAGCTCTTAACGGCGACCAAGACGTCTTCCTCCTCTGCGACAGTGTGGGGAAGGGAGAACGAGAATAACCCACGTTTGGCCAGGAAAAGCTCCCCCTCTATGTAACTTGTAAGGAACCTCCCAGCAAGCAAGTGGCGTGTGCCCGGGTCTCCGTTCCCCGAGACGCGGGATCCCGGGCGGGAGGGCTAGTCTATCCCATTTGCCTCCACTCCTCTCGGAATACGTTGGAGTCTTCCTTTCTGGTGTCTCCGACTTCGCAGTAACTTAGAGGTGTCTCTGATGAGAATGCAGCCCTGGGTGTGGCTCTGACCACCTCAAGCACCATCCCGACCCTTCCTTGTACGTCTTCCCGCAACCTCCTGCGGAAAAGCAATGTGTCAGAAATTTGTGAGTTCTTGGCATGATTCTAGAATGAAGCTGCAGACCCTCAGGGTGTTAGTTCTAAAAAACGTGTCTGGAGTTTGTTCCTTCTGATAGTCAGACGTGTTTGGAGTTTGTTCCTTTTGGTGGGTTCGTCGACTAGCTAGCTTCAGAAGTGAAACCGCAGACCTCTACAATGAGTGTTACAGCTCTTAAGGCGGCATATCTGGAACTGTTTGTTTTTCCAGGTGGGTTCGTGGCCTCGCTGACCTCAAGAGTGAAACTACAGGCCCTCACAGTGTTACACCTCACAAAACAAAATGCAGATCCAAGCAGCTAATAGTAAAAAACAAAACCACCACAATGTGAAACAGGACAAAACAAATTACAATGGCCAACTCCGGTAACCTGCTTTTATTCCCTTATCTGGCCCCACCCACATCCTGCTGATTGGTCCATTTTACAGAGAGCCGATTGGTCCGTTTTGACAGGGTGCTGATTGGTGTGTTTACAATCCCTGAGCTAGACACAAAAGTTCTCGAAGTCCCCACTAGATTAGCTAGACACAGAGCACTGATTGGTGCATTTACAAACCTTGAGCTAGGCACAGAGTGCTGATTGGTGTATTTACAAACCTTGAGCTAGACACAGAGTGCTGACTGGTGTATTTACAATCCCTTAGATAGACATAAAGGTTCTCCAAGTCCCCACCAGATTAGCTAGACACAGAGTGCTGATTGGTTTGTTTACAAACCTTGAGCTAGACACAGAGTGCTGATTGCTGTATTTACAATCCCTTAGCTAGACATAAAGGTTCTCCAAGTCCCCACCAGTTTAGCTAGATACAGAGTGCTAATTGGTATATTTACAATCCCTTAGCTAGACATAAAGGTTCTCCAAGTCGCCACTAGACTCAGGAGTCCAGCTGGCTTCACCTGGTGGATCCTGCACCCGGGCCGCAGGGGGAGCTGCCCGCCAGTCCCGCGCGCCGTGCGCCCGCACTTCTCAGCCCTTGGGCGGTGGATGGGACGGGAAGCCGTGAAGCAGGGGGCGGCAATCGTCGGGGAGGCTCCGGCGGCGCAGGAGCCCACCGCGAATTCTCGGGCATGGCAGGTTGCAGGTCCCAAGCCCTGCCCCGCGAGGAGGCGGCTGAAGCACGCGAGCGCGGCGCGGGTGGGCCGGCAGCGGTAGGGGACCCAGCGCCCCCTCCGTAGCTGCTGGCCCGGGTGCTAAACCCCTCACTGCCCGGAGCGGTGGCGCCGGCCGGCCGCTCCGAGTGTGGGGCCCCCGGAACCCGCGCCCACCCGGAACTCGCACTGGCCCGCAAGAGAGTTCCCGCCTCTTCCTCCACACCTCCCCGCAAACAGGGAGCCGGCCTCGCCAGCCCAGAGAGGGGTTCCCACAGTGCAGCGGCGAGCTGAAGGGCTCCTCGAGCGCGGCCAGAGTGGGCGCCGAGGCCGAGGAGGCGCGGAGAGCGAGCGAGGCCTGGCACCACGCTGTCACCTCTCGGCAAGGCGAGATTCCGCGCGGAGGAAAGAGGCGCGCTGTCCGGGGACGGGAGGCTGGCGGCAACCGCTACAGGGTCGTAACAAAACAAGTCCCTAGGGGAACTGAGTGGAATTGCGTCCTTTAGCTCTCCAGAGCTCTCTAAGCTCCTTGAAGGGCCAGAGGCTGAGCCCACCTTGGGACATAATTAGTAAGCCTGACTCAGTGACATGGCCCTGCCAAAAGAAAATATTCCCTGAAGGAACAACCTTCTCTCGCATTCTGGTGCCTAAGGAGGTGCAGCTTGAATGTGAGACTGAATTAGGACAGAACTGAAGGCCCCTTGAGCCACACTGGTATTGAGAGGGTATAAGGGACTGCAGGAAAAAGGGATGTCAGAGAGAAAGAATCCCATTTACAAAAGCGTTACCATGTAGGCAGGGTTTAGCTTTGGGTAATGAATGACTCAGTTCTGTGGCTAGAAAAATACACAAAGAGGATTATTAGAAAAGTTTCTGATTATTTGGTTCATCAAAAGGACATTTCTGCCTACTTCCTAGTTATAGTATGAGTTTATGAAATTTGGGATCATAGAAGAAAGTAAAAATTCTATTAGAGAACAGACACAAGGGCTGACAGTTCTTTGTGACACCTCAGAAACTGTTATTCCAAAATCCTATTTGCAATCAGTTGGGTTACAGCCTCCTGAGATTCACCCTCCTGATTCTGGCCCTGAGCTAGGTTTGTCCAGAGATTAATAAGTTTGTGATCTTTCTGTCCTTCAGCCTTGGTTTAACTGGAATAATAAGTGAGATGAGGAAATGACTAATAGAGCTCATCTTGAGTGTATGTTTTTTTAAAAAACCCATTCTTCCAGTGGGCTGGAAGGGGTAGTGGGAAACATTCAACAACATCTGCCCACACCAGGCCTGCCTCAACTTAATCCTTTCTCAGCTACTCTTCCCAGGTAGAGCCATCATTAATCTGATTGGTCATGTTCTAGGACATCAACAAGGTCTTGATATCTGGTGGAAAGTTTAAGACTTTGTCTTGCTTTTCCTCTCCTCTGGGCCCAAAGAGCATGAGACAGCTAAACTTGGATCTTCTCTGTAGACCCAGCCATGTTGCTTCCTGCTTTTTCTCAACTTATTTCCTCCATGTAGCTGGCCAGCAGTTGACACAAGCCTAAGACTTAGGACAAAGTTAAAGGCACCACTGGAGGTTAAATCTAGGGTACATGCTCCAACAGAGATCTGAACTTCTGCAAGAGATTTGAACTTCTCCATGGGTGATTATTTGATTATCTGAGCACTCACTTAGCTCTTTATAAATTAGTAGTTCCATTTAGTTTAACAAAGTTTTTGAGATCATGGGCTCAGGAACTAGATGACTTGGTTTCAAATCCTACCACCTACCTGCTATGTGACTTTTTCTGTCTCATATTCCTCATCTCTAAGATAGAAATAGTAATTTCTGAGTCATAAATTTGCTGCAAGGATGTGGTACAATGGGCCTTGCAATAAATTCTACAACATCACATAGTATGAACGAAGGAATGGGAATAAGATTTACTGGGGAAACTTAGAAAGCAAGAGTCAGGCACAAGAGGCATAGAGTTCTCAATCCTCTCATAATCCCATGGAGAGGTGAACCAGGGGCAAGAACAAGCCATTTCACATGCAATAGGTTGGGGCTCTGGTCCTGACCCAATTATTCTATCTTGTCAAGGATAAACTTGAACACCACTTTTCAGTAAGACAACAAGCAGACTACTTGATTGCCGGGCAGTCTGGGTTTAGATGCTAGCAGAGCTGAGGAAGCATCTGAGGACCAGATGCCCAACACCTGGAGACCATGCATCCTATGGACAGTTGCAGCCCCTTCGTGTTAGAAAGTGTAAGCAGCTGGTCTCATGCAAAGCTATACGTAGGTGCAGCCCCTCTTTCCAAGAGGAACGGGAAACTCCAGTTGTAGCTAGCACATTTCCTGGGCAATCTAGAGTGAGATCCCAGGATCATTTCTGAATAGTTCTGCTTATTGCCCCACAGAATATTAAGTAAAATGTAGCACACAATATCTTTAGTACAGTATTAATAAGTACTCAATAAATATTAGCTATTATAGTTAGTCCCATTTGGCTATCGCTCCTTTTGTTCAACTTCCTTAGGAACATGATATGAGTAGAGTGTCAGAAGTGATTGACAGGGATAAACTTAGTCATTTCTGGGTTCTTTAGCAAAAATAATAATCTAAAACCACCTCAAACCTCACCCTAACTCTTTTAACAGAGACTTATAATCACATCAACATCTACATTAGCCCACAGCTTTAAAACTCATGTGTATCTTTGTTTCCAAACCGCTTTCTAACTGGTCTCCCCAATTCCAGTTTCTCTACTATCTAGTTTGAATTTCACGGTTGTCAGTGTTTTCTTCCTGAAATATATTATCATATAATTAAAAAGTTTTGCTAATTATTATGTTGGCAAAGCTGGGGAAAAACAGGCTGCCATTTCTGTGTAATATAGAATAAGGTAGGACCAGTAGATCCCATGATCATGTGCCCTTTGTAACACATCCTTCACAGTAAAGTGAGTCCCTTGGTCTGAGATGTAAGGCAAGGTTCCATGTCAGTACATCAGACATTGTGAGTCCTTGGGTAGTATTAGCAGGGGCATTGGAGACAGGGAAGCAAAATTATACCTGGAATACATACAAATCCCTATAAGGATGAGTCTCTGCCCACTGCAAGGTATTAATAGAAAGGGTTCAAAGTGATCAATCTGCCACCAAATGGCTGCTTAATCTTCTCAAGAGATCATACCATGTTGAGGGTTCAATGACAGTGCTAACTGTCCTTTTCTGTCTAATAAAATGAAAAGGATCCCAATCCTTACAGAACATAAAAAGAAAATATATGTGTTAGGCCGGGGTTTCCCACCCTCAACTTACCAGCTGTGACACTGTTGGCAAGTTTATTATCTTCTCCAGGCCTATCTAAAAATTGGGATAATGATAATACTTACCCCATTGGATTGTTTGAGAATTAAATGAGTTAGCACACATAAAGCATTTAAAACGACACCTGACCCAGAATAAGCGCGCTCTATTCAAATGTTTGCCAAATATATTTTTTAATGTTTAATATTAAAGGATGGCTTAAAGGAGGAGAGCAAATGGACGAGAGAAAAACAGCCGAGAAGAGGTTAAAAATAAGATGCCTCTGCTGGCGGGACCCTCCCTACCCACCTCCCCGCCCCGCCCCGCCCCGCCCCAGAGTTCCCGCAAAGGGGCTTCCCCGCTCGGACTCGACGCCGCCACGCAGACCTGCCCCGCGGCCTCAGCTTCCCGGCTGTGTGGCCCAAGTATAGCCCGAAGCCCTCCGTCCCCTTTCTCCCCAGGCGAGGTCGAAGGAACCACGACCCCATTCGCGGCTAGGAAACAAGAAACCGAACGCTTTTCCATTCCGCAGTCTCCATGGTAACGCGTGCTTCGCTTTTCTAGCACCCGCGGAAGACTCTTCTCTTTGGTCCAGCCCTGCAGACACCGGGAAGCTGTGCTGTCTGAATCAGCTTGGCCAGTGTTGCACTGTTACCATTTGGGAGGAACAGATTAGCTTGAATATGAAATTTATCCTCTTCAGTATACAAAGAGAAAAACAAAGAAAATGAAAGCACGAGTCAATTAGAATTACTTGAATATAAGCTCCACGGGGCAGAGATCTTTAACCGTTTTGTACATTCATGTTATTCCAAGCTCTTAGTACAGTTGCTTTTAGAAATATTTGTTGAAGAATGAATTGAAATGAGTCTGAACAAAATGGACGCAAAGCAGCTTTGACTGATCTATCACCATTTGACTGTTCTCAGTAGCTTTATTTTAAAAAGAACCATAAGTCACATACATTTAAATGTGCTATAACTTTTAGGATCATGAGGGCCAACAAGCATACGTTATAAGTAATGTATTCTGTATTTTCAAGAATATATTTCCAATATATGGTATTTTTCTATAATATATTTTTATCATGTTATGTTTCAATATAATGATTATGAGCAGAACCTTGAACAGAAAATTGTTCCATCTATGTAAGTAATAAGGTTAAACACAAAAGATATATTTAAAAGTTTGGGGAAGTAATAAATACTTTTTTTACTAGATTTTATCTTTTAGAGCAGTTTTAGGTTCACAGCAAAATTGAGCTGAAAGTACAGAGATGTCCCATACTCCTTGCTCCACACATGTGTAGCTCTCTCACTCTCAGCATCCCCAACCGGAGGGGTGAACCTACATTGACAATCACCTGGAGTCCGGACAAATGTATAGTGGCATGTATCCACCATTACATAATCATACGTAGTATTTTCACTGCCCTAAAAATACCCTTTGTGCTCGGCCTGGTCATCCTTCTCCACTTCCAACCCCTGACAACCACTGAACTTTTTTTTCTTTGGTTAAGATGCTACATATATGATCTTTTTACTGTCTCCATAGTTTTGCCTTTTCCAGAATGTCATATAGTTGAAATCATACAGAATGTAACCTTTTCAAATTGGCTTCTTTCACTTAATAATATGCATTTAAGTTTCCTCTATGTACCATAGTAAATACTTTTTAGATTGTTCTTTCCCATATTAGAATATAAACTTTCTACCAAAAATTATGGGAAATTACCCTTTTAGAAGGGAAAATTCCAAGAAAACAATTATTTCAAAAAGATTGCCAATATTTTTTAAATGAAATATCAAAGACAAAAAAAATACTTGCTAGCAAGTTCTGAGTTGAACTGAAAAACAATCAGGTTAATTAAAAAGATTATTGGAAGGAAAATGGGAAGACCTGTCTATGGCAGTTAAAATGGATGAGCTAGAGCCACATTTTTCATGAAGGATAAATCTCAAAACTACATGTAAAGTTGAGTACAAATTACATAGTAACCCCTATAATGTATTCTTGCCAAAAATATTGAACCAAAATGAAATCAAGTATTTAGAGCTCAAAGGATATGTACAAACTGAAACTATTTGTATAAAATTTGTAAAACATGTAAATTATACTATATAATATTTGTGGCTACCCACGTATGTACTAAAAATATGTGAACATGCATGGGAATAATAACATCAAAATCAAGATAGTAGTTAACCTGGGAAGGAAGGGGGAAGGAATTGGTGAGGAGTAGACATGGTGATTTAATTGTGTATATAATCTTTTATGTCTTAAGCTAGATGTTGAGTGTTCTTTATATTACTCTTTAGTATGCCTGAAATATTTGCTATTTTTTTCAAAAGCCCCAGGAAATGAATTTTGTAATTTTGACAGATGGCAGAAGGGCCATAAAATTACTTAACATTATCAGGCTTTCATATCTCCATCAAGTGTCGTGACCTTCAAGTTGAGAATGATAGGACAAACATTTACATAAGGAAGGTAGTTAAACAGTAACTACAAGTTTTCATGCCCAGCTTAAAGCATACTAAAGTTCAGGAGGATTGGCCACAGGACCCCTGAAGCCCATTTTTGAGTAGTGCAACAAATGCCGAAGTCTGACAAATATCCAAATTTTCAAAAAGTAAGAAGGTGAACTGTGGAATTAACAGGGTGAAAAATTTGACATGGATCCCTGGTAAAATTCCAGTATTAATTATTTTAGGAGATGTTTTATGAGCGATTGTGGTTAGCCTAGAGGAAATAATGTAAATAAATGTCTCTTAATCCAACTAGATTATTAAAGTATATGCTAACAGTCTACTGTGGAAGTATCTTTATAACAGCAAAGGGTATAGCAGTCTTTCATGAATGTATTGCACAAAAATATGTGAACTGGACATTATTACTATTAAGTAGATTAATATTGGGAAGAAAGACTGTACCCAGTCAGCCTGGAAGGTAGATGACCACGCATAGCATCTCTCCTGTAGCTCCTTGCACAGTGCCTTTGCACAGTATTCACTAAAGTCCTTTACAAAATTATAGACTTAGTATCCTTAGGGATCATTCTACTTAAAATGCCAATTTCCATTAGATGAGAATAAAATTTTATAAAATTGGGGGATTGAAGAAATTATTTTTGTATAATGATTTTTATTCAGCAAGCAATATGGCCAGGCATTTTCATATACAATATATGTATATTAACCCTCTCACAATGAATTTGTGCATAAGGGATTTGTTTTCACTATTTTACAGATGCAGCAATTAAGACACAGAGAAATTAAGTAACTTGCTCACAGTATCATAGCTAACAAGTTGCAGAATCAGGAACAAGATCTTCTCAATATAAAGTTTCTGCACTTCCCATAATACCACTTTATTGCTACTGTGCCAAGTATTTTCTTACCTCCTTTGTCTTTGAATAAATAGAAGACCCGACTGGGCTGGAAAGGCTGCATTTATATCCAAAGTAGTCTAGGTATGAGATCCAAGAGTCTGAAATCATTAGATTCTCTTCTAATTTTATCCTCTTTTGTACAAACAAGTTTTTAATCTCTTGGGCCTCAATTTTCTCAAGTATAAAATGAAGAAAGTATACCTCATTACCATTATAGTATCTTCCAGGTTTGCAGTTATTCTCATCATGAAATTTGATGCCAGGCAATGTGTTAAGTGATTTCCACGTATTAACTAATTTATCCTTATAACGGCTCTGAAATTTAGGTATTTACACTGGACCCATTTTGCAGATAGACAAACTAGGGTGGGTCTAAGGTATGATACACACACATTGTGAGTGGGGTAGCCAGGATTTAATCTCATAATTAAGCAAATTTTATTTCATTTTGATACATTTTTAAAACAGCTAACCATGACTATTCACAAAGGTATGCAATCCTTGCCCCCACTGAAAGCACCAGAACACCTTGGAAAAATGGCTGATTCCAGGTCTGAGGCAGGAAATGTATGACATGTGTCTGAAACATTTATCTTGCCATAAAGGAAAAAAGCAAAGACGCTTAGAGTTGGATGAAAAGGACACAGGAGATAAAATAAAGGGACTCCCACTGACCAAAGATGAAATAATTTGAACATTAAAAAGAATAACTACTGCAATTGATTGAGACTCATTGAATGTATTTTTTTAAATCCATGTGTTCATATTGATATGCAAAAAGAGAAAACAAAATTTTGCATTAGTTATCAACTGATGCAGAACACTTGATGTTGTGCACAAAAAGAGAAAACAAAATTTTGCATTAGTTGCACAAAAAGATTTTACATTAGTGCACATTAGATGCACAAAAAGAGAAAACAAAATTTTGCATTAGTTATAAAACTTAGAACCAAACATCTGTTGCAGTTTCCTCCCTCAAAGCCATTCCCCAGCTTCTGAAGACCAGAAATCTGGGAGCAGCTTGGCTGGTGGTCCTGCGTATGTCATAAGGTTGCACCCAAGACATCAACCAGGGCTGCAGTCATCTGAAAGCTTGACTAAGGTAGAAAGATCCACTTCCAAACTCACTCATGTGTCTGCTGGCAGGAGGCTTCAGTTCCTCACCACCTGGGCCTCTCCTTACAACATGGCATTTGGCTTTCCCAAGGGTGTGTGATCTACGAAAGAAAAACAGACCAAAACAGAAGCCGTAGATTATTTTATAACCTAATATTAGAGATAATGTAGCATCGGCCAGGTGCGGTGGCTCATGGCTGTAATCCCAGCACTTTGGGAGGCCAAGGTGGGCAGATCACTTGAGGCCAGGAGTTTAAGACCAGTCAGCCAACATGGCGAAACTCTATCTCTACTAAAATATAAAAATTAGCTGGGCATGCTGATGCATGCCTATAGTCCCAGCTACTTGGGAAACCGAGGCAGGAGACTCACTTGAACCCGGGAGGTGGCGATTTCAGTGAGCCAAGATCGCGCCACTGCACTCCAGCCTGGGCAACAGAGCAAGACTCTGTCTCAAAAAACAAAACAAACAAACAAACAAACAAACAAAACATAGCATCACTTTTACCAGATCATTCAGTCACACAAACCAACCCTGGTACAATGTGGAAGGGGGCTACACAAGGATGTGAATGCTGGACAGTAGGGCCCAGCTAGCCATTTTATAGGATGGCTATCACATTTTGTAAGGTGGTTACCATTGATGGCACCTAAGGCACAACTGCTTTTTCTGAAAATTGGCAATTATGTTGAAAATTAAACAGTCTTTCTTTCCTGTACAAACTACATTTCAGGATAACCAAATAGCCCTAAATTGCTAAATTGATGAAGGAAAGTTTTTCTTTATAGAGGAGTTCTAACTAATAAATGTGAAAAAATTATTGAATTAGAAAAATTACAATTTTACAAACTCTAATGAAATGGGGTGGCTGAATCTATCAGATTAAAAGCCAGTGGGAAAGTTTACATGGAAGGATTCAGCTATCAAGTATTAAACCCACTGGTCAATCTTAGCATCAAAAACATTATATGCTTCCTGATGTGTGGCAAAAAGTACATAGCACCACCTAAGGATTCTTACTAACAAAGTTAAACCTAACTCTAATAAAACCTTTAGAGGTAACATCAAGTTTTACAGGAAATATGAGGCTAGAGAAACTAATAAAATGGGGACACAAATAGACAAAGCCAGCATGTAGAACATTCAGGACAAATGTCCCAATTTGTTCAATTAGTTGACTATATGAGGGGAAGACGAAGAGGAGGATGGAAGGAGGAACTAGTTCAGATGTGAATTTTAAAAGAATTAAGACACATGCCCAAATTAAATACTGGAACTTTAGATCTTGAATGAAATAGAAAACAAATGTAAGAAGCATATGTATATATTTAGGGAAATATAATATGGACTTGGTATTAGATGATAACCAGGAATTATTTTGTTAAATGGGATAATGGTATTGTGATTCTGTAGGAAAATATCCTTTTTAAAATAAATGCATAATGAAGTTGAAAGTAAGATATTTGGGGTTTGCTTTAAAACGTTTCAGCAAGAAAAAATGGAGATGGATGAAACAAGTGTGGCAGAATTTTATGTATTTTTAAATGTAAATGATGGGTATATATGGGTTAATTATACTCTTCTTTCGACTTCTGCATAGGCTTAAAATAGTCTTTACTTTTGAAAAAGACATTCAATTATTTGTGTTCTTAGTTAATATTTAAAAGTAACTTTTTCATATATTTGTCACAAAACTTCTGTCCATTCCTATCTAGAGGTTCCTCTACATGGGAAAAAAGGAGCAAAAGGGTAATATTTCTGCAACCCCTTTGCACAGGCCATAAACGCACGCAAACTCCTAGAAGGCTGAGCCGCGAGGAGGAGGGCGGAGAGTTTAAGGGAACGCCTAGACCAGAGAGTTGACGCCTTTCCTAGAAAATCACCGGAAATGATAATTGGCGGACTAGGAAGTGGAGCTTCTGTATATTTCTGTTTCTCATTTCTTGGGGAGAGTACCGGCGGGAAGGTCTGTGCCTTGGGCCGTCGTGGGTCGGAATTTGCAGCTGAGAGGAGAGGAGTCCGGTGCCGCCGTCGCCCCCCTCACCTAAATACCCGGGCCCCTGGGGTTGCAGGCAGGGGCGGGTCTTTGGGGCCAGATTTGAGGAGGGAGTCGGCTGCGGTTTCCTCCCTCGAAGCCATTCCCCAAAATGAGCATTTCCCGCCCATTTGCCCTACCTCCTCCCAGGGGCTCGTGACCCATTTTTTTTTTTTTTTTTTGAGACCGGAGTCTTGCTCTTGTCGCCTCCTGACCCATTCTTTTTATTCTTCTCTACAGCATCCATTCATATATTCATTCAGTCAGCTAATTTTTAATCCAGCACATACTATTGCAAGCGCTGTTTTAGGCGTTGAGAATACAACTGTGAACAAGACGACAAAAATTCCTGCCCTCATGGAGCCTAAGAGCCTAGATTTTAGCGAAGGTAGAACCACCGTAAACAATGTATATATTAATAAGTAACTTATGCACCATACTGGAAAATTATAAAGTGCTATAGAGGAAAAGAAGAATTCATGTAAAGCAAGGTAAGGCCCATCAGGATTGGAAGGAGGGGATAGGCTGCAATTTTAAATAAGGCACTCAGAGTAGACCTCCTTGGGAAGATGACCTATAAGAAAACACTTGAAGGAGGCAAGATTATTAGCCATGGAGATCGCTTAAGGTGAAGGGAGCAGCCAATGGAAAGGCCCTAAGATGAAAGAGAAGGAAGGTCGGTATGGCTGAAGATTGAGGGAGTGGGAGAAGAGTAGAAGGTGTTGAGAATGACACATCCTGTAGACTTGTATGCCACTCTTAAGACTTCAGCTCTTATTTTGGGTGAGCAGGAGAGGAAGTTAGAAGTCACGGGCACATTCAGTAGGGCCTTGTATACCTCGGTAAGGACTTCAGGTTTTATTTTAAGTATGAACCACTGGAGAGTTTTCAGCAGAGCGATGAAATGATCCAACTCAAGTTGTAAACGGACTACTCAGACTGCCCTATTAAGAAAGGAGGTGGAGCTTGCAGTGAGCCGAGATTGCGCCACTGCACTCCCGCCTGGGCCACAGAGCGAGACTCCGTCTCAAAAAAAAAAAAAAAAAAAAAAAAAAAAAAAAAAAAAGAAAGGAGGAAGGCAAGGATTGAAGAAAGGAGACCAGTTAGAAGACTACCGCAGTAATGGAAAGGAGGGGAGATAGCAGGTGATGGTGGCTCAGACAAGGGTGGTAGCCGTTGAGATTGTATTCTGGATATGTTCACATTTTCAGTTTGACTTCGTGCCTCAGGTTCTCAGTGACTCCCTATTTTTTCCTGTGGTCACATTCCTCTTTTCCCTTCACCAAATATGCAGGGAAACAAGATGTGAGATCACAGCGGTTTAGTGTTGCTAATGAACCCCAAATCCAGGGCAGTGTTTGACACATTAAGCCAAACAGTAGCGGCACTGTGGGTCAAGAAGGGCCCTTTGGCTGGCACCACCAAAACATGTGTTCTCCAAAGGAGGCTGGCATCAACTGGAGCCACTTCACAGCTTGTTTGAGAACTGGATCTGACCAGTAGGAAGAAACCAGGACAGCAGTGGAAGACTGTTAAAGAAACCTGAGTAAAAAGATGCAGGAGGTAAGAAGAGGAGGGTCTGTGATACATCACAAGGAGGAAGAAGGAGAAGTGAGTCCAAGAAAGAAGGAAAGCAGTGTGAGTGGAGGTGTGTCTGACTCTAGATACTGTTGGAGGTGTCTCCTCCTAGATACTGTTTTTGCTGCTTGACCTGGTGATCATTAAAGCTTTGTAGTTGTAGATGCCATTTCTAGTTTTCATAAGGTATTAGGAACTGAGTCCATTATTTTCTCCCTTCTTTTGGTATTTCTGGGAGACAGTTTCTGTGGATAGACCTGTATGGTTGCTTGCATCTTCCTATGTATTTTTCTCACCTTCATAACTTTCCTGAATTCATTCTGTGTCTTGCAATAGGTTGTGCTGTTGGATGAGAGTTCAGGACCACCAAGCCAGCTGCTTTGGACCCGCCAGGATACCCAGCTCCCTCAGGAAAGCGGTGAGATACACAGGAGATTGTGGCAGGAGTCACGGCAGCTGAGAATGTAGTAAGGACACAGAGTGGGTGGAAAATGCCACACTGGGGCCCAAAAATCTGTTCATTAATGAGCATTTATAGAAAGTCTTATTTTGTTTCTATACGAGGCTTGGATCAATATCTAGAGGAACTAAATATTCAGTTTCTGTCAGTATCTTAAATTTTGAAAAAAATCAGTGTGTAAAAGATTCTACAAAGCAATTTATCAGAAAGAATCAATGCAGTCAGGCATTTACTGTTTGTATAACCTGAGATATATGGTAAATAGCGTACATATTTGCACATATTTTACACTTATAAAACTTGTGGTATAATTCAGTAATTCCTACCCAAACATAATTTTGCCAACATGTAAAATTTGAATATATACAATTTTACTTCTGCAGACCTTTCTGGAGCCCTGATACTTTTAAATGATGTATAGATATCTCCAAAATATAAAATAAAGCAGTGACAAAAGAAGAAGCAAAAGTTTTCCCATTGAAGCCTTGTGCTCTTTGGTGGCGTATGTGAGGAGGAAAAGTGGTTAAGATTTGTATAAAAGCTGATGGTAGGCCGGGTGCGGTGACTTATGCCTGTAATCCTAGCACTTTGGGAGGCCTAAGTGGGTGGATCACTAGAGGTCAGGAGTTCATGACCAGCCTGGCCAATATGGTGAAACCCCATCTCTACTAAAAATACAAAAATTAGCCAGGTGTGGTGTAATGCACCTGTAACCCCAGTTACTCAGGAGGCTGAGGCAGAAGAATTGCTTGAACCCAGGAGGTGGAGGTTGCAGTGAGCTGAGATCATGCCACTGCACTCCAGCCTGGGCAACAGAGTGAGACTCTGTCTAAAAAAAAAAAAAAAAAAATTGCTGTTGGAGGTGCAACCTAGGAGATAGTATATAGCAATTCAGGAGTCATAAAATCAAACCCAGAAAGGCATAGACTTTTGGACAGAGGAGTAGGCACATTCAAAAGTAAGCTTTTTAGTATATGCTACCTGCAAAAAATAAAAATAAAATGTGTTTCTAGATATAGTGTTGAAACATCTAGAGGAGGAATCCTGAGATATCTGCTGTACAAGGGATCATAAATGAGAATTAATAATATAGAACATAAATTTTTTATAGATTTAGAAATAAAAAATAATAGCTATTGCTAAACTCGGATGCACGAGTCTCCCAGTCTTCTTTTTCTCAAATGGTCGTGAAATCTGCTGTGGTGGATTTTCAGGGTCAGAAATTCTGTAGCCACCTATCATATAATACAATACAAATGTATTAATCTTATCCCACAAGATATCTGTATACTGCTTTAACAAAAAGTTTTATGTTGTTTTTTCATGTAGCCTGTTTCCTAAATTCATTTTTAACTTAAGAGGAATAACCTTTCAATTTCTAAAGCTAAAGCTAAAAAATAAAGCTTATGAATCACTATGAGTGACAGACTTTCCCAGTTGTGAAGAAGATATGGTAAAAACCAGTAGGGAATGAGTTACATAGGGGTATGCTTTTGTCAAAGTTTCTCTAAGGGTACATTTAAGACATGTGCATTTCATTATATGTAAATTTTACCTCGAAAAAGAAGGTAAACAAATGTTGAACTTCCAGTTAATGATATACATGTTAAACTGTTTAGGGGTGAGGTGTACTGATGCTTTCAACTTACTTTGAAATGATTCAAAAAATAAAATACATTAATGAACAGAGAGAGGAATAGATAAATGGATAAGTATGTGATAAAGCAAATATTGCAGAACGTAAATTGTGGAATGTAAGTGATTGGTATATGGATATTTACTATATAATTTTTTCAACTTTTCTATATACTTGAAAATATTCATAATAAAATAATGGTTGAAAACATCCAATTGAGAGCTTTAAGTGTGTTAATGTTATAAGGAAAAGAACTGTTATGTAACATTAACAAGGCACAAACATGTGTCTGCTGTGAGTTGTGTGCCATCCAGATGAGTTTAGACTTTTTGAGACAGTTATAAAGGAGCTCGGAGCTTTTAGAGTGAGACAGTGGAAAAACTGTATGGAACCACCATGACTGAGATGCAGCCTTGGTCTTGGTCAAAAGCTATAAGTAGCTGAAACTAAAGAAGAGTCTTCTTGGGCAATTTCAGTGAAAAGAAATCAGCTTGGTTCTAAATCGGTTTTTCGTAAAAATGGAATGATAGTCTTGGAGGTCTAAATCCAAAGGGTGATTATAAAATCTTACCAATAGATTACTTTGACCCTGCTGGTGTCTTAAAAGCAGACAGCAATTATTCAGATTTGGACTTGGCGATGTGTTGATAAACTATCAAGAAAAATAAGGCACCTTAAACATTGAAGCTACAGAAAGATTGAGCTGGCCTGCAAGGAATAAAGTCAGGCCCTATTAATTAGTAATATGAACTACTTCTCAGCTGGGCGTGGTGGCTCATGCCTGTAATCCCAGCACTTTGGGAGGCCGAGGCGGGTGGATCATGATGTCAGGAGATGGAGACCATCCTGGCTAACATGGTGAAACCCCATCTCTACTAAAAATACAAAAAATTAGCCAGGCATGGTGGTGGGCACCTGTAGTCCCAGCTACTTGGGAGGCTGAGGCAGGAGAATGGTGTGAACCCAGGAGGTAGAGCTTGCAGTGAGGCAAGATCACGCCACTGCACTCCAGCCTGGGAGACAGAGCGAGACTCTTAAGTCTCAAAAAAAAAAAAAGAAACTACTTCTCACCCAATCATATGGATTATACCTGAACACTTGGACACTCTTTATAAAGTTTCTTTTGCATTTTAAAATGCTCTGTGTGCTATACTATATTGACATAGGGAGGATAACTCAGTACTAGGGAATTAGTAGGAAAAATGTGCAAAATCGGGAAGAATGATTCTTCTCTAAGAGGAATAAGGAAAAAAATTTGTAACTAACTGGAGGTAGACCAGCCATTAAGTTACCTGAAAAAATAAGCTTTGGTCCTATCCCTGGATGCTTCTGTTCAACACATATGCACACACACACATACGCGTGCATGCACACACTCTTTTTCACCCTCCTTCTACCCCAAGTATTTTGGAAGAAATGACTTCAGTATTCAAATACAGGAAGAAGGTCTATTCAAAACCAGGGAATAAGTGATTTGGGCCTTTTTACCAGATCTGTTTGGGGAGGGGGAAAGTTTATTCCAGGACAAAGACCACAGGAAAACAGTAGGTGAGACAGGAAAAGAGTGCATTTCCAAGAGCTGCCTTGGCTGCTGTGCCAGGGCCTGATGCCCAACACTGGAAGTTGAGACTAGAAAAATAATGAAGAGGAAGGATACTGTAAGGCAGTAGCCTAAAGCCCTAGGTTAGAGCTGCAGAAGCTTCTACATTTGAGGAAGAGAAGACGAATGCAGGAGATTTCATTAATACTGTGCTATATTGACTCTTGGCTTACTTATCTTCCCTCAGCTCTATTACCTGCTCCATATCCTGCCTTCACTAAAGATGGAAGCCAAGGAAACCTGCCGCAAGCAGATATCACACTAATGAGCCAGGCCCAAGTGAGCTGAGGCCCCTTTCCTCCTCCTTGAAAATACATCACTACCTCCAAAATATGGCCTTGTTTTCACTGCGTTCTCTGGCTGTGCAACTCCTAAATCAATGTTCTCCCTCTCATAAGGAACATTTTGTTGCATGATAAACCACTTGTGGGTTGTTTTCTCTTTCATTATTTTTTGCTATCAAAACCCCATGCTCCCTTTCATCTCATTTGTACATACCCACCAAAAGGGAAGAGCCTTTCACTTCTATAAACCTCCTCCTTGCAAATTCCTTTCTTCTGCCTCTGTTTCCTGAGGAAACTATGGCGTTTTCTCCAGGATAGCAGGAGCATATTATTTCAGGAGTCAGTGACATTTGAGGATGTAGCTGTGAACTTCACTAACAGGGAGTGGCAGTGTCTGACCTACGCTCAAAGGCATCTCTATAAGGATGTGATGTTGGAAAATTATGGGAACATGGTATCACTTGGTAAGGACCTTCCCTACACTTAATGCTTTCTACCTTCTTTTTTTATTATTTAATTGATTTATTTATTGATGTATATAAGGTCTCATATTGAAAGAGTCCTTATTCTTTATCATCAGGATCTTGCCCAAAAATTAAGAGTTTTGAGTTGCCTCTATTACATAGCAAGATAATTTTTTGGCTAACCTAGTTGCTGTTTTCTGATTTGGAATGAGTTAAAAGGAGACATTTACCTTCTGTTTTCCCTGGGTTCTTGCTTCCTCAAGCCTCTCATTTTTTTATGGGGTGTTCTATATTCCGCTCCTAGTCAAGAACTGCCTTCTATGTGCCTGAAACTGATAGTCTTCCTATACCAGACTCCCATTCTCCTAAAGTAAAACAAAATAAAATTAAAAAAAAAAAAAACAGGAGAGCACACCCAAATGACTGTTTCCCAGAACTTCTCTTTCCTTCTGAGTGTGACTTTTCTGAGAAAGTCCCCAAACATGTTCTTTTACATGTTACTAGACCCCTGAAAAACCCTTTTCTCTATCTAAATTAACATTTCTTTCCTGTTTTCATATACAAACAGAAGGATCAGGGCTGCTTAGCTAAGTTATAAGTTATTAAGTTATAAGTTACTCTACACACTTATTTCTTCTCTGCAACCAGGATTTCCATTTCCTAAACCTCCTTTAATCTCTCATCTGGAGCGAGAAGTAGACCCCTGTGTGCAGGATCCACAGGACAGGGAGTCCCTAAGCTGCTCCTACCCAGGTGAGTAATAGAGAAACTTTCAGTTCCCTCTGATCTTCCATGTGGCATAATGGTTATGGAACATTCTCAGTGGTGGATCATCCAGTCGAAGGGCCCAGAAAGGAAACCCATTTAGGAAACTTAAGGAAAAGAAAATTGAAACAGTGACAAACTATTTGGGCAATTATTCTGTTATTATCTAATTGGTTCTTTGCAACCTATCTAATAGATTTTTGCAATTTGGCCCTCAAAAAAGGCTCAGAGGCTGGGCACAGTAGCTCATGCCTGTAATCCCAGCAATTTGGGAGGCCAAGATGGGCAGATCACCTGAGGTCGGGAGTTTGAGACCAGCCTGGCCAGTATGGTGAAACCCCATCTCTACTAAAAATACAAAAATTAGCTGGGTGTGGTGGTGCATGCTGGGTGTGGTGGTGCATGCTGGGTGTAATCCCAGCTGCTTGGGAGGTCTGAGGCCGGAGAATCATTTGAACCCAGGAGACAGAGGTTGCAGTGAGCTGAGATCACACCACTGCACTCCAACCCGGGGGACACAGTGAGACTCCACCTCAAAAAAAAAAAAAAAATCTCAGAATATTTATTACCCTTCTGTGTGTCAGTTACTGCAGTGCTCATAAATTGAGACAGGTGAGAGTCATTCTAGGCAGAAGGAATAACATGTGAGAAAGCATTGAGGAATAAAATAATATGAACTATGAATTGTTCAGTGTGAGTAGAGCAGGGGACTTAGAATAGCTTTGGGGAGGTTCATAAGTAGTAGAAAGGGGCAAGATCATGATATGACGTCTGTTTTTTGGGAGTTTTCTTAAGGAATTTAAACTACAAAACTTGAACTTACAATAACAGCTAATATTGATTAAAGTACTTCAGTGTGGCATGTGCTTTACATACATTAACTCATTTAGATAAAGCAACTGAGGCAAAGGAGAAGTGAAGTCATCCTCCCAAGTTCACACAGGTATTAAGATTTATTAACTGTCATACTAGGATTTGAACCCAGGCAGTCTCACTCTAGAGCCAGGACTCTTGACCGTATGCTTTACTTTCTTCCTGTCTGGTTAACTATGGAGTGCCATTGAAGTATTTTAAGCTAAAAAGTGACATGATTAGACTTGATTTTCAGAGAGAATAATCTGGAAGCAGTGCAGAGGATGGATTAGAAGGGATTCAGGGTAAAGGATGTTTGAGGGATATAGCAATTAGTGAGAATGCACTGGCAGTGGAAATAAAGAGGAAGAGATAGAGTTCAGAGATAATATTAATAAGATGTATTTGGAGTCTTTGGTTGACAGCAATAGAAATTAACCCAAGCTAGCTTAAGCAGAAAAACATGAATTTATTTATTATTCAGGATGTGTCATGGGACCTAAGGGCAGCTATGTGTCAGGCCCTAGAAGAGACTCAAAACCATCAGGTTTCCAACTGTATTCCCTGCTTCTTTGTGAGTCAGCTTCATTCTTCTTTCTAGGCAAATTGACCTTCTCTTCTTCTCGGACCAGATGGCAGAACATTCCCTCCTCTGTACCAAATACCATCCCACCACCACTAGTTCTCAAATTTAAGTGCTAAAGACTGAGCTACTCTTAGAGCTGGCCTTACCTGCCGTCAGATCACAATTCTAAAGTCCAGGATTAGAGAATCTGACCTGGTTTGGGTCAGGTATTGCACAGATCTAATCTGCCCCAACCAGATGGGCTGAGTCACATAACAGAAATATGGCTCTCCAGGGCCCACCCTTGGGAGCAAAGCAGACAGTTCCTTGAAAAGGGACTGCATCAGCATTTCAGCACCTCCTCTGTAACTCTCTTCACAGGTAGAATTTGTAAAATGTTAGCTGGGTAAATACAAGGGAGACAGAGTTGAAGATTATTTTGTTTTGTGGCTTAGATGACTAGGTGTATAGAGTTTACACTCACTAAACTAGGAGACTATAGAGGAGGAATAGGTTTTTAAGGATTTTTTATAAAGTGTGCTGAGTGTAAAATATCTCAATACTTTTCATTATTTCAGCCTGTTCTGACTTTTGGCCACAACGTTAGTAATTTTTCCAGCATGGAAAAGTTATTTACTCTTCAAACAGCTTAACATTGCTTCACGCCTCCCATCTCACTTATTTCCTTCCCTCTGACATTTGTATTTTCTTGTTTAAGTGTCAGCTGACAAGATGTGGCCTGAGAATGAAAAGGCAAGTTCACAACAAGAGATTTTTGAAAATGGAGAAGCCTACTGGATGAAATTTAACAGTCTCCTAAAAGTTGATTCCCGGGATCCTAAGGTTAGAGAAGTTTGTGTTCAGGATGTCAAATTAGAGAATCAATGGGAAACATCTATAAGGGAGAAACTGAGAGAAGAGAAAGAAGGCTCTGAGGAAGTGACCTGCAAAAAAGGAAAGAACCAGAAAGTGCTTAGTAAAAACTTGAATCCAAACTCAAAACATAGTCAATGTAATAAAGTTCTTATAGCACAGAAACTCCATGAATGTGCCAGGTGTGGCAAAAACTTCAGTTGGCACTCAGATCTAATTCTCCATGAGCAAATTCATTCTGGTGAGAAACCCCATGTGTGTAATGAGTGTGGGAAAGCATTCAAGACCAGAAATCAGCTTTCTATGCACCGGATAATCCACACAGGGGAGAAACCTTTTAATTGCACCCAGTGTGGGAAGGCTTTCAACAGTAGATCAGCTCTTTGCCGACATAAAAAAACCCACAGTGGGGAGAAGCCTCACGAGTGCAGGGACTGTGGGAAGGCCTTCAAGACCAGGAACCGTCTCTGTATGCATCAGCTTATCCACACCGGGGAGAAGCCTTACAAATGTAACTGCTGTGGGAAGGCCTTCCAGTTTAAGCATTCCCTTACCATCCATGGCAGAATCCACACTGGGGAGAAGCCATATGAATGTGAGGAGTGCGGGAAGGCCTTCAGTGGGAGTTCAGACCTCACCAAACACATAAGAATCCACACTGGGGAACGACCTTATGAGTGCAGCAAGTGTGGAAGGGCCTTCAGTCGGAGCTCAGACCTAAGCAAACACAAACGAATCCATACTCGGGAGAAACACTATGGGTGTCCCCAGTGTGGAAAAGACTTCAGCATCAAGGCAGAACTCACCAAACACAGAAGGATCCACACTGAAGAGAAACGTTACAGGTGTGAGGAGTGTGGGAAAGCCTTTCGTCATAACTGTAAGCGCAGGGCTCATGAACGAGAGCATACAGGGGAGAAGCCCTATCAATGCAGGGATTGTGGGAAAACCTTCCAAGATAAGCACTGCCTTACCATCCATCAGAGAATCCACACTGGAGAGAAACCTTACAAATGTTTAGAGTGTGGGAAAGCTTTCAGTGGGAAGTCAAACTTGACCAATCATCGAAGAATTCACACTGGAGAGAAGCCTCACAAATGTGAGGTATGTGGAATGGCCTTCCATCATAGTTCAGTCCTGAGGCAGCACAAAAGAATCCACACTGGTGAGAAGCCATACACCTGCAGTGAGTGTGGCACGTCCTTCCGTCAGGGCTCAGCTCTGATTGGACATAAGCGAGTTCATACTGGGGAGAAACCTTATGAATGTGAGGAATGTGGAAAAGCTTTTAGAGTGAGCTCAAATCTTACTGGACATAAGAAAAGAAAACATCAAGTATGGAGTACCCATGAACTTGATGGGAGTAGGAAATCCCTCTCTCCAGTGACTGTTTCTCAGACCTCAGTAGTCAGTATTTTGACCAGTGCCTGAGTATAACGATTCTGGTGTTACTTTCTGTTTTTCCTACCTCTTAGGCTGGTCCTTCTGTCTCTTATATTAGTTATTCCTGATTTCCTGACCCTTAATTGTGAGATTCCCCAAAGACATTGTCCTTTACCTTCTTATTCACTATTTTTTCAGTGAGCACATTTACTTCCAAGAGTTTATCAATCACTTCCTAATATTAATAAACACTTATTAGTGCTTGCTGTGTTCTAGGCACTGTTCTAAGGGATTTACACATTTAAACTTTTTAAATCCATACAACATCCCTATGAGATCAGGAATTTGAGGCACAGAAAGATTAACAAACTTGCCCAGGATCACGTAACTAGTAAATTCTGTGCTCAGGCTTTCCTAGGCAATTCCCATATGCGTGCACCACATCTTTCCGACATGAAGTTATACCTCAGTTCAGCAGAAAACAGTTTGTAATTTATAAACACCAATCATTTTTAGCAATTTTTTTAACATAAAGCTAGAATGGTACTTCTCCATATTGTATCAGGATTGCTAAGATTCAAAGTGAAAAGGGAGGCAGGGAGAGAACAGGTTTAGAAATCACAGATAAGAGTCAGGCACGGGGGTTCATGCCTGTAATCCCAGCACTTTGGGAGGCTGAGGAGGGAGGATCACGAGGTCAGGAGTTCGAGACCAGCATGGCCAATATGGTGAAACCCTGTCTCTACTAAAAATACAAAAATTAGCCAGGCATGGTGGTGCACGCCTGTAGTCCCAGCTACCCTGGAGGCAGAGGTTGCAGTGAGCCAAGATCGTGTCACTGCACTCCAGCCTGGGCAACACAGCAAGACTCCATCTCAAAAAAAAAAAAAAAAAAAAAGAAATTACTAGTCTGACCTCCAGAAGTCTTTTGATGTTTCCTAAACACATAAAATGAATATTTTGAGAGCGTATTTGAATAAATTTTAGATTTTTACCTGGTGAAAAAGATATGTCTTGAAAATTCTGAAGGACTACTTTATGAACAGTGGGTTAATCTTGTTCTGCAACTATCCCAGAATAGAATTACAATCCACAAGTAGAAGCTACAGGACATCTGTACATTTAGGAGATACTCAACTGGAACAGATTCTGCCATAAGGTAATAAGTTTGGTAAGAATAATACTGAAGGAATTCGAAGGTCAGGTGCATAGTTGAATGACAAAACATGTTGCTTGAAACCCTAAGATATCTGTAGTTCTAATTCTGAAGAGTTACCAAACAAGAGTTAGTCTAAGTTATAATTTACATACAAAAATCACCAGGTAAAACTCACTTTTTAAATCGAATTACATTCCACGTGCAAACACAAAATTTTTACCAGAACACTGATATGAGATTATTTTTACCTTCACAAAAGAAATGGAGAATGCCAATTTCATTTAAGTTTAAGAAAGATGATAAGATACTTCTTGGTAAGGATTGTAGCTTGACTACGTGTATTTGGTATTGCTCCCCCTCAGAACTACACTAATGCTACAGTAAAACCATTCATAATCAGGAAGAATGGCAGAAGAGGCAACTACAAAATTTTGGAAACTGAAAAAAGGATAAGTAATAATGACATTGAATTTGAGAAAGCTAAATTTTAGCCTGAAGGGGGCAAGTAAAGGACAAATCTGACCGGGCACCGTGGTTGACACGTGTAATCCCAGCACTTTGGGTGGCCGAGATGGGCAGATCACTTGGGATCAGCAATTTGAGACCAGCCTGGCCAACATGGTGAAACCCTGTCTCTTTATTAAAAATAGAAAAATTGGCTGGGCTTGGTGGTGCGTGCCTGTAGTCCCAGCTACTGGGGAGTGGGAGGCGGAAGTGGCAGTTAGCCGAGATTGCACCACTGCACTCCAGTCTGGGCAACAGAGTGAGACTCCTTCTAAAAAAGAAAAGAAAAAAAAAAAGACATTTATTTTACATCATAGAATCTTTAAGCGACTCAAGAATTGGTGGCACCATGTACCCCTGGAAATGAGAATGAATAGACTAAAACGAGGAGAGTCTGTCAGAGGCTATTTAGGAAGCAAGCAGAGTCCTAGGTCCTCAAGCCCAAAGAAGACTGGAGGTTTATTTTCTGAAGAAGGTTAAACAAAGGATATGTGGGCTAGACACATGGAGGACAGGAATTCCATTTGAAAAAGGAGCATACTGAATGTCAACGCCTCCAGCCTACTTTCCTTATCTCCCAGAAAGATGAGGGTCTGGCTTTCACCTCCCAGACAAAAGACGCAGTTTTCAGTGAGAAATCCAACCAGAATAGACTTGAAGATACATCAGGAGTTTCTCAGCAAGTGGCCTAGCCAGATAACCTGTAGTGAACATCAGCAAGTCATAGTCGTGCCATCAGAGCTTCCCATAGGTTTTATAGTCCTCCTCTATTAAAAAAAATGTATTGGCCGGGCGCAGTGGCTCCTGCCTGTAATCCCAGCACTTTGGGAGGCTGAGGTGGGCAGATCATCTGAGGTCAGGAGTTCAAGACCAGCCTGACCAATATGGAGAAACCCTGTCTCTACTAAAAATGCAAAAATTAGCCAGGCATGGTGGCGCTTGCCCGTAATCCCAGCTACTCAGAGTCTGAGGCAGGAGAATCGCTTGAACCCGGGAGGCAGAGGTTGTGGTGAGCCGAGATTGTGCCATTGCACTCCAGCCTGGGCAATAAGAGCGAAACTCCATCTCAAAAAAATAAATAAATAAAAAATAAAGTTTATTATAGAACATTTCAAACCCATGCAAGAGTTAAGGCAATAGAAAAATGAACTCCATGTACACATCATTCAGCTTCAACAATTATTACGTCAGGGTTAATCTTGTTTCATCTGTATCCCCACCCATTCCCTCTGCTTAAGATTATTTTCAAGCAAATGACAGAAATTGTGTTTCATCCATAAGTATTTAATTGTCTATAGGAGATAATGACTGTTTAAAAAAACTAACAATATGGGCCGGGCACGGTGGCTCACACCTGTAATTCCAGCACTTTTGGGAGGCTGAGGTGGATGGATTGCCTGAGGTCAGGAGTTCAAGACCAGCCTGGCCAACATGGTGAAACCCCGCCTGTACTAAAAATACAAAAATTAGCCAGGCGTGGTGGCAGGCGCCTGTAATCCCAGCTACTCGGGAGGCTGAGGCAGGAGAATTGCTTGAACCCGGGAGGTAGAGGTTGCAGTGAGCCGAGATCGCGCCACTGCACTCCAGCCTGGGCGACAGAGCAAGACTCAGTCTCAAAATAAATAAATAAATAAATAAACAAACAAACAAACTAACTAACAAACTAATAATAGAGCCAGGGGCACGACGGCCTATGCTGTAGTCCCAGCTACTTAAGAGGCTGAAGTGGGAGGACTCCTTGAGCCCTAAAGTTTGAGGTTAGCTTGGGCAATATTGCAAGACCCCATCTCTAAAAAACAAACCAAAAATATAAGTAAACTAACACTAGTACAGTTATCACACCTAAACAAAATTATCTATTTGGCAACATCATCAAAGATTCATTCGCTGTTCAAATTTTTCTCTAATGCCATTTTTTCTTAACATTAAAAAAAACCAAGCCAGGCACCATGGCTCACACCTGTAATCCCAGTACTTTGGGAGGCCAAGGCAAGAAGATCACTTGGGCTCAGGAGTTCAAGACCAGCCTGGGCAACATAGCAAGACCCTGTCTCTACAAAAAATTCAAAAATTAGCCAGGCATGGTGGTGCATGACTGTGGTCCCAGCTACTCGGGAGACGAGCTTGGGAGGTCAAAGCTGCAGTGAGCCGTGATTGTGCCACCACACTCCAGCCTGGGTGACAGAGTGAGACACTGTCTCAGAAAAAAAAAAAAAAAAGTATTCAAATAAGGTCAATACATTGTGATTAGTTGGTATGTATCTTAAGTATTTTAATATATAAGTTCTCCCTATATCTCTTTTTTCTTGAAATTTATTTAATGATTAACTAGGTTGCTGGTGCTGCAGAGTTTCACAGTTTGGATTTTAATTATTGCACACCTTTGGTAGTATTTAACACATTCCTCTGCCCCTGCATGTCCTAAAAATTAATAGTTAGATCTAAGGGCTTTATCAAATTCTATATTTAGATTTGATTTGGGTAAGACTACTTCATAGGTGTCAGCACAAGCCTTTTTTGTTTAACATGACTAAAGTAGTCTTCAGTAGCCTCCTTGCTTTCTGGTGAAAAGATTTTCCAGGTTCATCTGGTATATTTCCTTAGGAAGACTCTTGTTTCTAAAACTAGTACAGGAAAAAAATATAAGATCTGAATAGTCTGATACCAATTATTTAAATAGAACCTATAATATATATTCCCAGAAAGAAAACTCAAGGGTCAGATGTTTTCACCAGTTAATTCTACTAAACATGCAAGGGAAAATCATCCCAATGTTAAACTCATTTTATGAGGCCTGTATAACCTTAATACCAAACCATTAGGGAACGATGAGGAAAAACAAACAACACAAGGAAATTTTTTAAAAAAGAAAATTACAGGCTATTATCATTCATGAATGTAGTGAGAAAAATCTTGAGATAGTAACAAACTGAATCCAGGAATATACATTTTTTAAAAGATTACATGTCTTGAACAAGTTAAGATTATTCTAGCATGGAGAAGTTGGATTAGCATTCAAAAATCAATAAAGGTGGTCAGGCGTGGTGGCTCACACCTGTAATCCCAGCACTTGGGGAGTCCCAGGTGGGAGGATCACTTGAGGTCAGGAGTTTGAGACCAGCCTGGCCAACATGGCAAAACGCCCCTCTCTACTAAAAATACAAAAATTAGCCGGACCTAGTGGCCTGCACCTGTAATCCCAGTTGGGAACAATTCTGTGACAGTCCTTCTTTCTAACATACAATTCATATTATTTTCTTTTTATTCTCTTAAATCTGGAACATCATTCAAAATCTACACATAGAAAGCTATCTCCTTTTTAGTAGAGTTTGCCCCATATTAGGGCAATAACTTATCTAATCCTTGTGAACCCCCATGAGAACCCCACTAAACTCTGAGTTCCGTGGGGCAAGGACGTTCTGTGCTGTTCCCTTCCTTATCCTCTCCATACCCTCCCAAACTTTATGAAGCTGGAAAGAGGAAGAGAAGGAGATGAGGGAAGGCTTCCAAGGAGAAACAACTTCCAAGCTGAGGTCTAGAGAATGAGAGACAGACCAGAAGTATGCAGAGAGAACTGCTCCGAGGAGAGATAGGGCTCCCCCGGCAACCACAGAGATACGGGGTACTGAGAAGCCCACAGAGAAGGTACCTGACTGGGTGTGTCTGGCAGTTGTAAGGCAAGGCACTGGCACTTTCCCTAGAGTTGTCTCTTCTCTATACCATATAACTATGGTTCCAAGTGTGAAGTGAGCACACTACAGAGAGGCTGGAGGAAGAACAGCAGCTGATTCCAAACATAAATTAATCCTTCAGGCTGCGTGCGGTGGCCCACGCCTGTAATCCCAGCACTGTGGGAGGCCGAGGAGGGAGGATCACTTGAGGCCAGGAGTTCGAGACCAGCCTGACCAACATGGCGAAACCCCGTCTCTACTAAAAATACAAAAATTAGCCAGGGCGTGGTGGCGCGCACCTGTAATCCCAGCCACTCGGGAGACTGAGGCAGGAGAATGGCTTGAACCAGGGAGGCGGAGGTTACAGTGAGCCGAGATCGTGCCACCTCACTAAGTATGTGCCATTAAGGGTTTTTTTGCTTGTGTCACTCATTGCTGTATCTGAGGCGCCTGGAGTACACTGTCCTCTAAATAATGGGGGAACATTGTTCTGGGGACGGTTATCTCTGGCTCCGTGGTAAACAGAAGTCGAAGAGGAGAATGGGATTGATACGTAAGAACCATTCATACTGAACATTTGGAAAGGGATTCTCCTAAAAACAGTCCCTAGTGAGAATGAAAAGTACTTGGCAGCGGTGGGATTTGAACCCACGCCCCCGAAGAGACTGGAGCCTTAATCCAGCGCCTTAGACCGCTCGGCCACGCTACCGTTGATTACAACTGTGTTCTTCCGCATTTTCCCTAGTAGAGAATGTCGCCCTCTACTGCGTTTAAGGTGTGTCTTTTTTCCCATTAGGGAATGTCGCCCCCCCCCCCCCACCCCGGGGCGTTTAAGGTGTGCCTTCTCCCCATGACCTCTTCTCTGGAGCTCCCTCCAGCGCCATCAGAGAACTTCAGGCAGCTGTTCAGCCGCCACACACCCCGAACCCCCAACACGTTGCTTTCGCACTGATGGGAGCAGTGAGGAAGGAAACCGGCGGATCCTAGACGCCCTTCCCTTGCGTCACCGATGTAAGAGGAAGCGGCCACGCGGACGGAGACCCCCAGGGGACGCTGTGGTTCGCAGGTTCGCCGTGGAAGGTGACGCCTGGCTGGAGCCCCGACGCCGCTGAGCGAGTTTCAAGTGGTTTTGGCCGACGGAACTCTACGAAAAAACGGGGCGCCGTGCGAAAGAGCGCAGTCCTTGCTGTTTATGAAGGTAAAAATTCAGAAGGTGACCCGCGGTCCCCGCAGAAATGCCCGCCGGGCAAAAGGCACAAGACGGTTCAGTTTGAAACCTCAAGATTCGAATCATTTAAAAGTATAGTTGCTGCTATAGTATAATGCAATGCATTGACAAAGTTGTTCGTTGCGTTTCTCTTAGTGCAGGCGACAGCGCGTCGGTCTCCTTGGCCCAAAATTTTGACTGAGTCCTAAAATAAAAACGCATTGTGCAAAAAATTATGACAAATAAGATCATAATAAAGAAAGTTAACTAGCGCTGGAGTTTCTTATTGTTTTGTCATTCATCTTCATTAAAATCACTGCTGACGGAAGTTTTTATCCAATATGCCAGTGGAAACTATGCTGTCTTAGAATTCTTTTTTTTTTTTTTTTTTGGAGATGGAGTTGGCTAGAGTCCAATATCGCGATCTCGACTCACCGCAACCTCCGCCTCCCAGGTTCAAGCAATTCTCCCGCCTCAGCCTCCCGAGTAGCTGGGATCACAGGCATGCGCTACCAAGCCCGGCTAATTTTGTATTTTTAGTAGAGATGGGGGTTTCTCCATGTTGGTCAGGCTGGTCTGGAACTCCCGACCTCAGGTGATCCGCCCGCCTCGGCCTCCCAAAGTGCTGGGATTACAGGCGTGAGCCACCGCGCCTCCCAAAGTGCTGGGATTACAGGCGTGAGCCACCGCGCCTCCCAAAGTGCTGGGATTACAGGCGTGAGCCACCGCGCCCGGCTGTCTTACAAATTCTTATACTTGAGTTGTTCATACGGAATTTACTGCATAGTGCCTGGTGTTAATTTCCTGTGGTTACTGTAACAAATTATCAGAAACTGTCTAAAAACAACAGATATGTATTCTCTTACAACAGATATGTATTTCTGAAGGCCAGAAATCCACAATCAGTATGTGGGCCAAAATCAAGGTGTGGGCTGCGTCCAGCTCCCTCTAGAAACTTTAGAGTAAAATCCTATCCTGGCCTTTTCCAGCTTCTGGTGGTTGCTTGTTGACTTATACTGATTCAGTAAAAGTACCTCGTCAATACTAAAAGTTGCAATACTCTTAGCAATACATTATTTCCTAAGGAAATTACTTTAGGAAAATTACTAAGAAAAAAGATTTCCAAGAAAGCAAAAGCAACACAGTCACTCCCTTTTTTGAGACGAAGTCTCAGTCCGTCGCCCAGGCTAGAGTGCAATGGCGCCATCTCGGCTCACTGCAACCTCTGCCTCCCGGGTTCCGGGTTCAAGCGATTCTCCTGCCTCAGCCTTCCGAGTAGCTGGGACTACAGGCATTCGCCACCACGCCCAGCTAATTTTTGTATTTTTAGTAGAGACAGGGTTTCACCATATTGGCCAGGCTGGTCTCGAACTCCTGACCTTGTGATCCGCCTGCCTTGGCCTCCCAAAGTGCTGGGATTACAGGCGTGAGCCACGGCGCCCGGCCTGCACACCCGCCCCCCTGCTCTTTCTCCTGGTCTCACTTTCCTCTGTTCCTCCGTATTCCCCAAGGTAGGCGCGCCTCTTTTGTCACCTGCTGTGTCAATCTGGGCTCTCTGCCTGGTTCTCTCAGTCCCTCACAACAGCAATAGTTTCCTCTCCACTATCAAGGCTATATTCTCCTACCAGTTCTAGATCTCTGAGAGCAAGATGGCCGAACTTGAGGGAGACCACTTTTTGACAGCTTTAACCTTCAAGGACACAGAGCAAGGGTGCCCTCCTGCTAGGTGCTAATTGGTTCAATGCTTCATCAGCTGCATCTTGGTCCATCAAAGGCATCATTCCAGAGACTGATTTTCTCTCTGGTGTTTGCAATCCTGCACGGTAAACTAGGAGGGTGAAAACAAAACAGAAAAATGGGAGAAATTATTTGAAAGTGACGATATCAACCAGTGAACATCAGGAATCCATTAACCCGTTCAACAAGTATTGACTGAATGCCTACTCTGTGCCTGGGCACTGAGTATTCAGGACGAACGCTGACACCGGTGGTCCTCACCTTCACAGCTAGGAGGAAAGGCCAACTGATTAAGCAATTGCAAGTCATCATCGTGACTGAATTGGTGCTGGGTCACACAGCTCGGGATTGGAACTTAGTGTCGATCTGGAAAGGCCTGCTTGGAGAAATTCACGAATGCACTGAGGAATGGGGTGGGGGTAGGAGGTTGGAGCGAGACAAGACTGGCCAAAAGTCTGAAAAGAAAAAGACAATTTGGGTTTGAACCCGCAACAGAACAAGCCCCACAACCCTTCTCTCTCCGTAGAATCCCTACCTCCCGGAGGGAAGACTGAGAATCCTGAAGGGGTCAGGAATGAGAAGGACAAAGGAGAAAGAAAAGAGTAGGACGGCTTCTCCCACGGATCAATCGCGTAGGTGGTGGTGGTCCCTGACAGCTGCAGCTGCCTGATCACTGCTGGATCTGTGATTCTAAAATTCTGAGCAGTAACGAGCCCAAGCGTGCACCTGAGGAAAGAGTAAGGGCACACAAAGTCAGAACAAAGTATGTATGTATTTGAGCCAGGGCCTCGCTCTGCCACGATCAGAGCTCATTGCGGCCTCGAACTTCTGGGCTCAAGAGATCCTCCCGCCTCAACCTCCGAGCAGCTGGAACTACACGTACACGTGACCGCGCCTAGTTTTTCTTTCTTTTCTTTCTCTTTCTTTTCCTTTCTCTCTCTCTCTCTCTTCCCCCCGCCCACCCCCCCCCCTTTTTGGTAGAAACGGGGGTCTCGCTTTTTTGTCCTGGCTGATCTCGAAATCCGAGGCTTCAAGCGACCCTCCCGCCTCCGCCAGAGGAAGAATGTAAACGGGACAGGAATGTGTCTCTGCTCCCCCGCCCTGGCGAGGGACTTGCTAGTATCCTCTATCCAACTGCTGGCTGAATGTGTTCTCTCTAGGAATCGAGGAGGACTGCCTTTCTCGCTGGTTCTATTTCAGTCCCGATCCCACAGCTTCAGTCCAACCGGTTTGCTTTGTTTGATAGGCTGGGCATGAGAGTGAGATTTGGAGCTATCCTCACAGATTCCTGGAAGTTGAACAGATCTCTGATGAGTCCTCTCTTTAGAACTAAACTGATTCCCCCAGGACCTACCAACTTGAGGAATTTTCTGGGAAGCACTTAGGTACCTGTACGGACTTGTCAACAACTGCCATACGTAAGAGACTCTAATTCCAGCTTTACTGTGCATGACCAGAAAGCTTGAAATTGAAATCTTGATGCCATCCCATAGTTAACCGAGATTTTCCAGGTTTATATATAGTTCAGAATTCAAAGTTCTGAAAATCTAAGAGCTTTCACAACTCTGCGCTTTTGCTTCTCCTGAGACGCTTGTCCTGGAATGCTGGTTTCCATTTTGTTCCCTAATAAAAATCTTGTTCATTCTTCAAAGCCCACTTCAAATAGGGTCTTCCCCACCCCACCTCCAAATCTCCCTCTCTCTCTCACATACACACACCCCATTGTATTTTTCCACACTTCATTTTAGCAGGTAACTCTGTGCCCAATAGAAAATTTACTCACTTGGCGGGGCGCGGTAGCTCACGCCTGTAATCTCAGCACTTTGGGAGGCCGAGGCGGGCGGATCACCAGGTCAGGAGATCGAGACCATCCTGGCTAACACGGTGAAACCCCGTCTCTACTAAAAATACAAAAAATTAGCCGGGCGTGGTGGCGGGCGCCGGTAGGCCCAGCTACCTGGAGGCTGAAACAGGAGAATGGCGTGAACCCAGGATGCAGAGCTTGCAGTGAGCCGAGATGGCGCCACTCCACTCCAGCCTGGGCGACAGAGCGAGACTCTGTCTAAAAAAAAAAAAAAAAAAAAAAAAAAAGGAAAACTTACTCACAGTATCTGTCTCCTTCATTCCCCAAGTACGGTGAGAAGAATGATGATGATGATAATATTAATAACACGGATTTGGATAATTGGCTGACTGCTTTTGTGTATTATGTTATTGACTCATCGCAACTTTATATAGTAAATACTGTAATACTTTTATTCCCATTTTACAGTTGAGAAAATTGGGATTTGGGGGGTGTTAAGAGGTGAGATTTCTGTCTTGGTCATTTTTCATTTTCCATAGTGACTAGTGTAGTACAAGCCTACTGGCTCTGAATATTTGCAGATTGATTCCTTGACCCTAGCTGTTGACTTTTTTTTTTTTTTTTTTTTTTTAGTAGTCTTTCACATTCTCTTTCCTCCTCTTGTCTTGATGCATATTTTGGTTTTGTTATATTTTTTCGACGTTCTCTCTGAGCTGACGAGTAAACGGTAGCAAGTCTGGTGAATAAACAGAACCTACCGTGCCAAAATTAGGGAATTTTTTTTCCTATGGACAATGAATAATAGCTCAGATGAGAAGGAAAGAAACTGGTAGCATTCGAAGAAGAGTTCTTTTTCTCTAATCCAATTAGCTTTATGTGGAAAATGAAAGAAAAGAAAAGAAAAGAAAAAAAGAGGCATTAATCAAGATAAGTTAAGCCAGACAGTTCCTTTCACAGGGGTCCCAACCAGACTGTTTTCTGAAAGCAGAGGCATAAAAACTAATGAAGCAAGAGATTCTTGCTGCACATAGAGGAGACAACGTGTGATATCACGAAAAGAGGGTGCTTTTCAAGAACTGATCACCAGCAGGCCTAGAGGGTTGAATTCCTATGAAACATTAGATTAAAAGGCTTCCGTATATACAGGAATTTTACAAACCATATTACTTTTATGTCTATGTCAAAATAAGATTTCTTAGTCAAATTGATCTTATGTATGTGTCAAAGTTTATTAATTCAAGGACAGAACTGACAAGATGACAAAAGAGTGTCCCATCTCAAGGAAGTTTTGGAAACTGTGAATATATGGAGCCAGGGAAGAGAAGAGAAAGTGCAATTAATTAGAAAAAGTCCTGCTTCATTTAACTGGATCATAACAACATCACATCCTGGCTGGAAGCGGTGGCTCACGCCTGTAATCCCAGCACTTCGGGAGGCTGAGGCGGGTGGGTCTCTTGAGATCAGGAGTTCGAGACCAGCCTGGCCAACATGGTGAAACCGCGTCTCTACTAAAAATACAAAAATTAACCTGGAGTGGTGGCACGTGCCTTTAATCCCAGCTACTCGGGAGGCCGAGACAGGAGAATTGTTTGAACCCGGGAAACGGAGGTTGCAGTGAGCTGAGATCGGGCCACTGCACTCCAGCCTGGGCGACAAAGAGAGACTCCATTTCAAAAAACAAACAAAAAATCACATATTCCATTTGTTGGTGAAATAAGATCAGGAGCACCACGATCTTTGTTTGGAAACTTGTAGAGAAGTCATACGTGCCCCAAACTCTTAGCAGATATAAGAAAGAAATAATAAGCAATAGCTGCTCTTTAGACAGACCAAGAAACAAAGATTCATGCCCCGATATTGTCAGACAGGAACCAGTTAGCACAGGGTCACCAAACCTTGTCAGGAGAGAAACAAAAAGTCTGCTTTTTCTCCAGTAGCTCTCGGTAAATTTACCAAATGTGCATTCAGAGATGGTGCTGAATTCATTGTTTGCCTGTTTCTCAGTTTTGTGACAGCAGGTTTTAATTTCATGTTTATGACCTTCTCCTATCCTCTCTTAGGAAAAAAACATAATTTGTACCTTCATAGGGGAAAAAAGGTTGAAGCGCTGGAGAGATGAAGCAGTCCTGAAACTGCTTTGGCCCAGAATATTAAATTACTGTGTAGGTATTTCTAGGGCTATCCCCTAGCGCCCAGTTGGAGCAGCGTGAAACTTACAGAGAAATCCGAGGAAGATAGAGTAGGTGTCTAAACCACCGAGGCTCTAGCAGCTTCAGAAGCTTGAACACAGCGATCAAATCTCCCAGAAATGACTTCGCCATTTCTTCTCTGTCATCTTCATAACTGTCTTTTCAAAAGGTTATGCTAATCTCAACTAACTCCTAATGGATTGTCTCCGGAATTTCCCGCTTACTGAATCACCCAATTGAGTTAAAAATGTTAAAGCGCTTACTTAGAACAATGCCGGACACTCGGTCTACGCTAGATTAAGTATTCATTAATAAATGTTTTAAAATAATTGAAAATTACATTGCTTGTCATTTTGTACCTGGAATACTAAAACAGGAACAGGGTTTCTATGCAGAAAATGCCTCCTATGAAAATTGAAAGTTAACTTATCCACAATTTGCTGTTTACTCAGAGATTTCGTTCCTGGATGAAAGAATTTGGAGGTTAAAACAGAAAAACCTCATTCCCTGACCGGGAATCGAACCCGGGCCGCGGCGGTGAGAGCGCCGAATCCTAACCACTAGACCACCAGGGAAGCTGAAGTAGGTTTGTTAAAACATATTTATGAAGCGAGAACTCAACACATACGCACACAGTTGACTTCTACTTTTCCGACGAGTTAGTGCACGGTCATGCTCTCGTATTCACTGACCTCCTGTTTTGCACCAACCAATAAAATCTGGACGGCAGAGGGCGTGGCAATGCCATAAGAGTAATTTGGGAAGTTCGTAACTGGATGATGGAACGTGCTCTGTTTCGATGTGTGCATTCAACCGAGAATAAATTGTAGCATCAATTTGTAATTGTCTTCTTGCTTTTCTTTGCATAAAGTGGTGAGCCATTTGAAGAACGAAATAATTTTTTAATTTGTCTTTGGTTCCTTCGGAGTACCTGTCATTGTGGGTTTTTTTTTTAATAAATACCTAATAGTAAATAAAAAACATAAGTAATAAATTCATTAAGCCTTATTTTTAAGTGGCGTGGGCGGAGCCGAAATAGCTCAGTTGGGAGAGCGTTAGACTGAAGATCTAAAGGTCCCTGGTTCGATCCCGGGTTTCGGCATGAGAGCGCTCGGTTTTTTGTGCCCACGGCAATACAAATATGGAATTTTCCTTCTACAATACAGAAACACTCCTTAGAACCTAAAATGGGGTCATATTTTTCTCAAATTCATAAAGGAAATCGCAAGAACACTGTGGGATACGTTTATTTCTGTAGCAGAACTCTAGGTATGGGTTTCAACATCTCACTAGATAAAAGAAGAAAAGGCAAACGTGCTGAAAGAAGTTTAATCTTGAGCAATACTAATTACATTTTATTTGCGACCTCTGTTCCCTCAATAAATATTTATTAAGTGAATTGTTAGTGTTATGCGCGCGTCTAACTGAAGAGACAACCTGAACAGGCTAAGTGTGAGCAACAAGCTGTTTATTCACTCTGGTCCGAGCGGGCTGAGTCCGAAAAGGGAGTCCCACCACCGGAGGGTGGTGGGATTGCAGCTAGTTTTATAGGTTAGGAGTAAGCAGTGGAAAGATACAATAAGGGCCCGTTTATTGCGGGCAAGGGAAGAATGTCACAAGGTACATTATCACAAGGTGGGAGGGGTCACAGAGCACAGTGTCACGAAGTTGATTGATCAGTTAGGGTAGAGCATGTTACAATGGTAGAAGGTCGCAAGGTTGGCTAATCAGCTAAGACAGGAGCTGTTTTTCTTCTTTTGTGGTTTTCCTGTTGTCCCAGACTTTCTGGCTCCAGGAGACCTTCTGGATGTGTACGTGTGGGTCACAGGGGTCACAATGCCTTGATCATAGCACAGCCTGCTCCGAGGAAAAGGATAGAGAGAGGCACGGCCGGTGAACTGAAGGGAAGTTTCCTGGAAAAAGGAGCCGCCTAAGCTGTTGAAAAAGTGGCTACTTGCTAGAGGTGGGGGAGGGGAGGGGTGGCTGCTGCGCTGTGAAAGGGAGACAGCCAGCATATTCCCTCAGCCACCTTTTTCCTAACCTCCTAATTTGCTAGCTCTTGGCATATTCAACCCCTGTCTTCCTACTCGGAGGAATGGTCTCTCATTTCCAAGTCTACTTAATATTCCATCTGAGCTTTTGAACCCTCTACCCATTCCATTTTGCTCTATGTTTGTGTCTTTCATCTCTCTCCTCCTTACGTGCCTCTCTTCAAATTACAGAATGTCTAAACCTCTATCTTTGGACAACAAAAATGGAACACATGACCTTATGCATTATCCTCAGACTCTTTCCTTCCACTCAGCACCAAACCTGTTGAAAGAACAATGTTTACCTCATTATTTGCTCATCAGCGGAGGAGGTCTGCCTTCCAATCCCAGGAAACCATTACCATCAACTTTCCAACTTTCAAATGTCTTGGCTGTTTTTGGTCCTATACTTAATTTTGCACAGTATAACAACCTATAAACAATCCTTCCCTTATGAAGCAGTCCTCCTTTGGACTTTGGGATTTTGAAGCAGCCTCGTTGTCTGGGGTGACACCCTAGATTCATCGTCTCACAGCCACAGAGATCAAGGACCTGGACACACAGAGAGGTTAAGAGTGGAAATTTAATAGGCGAAAGAAAGAAAATATCTCTCTGCTACAGAGAGGGGTCCTGGAAAAATGGGTTGCCGAAATTCGGTGAAATGCAGGGGGTTTTACAGATGAGCTAGTGGGGAGATGGTGTCTGATCTACATAAGGCATGAAAAACCCAGATAGGACCAGGTGTGCCAACTGCATAGGGTGTGAATCTCTGGCAACCCTCACCCCAATCTGTTATTATGCAGGTGGGTTCTCTGCCTGAACTTCTCCATGTTGCCCATTTCTTTCTTACTGTACACATGCTAACAAAAAAGGGAAGGTGGAGCCTCATGGTGGACATGCCTCACCCCCAGGTAGACCTTTTCTATCGGTGCAGCTGCCAGCCTTCCCCCATGCAAGTTTCCAGCTTCCTTATCTATGTCTGCAGCTCCATCTTGCAGGCTGCTCTTTGTTAGAAAAGGAATAATTTCTAGGGCTGCTTTTTGTTAGAAGAGAAGTTCTGCCGAGGACTCTTTTGCCCTAACTACCTAAGCAATTTCTTTGTATCTCCTGTATCAACTTGACTCTCCATTATTTTTCTCCATACTCTCTTGCTCTTCCCTTTCAGCTCCCTATCCCTCCAATTTTAATGACTTTGGTCTTTTTTTAAATTAAATGTTTAATTTTTAGGTAGTCGTAGATTCACATGCAGTTATAAGAAATAATATGGAGAGGTCCCATGTCCCCTTTACCTGCTTGCCCCCAATGGTAACATCTTGCAAAACTATAGCACAAAATCACAATCCGGATATTGATATTGATATTGATAAAGTCAAGATGCAAAACATTTCCATCACCACAAGGATTCCTTTTGGCCCTTTTACAGCCACACCCACTTGCCTACTGTTCCTGCCTCAACCTCTGGCAACTAGTAATCTGTTTTTCACTTTTATGATTTCATCATTTCGAGAATGTTATGAAAATGGAATCATACATTATGTAACCTATTAGGATTGGCTTTTTGCACTCAGTGTAATTCTCTAGAGATTCATCTAGGTTGTTCGGCATCAGTAGTTCATTCTTATTTCTCGCTCACTAGCATTCTGTGGTATGAATTTACCAGTTTGAACATTCACCTGCTGAAAGACATTTGAGTCATTTTCAGCTTTTGACTTTTACAAATAAAGCTACCATAAACATTTGCATACTGGTTTTAGTGTTAATATAAATTTTCGTTTAGCCAAGATAAATGTCCAGGAGTGCAGCTGCCGGGTGGTATGGTACTTGCACATTTAGCTTTTTAAGAAACTGCCAACTGTTTTCCAGAACAGCTACATTTCACATTCCCACCTACATGTATACAGCCTCATCAGCATTTGGTTGTTGCCACTATTTTTATTTTAGTCATTCTGATAGATGTATAGTGATATCTCATCTTGGTCGTAATTTGTATTTCCCTAGTGCTAAGGATGTTGAAAACATTTTTATGTGCTCGTTTGCCATCTGTATATCTTCTTCGGTGAAATGTCTCTTTAGGTGTTTTATCCAATCCGATAAGAATAGTTGTGTACAGGTTTTTATGTGGGAAGTTCCTGAAAAAGCTGGAAGTTCAAACCTTTTCCAAATCTCTGTCTTAGATTATGAAGTTCTCATGCCATGCAATTTGTTTTTTAAAAAAATTATTTAGTGATACTTCTGAAAGCAATGTAAGGAAGACTATTCAGGACTATCGGGATAGGCACAAGGGACCATTGCAAGGAGGTTTTGCAGTGAGGGAAAGAGATCGGCCTCAGTTCTGAATATAGCATGGGCAAATGGGAATTTATAGCCAAGGAGCAGTGTGTCCTGGTCAGTGGACAGGAAATTACCAAGAGAAAACCTCAGAGGTAAGGGGAATTCTGGCCAAACAAACCTAACAGGATTCTTGCTGAAGACAGGCCAAGGTAATCAGACATCAATCATCTGGGGGATGGTGGAGAATGAGGAGCCTGATCAGAAATGGAGGTTAAACATAGATGATATGGGGGTTCTTGCTAAACTGACTTGGCAGGGTTCTTTGCTAAAACTGGACGTTACAAGGAAGTGCACAGATGGGCCTAGCAGAAGATTCAGAAGCCTGACTAAAGTTTGGCCAAGCGAATAGTCTTTGTTAAATTCTTATGCAACTGCATTTGCAAAATGCAAAACAGACTACTGTCTTGTTGTTTGGGGAAAGGAAGAGTGCAACATGGAGAAATTTCCAAGATGATAAGTCACTAACGAGTTTCTTCCGGCTCCCACTGACTGAATGAATCATCATTCCCTGAGGGGTAAAAAAAAAAAAAAGGAAGATCGAGCAAAGGGTAGCATATACCAGTCCCACCAGTGAACTCACTTGGTATGCAGAAATAATGCTGTTGATTTTTTAAAAGAAATCCCGAAAAGGGAAGTTAAAAGAGACCGGGTCTCGTCGGATGTCCCGGGCGGAACTGCAGGCGTTGCTCGCAGGCGCGGTCCCACCGTCGCCCAACACGGGGAGTTTGACCTGCTCCGTGTCCGGCCTGGGCCTGGTCCCCCCCTCCTTAGACAACCTGGTACTCCCGGGCTCCCCCGGGAGTACCATGTTGGTGCCAGGCCCGGTGCGGACGCCCGCTCCACACAGCGCCGTAGCTCCGAACCCCCGAGCACCCACGATCCGCCGACCTCAGCCTCCCGGGGAGCTGGGATTACAGGCGCGCGCCACCGCGTCCGGCGCTTGGTTTGGTGGCACCGCGGTCTTGGAGGCTGCAACTGCCGACTGCGTGTGCTGGGAGGCGGGATCCGTGCAGCGGTTTCCTCGCCGCCCAGCCGGCTGCCGCTCCAGATTGCCAGAAGTGCCTGATAGAACTAGCTGAAGAGACCGCAGAAAGCACTGGCAGAGAGATGAATGAGCATCCCTTACTATGTTGTCCTCGGAACCTTTACAAAAAGGTCAATTAAACAAACAGCTGTAAATTTAATAAGGGAAAGAGTGAAGGACTGTGTTGAGTGGGTTTCACAGACTTCAATACGTATATGAAATCACCTGGGGAGCTTGCTAAAATGAAGAGTTCTAACGCTGTAGGTGTAGGATGGGGTGTAGATATTCTGCATTTGTGAGAAACTCCCAGGTTAGGTCAGTGTTGCTGATCAGCAGCCCACGCTGCAAGTGACAAGGTTGTTGATGCTTTTGGACCTGATGGTTCTACAAGTTCTTGTCACATCATTATAATATTAGAACATGAAAAGAAAAGAAAGAAAGAAAGAAAGAGAGAGAAAGAAAGAGAAAGAGAGAGAAAGAAAGAGAGAGAGAAAGAAGAGAGAGAAAGAGAAAGAAAGGAAGAAAGAAAGAAAGGAAAGAAACAGAGAAAGAAAGAAAGGAAAGAAAGAAAACCACAGTTCCAGCCTCACAAGTGACTCTAGACATTTTCTTTCTTGTTTTTTAGCTCTTGTCCTCACGCATACATAATTTTTTCCATGGTGGAAGCCATGACATTTGTACGATTTCATGTTGGGTGCATTTCCACCTTGTGTAAGTGGTAAATATGTACAGATAATTGTTCAATCACTCCTTCTGTCAGCCAACATTAACTGAGACCCTTTTCTGTGCCATATACAGTAGGTCTACCTGGGGAATCTGAGAGTACAAAATGCACTCCTCTAAGGAGCTTATGGCCTGTTAAAGAATAGAAGACGGCCGGGCCTGGTGGCTTACGCCTGTAATCCCAGCACTTTGGGAGGCCGAGGCAGGCAGATCACGAGGTCAGGAGATGGAGACCATCCTGGCTAACATGGTGAAAACCTGTGTCTACTAAAAATACAAAAAATTAGCCGGGCGTGGTGGTGGGCACCTGTAGTCCCAGCTACTCGGGAGGCTGAAGCAGGAGAATGGTGGGAACCAGGGAAGCGGAGCTTCCAGTAAGCCGAGGTCGCGCCACTGCACTCCAGCCTGGGCGACGGAGTGAGGCTCCGTCTCAAAAAAGTAAATAAATAAATAAATAAATAAATAAATAAATAAATAAATTTTAAAAAAGAATAGAGACAAGTAAATCAGTGAGAGTGAAGATTTACTCCTAAGTTCTTCCATAGGTGTAAGGGCAGGGTACTGTGTACAAGATCACCAATACAGGCACCTAATCTGAACAAGAATGGCTTACTGGATGAGGTGCTACCTGAAATATGTCTTAAAGATAAGCTATAATTAGGCACATAAAGAAGGGCATGGAAAAATTTTTACCATCAAGTCCTGACAGAAGCAAAGCTAAAAAGGTATGAATGCCTGGGAAAATTACTAGTTCCTAGTTCAAGTAGACCTGAGCAGAAAATCAAAGGTTCATGGACCAAAGTAAAAAGATGAAGCAGTGGCTGAGGCCTGTAGTCCCAGCACTTTGGGAGGCCAAGGCAGGAGGATTACCTGAGGTCAGGAGTTCAAGACCAGCCTTGGCAACTTGGTGAGACCCCCCGCCACCGACACACACTAAAAATACAAAAATTAGCCAGGTGTGGTGGCACACACCTATAATCCCAGCTACTTGAGAGGCTGAGGCATGAGAATCGCTTGAACCCTGGAGGCAGAGGTTGCAGTGAGCTGAGATTGTGCCACTGCACTCCAGCTTGGGTGACAGAGTGAGACTCCATCTGAAAAAAACAAAAAAAAAGGATAAAGATGAGGCTACAAAGGAAAAAATCGTTACTTTGTGTAGTATACAGTCTCCAAAAACTGACCTCAATGCAGCATATTTTTCGGTCGTTACACCCTTTTGTAGTCCATTCCCACAGTGAATCTTGGCTGACCTAACAAAATTATTTCATTGAGGTGATACTGTGCCAGTTCCAGGGCTAAGCCATGTGAAATCTTGCACCTTCTGACTTGGTTTTCTGGAATGCTAAATCTTGGGATGCTCCCTCTCAGAATCCAGTCACCATGCCATGAGAAACCCAAGCCACATGAAAAGGCCATGGCTAGGCACTGTGGGTCACAGTCTCAACTGACTGAGGTCCTAGCAACATCAACTGCCACTGCCAGTTATGTGAGTGAGCCATCTTGAACATCCCTAGCTCAATCAAGCCTTCAGAGGAATGGAGTCCTTACTGACATCATGTGGAGCAGAATCACCCAGGTAAGCCCAGTCTATTCACAGAATTGTAAGAAATAGTAAAACGGCTGGCATTTCAAGACATGTGTTAGTTTTCTATTGCTGTCATAACACATTACCACAAATGTAGTGGTTATAAAAAACATAAATTTATTATTTAGAGTTTTTTAAGACAGAAGTCTGGTATGGTCTCACTGTGCTAAAATCAAGGTATTGGCAGGCTGCATTCCTTTCTGTTGGCCCCAAGGGAGAATCTGTTTTCTGCTCATTCAGATTATTGGCAAAATTCAGTTGTTTGCAGTTGTTGGATCAAAGTCTCTGTTTTATTGCTGCCTGTAAGCTAATGGCCACTCCCAGCTTCTAAAGGCTGCTGTGTTGCTGGGCTCTTTAAAACCAGCAATGGTGGATGGCGTCCTCAGATCACACCTCCCTGAACTACTCTTCTGCTTCCTCTTTCCACTTTTAAGACTCTAGTGATTAGGATCATCTCTCCATCACAAGTTCCCTAACCTTAATCACATCTCAAAGTCCCTTTGCCATGTAAGTTAACATATTTACAGTTTCCAAGGGTTAGAAGGGGCATATTTTTGGGTGGAAATAGCATTATTCTGTCTATCACTCCATTTGGAATTGTCTCTTGTATATTGGTAGGAAGTAAGAACAAACTGTGAGCCGTATCTTGACAATACTAAATACTTTGAGCTTTCCCTAAAAGGCTATGGAGAGACAGAAAAGTGTTCTGAACAGAGAGGTCAGTATGACGGGTATTTTTGCAAGCTCTTCTTGCCAGTTCTGTGGAAGCAGAGCCACAGCTAGCACACAGAGTGCCTTTGGGCAAATAATGCAACAGTAAGGCTGGGCGCAGTGGCTCAGGCCTCTAATCCCAGCAGTTTGGGAGGCCCAGGTGGGCGGATCACCCGAGGTCGGAAGTTCGAGACCAGCCTGGCCAACATGGTGAAACCCCATCTCTACTAAAAATACATGGTGGCGCATGCCTGTAATCCCAGCTACTCGGGAGGCTGAGGCAGGAGAATGGCTTGAACCCAGGAAGCAGAGACAACGGTGAGCCAAGATCCCACCACTGCACTCCAGCCTGGGAAACACAGTGAGACTCTGTGTCAAAAAAATAATAATAAAATAAAAAAAAAATGCCACAGTAAGCCATTTTGGTGGATGAATTACAGAAAGACAACCCTCAGGGCTGATGAAGCATAGAAAAGGGAAAATGTCAAAAGTCCTCTCTCCAGGACTCTTAGCTCTCAGTGCTCAGGTCATATTTCAGCCCCCATTCACCTTCTCTGGAAATCTTTTTTTGTAGGGCACCAGTGGGACTCCCTGTATAGAGAAACAATGGGAGACAAGCAGGGCTAGAAGCAAATCAACCAAACTGGAGGCTGTTGCAGTAATCCAGGAAAGATACAGAAAGAGGAGAAGGAAGAGGAGGGAAAAAGTCTCATGTAAAACGGTGGTGGTAATCTTGTATTAGAATAAAGGAAACAGACTCAGAAGAACTGAAGACACAGAATTCATAAGATGTGGGAAGTACGGGGCCGGGCGCTGTGCCTCACGCCTGTATGTAATCCCAGCACTTTGGGAGGCCGAGGTGGGCAGATCACAAGGTCGGGAGATTGAGACCATCCTGGCCTACATGCTGAAACCCCGTCCCTGCTAAAAATACAAAAATTAGCTGAGCATGGTGGCCGGCACCTGTAGTCCCGGCTACTCGAGAGACTGAGATAGGAGAATAGCTTGAACCCGGGAGGCGGAGCTTGCAGTGAGCCGAGATCGGGCCACTGCACTCCAGCCTGGGCGACAGAGCGAGAGACTCCATCTCAAAAAAACAAAACAAAACAAAACAAACAAACAAAAACAACTCAGAGCTAGACAAAATTACACTCCCTCAGGCTGAGTGCGGTGGCTCAAGCCTGTAATCCCAGCACTTTGGGAGGCCGAGGTGGGCGGATCACGAGGTCAGGAGATGGAGACCATCCTGGCTAATATGGTGAAATGCCGTCTCTACTAAAAATACAAAAAATTAGCCGGGCGTGGTGGCGGGCGCCTGTAGTCCCAGCTACTCGGGAGGCTGAGGCAGGAGAATGGCATGAACCCGGGAAGCGGAGCTTGCAGTGAGCCGAGATCAGGCCACTGCACTCCAGCCTGGGCGACAGAGCGAGAGACACCGCCTCAAAAAAAACAAAACAAACAAACAAAAAAACAACTCAGAACTAGACAAAATTACACTCCCTTAGGGCGGGTATGGTGGCTCACGCCTGTAATCCCAGCACTTTGGGAGGCCGAGGCAGGCAGATCACGAGGTCAGGAGATCGAGACCATCCTGACTAATATGGTGAAACCCCATCTCTACTAAAAATACAAAAAATTAGCCGGGCATGGTGGCGGGCGCCTGTAGTCCCAGCTACTCGGGAGGCTGAGGCAGGAGAATGGCGTGAACCCGGGAAGCGGAGCTTGCAGTGAGCCGAGATCGCGCCACTGCACTCCAGCCTGGGCAACAGAGCGAGAGACTCCGTCTCAAAAAAAAAAAAAAAAGGTCATAAGATGTGGGAAGTAAAAGAGAGGAAAAGATTGAAAAGGATGCAGATGTGATGATGCTAGTCGCCTGCCATCAGAAGCAGCAAGTCTTCTCCAAGATGATACTTTTCTTCTGAAGACGTGAGATTTGAAAAAATAAGAAAACAAAAGAATAACGAACTTTGAGTCTGATGCCTTAACACAGTATTTCATTCAGATGAAGAAATGCTATTGCATGCTAGCCGGGTGCGGTGGCTCACGCCTGTAATCCCAGCACTTTGGGAGACCGAGGCGGGCGGATCACGAGGTCAGGAGATCAAGACCATCCTGGCTAACACGGTGAAACCTGGTCTCTACTAAAAGTACAAAAAATTAGCCGGGCGTGGTGGTGGGCGCCTGTAGTCCCAGCTACTTGGGAGGCTGAGGCAGGAGAACGGCGTGAACCCGGGAGGCGGAGCTTGCAGTGAGCCGAGATCGCGCCACCGCACTCCAGCCTGGGCGACAGAGCAAGACTCCATCTCAAAAACAAAACAAAACAAAACAAAACAAAGAAATGCTATTGCATGCTAAAATGTTTTGAAGTTACCAGAGTCAGCAAGACTGAATTTGGAGCCCAGTGAAAAGAAGCCTACAAAGCTGATGGGGGTGCTTGATAGTAATCCTCTCCTTAACATGCTCAAAAAGAATTGACTCTGTATTTAGAAATCTCACAAATTGAGGAGGAAAGAGGAAGGAGAATGAGGAGAAAAGGGAAGATTTAAAAAAGGATAAGAAAATAATAGCACAAATATATATATATGTACACATATGTGTGTGTGTGTGTGTGTATATGTATATATATATAATATATATATATATAATATATATATATATATATATATATATATATATATATATATATATATATTTTTTTTTTTTTTAGACAGAGTCTTGCTCTGTTGCCCAGGCTGGAGTGCAGTGGGGCGATCTTGGCTCACTTCAACTTCCACCACCTAATTTTTGTATTTTCAGTAGAGACGGAGTCGGGGGTGGGGGGAGGGTCTCACCATTTTGGCCAGGCTGGTCTTGAACGCCTGATCTCAAGTGATCTGCCTGCCTCAGCCTCCCAAAGCGCTGGGATTACAGGTGTCAGCCACTGTGCCCGGCCTAATTTTTTGTGTTTTTAGTAGAGATGGATTTTCACCGCTTTGGCCACTCTGGTCTGGAACTCCTGACGCCGAGTGATCCACCCATCTCAGCCTCCCAAAGTGCTGGGATTACAGGCATGAGCCGTCATGCCCAACCACGAGTATATTTCGACATAAAATCTAAGATAGTCTTTTTGTAGAAAGAAATATGCTCACTTTCCTTAATTTGAGAACTATGATTTCTTCCTGCTTTAAAAATCATGGTTTCAGTAAATGTGCCTGCATTATTCTGTCAAAAGCCAGCTTCTATGACTTCTCACCTTTTCCAGGTATATATGAAACTCGTGAGAAACAAATCTTACTCATGGTGTCTTCCTTCCCTTTCTGTATAGTGGATACACCAAAGAGCTTCCCAAACCTTGTCTAGTAAATGGGTTTCAGGTGTGCAGGGGGACATGCATTCCCTCAGCCATTAGTCTCCCCCAGGTCCTTGACTTTTTCATTTCTAAATATCCCATTCTGTTTTTCAAACTTTTTTAGTGGAACCCATAATAAAAAATATAAGTATAGGTTACAACACAACTCTTATTTATTTGCAATGCACTGGGACATTTTGCATTCCATTCTCTTTCACTAAAATCAAAATTCTACTCATGATCCACTCAATTAACTTCATGTGCCACAAGGGTGTCACAATATACATTTTGAAAAACACACTACCCTTGACCTTGACATTAACCTAAACTGCAGGCACCAAGCCCAAGATGTAAATTTCAATCATCTCTTATACTGATTATCACCTTCTGTTTTTTCAGCTTATTTTCTTTTGCCCAGTGGAAAATTATTTAATGCATCTCCTTTCTCCTTACATCTTTACTTCCCTCTTTACACAACTTAAATTTCATGATTAATTATCAGCATTAGTAGCTTACAAAACCTTTGTCTCACTCACAATCATTGGTCATGTAATCACCAGACAGGTTCTTCCTGCCCCCACCCTGCACAGACAAAATCATTTCACTGAGACTGTGGTATTGCGTTTAAGAGTTTAATTGGTCGTCAGCAAAGCCTGAGTCCTGTCCTCTCGCTCTCCTCCCCGGACAGCAAGAGCTTCACCACTCGCTCCACCTTCTCCACCAACTACCGGTCCCTGGGCTCTGTCCAGGCGCCCAGCTACGGTTCCCAGCCAGTCTGCAGCGCGGCCAGCGTCTATGCAGGCGCCGGGGGCTCTGGTTCCCGGATCTCCGCGTCCCCCTCCACCAGCTTCTGGGGCGGCATGGGGTCTGGAGGCCTGGCGGCAGGGATGGCTGGGGTTCTGGCAGGAATGGGAGGCATCCAGAACGAGAAGGAGACCATGCAAAGCCTGAAGGACCGCCTGGCCTCCTACCTGGACAGAGTGAGAAGCATGGAGACCAAGAACCGGAAGCTGGAGAGCAAAATCCGGGAGCACCTGGAGAAGAAGGGACGCCAGGTCGGAGACTGGACAAATTACTTCAAGACCATGGAGGACCTGGGGGCTCAGATCAAATACTGTGGACAATGCCCGCATCGTTCTGCAGATTGACAATGCCCGACTTGCTGCTGTTGACTTCAGAGTCGAGTGTGAGACAGAGCTGGCCATGCGCTAGTCTGTGGAGAGCGACATCCATGGGTTCCGCAAGGTCATTGATGATACCAATGTCACTCGGCTGCAGCTGGAGACAGAGATCGAGGCTCTCAAGGAGGAGCTGCTCTTCCTGAAGAAGAACCAAGAAGAGGAAGTAAAAGGCCTACAAGCCCAGATTGCCATCTCTGGGTTGACCGTGGAGGTAGATGTCCCCAAATCTCAGGACCTCGCCAAGATCATGGCAGACATCTGGGCCCAATAAGACGAGCTGTCTTGGAAGAACCGAGAGGAGCTAGACAAGCACTGGCCTCAGCAGATTGAGAGTGCACCACAGTGGTCACCATGCAGTCCATCGGTGTTGGAGCTGCTGAGATGACGCTCACGGAGCAGAGATATACAGTCCAGTCCTTGGAGATCGACCTGGACTCCATGAGAAATCTGAAGGCCAGCTTGGAGAACAGCTTGAGGGAGGTGGAGGCCCGCTATGTCCTGCAGATGGAGCAGCTCAGCGGAATCCTGCTGCACCTGGAGTCAGAGCTGACACAGACCGGGGCAGACGGATAGCGCCAGGCCCAGGAGTGCGAGGCCCTGCTGAACATCAAGGTAAAGCTGGAGGCTGAGATCGCCACCTACCGCCGCCTGCTGGAAGATGGCGAGGACTTCAGCCTTCGTGATGCCCTGGACAGCAGCAACTCCATGCAAACCATCCGAAAGACCACCACCCGCCCGATAGTGAGTGGATGGCAAAGTGGTGTCTGAGACCAAGGACACCAAAGTTCTGAGACATCAAGTTGGCAAAAGCAGGGTACCCTCTGGGGCGCAGGAGACCAATAGGAAGTTCGGAGGTAAAAAACAAACAAACAAACAAACAAAAAAACCAGTTTAATTAACACAAGGCCAGCCACGTGGAAGATGGAGTTATTGCTTAAATCAGTCTTCCTGAAGGTTTAGAAGTTAGGGTTTTTCAAGGATAGTTTGGTGGGCAGGGAACAAAGGAATGAGTGCTGCTGATTGGTTGGGGATGCAATCACAGGGGTGTGGAAAACGGTCCTCATGTGCTGAGTTCACCTCTCGTGGAGGGTTGGAGGGAGGTATAGGATCAGTTGAGTTGTGAGTCCCAAATCCAGGTGGGGTCAGTCGGTTGGTAGAATACAAAAGTCTGAAAAGCATCTTTAAGACCAATCTTAGGATCTATATAGTGATGTTATCTATAGGAACAACTGGAGAAGTCACAGATCATGTGACCTCTGACCACATGACTCCTGAGCCGTAAGGGATTATAGAAACTATACCTACATTTTAGCAGAATTCAGGCCCCTTTCAGAATCCTAATTTTATGGTCTTTCATTTGTCTTACAAAGGCAGTTTTAGCACCCCAAACAAGGAGGGATATTATCATCTTTGCTTCCAACTTAAACTATAAACTAAATTCCTCCAATGGTTAGCTTGGCCTACACCTAAGAATGAGTGAGGATGATCAGCCTGTGAAGGTAGAAAGAAGCAAGATGGAGTGAGCCATGTTAGATTTCTCTCACTGTGATAATCTTTGCAAAGGCGTATCTGAATATGAATAGGTGAATGAATAGAGAATACTCCTAACTGCGCTCCTTTCTTTGTCACACTCTAAACCAAGGTTTCCTCCCCTCCATTCCACTGAAACTTCCTTGTCAAATCCCAGCAACCTCCATCTTGCTAGATCCAATGGTTAGTTTTCTTTTTCATAATTAACTAATTTATTTATTTATGAATTTTTCCATAAGTTATTGGGGAACAGGTGGCGTTTGGTTACACGAGTAAGTTCTTTAGTGGTGATTTGTGAGATTTTGGTGCACCCATCACCCGAGAAGTATACACTGCACCCTATTTGTAGTATTTTATTCCTCACTCTCCTCCCACCCTTCCCCCAAAGTCCATTGTATCATTCTTATGCCTTTGCATCCTCATAGCTTATTGGTGAGAACATATCATGTTTCGTTTTCCATTCCTAAATTACTTCACTTAAAATAATAGTCTCCAAGGTCAGGCACAGTGGCCCACACCTGTAATCCCAGCACTTTGGGAGACCGAGGCAGGCAGATCACCTGAGGTCAGCAGTTCAAACCCAGCTTGGCCAACAAGGTGAAACCCTGTATCTACTAAAATACAAAAATTAGCCATTCATAGTGTTAGGCGCCTGTAATTCCAGCTACTTGGGAGGCTGAGGCAGGAGAATCACTTGAACCCAGGAGGCAGAGGTTGCAGCAAGCCGAGATCATGCCACTGCACTTGAGCCTGGGGACAGAGACAGACTCCGTCTCAAAAAAAAAAAAAAAAAAAAAAAAAAAAGAAGAATAGTCTCCAATCCCATTCAGGTCATTGCAAATGCCATTAATTCATTCCTTTTTATTGCTAAGTAGTATTCCATTGTATATATATACCACAGTTTCTTTATCCACTCATTGATTGACAGGCATTTGAGTTGGCTCCACAATTTTGCAATTGTGAATTGTGCTGCTATAAACATGCATGTTCAAGTATCTTTTTTGTTTAATGACTTTTTTTCCTCTAGGTAGATACCCAGTAGTGGGATTACTGGATCAAAGGGTAGCTCTACTTTAGTTCTTTAAGAAATCTCCCCCACTGTTTTCCACAGTGGTTGTACTAGTTTACATTCCCACCAGCAGTGTAGAAGTGTTCCCTGATCACCGCATCCACACCAACATCTACTGTTTTTTGATTTTTTTGATTATGGTCATTATTGCAGGAGTAAGGTGGTATCACATTGTAGTTTTGATGTGCATTTCCCTGATCATTAGTGGTGTTGAGCATTTTTTATATGTTTGCTGGCCATTTGGATATCTTCTTTTGAGAATTGTCTATTCCTGTCCTTAGCCCACTTTTTGATGGGATTGTTTGTTTCTTTTCCCTACTGATTTGTTTGAGTTCATTGTAGATTATGGATATTAGTCTTTTGTCAGATGTATAGATTGTGAAGATTTTCTCCCACTCTGTGAGTTGTCTGTTTACTCTGCTGACTGTCCTTTGGCTGTGAAAAAGCTCTTTAGTTTAATTAAGTCCCAACTATTTATCTTTGTTTTTATTGCATTTGTTTTTGGGTTCTTAGGCATGAAATCCTTGCCTAAGCCAATGTCTAGAAGGGTTTTTCCAATGTTATCTTCCAGAATTTTTATAGTTTCAGGTCTTAGATTTAAGTCCTTAATCCATCTTGAGTTGATTTTTGTATAAGGTGAGAGATGAGGATCCAGTTTCATTCTCCTACATGTGACTAGCCAATTATCCCAGCACATTTGTTGAAAAGAGTGTCCTTTCCCCATATTATGTTTTTGTTTGCTTTGTGGAAGGTCAGTTGGCTGTAAGTATTTGGGTTTATTTCTGGGATCTCTACTGTTCCATTGGTCTATGTGCCTATTTTTATACCTGTACCATGCTGTTTTGGTGACTATGGCCTTATAGTATAGTTTGAAATCAGATAATGTGATGCCTCCAGATTTGTTCTTTTTGCTTAGTCTTGCTTTGGCTATGTGGGCTCTTTTTCCATTCCATATGAATTTTAGGATTTTTTTTTCTAATTCTGTGAAGAATGATGGTGATATTTTGATGGGAATTGTATTGAATTTATAGATTGCTTTTGGCAGTTTGATCATTTTCACAATATTGATTCTACCCATGAGCAAGGGTTGTGTTTCCATTTGTTTGTGTTGTCTATGATTTCTTTCAGCAGTGTTTTGTAGTTTTACTTGTAGAGGTCTTTCTCCTCCTTGGTTAGGTATATTTCTAAGTATTTTAATTGTTTTTGCAGCTATTGTAAACGGGGTTGAGTTCTTGATTTGATTCTCCACTTGGTTGCTGTTGCTGTATAGAAGAGCTACTGATTTGCGTACATTAATTTTATATCCAGAAACTACTGAATTCTTTTATCCATTCTAGGAGCTTTCTGGAGGAGTCTTTAGGGTGTTCAAGGTAAACAATCATATCATCAACAAATAGTGACAGTTTGAGTTCCTCTTTACTGATTTGGATGCCCTTCCTTTCTCTTATCTGATTGCTCTGGCTAGGACTTTCAGTACTATGTTGAAGAGGAGTGGTGACAGTGGGTATCCTTGTTTTGTTTCAGTTCTCAGAGGGAATGCTTTCAACTTTTCCCCATTCAGATTATGTTGCATGTAGGTTTGTCATAGATGGCTTTTATTACGTTGAGGTATGTCCCTTGTATCCCGATTTTGCTAAGAATTTTAATCATAAAAGGATGCTTGATATTGTTGAATGCTTTTTCTGCATCTATTGAGATGATTGTGTAATTTTTGTTTTTAACCCTGTTTATGTGGTGTATCACATTTATTGCACACATACTTGTGTATGTTAAACCATCCCTGCATCCTGGTATGAAACCCACTTGATCAATGTGGATTATCTTTTTGATATGTTGTTGGATTCGGTTAGCTAGTATTTTGTTAAGGATTTGAGCATCTATGTTCATCAGGGATATTGGTCTGTAGTTTTCTTTTTTGGTTATGTCCTTTCCTGGTTTTGGTATTAGGGTGATACCGGCTTCATAGAATGAATTAGGGAGGGTTCCCTCATCCTCTATCTTGTGGAATAGCGTCAATAGGATTGGTACCAATTCTTCTTTGAATGTCTGGTAGAATTCTGCTGTGAATCCATCTGGTACTGAACTTCTTTTGTTGATAATGTTTTTTGTTTGTTTGTCTTTTTTAGACGGAGTCTCGCTCGGTCACCCAGGCTGGAGTGCAGTGGCATGATCTCGGCTCACTGCAGCCTCGCCTCCTGGATAATTGGGATTCTTCTGCCTCAGACTCCCAGGTAATTGGGATTACAGGGGCCCGCCACCACCACCGGCTAATTTTGTATTTTTAGTAAAGACAGAGTTTCACCATATTGGCCAGGCTGGTCTCCAACTCCTGACCTCAGGTGATCCACCCGCCTTGGCCTCCCAAAGAGATTGCAGGCATGGGTCACCATGCCTGACCTGGTAATTTTTTTTTTGTTTTTTTTTTTTTTGAGACGGAGTCTCACTCTTGTTGCCCAAGCTGGAGTGCAATGGTGTGACCTCGGCTTACTACACCTTTGCCTCCTGGGTTCAAGCGATTATGTTGCCTCAGCCTCCCAAGTAGCTGGGATTACAGGTACCCACCACCACACCCAGCTAATTTTTTGTATTTTTAGTAGAGATGGGGTTTCCCCATGTTAGCCAGGCTGGTCTCGAACTCCTGATGTCAGGTGATCCACTCACCTCAGCCTCTCAAAATTCTGGGATTACAGGCATAAGCCACCATGCCCAGCTTGGCCTGGTAATTTTGTAGTTATCATTTTAATCTCGCTGCTTGTTATTTGTCTGTTCAGTGTATCTGATTCTTCCTGATTTAAGCTAGGAGGGTTGCATCTTTCTAAGAATTTATCCATCTCTTCCAGGTTTTCTAGTTTATGTGTATAGAGGTATTCATAGCAGCCTTGAATGATCTTTTGTATTTCTGTGGTGTCAGCTGTAATATCTCCCATTTCATTTTTTATTGAAGTTATTTGGATTTTCTCTCTTCTTTTCTTGGTTAATCTTGCTAAAGGTCTATCAATTTTATCTTTTCAAAGAACCAGATTTTTGTTTTATTTATCTTTTGTATTTTTTTGTTTGTTTGTTTCAATTTCATTTAGTTCTGCTGTGATCTTGGTCATTTCCTTTCTTCTGCTGTGTTTGGGTTTGGTTTGTTCTTGTTTCTCCAGTTCCTTGAGATGTGACCTTAGGTTGTCAGTTTGTGTTCTTTCAGTCTTCTTGATGTAGGTGTTTAGGGCTATGAACTTTCCTCTTAGCACTGCCTTTGCTGTTTCCCAGAGGTTTTAATAGGTTGTCACTATTGTCGTTCAGTTCAAGGAATTTTTTAATTTCCATCTTGATTTCATTTTTGACCTAATGTTCATTCAGGAGCAGCTTATTTAATTTCTATGTATTTGCATGGTTTTGAAGGTTCCTTTTGGAGTTGATTTCCAGTTTTATTCCACTGTACTCTGAGAGAGTGCTTCATATAATTTGAATTTTCTTAAATTTATTGAGCCTCATTTTGTGGCCTATCATATGGTCTATCTTGGAGAAAGTTTCATGTGCTGTTGAATAGAATGTGTATTCTGCAGTTGTTGAATGGAATGTTTTGTATATATCTGTTAAGTCCATTTGTTCCAAGGTATAGTTTAAATCCATTGTTTCTTTGCTGACTTTCTGTCTTGATGACCTGTCTAGTACTGTCAGTGGAGTATTGAAGTCCCTCGCTATTATTGTGTTGCCATCTATCTCATTTGTTAGGGCTATTAAGTAATTGTTTTATAAATTTGGGAGCTTCAATCATAGGTGCACACATGTTTAGGATTGTGATATTTTCTTGTTAGACAAGGCCTTTTACCATTATATAATGTCTCTCTTTGTCTTTTTTAACTGCTGTTGCTTTAAAGTTTGTTTTGTCTGATATAAGAATAGCTACGCCTGCTCAATTTTATTGTCCGTTTGAATGAAATGCCGTTTTCCTCCGCTTTTTTTTTTTTCTTTTTGAGACGGAGTATTGCACTGTCGCCCAGGCTGGAGTGCAGTGGCGCCATCTCGGCTCACTGCAAGCCCTGCCTCCTGGGTTCACGCCATTCTCCTGCCTCAGCCTCCCGAGTAGCTGGGACTACAGGTGCCCGCCACCACACCTGGCTAATTTTTTGTATTTTTAGTAGAGACGGGGGTCTCACCGTGTTAGCCAGGATGGTCTCGATCTCCTGACCTGGTGATCCACCCGCCTCGGCCTCCCAAAGTGCTGGGATTACAGGTGTGAGCCACCGCGCCTGGCCAAGATTTAGAGAACCTTTTATCAGTTCTTGTAGTGGTGGCTTGGTAGTGGCAAATTCTCTCAGCATTGGTTTGTCTGAAAAAGACTATCTTTCTTTCATATAAGATGCTTAGTTTTGCAGGATACAAAATTCTTGGCTGATAATTGTTTTGTTTGAGGAGGCTGAATGTTGGGCCCCAATCCCTTCTAGCTTGTAAGGTTTCTGCTGAGAAATCTGTTGTTAATCTGAAGGTTTTCCTTTATAGGTTACCTGGTGGTTTTGTCTCACAACTCTGAAGATTCTTTCCTTTGCCTTAACTTTAGATAACTTGATGACAATGTGCCTAGGCAATGATCTTTTTTGTGATGAATTTTCCAGGTGTTTTTTGTGCTTCTTGTGTTTGGATGTCTAGGCCTCTAGCAAGACCAGGGAAGTTTTCCTCGATTATTCCCCCAAATACGTTTTCAAAACTTTTAGATTTCTCTTTTTACTCCGGAACGCCAATTATTCTTAGGTTTGGTCATTACATAATCCCAGACTTCTTGGAGGCTTTGTTCATATTTTCTTTTTCTTTTTTCTTTGTGTTTGTTGGATTGGTTTAATTCAAAGACCTTGCCTTCAAGTTCTGAATTTCCTTATTCTACTTGTTCAATTCTATTGGTGAGACTTTCCAGAGCATTTTGCATTTCTATATATGTGTCCAATGTTTCCTGAAGTTTTGATTGTTTTTTATTTATGCTATCTGCTTCATTGAATATTTCTCCCTTCACTTTTTTTTTTTTTCGAGACGAAGTCTCACTGTGTTGCTCAGGCTGGAGTGCAGTGACATGATCTCAGCTCATTGCAACCTCCGCCTCCCAGGTTCAAGTGATTCTCCTGCCTCAACCTCCCAAGTAGCTGGCATTACAGGTGCACGCCACCACACCCAGGTAATTTTTGTATTTTTAGTAAAGATGGAGTTTCACCATGTTGGCCAGGCTGACCTCAAACTCCTGACCTCAAATGATCTGCCCACCTCAGCCTCCCAGGGATTACAGGTATGAACCACTGCACCTGGTCTCTCCCTTCACTTCTTGTATCATTTTTTGGATTTCTTTGTGTTGGGCTTCACCTTTCTCTGGTGCCTCTCTGATTAGCTTAGTAACTAACCTCCTGAATCCTTTTTCAGGTAAATCAGGGATTTCTTCTTGGTTTGGATCCATTACTAGTGAGCTAGTGTGATTTTTGGGGGTTGTTAAAGAGCCTTGTTTTGTCATATTACCAGAGTTGGTTTTCTGGTTCCTTCTCATTTGGGTAGGCTCTGTCAGAGGGAGGGTCTAAGGCTAAAACTGTTGTTCAGATTCTTTTGTCCCACAGGGTGTTGCCTTGATGTAGTACTCTCCCCATTTTCCTATGGATGTGGCTTCCTGAGAGTCAAGCTGTAATGATTGTTATCTCTCTTCTGGATCTAGCCACCCAGCAAGTCTACCAGGCTGTGAGCTGGTACTGGGGGTTGTCTTCACGGAGTCCTGTGATGTGAACCATCTATGGGTCTCTCAGCCTTGGATACCAGCATCTGTTCCAGTGGAGGTGGCAGGGTGTGAAATGGACTCCGTGACGGTTCTTAGCTTTGGTGGTTTAATGCTCTATTTTTGTGCTGGTTGGCCTCCTGTTGGTAGGTGGCACTTTCCAGAGAACATCAACTGTGGTAGTATGGAGATGAACCAGCGGTAGGCAGGGCCCTAGAACTCCCAAGGGTATATGCCCTTTGTGTTCAGTTATCAGGGTGGGTAAAGAAGGACCATCAGGTGAGGGCAGGGCTAGGCGTGTCTGAGTTCAGACTCTCCTTGGGTGGGTCTTGCTGCGGTTGCTGTGGAGGAGGGGAGGTTCCCAGGTCAATGGAGTTATGTACCTAGAAGGATTTTGGCTGCCTCTGCTGAGTCATGTAGGTTGTCAGGGAAGTGGGGGAGAGCCAGCAGTCACAGGCTTCACCCAGCTCCCATGCAATCTGAAGGGCCAGTCTCACTCCCACTGTGCCTCCCCTAACAGCACCAAATCTGTTTCCAGGCAGTGGGCAAGAAGAGTTGAGAATTTGCCCCAGGCTACCCGCCTCCCAGCTGTGAAAGAAAGTAGGGTTTTAGTTCTTCCCCTACCTGTGGAGTCTGCATGCTGGATTCATGCCCTCCCCCAAGTTCTGGCCATGAGGTTTCTTGACTAGTTCAAATTGTTACAAAGCTCAGCTGGAGGTTTCCTTCTTCCTGTGCCATTTTCCCTGTGCCTCTGGCTGCCCTCCCAAAGGATCCCTGTGATGCCAGCAGGAGTGGCCTACTTGGGGACCCAGCAAGCTCACAGGGCCTGTCCAATTGATTCCTCTACCCCTGTATTTCCCTTGGCTCTCTAAATTGACTCAGCTCCAGATAAATTCAGAATCTTCTCCCGTAAAGTAGACCTTCAGTTTCCCCAGTGGGGGTGTGTGCTCGGGGGCGGAGGATCTCCCTTTCTCACTTCCACAGTTTGGGCACTCACAGTATTTGAGGTGTCTCCCAGGTCCTACAGGAGCAATCTGCTTCCTTCAGAGGGTCCGTGGGTCCTCTCGGGTTTCCGGATTTATTCCTGAAGTCGTTCTGGAGTTAAAATTCATGATGAGGGCCTCCACACGCTGCTCCGTCCATTGAAGTAAGAGGTGCAATCTAGTCCTGTCTCCCGTCTGCCATAATGTTCCCAATGCTCTCCCAATGTTCAATTTTCAGGCTTCAATTTGCTCAGCCTCTCAATGTCATTTGGCCCAGTTGATATTCCCCCTTCATGAAAACACATTCCGACCAGGCGCAGTGGCTCACGCCTGTAATCCCAGCTCTTTGGGAGGCCGAAGCAGGTGGATCACGAGGTCAGGAGATCGAGTCCATCCTGGCTAACACGGTGAAACCCCGTCTCTACTAAAAATACAAAAAAATTAGCCAGGTGTGGTGGCGGGCGCCTGTAGTCCCAGCTACTTGGGAGGCTGAGGCAGGAGAATGGCGTGAACCCGGGAGGCGGAGCTTGCAGTGAGCCAAGATGGCTCCACTGCACTCCAGCCTGGGCAACAGAGCAAGACTCCATCTCAAAATAAATAAATAAATAAATAAATAATAAAAATAAATTTAAAAAAAAACAACATGTTCCTCATTAGACCCCTGAGGGTCTTCTTTCACAAATATTAAATCCTTGAATGTTAATGAAAGACCTCAAGTATACCAGCCTCAAGTTTATGAGATGACCTCTTTTAATCTTTTTTCACAGCAGAAAGGAAATAATAACTTCCTTCAGTGTTGCTAAAATTGTTTTATTATTCAGGCAGAAGCAGTTTCATGACCCAAAGAACAAGTATCTGAAAAGAAGGAAAAGCCATTGGCAATCATCCTGTTACCTCCAATCACCTATAAACCATTATTATCTATCAAACCATCCATTTTTATCTGTTAAGCCAGACGTTGTCCTTGAAGCTCACTGAGACCTCTTAATTCTTTATTCTTTTCATAAATAGTGTTTCCCCAAACTGGTGAACCAGTTGCTGTTGCTGTTCAACTTTTTAGGGAGCCAACTGAGACATAGCCATACCAAACCTTTCCACCCCCACAAAAAAAAAATCCAATAATTATATAATATATGCATGTATTACTTTGACATCAAATTTTAAAAATAGATGTTTGAAATTATATATTATTCTGCAATATTTGTTTCTCCATTGCAAAACTGTTATTACTTAAACAAAACAATAATGGTGTGTCCGGAATTGGTAGGTTCTTGGTCTCACTGACTTCAAGAATGAAGCCACGGACCCTCACGGTGAGCATTACAGCTCTTAAGGTGGTGGGTCTGGAGTCTGCCCCTTCTGATGTTCAGATGTGTTCGGAGTTTCTTTCTTCTGGTGGGTTCGTGGTCTCACTGGCTCAGGAGTGAAGCTGCAGACTTTCATAGTGAGTGTTACATCTCTTAAGGTAGCGCATCTGGAGTTGTTTGTTTTTCCCAGTAGGCTCGTGGTTTTGCTGGGCTCAGGAATGAAACTGCAGATCTTCACGGTGAGTCTTACAGCTCACAAAAGCAGCATGGACCCAAAGAGTGACCAGTTGCAAGATTTATTGCAAAAAGCGAAAGAACAAAGCTTCCACAATGTGGAAAGGAACCCGAGAGGATTGCCAATGCTGGCTCGGGCAGCCTGCTTTTATTCTCCTATCTGGCCCCATCCACATCCTGCTGATTGGTAGAGCCCAGTGGCCTGTTTTGTCAGGGCGCTGATTGGTGCGTTTACAATCCCTGAGCTAGATACAAAGGTTCTCCACGTCCCCAACAGATTAGTTAGATACAGAGTTTTGACACACAGGTTCTCCAAGGCCCCACCAGAGCAGCCAGAGTGTCGATTGGTGCACTCACAAACCTTGAGCTAAACACAGGGTGCTGATTGGTGTGTTTACAAATCTTGAGCTAGATACAGAGTGCCGATTGGTGTATTTACAATCTCTGAGCTAGACATAAAGGTTCTCCACATCCTCACCAGAGCAGCTAGATACAGAGTGTCGATTGGTGCACTCATAAACCTTGAGCTAAACACAGGGTGCTGATTGGTGTGTTTACAAACCTTGAGCTGGATACAGAGTGCCGATTGGTGTATTTACAATCCCTGAGCTAAACATAAAGGTTCTCCACGTCCTCACCAGAGCAGCTAGATACAGAGTGTCGATTGGTGCACTCACAAACCTTGAGCTAAACACAGGGTGCTGATTGGTGTATTTACAATCCTGAGCTACATATAAAGACTCTCCACATCCCCACCAGACTCAGGAGCCCAGCTGGGTTCACTTAGAGGATCCTGCACCGGGGCTGTAGGTGGAGCTGGCTACCAGTCCTGCGCCCTGTGCTCGCATTTCTCAGCCCTTGGGTGGTCCATGGGACTGGGCACCATGGAGTAGGGGGTGGTGCTCGTCCGGGAGGCTCGGGCCGCACAGGAGCCCATGGAGTGGATGGGAGGCTCAGGCATGGTGGGCTGCAGGTCCCGAGCCCTGCCCCGTGGGAAGGCAGCTAAGGCCCAGCGAGAAATCGAGCACAGCACTGGTGGGCTGGCACTGCTGGGGACCCAGTACACCCTCCGCAGCCACTGGCCCAGGTGCTAAGTTCCCTATTGCCCGGGGCCAGCAGGGCTGGCTGGCTGCTCCGAGTGCGGGGCCCACCAAGCCCACGCCCACCCGGAACTCCAGCTGGCCGGCAAGCGCCGCACACAGCCCCGGTTCCCGCTCGTGCCTCTCCGTCCACACCTCCCTGCAAGCTGAGGAAGTGGACCCCAGCCTTGGCCAGCCCAGAAAGGGGCTCCCACAGTGCAGTGGGGGGGCTGAAGGGCTCCTCAAATGCCACCAAAGTGGGAGCCCAGGCAGGGGAGGTGCCGAGAGCAAGCGAGGGCTCTGAGGACTGCCAGCATGCTGTCACCTCTCAATAGGAGTAGTTAATAATGGCAATTAGAAGTAATTTATAATAGGACTAATTACATAAATAATATGTTTGGGAAAAATATAACAATATGTTTTTAGTATTTCTATCTGTTCTCTTATGTAGTGATTTATTTTAACTTTTTAAAACTATTGGATATTTAAGTCTCATAGGCTATATTATTTCAACTTTAAGGCGCATTAATAAATGAAAAACATAAATACAAAAACGTAAAATACAACAAGAATGTAAAAGAAGAACATAACTACAATAAAACTACTTAAGCAGATATTACCTATATTTAATAAAAAATAATGACATTTCTTTCTGTCGCATGAAACAATCGAGTATCTTTACCCTTTCTGTTTCTTTTTCCAATATTCTTTCTGTGACCTGTCTGCAACATTTAAGACATCTTTATTTTCTTTTATATAGTGGTAATACTGAATACAGTCAAAGGTAAAATTCACTTTGAATTGCAGCTCTGCTCTTATCAAGCCCATATTACTTAGATTCCTGGTATCATTCTAGTGTGATAAAATCACACTAAATATCCTCTCAACAAAAGCATTTGAGCATTGAATACTCGGTATTTTACTTACTAGCAATAGCAGACTGTTGCAGCGAGCTGAGATCGCACCACAGCACTCCAGCCTGGGCAACAGAGGGAGACTCCATCTCAAAAAAATTAATAAATAAAATGAAATAAATAAATGATAAATTTGGGAAACAAAGCTTGGATTCCAAATAAATTGTATTTTTAGCAAGAGATTGATAAAGTCCTATTTAACTTGCATTCTGAAGCAGTCTTTTTTTTTTTAAAAAAGAATCTTTTCTTAGTGTATGAATCTTTATGTCACAATCTACATAACATAACATTGTTAAAATTAATGGGAGGCTATTGTTTTGGAATGAGCTCCTGCATTAGGCTCCAACAGACCAGACCAAACCAGAAGGGAGCCCTTTGTGCAGGGTGCCAAGTAATCAAACTGAAATTTAAAACAGGCCAGTTTTCCAAAAAACAGGAGATTCACAATAACCAGTAGAAAAGGGTCCAGACTACCTCAGCCAGCATGTTAAGGAAGTATCCTCTGCTTTAACCTTACAAGGACAGTCACTTTGTAATTACCAATCCACCTATTGTTCCTTGTTTGTAGTTTCTTCAGCCTTTTCTACCTATAACCTCATCTCCTCGTCAGAGCACCTTCCTATTTTGTAGATGAGATGCTGCCTGATTCATGAATTGCCAATAAAAGTTGATCTGATCTTTAACCTAAGTGTGTTGAAATTTTGTTCTTCGACAACGTCAAACAAATGAAAGTATAAATTTCTGTTTTACGGTAGTTCTTTTCTCCATTCTCACTCTTAAAATATTGTCAAATTAGAGAATAGCATTCCTCTTGTCCCACATTTTGAAAATATGATTTTACACCAAGTAAACATTTTAACATCTATCCTATGGCCAGCAATAATTATAGTCAACTTTAGACATTTCTAAGGAGGCTACCTCCTTTCGTTTCTATAAAGTGAAAATTCTTATTGTTTCTGCACATTTTGAGGAAACTAAAAAGTGACCATAAATCTCATTAAGCCATGAAAGCCTCAATATCACCAGTAAACAAATCACAATCCTTCTTAGCAGTGTTGTTTGTTTTGTTTTGTTTTGTTTGAGACGGAGTTTCGCTCTTGTTGCCCAAGCTGGAGTGCAATGGTACGATCTCGGCTCACTGCAACCTCTGCCTCTGGGGTTCAAGTGATTCTCCTGCCTCAGCCTCCCGAGTAGCTGGGATTACAGGCATGTGCCACCACACCCCGTTGATTTTTTGTATTTTTAGTAGAAACGGGGTTTCACCATGTTAGCCAGGCTGGTCTCAAACTCCTGACCTCAGGTGATCCACCAGCTTTGGCCTCCTAAAGTGCTGGGATTACAGGCGTGAGCCATCACGCCCGGCCTCTTAGCAGTGTTGTGAACAACATGTGCAGAACACGTCACATGTAAGATCTTTTCATTTTCTTTGGTAGAAAGTTTATAGTCTGAATGGAATTTGCCAAAATTTACATTTGCACTGTCTGCCAAACATGCAGATAGATGAGCAAGATCTAACTTGTAGTTGACCAACATATCAATGATTGTTTATGCTTCAAGTGGTTTCATTAAGTCTTCATGCATACCAGGAAAGATGATTTTCAACATCATGTTTCAAATCAAAGTATGTAAGAGCTAAGGGAAACTTTTTTTTTAATGGTTGAGGTGGATTTGACACATCATTATGTTGTAGAGAGCAAGGTCGTCTGATAGAATCAGCTGTACACTGCAAGAGACCAATATGTGGTATCAGAATTTCCTCTTGTTCACCCACGAGATGCAACCTCTGAATCAGGAAATAGAGTAATTAAGGAAGCCATAAAATAATGCGTGTTCTTTTCTAATATTCTGCCCAATACCATTTTCTTTTATTTAATTTTAACTTTTTTTAAGGTCTCCTTGTAAGCAAGCCCAATGCTATTCTCTACAGAGCGCTGGTGTCACTTTTGGGAGACAAAAACACTTTTGATTGGTTCAGAAGTTCTTGCCTGTCTCATCCCAGACTTGAGAGATGCCGTCTCCCTGTGTACTTTCACATCCAAATCTGTTTTGAATATTGCGTAGTATGCTCCGTTTTGATTATTTATTCTCCAAATCCGGTTGTATGTGTCCTTCTATCTGTCATTGAAGTAACAGTCTATTTAGACTTTTTCAGTGCTATCTGGGTTATGCTGGCGTTCGCATGATAATCGTTCTCGTTTTCGTTATCTAAACTCTAAAAATCTGGCCATAATATTCACAATGTTAAAAATTAAACTAAGGCCGGGCGCGGTGGCTCAGGCCTGTAATCCCAGCACTTTGCGAGGTCGAGGCGGGCGGATCACTTGAGGTCAGCAGTTCCAGAATAGCCTGGCCAACATGGTGAAACCCCGTCTCTACTAAAGATACAAAAAATTAGCCGGGCGTGGTGGTGCAGGCTTGTAATCCCAGCTACTCGGGAGGCTGAGGCAGGAGAATCGCTTGAACCCTGGAGGCAGCTGTTGCAGTGACCCAAGATCACGCCGTTGCCCTCCAGCCTGGGCGACAAGAACGAAACTCCGTCTCAAAAAAAAAAAAAAAAAATTAAACTAGCAATACAAACTAGCACTATGTAGACACAACAGTCTACAGTCAAAGACCGAGTGCTACGGTCACGGCTGAAAACGGTAACATCGCGCATTTAAGTCGCCTCACTCAGAGCGATGCACGGTGCAAGGTTGTCACCATCAGCGGACAGGGGAAAAACGGCGACAACTACAAAAGTGGGATAACCTAAACCCTATTATCCATTGGCAATAAAATCAGTGTTGCTTTCGGCCCTGGGGCAGGGGTGGGAACAAGGATGGGGTTGTCACTTTTTGTGTGTATATATTCTCTCCAACCTATCGCCAAAAACCGAAAGCCCGGACTTTTCACATCCCAGGTAGGGTTTTCCTGGGAAGTGGGTCTTTGAGTGCTAAACTCCAGACAATCCCCTGGCAAACAAAGACAGTGGAGAAGACAAGCTTTTCACCCCTTCCTGCTATTACTACCGTTCTCACATCCTAGCAGATGCCCAAGAGTTTGCACCAAGAGCGCCATATTCTTTACCCCATGAAGTTGCATTTGTCCAAATCCCTTTGGACTTCCTCAAGACCGAGACGGAGACGTGATTGGGGAAGACTGCAGTGGGTTGAAAAGCCAGTGGGACTTAGGGAGGTATTTTTTTAAAACAGACGGCCTTACAAGGAGTTTGCTGTACATTAAGACGGCCTTACAAGAAGTTTGCTGTACATTAAGACGGCCTTACAAGACGTTTGAGCACATGAGATAGCGACAGGTGGAGACGCCTGTCAAAGGACATTGTTTTGTTGTTTAAGATAGTAAACGCTTCAATGCTTCCGGATGGGAAACACCGGATCACTTTTCCTGCGGGAAAGAACCGGTATGGAGGGAGAGAGAAAAACAGGCCGTTTTCCTGATCTCTCCAGACAAAATGGATGGACGCCCGTGCAGGTTAATTGTCAGGTTTCTGGACAGGACGTTTTGGAAATTTTCCACCTAAGGTGAGAAGTGGGGGGTCATCAGTTCAGAATAAGAGGGGCAAAAGCAGCGGGATCAGCAGCGACTTTCTTCATCTGATTCAGGTTTTGGAAGCTGGTGAGCTTTGAGAAGTTTCATAAGAATATTTTATTTTAGAAATTTAAAATAAAGGTAATGTAGACAAAAATGTTTAAATAAGGTAAAAATCAGTGTTGAAAACACCTGCTGAGGAGCACTAGTTGTCTGCCTCCTTAGCGCAGTAGGCAGCGCGTCAGTCTCATAATCTGAAGGTCCTGAGTTCGAACCTCAGAGGGGGCAGCTGCCATTTTGTCCCCAACTTCCACAAATAACCCTATTTGTTCAGTATACAATTATCTCTATAATTGCTGGGCCCGGCATATGTTGTCAGACAGACGAAGTCTCAGCTCTCTTTGTCCCGACGGCTTATCAAGTTCTAGTAAATCTCTTTTAGTTCTTCTTATGAGTATCATCTCTTTCCAGTGGGCTTGCTGTTTTCTCCGAGTTCTTCTGACCTCAATTCCCTCGTGGGACAGTATCCTTCTACTGGTGCAACTTAATTTATTGAAAAAATGAATAGACAGATGAAAACCTGATATTCAATTTGTTGTGGCAGCCCTAGGAAACCAACACACCATCCCTTCTTTCACTCACCAACCTCCCATCACATCAACCTCAAGCTGTTTTATTTTCTTCATAGAATTTTTTACTATATAAAGTTTCCTTGTTCTTTTATTTTTTAACGTTTTTATTGTCTGTTGCCCACCCATCCTCCTAGACTGTAAATTCCGTTAGAGACTGAATTTGTTTTATCCAGTTCTATATTTTCAGTGCCTAGCACGGTATCTGATAAACAAGTATTTCTCAAATCAATCATTTAATTTGCATATTAAATGTTATGGTTTTCTTTCCATGCTTCTTGTCACTATCTTATTCCACACAATCAACATCTCAAACTTAGATTACTTGCAATCATCACCCCAGCAGTTACACATACTGAAATTCATCTTGCAGGCTATACCTCTCTGGCCCAGTCCGTGCTGCAAAAAGAGAGGGCTCTCCTCCAACATGTCTGGACCTCAGGGGTCTGTATTTCAGGACAGCTCTCTTAACAGTTCATTCTGTTGCCGACTTAAGGAAGCGTTTTATAGGGAACATCTTAACAATTTCGTCTGGACCCTAGGCCTCTGGTTCCAGGAGCCTGCATCTACCACAGTTAAGGAAATGCTGTTAAAGATTTGGGAGAAGCCTAAGAGCTGGGTTGTCTGGCTGTTCAGGCAGCTCTCCAGAGACTGCTTTATCCTTATTGGAGCCATCACAATTCAGAGTCTGTTCCTCTCCTTTGCAGAATCAGACACTATTTTTATTTTATTTACTTATTTGTATTATTTATTTTGAGTCTCCCTCTGTCTACCAGGATGGAGTGGAGCCGTGCGATCTCGGCTTGCTGCAACCTCTGCCTCCCTGGTTCAAGCTATTCTCCTGCCTCAGCCTCCCAAGTAGCTGGGATTATAGGCGCGTACCACCACTCTCGGCTAATTTTTGTATTTTTAGTAGAGACTGTTTCAGCATGTTGGCCCGGCTGGTCTCGAACTCCTGACCGCAGGTGATCTGCCCGCCTCGGACTCCCAGAGTGCTGGGATTACAGGCGTGAGCCACCGCGCCCCGTCAGAAATTATTTTTATGTATTTTTATTTTTATTTTTTGTGACGGAGTCGCTCTGTCGCCCAGGCTGGAGTGCAGTGGCGCAATCTCGGCTCACTGCAAGCTCTACCTCCCGGGTTCACGCCCTTCTCCAGCCTCAGCCTCCCGAGTAGCTGGGACTACATGCGCCCGCCACCACGCCCAGCTAATTATTTTTGTATTTTTAGTAGAGACGGGGTTTCACCGTGTTGGCCAGGATGGTCTCGAGATCCGCCCGCCTCGGCCTCCCAAAGTGCTGGGATTACAGGCGTGAGCCACAGCGCTCGGCCGGAAACTATTTTTAAATTCACCTAGAGTTTTTAAGACTTGCAGGGCTGACTCACGGTAACTAAATGCCAGAAATATGCCAAGCCAGAATATGAACATATTATAACTTTCTTGATAATTGATCAGTATATTCCCTCCTACGTAAAATAAACTCTGCACTGGAAAGCAAGTAACAACAGAAGATTACTTTGGCACCTGTAAGCAGAGTAACAGGAATCATAAAATATTAAATACTTCGTATTCTAAGGTTGTCCTTAAATGTTAGTTTTCTTCAGAAAATCTGGGGCTATCTCACTGTAGAGGGCCCATGTATTCACCTTACTACTTTTATTTGGCATCAGAGTTACTCGCCTATTCGTGGTTTAAAATTTGGGGTTCTACAGGGTTTGGTGAATTTTTGCAGTATATGAAATCTGTCCCTATAAAACGATAGTATCCTTTTTGGCTTTTTCAAACATGATACCAGAATCAGGTACTAAAAGCCACCACTCCCGCCCGAACAGGGACTTGAACCCTGGACCCTCAGATTAAAAGTCTGATGCTCTACCGACTGAGCTATCCGGGCTCCCTGCAAAAGCCTTCTTCCTGCACATTCTAGTGAGTAAAAAGGTGCAGAAACTTGATATCGTCCAACTTAAATCCTATCCATGTTCCTTTTCTTTATTCCCATCTATGCTTTTGCCCACTTTGAATATGGCTCACAGTTATTTTTGTCCCCAACTCATGGAAAAAATTAACTCCCATCTTTGTGTAATGTACTCCAAACAATTACTTGTAAAAGCAATGTATAACTACAGACGTAATCGCCGGGTTTGTCTTGTCTTTAGTCTTCAAAGGTTATGCTCCAGTCTTCCCTGCGACCTTAAGAACACCTGGCACACGGGCGCGGTGGCTCACGCCTGTAATCTCAGCACTTTGGGAGGCCGAGGCGGGCGATCACAAGGTCAGGAAATCTAGACCATCCTGGCCAACATGGTGAAACCTCGTCTCTACTAAAATACAAAAAAATTAGCCGGGCGTGGTGGCGCACGCCTGTAGTCCCAGCTACTCGGGAGGCTGAGGCAAGGGAATCGCTTCAACCCGGGAGGCGAAGGTTGCAGGGAGCCGAGATCTTGCCTCTGCACTTCAACCTGGTGACAGAGTGAGACTCCAGAAAAAAAAAAAATAGGTTTTGAGAACTTATTTTGAGCAAGGCTCTCAGCTTTGCCCCGGGTTTCCTGCAGTGGAGAAGTACTACTGAGAGGTGACAGCGTGCTGGCAGTCCTCACAGCCCTCGCTTGCTCTGGGCGCCTCCTCTGCCTGGGCTCCTACTTTGGCGGCACTTGAGGAGCCCTTCAGCCCACCACTGCACTGTGGGAGCCCCTTTCTGGGCTGGCCAAGGCCGGAGCCCACTCCCTCAGCTTGCAGGGAGGTGTGGAGAGAGAGGCGCGAGCGGGAACCGGGGCTGCATGCGGCGCTTGCGGGCCAGCTGGAGTTCCGGGTGGGCGTGGGCTTGGCGGGCCTCGCACTCGGAGCAGCCGGCAGGCCCTGCCGGCCCCGGGCAATAAGGGACTTAGCACCCGGGCCAGCGACTGCAGAGGGTGTACTGGATCCCCCAGAGGTGCCAGCCCACCGGCGCTGCGCTCGATTTCTCGCCGGGCCTTAGTTGCCTTCCCGCGGGGCAGGCTTCGGGACTGCAGCCTGCCATGCCTGAGCCTTCCCCCGCCTCCGTGGGTTCCTGTGCAGCCCGAGCCTCCCCGACGAGCGCCGCCCCCTGCTCCACGGCACCCAGTCCCATCGACCACCCAAGGGATGAGGAGTGCGAGCGCATGGCGTGGGGTTGGCAGGCAACTCCACCTGCAACCCCGGTGCGGGATCCACTGGGTGAAGCCAGCTGGGATCCTGAGTCTGGTGGGGACGTGGAGAATCTTTATGTCTAGCTCAGGGATTGTAAATACACATATCGGCACTCTGTATCTAGCCCAAGGTTTGTAAACACACCAATCAGCACCCTGTGTCTAGCTCAGGGTTTGTGAGTGCACCAATCGACACTGTATCTAGCGGCTCTGGTGGGGCCGTGGAGAACCTGTGTGTCAAAACTCTGTATCTAACTAATCTGGTGGGGACGTGGAGAACCTTTGTATCTAGCTCAGGGATTGTAAATGCACCAATCAGCACCCTGTCAAAACAGGCCACTCGGCTCTACCAATCAGCAGGATGTGGGTGGGGCCAGCTAAGAGAATAAAAGCAGGCTGCCGGAGCCAGCATCCACAACCCGCTCGGCTCTTCTTCCATATTGTAGAGTGTTGTTTTTTTTTTTGCTCTTTGCAATAAATTTTGCGACTGGTTACTGTTTGGGTCCACATTGCTTTTATGAGCTGTAAGACTCACCGTGAAGGTCTGCAGCTTTTTTCCTGAAGTCAGCGAAAGCGCAAGCCCAGCAGGAAGAGCGAACAATTCCAGACGTGCTGTCTTAAGAGCTGTAATACTCTCTCCGAAGGTTTGCAGTTTCACTCCTGAGTTAGCGAGACCACGAACCCACCAGAAAGAAGAATACTCCTAACACATGGGAACATCAGAAGGAACAAACTCCAGACACGTCACGTTAAGAGCTGTAACACTCACCGCGAGGGCCCGTGGCTTCATTCTTGAAGTCAGTGAGATCAAGAACCCACCAATTCGGGACACACTACCTCAGCCCTTGGGGCGTTCATATTTTACAAGTGAAAAGCAGCCGTTAAACGACAAATTACACTGTTTAAACAGTCACTGTAACACATGCTCTTGAGAAAACGTTTAGGTTACAAAATGTTGAGGAAAAACAAGCAAAATCTCATGACCTTACTTTGCAAATTAAACGAGATAATGTAAGCAAACGCTTGGTGACATTTCCATGAAAATTAGGTGTTATCACAATTATTCTTATTGTAAAGTGGATCATTTAGAACACTGTATTTTAACCATTTTGCTTGTGCCACTTTAGACAAGTTTGTTAATCTCTTGACCACTTTAATCTCACAGCAGAAATCCCTCAAAGGCTAGGTCTAGCACAATGGTTGTCATGTGGTACATTTCTGATCGTGCATTTATTTATGCTACTATTGAAAAACAGATTCGAGGTTATTTACACAACTATACTGTAAGATAAAGTGAAAAATGTTAATTTAAATCAAGATAAAGGGAACATAGAGAAAAGTAAGGTGAGACAAAATAATGCACACTGTAAATCGCACACTGTAAATCACACCCTGCCCTCTATCTTCAAGAGCATGGATTATAAAGGGAGATGACCTCTTCCAGGGGATTAGAGAAGACTTCTCCCAGGAAGTGATGTTTAAACTGAAAACTAAAGGCCTAGTTGGACAAAAATGTGATTCCAGCATTCCAGGGAGATTAAAGAGCAGAACACTTCCAGACACCTGAGAGAAGGCCTGAGCAGCTTGTGTACAGAGAGCTCAAGAGAGTGTTCATGAAGGTGGGGTCTGAGGTGGACAGGAAGGCAGGGACAGACCAGTGACTCACAGGCTCAGAGGTTATGGCTAGTAGTGCAGAGAGCTGACTGCACCCTAGCAGCAATGTGAAGCCACTGGGAATTCTAAGCAGGAAGAAATGACATGATGAGATTACTTTTAAGAGTACACTGGCTTTATGTAAAGAATGAGTCAGAATGGAGGAAGAGGTGATGCAAAAACATAAATTAGGCCATTGTGCAGAAGAAGGCCATCGAGACATGGCAGTGGGGAGGAATGATGCAGAGAAACTGGGGAACAGCTAGAAGAAAGAAAACTTGGGCCCAGACTGCCCCTGGGAACCTGGAGGGCAGGAGGTGTCAAGATGTCTCAGCTGCTTATTTACCAAGAAAAGCTCTTTACAGGGAAAGGCAGAAATAAAGCAAAACAGGGCGAGGCCAGTGGCTCCCACCTGTAATCCCAACATTTTGGGAGGCAGAGGTGGGCAAATCAATTGTGGTCAGGAGTTCCAGACCAGCCTGGCAAACATGATGAAACCGCATCTCTACTAAAAACACAAAAATGAGCCAGGTGTGGTGGTGCATGACTGTAGTCCCAGCTACCTCAAGGGTCTGAGGCAAAATAATCACTTGAACCTGGGAGGCAGAGGTTGCAGTGAGCCGAGATCACACCACTACACTCCAGCCTGGGTGACAGAGCAAGACTCCATCTCAAAAAAAAAAAAAAAAGAAAGAAAGAAAAAAGAAAAATTAGAAATAAAGCAGAATAGGAAATGGCACCTTGTAGCTTTTGAGAGTTCTCTGGGAAGCATAGAGCATTTATTCTGCTCTTGATGAGGCAAGTGCTCCTAGTTTTAACCAGTAAGCAAGCCCTGGATGACTAAACAAAAATGAGGAGAATTTTGGGAGGAAATGATCTCTCCAGAGACGGTCAACATAGGATAAATGAATATAGGCCGAGTAAGTCCTTGACTGGGGCTTCCAAAATGTTGCCACACTGATGGCATTCAAATCTCCTGGAGTCACTGTTAAAAACTCAGATTCAGGCCAGTTGCAGTGGCTCACACCTGTAATCCCAGCACTTTGGGAGACCCAGGTGCATGGATCATCTGAGGCCAGGAGATCGAGACCAGCCTGACCAACATGGAGAAACCACATCTCTACTAAAAACACAAAATTAGCCGGGCGTGGTGGCGCATGCCTGTAATCCCAGCTACTCCAGAGGCTGAGGCAGGAGAATCGCTTGAACCAGGAGGTAGAGGTTGCCGTGAGCCGAGATCGTGCCATTGCACTCTAGCCTGGGCAACAAGAGTGAAACTCCATCTCAAAAAAAAAAAAAAAGATTCACAGATTCTATCTCAGACTCATGAATCAGAATATTCTCAAGGTCTGGCTGACCTCCACAACTTAAATCACTGTTGTCTTTTCTCTCCCCTATGCAGCGAATTCCCTCTCTGAACATGATCATGACCTCTGAGACCCTGCATGATCTATGTGCATCCTGTAGGGTCTATGTGTATCTAACCCCCTCATCTCCTATCAAGTTCTCCCTTGTTTACTGACCTACAGCTGCACTAGTCTCCTCCTTCGTTCCTTGAACATGCCAATGGCATTCCTGCCAAGCCTTTTGTAATTACTGTTCCCTTGGCCTGAAATTCTCTTCTCCCTGATAGCCTCACAGCTCACTCACTCACTTCCTTCAAGTCTCTGTTCAGATGCCTCCTTATCAGGAAGGCCTCCTTGGTCACCCTTTATTATAAAGCAATCCCCTCCCCTTTGTTCTCCATTCTCTTGCTCTTTTCCTTCATGGCATGTATCACTACTTCACATTTTATATATCTGGTTGAATTTATTCTTTATCATTCCCCACTAAAATGTAAACTCCATGAGAGCAGAAGCTTTTTCTGTTGTGTGGAGTGCTATCCCTGCACCCCCTATGTGTGGTTCAGGGTCTAGTTAAGAAATAAGGCTGGGCACGGTGGCTCACATCTGTAATCCCAGCACTTTGGGAGGCCGAAGCGGGCAGATCACTTGAGGTCAGGAGTTCAAGACCAGCCTGGCCAACATGGTGAAACCCCGTCTCTGGTAAAAATACAAAAATTAGCTGGACGTCGTGGCGGGCGCCTGTAATTCCAGCTACCTGGGACGCTGAGGCAGGAGAATCGCTTGAACCCGGGAGGCAGAGGTTGCAGCGAGCTGAGATTGTGCCACTGCACTCCAGCCTGGGTGACAGAACAAGACTCTGTCTCAAAAAAAAAGGAATAAGACTAGGTATTTCAACTGGGCACACCATGGTAACTCAGAGGTGATAACTACTGGGAAGTAGCTACCACCTTGTAGGGCTGGAAGAACAAAAAGGAAGAGGTTGAGACCACTGAGGAAAGGCATCCTGGAGTGCTAAAGAGGACGCGCTGCAGCTGGACTACTACTTACTTATGTAATGGACAGTGAGACATTCTGGAATGCATGAAGAGAACAAATAGAGATGGGATTCAACTGCCATTGTTGGAGTGACCTGACAGGAAGAACAAAATTTAGAAAGCAGCCCCTGCTTCTCTCCTCTTGCTTTCTAGTCTCTTTCTGGTTCCTCTTATTGACAGAACACAAGAGGAAGCCAATGGGCAAAGGAGTTTGGGAAATATCATTTGCAGGCGCCCAGCCCCAATGTCACAAAACAAAGTATATAAGGGTGATTTTAAAGCTGAGAGGGAATGGATTAATAGGAACACAGCTTGGAACAAAGTAGGACTCAAGAGCAGGACATTAATGATCAGTCTTGCTCATTATTATTTGAGTCAGGGGCTCATCTTGACTGTAAATATCAGCCTATCTTCTTCACTTCTTGTTTCTCTTTTTACCCCTTCCTGCATCTGGTAGTTTGGATGATTTAGATCCAGTCAACAGGACTGGAAGCAAGAGAAAAGGTCCAATGCAATGAGACTGAGGGGGGAGTTTTTTGTCAGTTTTTTGTTTCCTTTCTTTTTTCATATGGAATGTTATTGGTGGCAACCTGGTGGTAAGCCATTCCAGAAGAATGGTAAAAGATAACCAAGTCAGTAATTGATAATTAGATTCTATACCTTCCACACCCCTAGTACAACCCTCCACCCACTTTTTCTTATCTCAGCACTCTAAAACTGGCAAGTTTCTTGACTCTGGTGTTGTTAAAACAAAGACAATTGCCAAGCATATCTGAAAAACATTTGAAAATGCTACCAGCTCTATCTCCAATTGGTATGCAGGGCGGGAGGGGAGATGAGAATTTTGGAGAATTTAATTCTTAGTGAAAATCACTGTTTTGTAACTGAACATGGTTCTATTAAACAGCAATTACCCGTTCTGTTCCATCAAAGCAATGTCCTTAGATTTTTTTTTCCCTTACCAGACATATTGTACACTTTTCTATAGAGAAAGCAGAGAAAGAACAACGTTTTGTCAACTTCCTTTGTTGTCTTACTCATTTTGGATCAAGAAGAAGTAAAATGGCAAAACAGACGCCTTGCCCCCTCTGAGGTTCGAACTCAGGACCTTCAGATTATGAGACTGACGCGCTGCCTACTGCGCTAAGGAGGCAACTGTCTCTCCCGCTTAACCAACGGCTCTACCAAGATGATTATGAGGCATTTTAATAAGGTTTTACGTTCTCTGAATTACAGTGTTTCAAAATAAGGCGTAACTATGATTCAATTCACTTCTAAAACACTTTGGATGACAAAACTACGTAGTACAAGGCAGGGGCCAATTCCTAAACCAACCTCGTTCTCCCACAGACCTTCCTAAGGAAACTTTAAGGGCTGCGAAGGCAATTGAGTCTGGACTTTGCGAAAGGCCTTCCTGTACGGGGCCCTGGATTTCTCATCTCATTTCTGGGCCAGGAACGAGGAGTCTTTCCCTCTATGATTAGGGCTTTCGTAGATGTACCGCCTCTGAAACGAAGACAAGACAAATAATAATGAGTTCACTCTTTTCCTCCCTTGTGAAGTTCCGTGGAGACACTCGGTCCCCTGAAGTGGATGAAGGGCGAGGGGAGGAGGTCTCAGGATTTTTCCTCGCTTTTCTTAGAAGCAACAGGCTCAAACCAAACGGTTGGCCTTGCTTACTCCTGAAGTCGAGAGGCTTACTTCCTGGAATCCAAGTGGATGTGGAGCCCATGGCGTCCTCTGGCGCTCTCGGTCTCTTCGACCCCTTTTTACTGTGTTGATGATAAATGGGGCAGGATTCCCCTCCTGCACCACCTGCAGCATCCTGTCCAGGATCCATCTGGGAGCTGAGAAGAAGCAAAGTGTCAGGGATCGGGGGTTCTCGGGCTATGCTGAGAAGCAAGGAATGCTGAAGAAGGGGCCTGAGGGAAGGGCTTATGGTGATGTGGGAATGGGAATGAAAGGACTGGAAAGGGGCGACAGTCACTTGGGTGAAACTGAAAGCGGCGACGCACCCTGTGGGTGGTAGCGTGGCCGAGCGGTCTAAGGCGCTGGATTAAGGCTCCAGTCTCTTCGGGGGCGTGGGTTCGAATCCCACCGCTGCCAGTGTGAGGTATTTTTTTTTCCCCCTCGTCATTCTGACCCAGTAAAGTTCCATTTTCAAGCCTTGTGTGGGCAGTTCTCACAGCTTCCTAAGTGAGACAGGTTCCTCTTCTGTTTTCCTAGGGGCCACAGATAACACCCATATGTACAGTCCCACAAACGGTGCCCAAATGTTTCTCGATTTAGGGGCTCAGACATCTCGTCCCCTAGTTATTCCCTTCAGTGGCCTTCATGTGTTTTCATTCACTTTGCGAAATTTGTGAACCAACCAAGGGCAATCCTAAGGAAAAAGTACAACCTTCTTAACTCCAGACTCAAGAATAAATAAGCCACGCACGCTCATCTGCCCTATTTTCCATTGTCTTCTCCAAGGGATAAATGTGCTAAGGCTGAAAAAACAAACGAACCAACAAAAGAAACAGTCACCAGACACCTAGAGCCTTTCCCGCTTCACCTATCCTCAGAGAGCAGTTTAAGGTCCTTAGTTGAACACAGTTGAAGAGTTAGCTTTTGAGATTCTGTTATCTTCTTAAACAGTAAACATTTTTTTCTTTTTTTTTTTTAAGAAATAAGGTGGAGGCTCATAGAATAGAAAGAATAACACCTGTTTTAGGGAAGAAGGACTTGATCCGTTATTTACCTGGATCTGGGGTAGTTTAGACCATCTTTTAAGGCTAGGAGACTCGAGGAGATAGAATGGAGAGTTTTTGTGTGCAGGGAGGTGGGTAGATGCTTAGGAGCACTTTACAGTCGCCTAGGCAGAAGTCTTCTAATTTCACTGCTTCCTTCCTCACCTTCCAAAAGATGTATCCAATACATACTAATTGAGCAGATATTTTGTAACAGGCACCTTGCTTGAAAGGATGAATGCCAGCAAATGATTCCAGGGTTCCTTAGCAATTTAGTCTTGAGAGACTAGAGAGGCACATTAAGCATAGTTGACAAATAATTAATATTAAGATTGACTAAAGTAGTAATTTATATCTGAGTATTTCTTCCAGACACGCTACGTATATATGTGGTCTATTTGTTATATGTTGTTCTCACAATTACTAGATAAATAACCATGTTATCTTAATAAAGTTAAGATTTGAAAAAATGAATTACTACATCCAGCACTATAACATCCTAGTTTGGTCATCCATACTAAAGGACACCTATATGTTGGGTCATCTGGACGCTAAGATGTCCACCTGGGAGCTGGGACCTGGAAAGGCAAAAGAAGATAGGAGGAGGAGGAGAAATAATTATTCCCTTTTGAACTTGTAAAATTTAGCCTAGCAAGTGAAGGCAAAAAAGAAGTCTAAAGTCTCCCAAAAGTCTAAGCTGGGCTGTCCCACTGAGTATTCATTCATTCATTCATTCATTCATTCACTCATCCTTTCATTTATGCATTCATGCAACAAGCATTGGTTGAGCTTCTACAAAGTAGCAGACCGTGGGCTATCAAAGACTACTGAGACTCAGCCCTGCACTTAAGGCATTTTGGAGGAATGCGGGAGACAGATTTTAAAAATTTAAGCCCATGGTTACAACTGAGGGGCAGTGCCAAGATACTCGGAGGTTGTTCTAGAGGCATCTGTAGGTATCGTACAATGAATAAATAAGACTGTAGAAAGTAGATAGTATATTTTTTCTTTTCTCTCTTTTCTCCCTTTCAAACCGTGAGACTAAAATTCAATTCACCTTTTCGTGGGCTGGAAACGAAAGAAAATAAAAATCTCCAGGAATAACCATATTCCCAGATCAGTATACTGCCCTGCCCCGAAGGATGGAAAGAAATCTGGGAGAAAGGCGCGGTGGAAACAGTGTGTGAGCCCTACCCCTCCCATCCCTGCGTTTGGCCATCCAAAACAAAAAAACTGCCCCTGCAAAATTACTTTAAATCAATTAGTAAGTAGAAGACAAGAGAGACCCCAGGTGGATCGAGTATCCATTTTTTGTTAAGTAGGGTTCCATGGTGTAATGGTTAGCACTCTGGACTCTGAATCCAGCGATCCGAGTTCAAATCTCGGTGGAACCTTTCATTTCTCTCCTTTTGCCTTGTTTCCGATAACCTTGAGCGTGAACCTTGCTGCTTTCAATTTCAGTTTCATCACTTTTATTTTTGATGGTTTCTGGCCGTGAGGAAAAACATGTAATCTGCGGTCCCAATAACCTATGAGCTCAGGGCCAGTATGTAATGATGGAGTCTGTATACATGTCTTTCTATTCCTACCTAGTCTAGTTTCCTCCCAGTACGCCTCTGGGTGAGTGCTCATGTGGTAAATGAATGCGCCTTTTAACGAACTGACCAAAGCGGGGCAAAACGTGATTCACTACTAAACAGCGAACAAGACTGAAAAGCAAGGGGGCAGACCTCATTGAGAGTGTATCATTTTAGTTAGAATAAAAAAAGTTGAGGTAGAAAGAATGAAAACACAGAAATGGCTGAGAAAGTAGAGTAAAAGGAGAATAAGATAGTTGTGTCAGAAGTGGGATTCGAACCCACGCCTCCATTGGAGACCAGAATCCTCAACACGAGGAAGCCAAGCTTGAGTCTGGCGCCTTAGACCACTCGGCCATCCTGACACCTGGGACACTTACCATCGCAAATTAATATAATCTTCGATTGTAATGAATGCGTAACCAGCGTTAAGTCATTACTACGTTCGCGATTTAATGAAAGAAATGGAAAAGGAAATTCCTACAAGTGAACAAAACGTTCTATTTAAATGGAATCAGGAACCGTGACTCAGCTTGCGAGGCTCTCCTACCAATTCAGGCTAGAATTCAGCGTTTCTCGCCCTTCGCCCCCTTCTTACACTTCCCTGCACGCCCCGGGTACAGGGGCGCGAGCATCCTAACAACCCAGCCGCGACTCTGCCTTGAACAAGAAAGAACACATAGCATGACAAGAAAAAACACATATCCATGACAAGAAAGAACACATAGCACGGGGGCTGTTCCCGAGATGCTGCTTAGCAAACTAATCAAAGAGCTCAGCAGGGAAGAAATGAGCGAGGCAATGTAGACCTGAAGCGAAGCAGGAGAGTTAGCGGAGAGTGGGGGATGAGAGCGGTTCAGGGGTCTTGAACATGAAAAATGACTGTCGATGTGAGTAACAGGAGTTGACTTGGTCAGGAGTTGAAAGAGGGTGAAGTGCAGGGGTGCTAAACCAGAGTAGCATGAAGGAAGTGTCAGCACAGAGCCGAAATCCCCAGATCTCTTCCCTCACCACATTCCCAGAACTAGTCAAACAGGCTCATCTCCCCTCCCCCTACCTCTCCCAGGAGGTTGAAGGAGTATGTCAAGGGAAACTGGGATAAAGTTTTCCAGAGATAAAGAAAGACAGATGAGATATCCAAGTCAATTTACAAGGAAAAAATAAAAATTAAAACAACGACAAACACTGGTATTTGAGGATCTCCCAAAGAAATGGCTGGGTCTCCATAGAATCCCCAAAGACTCTGCAGTCTACAGGCTTGGAGCAGGTCCACAGAGCTTCCAGAATCAGGTGTTTAGTGCCTTACTTAAAATATGTACGACAACCAAGGATAATCAGGTGGTTGTGAAAATATTTCTACAATAAGACAAGGACGAATACAAACAGAAGGGGGCAGGAAGAACCTAAGAGGAAACAAATACAATGCAGGAAGTTGGATTTTTTAAAAATTATAATTAATCCTCGGGAAAGTAAGAGAAGATACTGCACTCATGAAACAAAAAGGAGGGGAGTTCTTAAAATTATTAATAATATTATGATGGCTGGATTTTTAAAAATTTCTTTTTTTTTTTTCTTGAGACGGGGTTTGGCGCTTGTTGCCCAGGCTGGAGTGCAATGATGCAATCTCGGCTCACCACAACCTCTGCCTTCCAGGTTCAAGAGATTCTTCTGCCTCCAGAGTAGCTGGGATTACAGGCATGCGCCACCACGCCCGGCTAATTTTATGTTTTTAGTTAAGACAGGGTTTCTCCATGTTGGTCTGACTGGTCTCGAACTCCCAACCTCAGGTGATCCGCCCGCCTCAGCCTCCCAAAGTGCTGGGATTACAGTTGTGAGCCACTGCGCCTGGCCTAAAATTTCAAAATAAGGTTGTAGAAATCTGGAAAGTTTGGGGTGAATGATGGAAAATAGCAAAGAATTGATAAGAAAATAAAATGGTGTATAATAGAAGATATGCCAACAAACTAACAGGGATTCTAGGAAAAGAGGAGAAAGTGGAATAAAGGAGATAAAGATGTAATATAAGATTATTTTTCAGAACCAAAGACCTTAAGTCTCCAGATTTAAAAGGCCCACCAACTACCCTGCATAGGGTGTGGCAAAGCCCCACAATAAAGCTTGTCATTGTGAAATATCAGACGAATAAAGTGAATATCCTAAATGTTTCCAGAAGGAAAACAAAACTAAAAGATTGCACAGAAAGGATTATGAATTAGAATGTCATCTTTTTTTCTCCACAGCAGCACCAACACCAAAAGCTGAAAGACAATGACGCAATGCCTTCTAAATCATTTCAATAAAGGAAAATAGTTTCCACAACTAGATTTCTGAACCCAGCCAAACTATCAATCAAATGTGAATGGACATTTGCAGAACATTATCTCCCAAGTACCTTTTCTCAGAAAGCTTCTGGAGAATTGTCCACTAACTAGGGAATTAAACTAAGAAAAAGGAAATATGAAATCCGGTGACTGGGGACCTAACACAGGAGAAAGGTAAAGGAAAAAACTCCGGGGCAACTGCTGAGCTACCAGGCTAGAAGGCAATCAGTCTACGGTGGAATAGAAAAAAGAGGGCTAAACGAGGGTTGTTTCCAATGGGGGAAAATGGAACTGACATACTGCCTCATGCATTTGACGAGAAAATAGTGTCAGAAAGCTGGTATTGAATTAGGAATAAATATTTAGAAAAGTAAGCAAAGAACAGGAGGCAATTATTAATCCCAGGAAGAACAAAAGGTTGTCAAAGAAGGTAATTATGGTATACCATGGAGCTCAGCTGTGAAAAATATTACAAAGTCATAATGATGAAAACCATAAATATTAATTTATTAATTTAACTAAAAATTATACATATGAGGCTGGGCACGGTGGCTCATGCCTATAATCCCAGCACTTTGGGACGCCGAGCCAGGCGGATTGCCTGAGGTCAGGAGTTCAAGACCACCCTGGCCAACATGGTGAAACCCTGTCTCTATTAAAAATACAAAAAAATAGATGGGCGTGGTGGCGGACCCCTGTATTCCCAAGCTGAGGCGCGAGAATCCCTTGAACCTGTGAGGCAGAGGTTGCAGTGAGCTGAGATGGCGCCACTGCACTCCAGCCTGGGCAACAGAGTGAAACTCCATCTCGTAATAATAATAATAATAACAAATATGAATGTATATTGCCATATTCAAAAATGTATTCAATAAATATATGTTGAATTAAGAAATGTATAAGTAAATAAATATGTCCACAAGAAGAGATTCATGAAGAGTGTATGCATAAATATAAAGGATTCTTATGGATGTATTCTAATAATAAAATACACTATTGATTAATATATTTTCTTGAGTATTTTCTTTTTATGTCCATCAGTCTCACCTCTCTCTGCTGGGCTAAGGAAAAATTAATCTTTCCTATAAAGCTATCACTAAGACAAAGTAAAAACAGGTCAATGATAATCCCACAGAAACCTTTTAAAGCTGTTAAAACCGCTTCAACATATGAGTTGCTGTAAATGTTATAATTAGTTAAAAAGAACAAGTAGGCCTTGTGTGGTGGCTCACACTTGTAATCCCAGCACTTTGGGAGGCTGAGGCGGGCGGATCACTTGAGGTCAGGAGTTTAAGACCACCCTGGCCAACATGGTGAAACTCCATCTCTACTAAAAATACAAAAAATAGGCCGTGTGCGGTGGCTCATGCCTGTAATCCCAGCACTTTGGGAGGCCAAGGTGCGGGGATCACGAGGGCAAGAGAGCGAGACCATCCTGGCCAACATGGTCAAACCCCGTCTCTATTAAAAATATAAAAATCAGCTGGTCGTGGTGGCGTGGTGGTGGCTGCCCGTAGTCCCAGCTACTCAGGAGGCTGAGGAAAGAGTATTGCTTGGACCGGGGAGGTGGAGGTTGCAATGAGCCGAGATCACGCCATTGCACTCCAGCCTGGGCGACAGAGCCAGACACTGTCTTAAAAAAAAAAAAAATAGCCAGACATGGTGGTGCACACCTGTAGTCCCAGCTACTCAGGAGGCTGAGGCAGGAGGTTGCAGTAAGCCGAGATCATGCCATTGCACTCCAGCCTGGACGGCAGAGGGAGACTCCGTCTTAAAAAAAAACAGAATAAGTAAATCTGGTGAACTGGTTTTCCATTAGTGCAGCTATTTTCTGCTTTTTGGACATAGTGGTTAAAACGAGGTGAATAGACAGAAATGCATTTACAAATTTATGATATAACTTTTCAATAAAAGGTGCTGGACCAATTAGGAAAAAAACTAAATCTAGACCTTTGCCTCACACCAAACACAAAAATGAATTCATAATGGACCATACACCTAAGTATGACAGGGAAAGTAAAGCTTCTAGAAAGAGGATATGTTAATGAATGTAAGGTACGCAAAGATTTCAAAAACAGGAAAGAGTAACCAAAATGAAAAAAAAAAAAAGTTAAACAGGCACCCACCTGTAGTTCCAGCTACTCAGGAGGCTTGAGGTGGGAGGATCGCTTGAGCCCAGGAAATTGAGGTCGTAGTGCACAATGATAGCCCCTGTGAACAGTCACTGCACTCTAGCCTGGGCAACACAGTGAGAACCCATGTCTATTAAATAAATAAATAAGTGTAAAAATTTTAAAAATAAATCAATAAAGTCGATGAAATAAAATTCATCAAAACTGGAAACTTCTATTCATCAAAAAACATCATTAAGAAAATGAAAAATGGAGGCCGGGCGTGGTGGCTCACGCCTGTAATCCCAGCACTTTGGGAGGCTGAGGCAGATCACAAGGTCAAGAGATCAAGACCATCCTGGCCAACACAGTGAAACCCTGTCTCTACTAAAAATACAAAAATTAGCTGAGCGTGGTGGCGCACACCTGTAGTCCCAGCTACTCAGGAGCCTGAGGCAGGAGGATCACTTGAACCCGGGAGGCGGAGGTTGCAGTGAGTCGAGATTGTGCCACTGCCCTCCAGCCTGGCAACAGAGTGAGACTCTGTCTCCCGAAAAAAAAAAAAGAAAAAGAAAATGAAAAATGGAAGCCACAAATTGCAGGAAACATTTGCAAAATACATACCTGAGAAAGGACTCATCCTAAATATATAAAGCACTCTTGTAAATCAACAAGAAAAAGACAAATAATTTTTTTTTAATGACAAAAGACTTGATCAGGAACTTCCCTAAAGACTACATTCAAATAGTACACATATGAGGCCAGGGACAGTGGCTCACGCTGTAATGCCACCAGCACTTCAGGAGGTGGGAGGATTACTTGAGCCCAGGAGTTCGAGACCAGCCTGGGCAACATAGTAAGACTCCCCCTGCCCCACCATCTCTACAAAAAAAAAAAAAAAAAAAAATTAGCCAGGCATGGTGGCGTGTGCCTGTAGTCTGAGCTATTCAGGAGGCTGAGGTAGGAGGATCCTGTGAGCCTGGGAAGTTGAGGCTGCAGTGGGTCATGATTGCATAACTGCACTCCAGCAAAAGAAAATTTGAAAATGTGCTCAGTATCATTAATTAGCAGGGAAATATAAATTAAAACCACAATGAGATACCACTACAAATCCACCTGAACAGCTAAAATATTTTAAAACACATATGCTGTACCAAGTGTTGGTGTAATATGTGCGGCAACTAGAATTCTCATGCATTGCTGCTAGAAGTGTTAATTAGCACATTCACTATGGAACATTTTTTGGCATTATCTAAAAAACTAAACATATGCCTACTAGCAATTCCACTCCTAGAAATGAGGGCATTTGTCCATGAACAGACATATACCACCAGAACGTTTAGGGCAGCTTTATTCATAACAGACAACAATTTAAAACCCCAATAAGTGCTCATGATAGGAGTCTCTTCATATGAAGTTCAAGAACAGGCAGAATTAATCAATGCTTCTAGAAATTTGGAATAGTGATTTTTTCTAAGTAACCTCTGGGAGTGGATACTGATGGAAAGAGACATGAGACAGCCTTCCTGGATGCTGAAAATATTTTTCCTCTTGATCTGGATGGTGGGTACACACATGTAACAATTCATTAGCTTATACACTGAAGGCTTGTTCCCTTTATGTATATTTTACCTCAATAAATTAACAATATGAAACAGTTTATCATTTAATGTCAATTAAATGCTCTACAGCATAAACTCTAAAAATGTTTGATATAGTTTGGATATTTGTCCCCACTCAAATTGGATATTTGTCTCACATTGAGATGTAATCCCCAATATTGGAGGTGGGGTCTGGTGGGGCCTCCTTGCTCCATTCTCGCTAGGCGATATGCCTGCTCCCCCTTTGTTTTCCGCCATGATTCGAAGTTTCCTAGGCCAGGTGCAGTGGCTCACACCTGTAATCCCAGCACTTTGGGAGGCCGAGGCAGGTGGATCACTTGAGGTCAGGAGTTCAAGACCAGCCTGATCAACATGGTGAAACCAGTCTCTACTAAAAATATACAAAATTGGACAAGCGCGGTGGTGCACGCCTGTAATCCCAGCTACTTGGAGGCTGAGACAGGAGAACTGCTTGAACCCGGGAGGCGGAGCTTGCAGTGAGCCAAGACAGCACTATTGCACTCCAGCCTGGGCAACAAGAGAGAAACTCCGTCTGAAAAAAAACAAAACAAAACAAAAAACCCGGAAGTTTCCCAAGGCCTCTGCAGAAGCAGCTGCCACTGTGCTTCCTGTACAGCCTGCAGAATCATGAGCCAATTAAAACTCTTTTCTTATAAATTACCCAGTCTCAGGTATTTCTCTTTTTTTGTTTTGTTTTGTTTTGAGATGGAGTCTCTCTCCGTGTTGCCAAGGCTGGAGTACAGTGACACAATCTTGGCTCACGGCAACTTCCACCTCCCAGGTTCAAGCGATTCTCCTGCCTCAGCTTCCCAAGTAGCTAGGATTACAGGCACACGCCACCACACACAGCTAATTTTTTTATATTTTTAGTAGAGACAGCGTTTCACTATGTTGGCCAGGCTGGTCTCAAACTCCTGACCTCAAGTGATCCGCAAGCCTCAGCCTCCCAAAGTACTGGGATTACAGGTGTGAGCCACTGCACCCGGCCCTCAGGTATTTCTTTACAGCAGTGCAGGCACAGCCTAATACAATGTTAAAAAGGGAAAAATTGTTGTGACCTGGGAAGACGAGAAAAGTTTTATGAGAGGCTGATCTGGAGGGAGTGGTCACCTGCAAGGAAAGCGGAGGGATCCGCTTATTCAAGGAGTTTAGCCCAGAAAGGGAAGAGAAATGGTTCCAGAGCTCACAAAAGCATTGAAATCTTCTTCAGGCCCAACATCTCTAGGTCCTTCAATTATTTCTCCCTTGCAGTTTGTGATGCCATTCCCACCCACTGTGTTATTCTTTCTCATAGCATCCTGTCTCTTCCATCATAGAAGTTGTCACAATTAGTAACCACATATTGATTTGATTAATAACTGAATGCAACTCCTTATTCTGATTATTTCATACTGCATAACAAACTGCCCCAACAGGTAGGGCTCACTGGGATGATTTTTCTGTAACACCTGGCATTAACTGGCAACTCAGAATGTATCCATTTGGTAGTTGGGCTGCTCTTCACTGAAAATCCTCATGCTTTTCTCAGGGAATGGCTGGAAGGATGGCCTCAATGAGCTCACTCCCCCCTTATGGAGTCCCGTAGTAGAGTAGGTGGACATCACTATGGACTGAGTTGTGTCCACTCTGCCCACCACATACACACAGCTCCCAACTCATGTTTTGGAATTTTAACCCCCAATGTGACTATATTTGAAGATAATTTTTTTTTTTGATAGAGTTTTGCTCTGCTGCCCAGGCTGGAGTGCAGTGCCTCAATCTTGGCTCACTGCAACCTCTGCCTCCTGAGTTCAAGTGATTCTCCTGTCTCAGCCTCCTGAGTAGCTGGGATTACAGGTGTGCACCACCATGCCCAGCTGATTTTTGTATTTTTAGTAGAGACAGGCTTTTGCCATATTGGCCAGGCTGGTCTTGAACTCCCAGCCCCAAGTGATACACCTGCCTCGGCCTCCCAAATTGCTGGAATTACAGGCGTGAGCCACCGCGACTGCCTGGAGATAGGATCTTTATAGGGATGACAATTAAGGATAAATGATGTCATAAGAGTGAGGCCCTAAGCTGATAATACTGGTGTCCTTATAAGAAGAAGAAGAGACATCAGAGGTGCATGCGCACAGAGAAAAGGTCATGTGAGGACATAGTCAGAAGGCGGCTGCCTGCGAGCCAAGGAGAGAGACCTCAGGAGAAACCAACCCTGCAGACTTTGATCTTGGACTTCCAGTATCCAGAAAATAAAATGTGAGCAAATAAATTCCCGTTTTTTAAGCCATCTAGTATTTTGTATGCCAGCCTGAGGAGACTAATAAAGACATATCTATGGTGTCTCAGGACTCAGAGACACAAGACAGGGGCTGTCAGCCCTCTTACAGCCCTGGCCTGGCACTGGTATAGAATCACTTCTGCCATACAGTGTTAGTCACAGTACTCATAGGCCAGCCCACCAGATTCAAGGGGCTGGAGGAGTGGGCTGCACCCTGTTTTCTGTTGTTGTTGTTGTTTGTTTGTTTGTTTTTTGAGACAGAGTTTCACTCTTGTTGCCCAGGCTGGAGTGCAATGGTGTGATCTTGGCTCACTGCAACCTCTACCTCCCAGGTTCAAGTGATTCTCCTGCCTCAGCCTCCCAAGTAACTGGGATTACAGGCATGCGCCACCATGCCCAGCTAATTTTGTATTTTTAGTAGAGACAGGGTTTCTCCATGTTGCTTAGGCTAGTTTTGAACTCCTGACCTCAGGTGATCTGCCTGCTTTGGCTTCCCAAAGTGCTGGGATTACAGGTGCGAGCCACCGCACCCGGCCTTTTTTTTTTTTAAGATGAGGATCTCACTCTGTCGCCCAGGTTGGAGTGCAGTGGCATGATCATAGCTCACTGCAGCCTCAAACTCCTGGGCTCAGGCAATCCTCCCACCTTAGCCTCCCAAGTAGCTGGAACTACAGGCATGTGCCATGATGCCCAGCTTACATATCTTGGTGATCCAATGTCATGTGCATATGAGAGGTCTCTAAGATAGTGACTATCTTGGAGACAGCTACCATCTCGGCCTCCATCCAGCCCCCAGTGGCCTGTCAGCTCCATAAGGGCAGGAATCTTGTCTAGTGTGTTTACCAGGCATGGTCTGCTCATATTCAAAATGCCTGTGTTAAAATCAAGGAAATCCTCAACCCCTTGCTGTTTGAAAGAAGGGGTCAGATTAGCTTTTCCTCCCACTGTCTTCAAAGATTTTATCCCCAGGAAATAGAATATAGCTAAATGTTGGGAAGCACATAACCAATTCAAAAATAAATTATATTTAGATGACTAATGACAATTACATTTTTCAGTGGGTCTTGATGCATAGACCAGTGAGCATTATCTCAGTCCCCTTGCCATAGTAATTGGTTCAGGAATAGGTAGTAAAACCAAACCTAAGCCAACTGGCACATGAATTTCTCTGTCCACAGGGATTAGTCCAATCAATAAGAGCAAAACACAGGGCTTTGCTGGCTGGGAAAGACAAGTCATTGATGCTGTGACTGCAGAAATTTTTTAAAATTTATTTTGACATAATTGTAGATTCACATACAGTTATAGGATGTAATTAAGATTCAGTGGCTGGGTGCAGTGGCTCGCTCCTATAAGCCTTGCACTTTGGGAGGCAGAGGAGGGAAGATTGCTTGAGGCCAGGAGTTCAAGATCAGCCTGACCAACATGGCAAAACCCTGTCTCTACTAAAAATACAAAAATTACCTAGCCATGGTGGCACATGCCTGTAATCCCAGCTACTTGGGAGGCTGAGGCATGAGAATTGCTTGAACCCAGGAGGCGGAGGTTACAGTGAGCCAAGATCATGCCACTGCACTCCAGCCTGGGCGACAGAGCAAGACTCTGTCTCCAAAAGAATAAAATAAAATAAAAATAAAGATCCAGCATACCCTTCACTCAGTTTCTCCCAATGGTAACATCTTGCATAAATATAGTACAATATCACACCAGGAAATTATTTTTGATAAAATCCACCAATCTTACTCAGATTTCACCATTTTTACATACACTCATCTGTTTGTGTGTGTTTAGTTCTATACAATTTTATTGCATGTGTAAATATCACATAGGAACAACATTACAGTCAAGATACAAAACTGTTCCATCACAAGGATCCCTCAGGGTACCCTTTTATAGCCACAGACACCTCCTTCCCTTCTCTCTCCCTAATGCCTAGCAACTACTCATCTGCTCTCTATCTCTATAATTTTATCATTTCGAGAATGTTGTGGGCTGGCCACAGCGGCTCACTCCTGTAATTCCAGCACTTTGGGAAGTCGAGGTAGGTGGATCATTTGAGGTCAAGAGTTGGAGACTAGCCTGGCCAATATGGTGAAAACCCGTGTTTACTAAAAATACAAAAAAAAAAAAATAGCTGGGCATGGTGGTACATGCCTTAATCCTAGCTACTCCGGAGGCTGACACAGGAGAATCACTTGAACCCGGAAGGCAGAGGCTGCAGTGAGCCGAGATTGTCCCACTGCACTCCAGCCTGAGTAACACAGTGGGACTCTTTCCCAAAAATAAATAAATAAATAAATGTTATTAATGGAATCATACAAATCACAACCTGAGATTGACTTTTCTCACTCAGCATAATTTCCTTGAGATCTATCCAAGTTGCTGCCTATCTCAGTAGTTCATTCATTTTTATCTCTGGGTAGTATTTCATAATATGGATGTGCCACTGTTTAACTCTTCACCATTCGAGGACATTTGAATTATTTCTAGGCTTGGCTATTACGAACAATGTTTTGTGCAGATTCTTGGGTGAACAAACATTTTTATTTCTCTGAGATAAATGCCCAGTGACATACAAATTTGAGACTCTAAACTGCAGCAGCTGTTTGGCTACCTCATCAGAGAGATTCCACCCTGATGACCCAATATAAAGTAATAACCATCACTCTTCATCTTCCATATTCTGATTCATTCCACTTTATGGCATGTTTCATACCATGTGTTTATTGCTTGGTTTGCTTATCATCCAACTTTCCCTCTAGAAAGTAATTCCATGACCCCAGCAACCTTGTCTGTTTTGTTCCACACAGTGTCCTGGAATCTAGAAGACTGGCACATAGTTGACACTCAACAAACATTTGTTGAATAAATTAATGAGTAAGTAAATCTCAGACACCTTTCCCTATTAGATTATTTCTTCTTTTTCTTCTTCTCCTTCTTCTTCCTCTTCTTCTTCTTCTTCTTCCTCCTTCTTCTTCTTCTTCTTCCTCCTCCTCCTCCTCTTCCTCTTCTTCTTCCTCCTCCTCCTTCTTCTTTGTTTTTGTTTTTGGAAACTGCATAGCATTTCATTGTACACCTGCATAATATTTTCATTAACTTATCCCCTGTTGGAGCATATTGACGTTGGTCCCAGTATTTTACAAATCCAAACAATGCTGTAATGGCAATCCTTGTATAATCAAACATCTCTGTCCAGATGGGAGAGAAGCAGAGTAGAAGGTTCTAAGAGTGAGTGCATTTAAATTTTTTTAGTGATTGTCAAATTGTTTTCTTTTACTTTTTTTTTTTTTTAATCGAGATGGAGTTTTGCTCTTGTCACCCAGGATGGAGTGCAATGGCGTGACCTCGGCTCACCGCAACATCTGCCTCCCGGGTTCAAGCTATTCTCCTGCCTCAGCCTCCTGAGTAGCTGGGATTACAGGCATGCGCCAACACGCCCAGCTAATTTTGTATTTTTAATAGAGACAGAGTTTCTCCGTGTTGGTCAGGCTGGCCTCGAACTCCTGACCTCAGGTGAGCCACCCGCCTCAGCTCCCAAAAGTGTTGGGATTACAGGCGTGAGCCACCGCGCCCAGCCCAATTGTCAAATTGCTTTCAATGGTGTTCTCCCAATTTACATTCTCACAGTGTACTGGAATTCCTCATATTCTCATTAATACTGAATACTGTCAAAGTTTTAAATCTTTGCTAATCTCATAAATTAAAATTAACATCACCTCTTTTCACATGTTTATTGACCATTTGTTCTTTTTCTCTGTACCATCTGTTCATGACCTTTGCTCATTTTTCTTCTCTCTTTTTTTGCTTTTATTTGTGCAAATATTTTGTCTCAAGGAAATTCATCCTTTGTTTAATTTGCTAAAAACATCTTTCCCCAATTTTCCTTTATCATTCAGCTGTTTAGAAAATTTTTTTATAAGAAGACATCTAATTTTGAATTCTGTATAACCAAATTTATCCATTTGTGACTTCTGTGGGGTCATGTTTAGAAAGATCTTCCAGATGACAAGTGCCTTAAAAAAAATCAATCAGTTTTCTTTTTCCTGGAATTTTTATGGATTAATTTTCTTAAAAAAATTTCATTGATCAATAATATAGTTCAGTATAAGAAGTGAGATGAGATCTTTTTTCTCCCAAGTAGCTAGCCAGTTATTCCACAATCATTTATTGAATGTATAGCACCAACCTGCAATTTCTCCTGTATCTTGTACTAAATTCTTTTTTTTTTTTTTTTTTTGGAAATGGGGTCTGGCTCTGTCACCCAGGCTGGAGTGCAGTGGTGCAATCTCGGCTCACTGCAACCTCCGCCTCCTGGGTTCAAGGGATTCTGCTGCCTCAGCCTCCTGAGTAGCTGAGACTACAGGCGCCTGCCACCACGCCCGGCCAATTTTTCTATTGGTAGTAGAGATGGGGTTTTACCATGTTGGCCAGGATAGTCTTGATCTCCTGACCTCGTGATCCACCTGCCTTGGCCTCCCAAATGCTGGGATTACAGGCGCGAGCCACTGCGCGCGGCCAAAGCCAGCTTTCTTTTGCAGGGGCTGAGACCTGGCACCAAGAGGAAACCCAACAAAAGACGAGGGGCCCGGGCCCGGCAGCCGCTGAAGTTTGTAGGCCCGGAGCGTGTGGCACCATCTGCTCTTGCGACCAGTGCCCTAGGATAGAGCTTCAGCGCGACCAGTCCAAAGGAGAGTGGCGGAGCCTCCTCGGCCTTTCCAAGAGGAAACAGCTCAGGCCCCCAGGCCACGAAATCTTGTCACTCGCTGGAAGCGCGAGCCAAGCCCCGCCCCCGCGAGCCGCCTCTTCCGCTCGCGCTGGGGTGGGGTTTACGCTGCCGCCGGCATCCGCTCGGACGCGGCCACGTTGTCTTGCGCGCTTTGCCCGCCTGGCCCTGGGACTCTGACCCTCGGCTACCCTTTCCTGCCCCACTAGCGTGGCCGCGAGCCTCGGTGAGCCGGCCGTATTCCCGCTCTCGCTTAGGGGGCACAGGCGCAGGCATCGGCCCGGCCACTCCAAGCCTTCGGTGCGCGGGCGCGTCTGGGATACGGGCCCGGGAGGCGCCGCCCTCCGTCCGCCCGGTGCCTCTCAGGAACAGCGAACCGGAGAGAGCGCCGGAGAGTTGGGCTCAGTGCAGAGCTCGGCGCCGGGGCCCATGCCCGTGCGCCCCCGCAGGCCGGCGCCATGGCCTCCGGGAGTGTGGCCGAGTGCCTGCAGCAGGAGACCACCTGCCCCGTGTGCCTGCAGTACTTCGCAGAGCCCATGATGCTCGACTGCGGCCATAACATCTGTTGCGCGTGCCTCGCCCGCTGCTGGGGCACGGCAGAGACTAACGTGTCGTGCCCGCAGTGCCGGGAGACCTTCCCGCAGAGGCACATGCGGCCCAACCGGCACCTGGCCAACGTGACCCAACTGGTGAAGCAGCTGCGCACCGAGCGGCCGTCGGGGCCCGGCGGCGAGATGGGCGTGTGCGAGAAGCACCGCGAGCCCCTGAAGCTGTACTGCGAGGAGGACCAGATGCCCATCTGCGTGGTGTGCGACCGCTCCCGCGAGCACCGCGGCCACAGCGTGCTGCCGCTCGAGGAGGCGGTGGAGGGCTTCAAGGTGAGGGCGCGGATCCGGGAGGGCGGGAGCGCGAGTCGGACAAAGGGAGGAGAGAGCCAAAGGGGCTTCCTTTTTTCCGCCTAGAAAATGGCTGAGCCGGACGTGTGGTTCACAGCCGTCATTTCCTCTCTGTCCGCTCCAGAGCCTCAGCACTCAGATTTGGAGGAAAACCTGTAGCTGGCGAGGAAGCCAGGAGTGTCCCCACCCCCACTCTCTTTTCTCTGTTTACCCCCATGTTACCTGTCTCACGGACACATTGTACACGGAGACATCCTTTTGACAGTTTAAAAGAAGTGCATAAAACCGCGTACACATCGACAAGCTGCAGACACTCTTACTCCCATCGGCTCTCAGACAAAACGCAGTTGGACGTTAACTGACTTATGCCCATTCCTTAGTCTATAAGCATTTCCCCAGCACTTTCCTGCAATCCGTCCTGGTCTAGAAACTCACAGAAAAGAACAGCTTTTCGCTGCTGGAGTAAGTCACTTAACCACTCTGAGACTCAGGAGATAACACAGTTATGAGGAATATTGTGGAATCATGTGACTCACAGAGCCCTTTGTGAACTGGCACAGCTAAACAGAAACGTGGAAACAAAGTATTACATATAAAACAGTTGTAAGGTGACCTTCAAGGAGTCCATGATACTGTGTATTTTCTGTACGTTGAGGGCTTCAGGAATGCGTACACAATTATGTCCGTGTTTAAATATGAGTACATTCATGTGCAATCACTTAACATTTATGGACCTTTCAGCTATATTATTTCACTCACTCTGGTGAGAACTCTTGAGTAGGTTGGGAAGATGGTGTTTGCCCATTTCACACATGAGGGAAATAAGTCACTTTCACAGTGTACCTATATGGAAGAGCTACAATACAACATAGTTCTAAGCCTCCTACTCCAGTCACAGTTCCGCTAAGTCATGCAATATCCTACCAGGGACAGGTAGATGACTCATTGTTTAAGATAGACACAAATAGTCCTGACGAGGTAGCTGAGTGGTTGAAGCCACAGGCTGCTAAGATAGACACAGATTGCCAAAGGAGTGGCTTGTTTGCCCCTGCGCCCTGAGTCTCTTGTGGGTGGCAGTGTGGCCTAAGGACAAGCGCCAACTGGAGACTTGGCATCAGGTGTGTGGACTCCATGTGTGATAAGAAGTACCATGCTGATGCTAAGGTCTACCTAATTTTGAACTGCCCATCTGTTTTGCTTTTCTCAGGAGCAAATCCAGAACCAGCTCGACCATTTAAAAAGAGTGAAAGATTTAAAGAAGAGACGTCGGGCCCAGGGGGAACAGGCACGAGCTGAACTCTTGGTAAGGGTTGTTGGAATTCACAGTTGGTTCTGCTGGTGCTCTCCTCTTCTGTAGAGCTGATGTTACTTCCCTTAAACTTGTCCAGCATGTCACCCAGAACTTGTAGGTAGAGGTGGATCAACCGCACATGGCAGTGGGAACTCACCCGGAGAACTAAGATTCCCTTACTTTTGGGGAAAGCATGGAGAAGCCAAGTTTGGAACCCTTGGAAATCAGACCTGTCAGTTTACTTTAACCTGCTAACTGCGTAGACCAGGGTTGATCCTTGGCAAAGCTGAGATAGGTAAAATTATTGGATACAGTTAGCTTGCGTTGGTACCATTCTGCAGACAATTGCTAATAGTGGATTTGTGTAATCCCCACTGTTGCTTCTCTTTGGCTTATTCTCCTTTCTTAACAATGCCTTAATTCTGAATTTTTTACTCTGCCCTCTTCCTCCAGTCTCAAGGCCTTAACAAGTGGCTGATGTGTTAATTTATATTAGGGGTATATGGGAATTTTTTTTTTTTTTTTTAAGACAGGGTCTCACTGTCATCCAGGCTGGAGTGCAATGGTGAGGTTTTGGCTCGCTGCAACCTCTGCCTCCCAGTTCAAGCGATTCTCCCACCTCAGCCTCCCAGGTAGCTGAGGCTACAGGCGTACGCCAACAGACTCAGCTAATTTTTGTATTTTTAGTAGAGATGGTGTTTCTCCATGTTGGTTAGGCTGGTCTCGAACTCCCGACCTCAGGTGATCCGCCCACCTCAGCCTCCCAAAGTGCTGGGATTACAGACGTGAGCCACCGCGCCCAGCCTGGCTCCTTGTTTAGAACAAAAGTTTATAATAGAGTCCTGTTGGTGGTGGGGGTTGGGTGAAGAACGAAGGACAGTAAATTATGGCAAACAAATGAGCGCCAAGAGGGAATCGTGGGGAGAGCACCTCTCCCCCTCCTACCCAAAGCTAGAGACAGCAGTTGGTGAACACCCGTGAAGGACAGACAGCGGGTATGGATTACATATGAAGGGCCCAGGGAAATTGGGCAAGGAAGCTGTTATTGGTTGTTCCATCCTCCATAGGGCACATATCTGACCCTGTCACTTTCCTGTGTGACAATCTTCCATGCTTCCCAGTTGGGATAGAGTCCTTACCCCCAGCCTCCCAGGCCAGGCATGACAAGGCCTTACCTTTTCTGGTCCCTTCCCTCAACACTCATGTGCTCCAGCCAGATAGCACCATTTGCTTTCTCTCCCCACTCTTTTGCCTGTGCCATTTCTTCTGCCTGGAAAGGCTTCCCGCTCATTGCCTATGTGGTGAATTCTTGTTCATCACATGAACATTGTGTGAAATTGCTTCTGTGAAGATGGTACCAGTTTCTTTCATTGCAGGCTGTCACCCTATCTTTAATTACCCATCCATGACTATGTATATCATATGAACCTGACTCACTTCTCTGAGTTGCTTGAGAACAGGGACTATGTCTTAATAATCACTGGGGTAATTCAGTTCCTGGGCATTATATATCCAGTCAGTAAAGACTGGAAATAATGAGTTAGCACTGTGCTTGTTTTAATCCATAATGAGGTCTTGGGCTACATGGTCACAGGAGAACTATGAAGGCCCTAGAAATGAGCCGTTTTTCTCTTTACTGCCTTTCCCTGTCGTCTGCATAGAGCCTAACCCAGATGGAGAGGGAGAAGATTGTTTGGGAGTTTGAGCAGCTGTATCACTCCTTAAAGGAGCATGAGTATCGCCTCCTGGCCCGCCTTGAGGAGCTAGACTTGGCCATCTACAATAGCATCAATGGTGCCATCACCCAGTTCTCTTGCAACATCTCCCACCTCAGCAGCCTGATCGCTCAGCTAGAAGAGAAGCAGCAGCAGCCCACCAGGGAGCTCCTGCAGGTAAGGCTTGCAGAGCCCTGCTAGAGCAGCACCCACTGAAAATATCGTCCCTTCTCCTTTGCCAAGTAGTATCCAGGACCCCCTGTCTTCTTTTTAACTCTGCAGGAATAGCAAGAGCTTGCCAAACTCTATATTGTGCACCTTGGAAGGAAACTGTGTAAACTAGAAGTTCTGGTTCACACAACTTGAATTAGTCAATTGCGTTGTCTCATAGAAATGGCAAAAAGAAGACCTGGTGCTTGTGCCTACACAGCACTGACAAGTGGTCTGATTACAGGCAAGGCTCTCAACCTTTTTGGGCCTCAGTGACCTCATTTGTTCAGTAATGAGGGGCTTAGACCACATGTCATTCAAAGACTCTCCTCACTCCAGTATCCTGTAGTTTTAATGTATTACTATAGCCACAAAACAATGAGCACTTGAGCAGGAGTGGTTAGGTTACCTGAGCAGTCCTGTGATTTAACCTTGGTAGAGCAGGTGATAAAGCTGCAGCAGACCTACCCCGGCAAGACTACAGGAAATGAGCTAATGCCTGTCTGTCGTTTGCTCATTCAGTGCGTATTAATTATTTGCTTTGTGTCAGGCACTATTCTAGGCACTGGGATTAAGTGCCAAATAAGCTTTCCTGAATTATATTTTAGTGTGGCGATCAGATAGTTCTTATAGGTATTTGATAAAAGCCATTAAAAATGGATGATGGCGGGCCAGGTGCAGTGGCTCACACCTGTAATCCCAGCACTTTGGGGGGCCGAGGCGGGTGGATCACAAGGTCTAGGACTTCAAGACTAGCCTGGCCAAGATGGGGAAACCCCGTCTCTACTAAAAATACAAAAATTAGCCAGGCATGGCGGTGTGCCTGTAGTCCCAGCTACGCGGGAGGCTGAGGCAAGGAATTGCCCAAAACCAGGAGGAAGTGGTTGCAGTGAGCCAAGATCGCGCCACTGTACTCCAGCCTGGGCAACAGAGCGAGACTCTGTCTCAAAAAAATAAATAAATAATAAAAAATAAAAATAAAAATGGATGATGGCATAGGGCAAGGGTCAGCAAATTATGGTCCATCCCCTGTTTTTGTATGTCCTGGGCAATAAGTATGGTTTTTACATTTTAATTTTAATTTAATATTATTTATTTATTTTGAGATTGAGTCTTGCTCTGTTGCCCAGGCTGGAGTGCAGTGGTGCGATCTTGGCTCACTGCAACCTCCGCCTCCTGGGTTCAAGCGATTCTCCTGCCTCAACCTCCTGAGTAGCTGAGATTACAGGCGCACACCACCATGGCTGGCTAATTTTTGTATTTTTAGTAGAGACGGGGTTTCACCATATTGGTCAGGCTGGTCTCAAACTCCTGACCTCGTGATCTGCCCTCCTCGGCCTCCCAAAGTGTTGGGATTACAAGTGTGAGCCACAGCGTCAGGCCAGTTTACATTTTTAAATGGTAAAAATCAGAAAAATGTATTTCTTTCTTTCTTTTTTTCTTTTTTTATTTTTGAGACGAAGCAAGAAGGGAGTGGACAGCATAGTAATGCAGTTGAGGTCAAATAATATCAAAGCTGATACCCATTTGATTCAATAACATGACCATCATTGGTGATCTTAGGTAGAACTATCACAATGGAATAATTGGGGCAGGAGCCACATTAGGGGGAGTTGAGTAGTGACTAGGTCAGGTGAATGGAGACTACACAAGTAGATGACTATTTCAAGTACAACTGTTAAGGGGTTGTAATAAAATACTTAGAGACGAGACAGGATTATGGAGTTTTATCTGGAAGGGTTGGTTAAAGAAACTAGAAGTTAGACATATTTTCAAAATACATATGGAAAGGAGTATATGTTGTAAGGTTTCTAGGTGAGGGAGAACACTGAAGCCACAAGAAACCATATACTGGCCGGGCACGGTGGCTCATGCCTGTAATCCCAGCACCTCGGGAGGCCGAGGTGGGCAGATCACCTGAGGTCGGGAGATTGAGACCAGCCTGACCAACATGGAGAAACCCCATCTCTATTAAAAATACAAAATTAGCCGGGTGTGGTGGCGCATGCTTGTAATCCCAGCTACTCAGGAGGCTGAGGCAGGAGAATCGCTTGAACCAGTGAGACGATGGTTGCAGTGAGCCGAGATTGCGCCATTGCATTCCAGCCTGGGCAATGAGCGAAACCCTGTCTCCAAAAAAAAAAAAAAGAAAGGAAGAAAGAAACCATGTACTGATCAGCAATGTGCGGTTCCTGAGAAGGCAGGTGGAAATGAGAACTAAAGTACATATGCCAGGAATTAGTGTCAGAGAGTCTTCTGTTGTATGGGAAGAAATGATTGTTTCAGAGTATGGGAAAGACAGTTGGTTTGCGAGAACTAGTAGGAGTATTTGGTCAGTGAACATCTATTTATAGTGTAACCATTCTGCCCTGTTGTGTAACTTTCTTTTTTTTTTTTTTTTTAAGACATACTCTTGCTCTGTTGCCCAGGCTGGAGTGCAGTGGTGCAATCTTGGCTCACTGCAACATCCCCCTCTCAAGTTCAAGCAATTCTCCTGCCTCAGCCTCCCAAGTAGCTGGGATTACAGGCGTGTGCCACCACGCCCAGCTAATTTTTGTATTTTTTATAGAGACGGAGTTTCACCATGTTGGCCAGGCTGGTCCTGAACTCCTGACCTCAGGTGATCCTTCTGCCTCGGCCTCCCAAAGTGCTGGGATTACAGGTGCGAGCCACCGTGCCCAGCCCCTGTCGTGTAACTTTCTTATCAGCTTTGCTTTCTCAAATCTTGACTGCTCTGGCGTGGGCACTGAGTAAGCAGATGGTCAGTCTCATCCAGGATTGGGGTTTTGCAAGATGGACTTGAGTGTTTTTTTTTCCTTAGTTTTTATTGTTGTTGTTTGAGACAGGGTCTCACTCTGAAACCCAGGCCGGAGTGCAGTGACATGATCATGGCTCACCGCAGCCTTGACCTCCCAGGCTCAGATGATCCTCCCACCTCAGCCTCCCAAGTAGCTGGGACTACAGGCGTAAACCACCATGCTTGGCTAATTTGTGTAATTTTTGTAGAGATGGAGTTTTGCCATGTTGCCTCGGCTGGTCTTGAACTCCTGGGCTCAAGCAATCCATCCGCCTCAGCCTCCCAAAGTGCTAGGATTACAGGTGTGAGCCACCACATCCAGCCTTCCAGCCTTCTTCATTTTTTTAATTGTAAAATATACGTAACCTAAATTTCACCATTTTAAAGTGTAAAACTCTGGCACAAAGTAGCATTTAGTAAATCCACAGTGTTGTAAATTATCAACCACTGTCTGGATCTAAAACACTTTTACCACCCAAAAGGAAACCTCACACTATTAAGCAATCACTCCTCATTTCCTTCTACCCCTAACTCCTGGCTCTATGGATTAGTCTATTCTAGATATTAGATATAATTGAAATCATACAGTACGTAGCCTTTTTCTTCACTTAGCATACTTTTTTTTTTTTTTGAGGCAGAGTTTCACTCTTGTTGCCCAGGCTGGAGTGTAACGGCACGATCTCCGCTCACCGCAACCTCCGCCTGCCAGGTTCAAGCGATTCTCCTGCCTCAGCCTTCCGAGTAGTTGGTATTACAGGCATGCGCCACCACCCCTGGCTAATTTTGTATTTTTAGTAGAGACGGGGTTTCTCCATGTTGGTCAGGCTAGTCTCAAACTCCTGACTTCAGGTGATCCACCCACCTCAGCCTCCCAAAGTATTGGGATTACAGGTGTGAGCCACCACGCCCGGCCTATCACTTAGCATATTTTTTTAAAGATTCATTCATATTGTAATATGTTTCAGTACTGGCCAGGCGCGGCGGCTCACGCCTGTAATCCCAGCACTTCAGGAGGCCGAGGTGGGCAGATCACGAGGTCAGGAGTTCGAGACCAGCCTGGCCAACATGGTGAAACCCCGTCCCTACTAAAAATACAAAAATTAGCCAGGCGTGGTGGCGCATGCCTGTAATCCCAGCTACTCAGGAGGCTGAGGCAGGACAATCACTTGAACCTGGGAGGCAGAGGTTGTAGTGAGCCGAGATCGTGCCATTGCACTCCAGCCTACGCAATAGAATGAGACTCCATCTCAAAAAATATATATATGAAAAAATATATATTTCAGTACATATATATATGTTTCAGTATTTCTCTTTATGGCTGAATAACATTCCATTGTATGGATATATAATATGTTTTGTTTATTCATCAGTCGATGGGCATTTTGGTTGTTTGCACCTTTTGGCTATTGTCAATAGTGCTGCTGTGAACATTGAACACAAAAAGTAGAAAATGGTTCACAAATTTGTGTGTTATCCTTGTGCAGGAGCCATGCTAATCTGTGCATGGTTCCCATTTGAGGATATCTGCTGCTGAAGCAAGCACCATAATTAAGGCTTTAAAACCTTTTTTTAAATTTTTTTTAGACAAAGTCTCACTCTGTTGCCCAGGCTGGAGTGCAGTGGCACAATCTCAGCTCACTGCAGCTTCCACCTCCTGAGTGAGTTTCCTGCCTCAGCCTCCCGAGTAGCTGGGATTACAGGCACACACCACCACACCTAGCTAATTTTTGTATTTTTGGTAGAGATGGGGTTTCACCATGTTGGCCAGGCTGGTCTTCAACTCCTGACCTCAGGTGATCCGCCTACCTTGGCCTCCCAAAGTGCTGGTATAATAGACGTGAGCTACTGCGCCTGGTCTAAAGCTTCTTTTTTTTTTTTTTTTTTTTTTTTTAAGAATATTTTTTTAAACAGATGGAGCATGAAACTGAAGGTGGATGATGAGGAAAGGAGAGAAAGAAAGAAGTCATGGACTCAGTAAGGGAGGAGGGGCTCCATGAATATCAAAAAGTGTTTATGTTGGAAGTCACTGGAAAAGCAGGATAAATATTACTTAATGGGGCAATACTGGAGGCATTCCCATTGAGGTCAGAAACAGGCCGGATGCCCAGTATCATTTATCTCTATTTAACACTGCATTAAAGGTTCTAACCAGTTCAGTTAAATAAAATAATTATAGGTATACAAATTGGGAAAGAAGTTAACATACAGAAATCAGCAGCCTTCATATGCCAGATAGCAGCCACTAGAAGACATATTAGAAGAGAACATGCTGTTTCCATTTGCAAAAAAAAAACAAGTGATAAAATATCTGGGAATAAATTTATAAGAAATATACAAAAACCTATGTGGAGAAAATTATAAAACATTCAAAGATTCCTGAAAGACACAAAATAAACTTGAACAAATAAAGAGATATCACTTATTCTTTGATAAGACAGGGAAAGCAAGTTGTCCTTCACATTCATAAATGCAGTTTCTTTTTTTTTTCTGTTACTCGGATATATTATGTAGTGAAGTCTCGGATTTCAGTGTAACCATCACCCAGGTACCCAGTGTACGTTGTACCCATTAAGTAATCTGTTATCCCTCATCCCCCCCCCCCCCACCCTTGCAATTTCAATAAAAATACCAACAAGCTCTTTTTCTGGATCTAGACAAATTGACAGTCAACTTCAGATAGAAAAATAAGCACATAATAATATGCACATATAAAATAAGCACATATTATTATGTGCTTATTTTTATGGGATAGGCCGGGTGCAGTGACTCACACCTGTAATCCCAGTACTTTGGGAGGCCGAGGCAGGTGGATCACATTAGGTCAGGAGTTTGAGACCAGCCTGGCCAACATGGCAAAACCCCGTCGCTATTAAAAATACAAAAATTAGCCAGGTGTGGTGGCACATGCCTGTAATCTCAGCTACCTGGGAGGCTGAGGCAGGAGAATCTCTTGAACCCGGAGGTGGAAGTTGCAGTGAGCTGAGATCGCACCATTTCACTCCAGCCTGGGAGGCAGATCAAGACTCTGTCTCAAAAAAAAAAAAAAAAGCTGGGATAGATCACTAGAGCCCAAGAGGTTGAGCCTGCAGTGAGCTATGATTGCACCACTGCACTCCAGCCTGGGTAACAGAGCAAGACTCTGTCTTAAAAAAAAAAAAAAAACATAGGTAGGCTACACTGTGAAAGAAGAGCTCTGAGGGAGAACTGGCCCTACTAGATACTACACCATATTTTAAAGCCCATATAATTAAAGCTGTTGGTATTAGTACAAGAAAAAAGCGCACACACATTGTAACCAGTCAAAAGATAGTATTAAAATTGAATATTTGCCACAAATATCACAAATACAAGTGATAGTTCTAATATAAAAAGACCTTTTAAGTATTGCGAGAGAAAAGACCAAAATTCTAGAGAAAAATGGGTTGAAGGCACAAATAGACAAGCTGCAAAAGACATAAATTGCTTTGTGAACATGTGAAAAAATGCTCAGCTGTACTTATAATAAGAGAAATGCAAACTAAAACCACACTAAAATACCATTTCTTACTCGTTACAATAGCAAAAATTTTCAACTTAATACACTTTTGACGAAGTGTCGGAGAGACACTCATATGCCAGTGGGCTGGTAGGAATGCAAAATCATGACCCTTTTGGAGGAGAATTTCTCAATATTTAACAAAACTGTATGTGTGTGTGTGTATGTATACACACAGTTAGAATTAACAATTTTTCTAGGAAGGGTAGAGGGAGGAGAGATGAGAGATTGATTAATGGGTACAAATATACAGTTTGATAGAAGAAATAAAACCTAGTGTTTGATAGGTCAGTAGGGTGACTGTAGTTTACAAAACTATTATATATATCTATGTATATACACACACATATACATACGTATATTTTATATATATATATATATATATTTTTTTTTTTGAGATGGAGTTTCACTCTTGTTGCCCAGGCTGGAGTACAATGGCAAGATCTCAGCTTACCGCAACCTCTGCCTCCCGGGTTCAAGCGATTCTCCTGCCTCAGCCTCCCGAGTAGCTGGGATTACAGGCATACGCCACCATGCCCGGCTAATTTTGTATTTTTAGTAGAGACGGGGTTTCTCCATGTTGGCCAGTCTGGTCCCAAACTCCCGACCTCAGGTGATCCGCCCGCCTGGACCTCCCAAAGTGCTGGGATTACAGGCGTGAGCCACTGCGCCTGGCCTATTTTATAGTCCAAAGTGACTAGAGGAGAATAATTGCAATGCTTCTTGCATAAAGAAAAGGCAAATATTTAACGATGTGATGGATATCCCAATACACTGATTTCTTTACAAATTATGAACGTGTTAAATTATCGCATGCACCCCCAAAATATATATGTCTGTTACGTATCAATAAAAAATTTTAAAAATCTAAGAATTTACTTTGAAGATATAACTATTAAAATATATTTGAAAATACATATGCACAAGATAACCTGCTGCAACATTTTTATAATTGCAAAATACTGGAAATAGTCTGACTTAGAAACCTACAAGATTGTTTTAGTTAATTATGCACATATACACTATGGAATACTATCCAAGTTAAAAAAAGGAAAAGAATGATACCTATGAACTGATACGGAGTGGTTTTCAGTATATATTGCTTTGTGGAAAATAAAAATGTGAAATAGAGAGTATGCTACTTTTTTTTTTTTTCCTGAGACAGAGTTTCACTCTTGTTGCCCAGGCGTGAGCCACCGCGCCTGACAAGAGTATGCTACTTTTTGTGTATGAAAGAAGGGAGAGGCCACCGCTGGCTCACACTTGTAATCCCAGCACTTTGAGAGGCCGAGGTGGGTGGATCACCTGAGGTCAGGAGTTCAAGACCATCCTGGCCAACATGGCAAAATGCTGTCTGTGCTAAAAACACAAAAATTAGCTGGGCGTGATGGCAGACACCCGTAGTCCCAGCTACTCAGGAGGCTGAGGCAGGAGAATTGCTCGAACCCGGGTGGCAGAGGTTGCAGTGAGCCAAGATCGCGCCATTGCACTCCAGCCTGGGCTACACAGAGCGAGACTCCGTCTCAAAAAAAAAAAAAAAAAAAAGTATACTGGAGTTCTTTGTACTAACAGCTTTTCCGTGTATTTGAAATTATTTCATAATAAAAAGAAAGCAAGCTGGACAGGTAGGCAAGCTTGAGGTCCAATCATAGGACGCTTAAGTTAGTAAATTTGAAATCCTGAGGTCCTTGACCAGTGGATGGTGGGTACTGAAGGAGGGTATGGGAAATGCTGGTATAGCAAATAGTATGCATCCCATTTTCCTCTGCCTGCCTTTTAGCTCCTCAACACTGAGTTATGTTCCAGTGATCCTTTTCTCCCTAATTTCTCCCATGAGAGCCAGTCTGTAGTTGGTTTTTCAACAAACATCTGTGAAAGAAAACCGAAGTTTTAAATGACTTCTCATGGTTATTTTTTTTCCTTTCTCTTGCAGGACATTGGGGACACATTGAGCAGGTATAGTTTTCTGTTTCCCTAGTGTTAAATCAAATATGAGAAGACTGTCTCCTTCACATTTGTAAATCCTGAAAGGAGCCCTGAGCCTGAGGATGGACATCTTATCAAATTGACACATATCCCTGAAGAGAGTCACTAGTATACAAAGAATTAGATGAACCACAGCTCTACTCAGTAAAATTCAGGAAGTAGGGGGTTCATGTGGGAGGCTGCCGGTGGATTAGGGGTATGAGGACACTTCCATGGAGAGGGTGTGGCCTTACAGGGACCTGGGCTGAATATAAGGGTAGTTTATGTCTATTGCTTCCTATACATTTCAGAATCCTTTCCCCCTTCATTATCTCATTTTTTTTTTTTCTGTAATGGGGGAAATAAAGCCTAAGAAAGGTGTGACTGGCCTGCATTTACATAATTACTGATGAGCCACCTGGATTCTGGCTCTTATTCTTACTCTTGCTATTTCTCTATGTTCCATCAAAAAAAAAAAAAGTGAGGAAGAACTCCCTGGCAGCTGGAACACGATCAAAGAGGGAGAGCTTGGAGGGGGCAGTAAGCCAGGGCAAAGTTGTTTTGCAGGATGGATGACGAGGCAAGTGGGATGGGCCTTGGGAAGCTCATGTTTGGTGTAAGAATGCCTTCAGGGGTGGAAACTGACTTTGAGGAAGCTGTACTGTGAAGGTGATTAAGATCCTGAATGGTGAAAACCTTCTAAAGCAAAATGCAGCTTGACTATGTGGGAGCATTTAAGGAGATTGGGGAGGTCCTTATAGATGGGGCAGTTTGGCTGGGAGGCCTGTGTTGATAGAATCATGTTGATGGAATTGAGGTTCCTGAGGGATCCTAGGATGGAGATAAGGTGGAGTTCATACCAGTCCCAGCCAGATGACCTAAGCAAATAATACTGTTACCTGATACTTTATGATGCCAGTCTAGCTGTGACCTAACATACAGAGTTAGCTGCCTCAGACCCTAGCAGTTTGTGACATTAAGGATTGAATTTGGCTATATAAGATAGGAAACCCAAAATTTTATTGGCTTAAGGCTTAAACATAATAAAAGAAATGTGCAGGTTGGGTGCGGTGGCTCACACCTGTAATCCCAGCATTTTGGGAGGCCAAGTCAGGTGGATCACCTGAGGTCAGGAGTTCGAGACCAGCCTGACCAACATGGTGAAACCCCATTTCTACTAAAAATACAAAAATTAGCTGGGCGTGGTGGTGCATGCCTGTAATCCCAGCTACTTGGGAGGTTGAGGCAGGAGAATTGCTCAAACTCTTGTGGCGGAGGTTGCAGTGAGCTGAGATCATGCCACTGCACTCTAGCCTGGGCGACAGAGCCTGACTCCCTCTCAAAAGAAAAAAAAAAGTAAGAAATGTGCAGGTAGGTAGTCTGTGGCTAGTGTGGTAACTCCAGTGATCCTCAGAGACTCAGGTTTCTTCCCATTCACTGTTCTACCATCCCTAAGGTATGGTCCTCATATAGTCCACAATAGCTGGTAGAATGCCAACCAAGAAGAAGGAGATAAGTCGCATCACATTACCTTTTTTTCTTCGTTTTTTTTTTTTTTTTTTTTTTCATTTTTCTTTTTTGTAGAGGCAGGGTCTTACCATGTTGCCCAGGCTGGTCTTGAACTCCTAGCCTCAAAGTAATTATCCCACCTTGGCCTCCAAAAGTGTTGGGATTGCAGGCATGAGCCACTGTTCCCGGTCATGTTACATTTTTAAGTAGATTTCTCAAAACACCATGAGATACGTCTTACTTCTCATAGGCCAGAACTTAGTCACAAGGTCACATCTAGCTATGAGGGACTGGGCAGCTGTGAGCCATAAAAGGCAGAAGATGGCAGAAGGGGTATTGGATAGGCAACTGGCAGTCTTTGCTATAGACATCCTTGCAGGGCTAGGGAATTGGGTAATGTCCCCCACAGTGCCTTTCTATCTGAACATGTCATTCTTTCCATATTTGGGAACCTGAGAATTCGGGTTAATTGCCCACCATAAATATCAAGGACTGTCATGGAATCTAGTGCTTTCTGGCAAAGTCAGCCTCATATGTAATTCAGTAAACCTTTTTGAGTACTTAGTATTTGAAAAGCTGTGAGCTAGGTGCTTTGGGGGGTATGAGAATGAGTACAGTATCCTATTTTGGTCTAGAGGATCATAGCTCAGGAAGAGAAGGTGGGAAAAGCTGTAGTGGCTGATTTTAAAGACTGTCCGTGTACGCTAGACGGTTTAACTTAGCCCCTGTCCTAGTTCCTGGAAGGTCATGGAATTGGGAAAAAGAATTTACTTGGGCCGGACGTGGTGGCTCACGCCTGTAATCCCAGCACTTTGGGAGGCCGAGGCGGGAGGATCACCTGAGGTCAGGAGTTCGAGACCAGCCTGACCAGTATGGAGAAACCCCATCTCTACTAAAAACACAAAATTAGCTGGGTATGGTGGCGCATGCCTGTAATCCCAGCTACTCAGGAGGCTGAGGCAGGAGAATCGCTTGAACCTGGGAGGCAGAGGTTGCGGTGGGCCGAGATGGCGCCATTGCACTCCAGCCTGGGCAACAAGCGAAACTCCATCTCAAAAAAAAAAAAAATTTACTCATGTTTTTTAAATTTAGGGCTGAAAGAATCAGGATTCCTGAACCTTGGATCACACCTCCAGATTTGCAAGAGAAAATCCACATTTTTGCCCAAAAATGTCTATTCTTGACGGAGAGTCTAAAGCAGTTCACAGGTAATGTGAGGAGAGGTGTCATGAGGGGAAATGGATTTATACTGAGTATCTGCATATTGCCTGATGAAGAGGATAATTTTCCAGCCAGATAGTGGGATGCAGACTGAATATTTTCTTGTTTTCTTTTCTTAGAAAAAATGCAGTCAGATATGGAGAAAATCCAAGGTAAATTTATCTACCTACTGGGCTTTTGATGTAAAGTTGCTTGGAAAAAAGAACATCTGCACTGAAAGTGGGAAACGTGGGATAAGGGTGATACCCATTGGCCAGCCTTCCCTGATATTTTACATCTTCCCTTTGGTCTTAATTAATTTTCTCAATTAACAGCTTCTTGTTCTAATTTGAAGTTTGTTAACTGTATTTAGTCAATTCGCAGTCTGCATTGATGGAGGAGAAAAATAAGCAATCCAAAAATTAATCCAGAATTAATTTGATTGTTTACTTCGGAAAGAATGAACAAAAACTACCTTGGATACGTTTCACTTGAGCCAGTGTTTATCATTGTAATTTACTGAGTTCCTACTGCTTGTGGGCACAGGTGCCAGCTCGGGCTGGAGGAATCCAGCAGCACTGACAGGCAGCACCGCCAGGGACATGGTTAGGAGCGGGCAGTCAGGAGTCAGGCTGCCTGGGTTCTGGGCCTGCCTCTACCACTTAGTAAGGATTCAACAAGTAATTTCCTCATCTGTAACAGAACAGTAATAGTTCTTACCTCCTGAGGTATAAGAATTAAGGTTAGTTACCATTTCTAACACTTCTAGAATAGAACCTGACACATAATAAGTCCTATATTTATGTTTATTAAATCGTTCTAGGCATTTGGAGAAGCTTTTCCAAATTAAAATTTTTCTGCTCACGAGCCACATTCAGTAAAGAGTTGGCCATATATTATTCCACCCAGGAATACTAAAATTCCTGGGCAGTCTGGTGGATTCTGAAATCCTTATATGTAGGTAAACCCTTCTCTTAATTATTAGAAATTACAAACCCCCACAATCTTTGATAATTTTCTATTTTGTATATGCTGGGTTCATATATGCATTGCATCTATTCAGATATATACTTTTTGGGGCATCTAGCAACATAGAGCTAGCAGATACATGTCCTCTACAAGCAAGACAAATGGGGAGAAACTCCACTCAATACAGTGGATAATACCAGAAGTGGTTAGTTCAGGCATGACTTTCCTTGATCTGGCTCTTCTTTTCTTGCCACTTAAAAGTCTTAGTGGGATAATGTGTGAAGAATTCTGTTTCAACTATAAAGTGCCTTATAAATGAATGGTCATGTTTACCCCAGAGTGTCAGTGAGTGTCACTTGAGCCATTCAGCTCTTGTACACAGATGACTTATGCAACTCAAAAGTTATGTATGACGTGGGGTTGGAACCGCGTTTCCCTCTGCAGAATCAGCTGACTCACTGGAAGGTGGAATTCTTGATCTTGGCTCAGTTTTATCCCATATTCTACCAGTCTCAGGCATGTGGTTATCCCTGTACTTAAGATTCCCAATCCCTCTCCCCTTAAAGCTTTTGGTTGGATGATAGAGCCATACATCATATGAAAAAATTAGTGCATGACTAACAACAGAGGTTCTGGGGTTTCTGGTGGAGACCACTGCTTTATGATGACTAACCAAAGCCCCCTTAGTTATGTATTTCCTGGAAACCCTCATGACTTCCATAACTTTGCTCTTTTATTCTTTCAGAATTAAGAGAGGCTCAGTTATACTCAGGTAGGTGATGAGAGACAAAACCATATTAGGGTAAGGAGTAAAAATCCTTGTGAACCTAACTACTATTATGAATGATTTGGAAATTGCTTAGATTTGGATTCTTTTGGTTACATGTATAAAGATGATACACAACAACCACAAAAATCCTCAGTTGTTTCTATGTGTTAACAGTATCTTTGCCTCCTGAAATGTCTCAGAGCTGAAGCCATAGGGTAAAATCAATCTCAGGTGTTAAAGAAGGATTATAGGGTGGAAACCGCAGTTCCCCAAAAGTAGAACAGAGCTGGTACACTAGTACACTGCTCTGCCCGCCCAGCTTCAGGGTCAAACCATGGTTTGTGACAAGCAGGACTGATTGAGCTCCACAATAGTGCTCTTGAGTGCTAGAGGAAGTCTAGGAGTCTTGTGTCATCCCATCACTGTGCCTCAGAGCAAAGTTTGAAACTTCCCTTCCCCCTCACAACCGCTTTCACCCTACTATAGAGCCTGGGTAAATTTAACATTGCAGAAGTATTCAAATCTAAGGTGTATTCGTCCCATAGTCACAGTCACCTTCTGTTATGAATTATCCTCTAAATGAAGAGAAGGACTCTACATACAGTGGATCTGCAGTCCTTGGTGTGCAGTGGCTCTGATCCATATTTATTTTCAACAAGTATTAAATGAGTACTTTGCTTGTATCCTACACTGCCTAACATTGTGCAGGGTATTTTAGAGGAACAGAAGAGCATAAGTCATCCTACTCTTGGGGTTTACATTGTCTGGTTGGAGGTATACCCATGACACAAGAAGAAGGTAGGCAGCTGTTGTAGACAGATTGTTGAACCAGGAGCCAAGGGTTCTGGGGTTCTTGGTTACCTCTATCAGTTGCCTGTCTTTTGTGGGAGTAAAAATTTGTGGGCTTAAATTTCTGAGAGGTAATGTTTGGGACTCTTCCTCCTGAACAAGATGTGAGGAGCAAATGAGAGAATACATATCAGTATTTTTATTTATTTATTTATTATTTTAATTTTTTAAATTTTTTATTATTCATTTTAGAGGCAGGTTCTCTGTTGCCCAGGCTGGTGTGCAGTGGCATGGTGATAGCTTGCTGCAGCCTCATACTCCTGGGCTCAAGTGATCCTCCTGCCTCAGCCTCCTGAGTAGCTGGAATTACAGGCATGCACCACCATGCTTGCCTAATTTTTTTACTTTTATTTTTTGTAGAGACAGGGTCTCAAACTCCTGTATGCAAGCAATCCTCTTGCCTCAGCTTCCCAAAGTGCTGAGATTACAGGCATGAGCCACATATCCAGCCCATTATCAGTGTTTTTGAAGCAGGAAAACACTTGATGATAGCAAGATGCTGTAATACTAAATGCCAGAGGAGATGACATGGGTCATACACAGTTTTAGATTTCAGAACAGTAAGTGTAATGGCCTGGGCAGATTAAGAAAAACTTGGAGGATGTGTGTTTTGGACTGGACATTAGAAGAAGATGAATAGAGCTTCGATGTGCAGAGTAAAGATCTTATAGAATGGATAAAAGAGTGATTTGGGCTGGGTGTAGTGGCTCACACCTGTAGTCCTAACACTTTGGAAGGCTGAAATGGGAAGTCTGCAGTGAGCCATGATTATGCCACTGTACTACAGTCTGGGTGACAGAGTGAGACCTCATCTCAAAAAATAAAAAAAAGTAAAAAATAATTTTAAAAGAGTGATTTAAAAAGTAAGCATACTGATACAGGTTCCCAGTCCCTTACCCACAGTTCTAAAATCCCAAATCTCTGAAAGCCAAAACCTTTTTCATTATTTTGTGGGAAATTAATTATAGCATCAAAACCTGAATTTATGTGGTACTGTTTAGAGCCTTTATCCTTCATTATGTAAACATTCATGAATCTCACAGCAGATCTATTAATACTTCATTATAGAATGCTGCCTGTCTAAAACCTGTAATATTCTGAATTCTGTGAAACTTGGGGCCCCTGGAATTTTCAGAATAAGGGATGATGAGCGTGTAAGAAAACCTCAATTCAGCGTATCTGCCAGGCACAGTGGCTCATGCCTGAAATCCCATTGCTTTGGGAAGTTGAGGTGGGAGGATTGCTTGAGGCCAAGAGTTCGAGACCATCCTGAGCAACATAGTAAGACCTCATCTCTACAAAAAATTTTTTAAAATTAGGGTGGTAGTGCACACCTATGGTCCCAGCTACTTGGGTGTCTTAGGCGGGAGAATCACCTGAGCCCAGGAGTTTGGGGTTACAATGAACTATGACCACACCACTGCGCTCCAGCCTAGGCAACAGAGCAAGACCCTATCTCTTAAAATCAGTTCATGATGGATATTGTGGCTTCAGATGTGAAAGAAAAGATACGGGGCTAAAATTCTGTATTTTCAGTGTATTCTGGTAACCAGCTAATCCAAGCAGTAATTTTTGAAATGTGAAGTTTAGAATATATTCTAAATAAAATACGTGCAACCTCCAGTGGGAACCTCTTATTATTGGGGAGGTAGTAGAAAGGCGCTGGGTGTTCTAAAATAGGCTCTCCTGGCCCACGGCTGACTGTCTTCCTTGTGTCTCTGCAGTGGACGTGACTCTGGACCCAGACACGGCCTACCCCAGCCTGATCCTCTCTGATAATCTGCGGCAAGTGCGGTACAGTTACCTCCAACAGGACCTGCCTGACAACCCCGAGAGGTTCAATCTGTTTCCCTGTGTCTTGGGCTCTCCATGCTTCATCGCCGGGAGACATTATTGGGAGGTAGAGGTGGGAGATAAAGCCAAGTGGACCATAGGTGTCTGTGAAGACTCAGTGTGCAGAAAAGGTGGAGTAACCTCAGCCCCCCAGAATGGATTCTGGGCAGTGTCTTTGTGGTATGGGAAAGAATATTGGGCTCTTACCTCCCCAATGACTGCCCTACCCCTGCGGACCCCGCTCCAGCGGGTGGGGATTTTCTTGGACTATGATGCTGGTGAGGTCTCCTTCTACAACGTGACAGAGAGGTGTCACACCTTCACTTTCTCTCATGCTACCTTTTGTGGGCCTGTCCGGCCCTACTTCAGTCTGAGTTACTCGGGAGGGAAAAGTGCAGCTCCTCTGATCATCTGCCCCATGAGTGGGATAGATGGGTTTTCTGGCCATGTTGGGAATCATGGTCATTCCATGGAGACCTCCCCTTGAGGAGGTGAATTCAGGCCAAAAGGGCTGTTGGCTGTAATCCTACGCCAGGCACAAGGCATCTTGTTGCCTTGCCACGTCCTGTCACAGCTGGGTATCCTTACCATGTTCCACGCCCTTGCAGTGGGAGACAGGATGTCCATGTTCTCTACCATCCTTTTCCTTCCCATGCAGATTGTGAAATGTAATGAGATGTATCAAGATATCCTAGAAATAAAAACCAGATGTCCACCTCCAGTGTTTCATACTTTCTGGTTTTACACATCGCTGGAGGGATAAAGAGTATGGATAATCTTTGGATTTGGAGAGCCGTTCAAGATACTTCCAGCTTCTTGGCTCAGCCTGGCTTCCTCTGGTTCAGCCCCACATAATGATTATGGCTATTTGCTGTCATTTCTGGGCTAGGGCTCCTTTCTAACAACCTAGACTGGAATAAGGCCCTGTCAGCATGGCTCCCTTTATCCCAGTTTTCCGTCTGGGAACAGTACCTCTGCCCCTGATTCCCAATGTGCCATAGTTTTATTAACTCCATTAAAGAAGCCTGTATGTGTTTTGGTTAGTTACAGTTATTTTACAATAATGGTGGGTAATGGCCCCACCTCTGTTATGAGATAATGTTCTAATCAATGTCTCTGCCTTTGTATCTTTTCTGAGGGCTTTGTCTGTTCTCTTCATTCTAATGAAAGGTGTATTCTAGTGCTGGGTGCATATCATCCAGGATAATATTCTGCCCAACTCCATCCTCTGTTACTAGATCCCTTACCAGTCACATTTGTGGACTGGTGGCCAGTCGTATACCATCCCTGGAAGGATTCTGGGACAATATTCCAGGGATTCATTGACTTCTTGGCTCCTTTTCTCCATTTCCTTTGGGGGAAGGGGGAATTGACCATGCTTAAGTGCATCCTATCAAGGGGCAGCTCCGTCCCCATGGCCATTGGATCATGAGACACTCTGAAGTCAGAAGGCTGGGGCAGATCACTTCAAGCAAGCCCCCATGATGGTTCTCAGTCCTGCTTCTCTGTGGGTACGTGCCCCTCTGTTTAAAAATAAACTGAATATGGATGTTTACATTGTTGTTGCTTTCTGGGTGTTGGTAGGATTGGGTTCAGATGTTGGAATGCGTGTGGGGAGGAAATGGTTAATGGTGTTGCTTTCCCATATGGGTGCAAAAATCCCACTCTGGCCAATAGTTTACTTCAAACTGGAAAATAAAACCACTTTCTCAGTGCCATGTCACTACTTTCTAGTGGTGCTAAGAAAGTAGTGTTGGACATTCATAGCCTACAGTTCTTTTTTTTTTGAGGTGGAGTCTTGCTCTGTCGCCCAGTCTAGAGTGCAGTGGCACGATCTCGGCTCACTGCAACCTCTGCCTCCCAGGTTCAAGCGATTTTCCTGCCTCAGCCTCCTGAGTAGCTGGGACTACAGGCGCCTACCACCGCGCCCGGCTAATTTTTTATTTTTAGTAGAGACGGGGTTTCACCATCTTGGCCAGGGTGGTCTTGAACTCCTGACCCTTGTGATCCACCTGCCTTGGCCTCCTAAAGTGCTGGGATTACAGGCGTGAGCAACCGCGCCCGGCCTGCCTACAGTTCTTATATTGGTTAATCCTGTAATTTTACTAGGAAAGTATTTTCTCAAGTCCTTTTTGTAGTATTGTGCCAGGCATTGGGGTTCCATGGCTGAGGTTCATGAGTTGGTGATATCATGTCCTAATTCTTCATTTATTCATCAGGTTTTAAGGGAAATAATAGAACCAGGGCTATAGAAAGTAGCTTCCATGAGGCTAGATTAGCTTTTGCTGAATATTCTGAGATCTAAATGTATACGGTAATATATATACAGGCACATAAATACTACTAACAAACATAGAGCAGTGCTTGGCACATCATATGAAGAGTTTTATGCACAGTAGCTTCCTTAATGCTCATGATAATTTTATCAAGTGTGTACTGTTGTCTTACTTTACAGATAAACTGCAGCAGAGAGGGTAAATGACTTATCCAAGGTACACAGCTAGGAAGCAGCAGAGCCAGGATTCAAACTGAGATGGAACACATGACCACATCAGGTCCTGCCCCACAACATGTGTTATTGGTTATCTTCTAGTTCTTGTGGGTGGTGTGTTTATAGGTATTTATTTATATTTTTAGTTTTAAAAGCCTGCCATTTTGAATGGGATTAAATGAACTTGTGATTCTAAGTTTACTCATCTGCAGAAAGGTAAGCAACTTTTGAGTTCACCGAGTCAGGAATTGAGTCACTAAAGACATATGGGGCCCACTCCGATTCCTTTGACTCCCCTCTCTTTCCTCAGAACATCTGCAATTGTTAATTATACATTACGGTTTCAATAACTTCTTCCTTAATTCTTTTGCTGTTCCAGGAAGTGTGTGTTTGTGCATGCACGTATGTGCACATGCCTGTGTGTCTTCAGGTGCTCTTGTTTTTTCTGATAAAGGCCAACATGCAAAGAAGACCATCTTCCCCAAGAGCAGACAAGGCCTAGAAGAGATAGGTTCAAAGAATAAAGGGAAACTGAACATGGCCCATACCCTCCACCATGTACAATTAAGTGAGAAGATGAGAGAATGCATGTAACAGCCTAACACTTAAAGGCACTATGAAATTAAGAGCAAATAACTGTCAGATGGTAAATGAGAGCCATTTGCTAATGCCTTTAGTTACCTGAGATGCAGACCAAAGAGTATACGTGGAAATCACGTATCTCCTCCCAGCAAAATAAAAAACAAAACTCAAAAGGTTCTTAGCATACCAATGGTGGTTGAGTTGCTTCTTCACAAATGAAAAACATTCTTTTATTCAAATAGACAATTCAACCAGTGTTGGGTGCCCCAGCTGAACTTGCTCCTGAAGAGAATACAAGAGAGCATGGCTTCTATCCTTTGAAAAGTTAATTAGGAGAGGGGGAAAATAACGTGAAAAAATGTAGAGTACAACTAAAGATGATCTGGGGAGAAGTGAAACTTGTGCTCCAGGAGACCTCATTGCAGACCACAGTAATGTAAGAGGAAGCCTAAATGCCTGGGCTATGTTTCTTAGTGCCCTTTTTCTTGAGACTAAGAGACTTGCCCACTAGCTCCGTCCTGCACTAAATTTTGACTTAATGATATAAGCACATTACTAAATCCTGCACTTTGTTGAAACCAGAAATTCCTCCTATATGAAGTCTGTGAGAGTAATAATAAATCCCAACCAAACCAGCGTTAGAGAAAGGGTCTCACTTTGTCACCAAGGCTGGAATGCAGTGGCAAGATTATTACTCACTGCAGGCTCGAACTCCTGGGCTCAAGGGATTCTTCCTCCTCAACCTCCCAAAGTGTTGGGATTACAGCCATGGGCCACCATGCCAGGCCAAATAGTACTTCCATTTGACAGTATTGCCCCATTACATTTCCTTTTTCCCGTTGGAGAAAAGATACATTTCTTAGATCTGGCTTATCTGTTGAATTAATTTTGCATTTGAAGTTTGAAATGTAAGCAGGACATTTGAAGGTAACCTTTAGAGATACACACATCTCTACCAGATTCTTTGTTTAGAGGATGTGAAGAACTTGGATTTGTATGGGATGTGATTGCCAAACCCATTTTAGGGTTCTGATGCACAAAAAGAATAATAGAAAAAAGTGAGAATTAGAAAGATTTGAACCTACATATTTCTTTAAAAACTGGGAAGAAATATGCCAAAATATTAGCATAGATGCTTTTGATGAGACTTGGTGATTTTTTTTTTTTCTGTATTGAATGAACTCTTCACTATGGAAACCTGTAACCATATACAAAAATGAAGAAAATACACAGCGAACCCTCCTATATCATCTCCCAACTTCAACTACCAATTTATGGTCAGTCTCATTTGAATACAGCATCATCTCAATTTCCACCCCAATCTCTGTTACTCTCACGTAATCCTGGACATACCAGAAAACCAAGTTATATGAACCTCAAACAAAACAGTCAAGGGACTCATTTCAAGGTTGGAAATTAAATCCTGTTTTTTTGTTTTGTTTATTTCATTTTCATAGACCACCATTGTTAGCTTCTTTCCTTTTTAGTCCCTCTGCTTCCCTCTTTAAATAATTTGTCAGGCCTTTTAAAATTCCTCTTACAGATGTTTTCATAAAAATGTAGAATGGCCTGTGGGGAGTCTTATTGTGCAATAAATATTATTAGTAAATAGTTAAAATATTGACATATTTAATTATATTTTACCTTATTCCAAAAAGGACTTAAAGCCATTTAAAACATAAAATCATGTCTGGGCTCGGTGGCTCACACCAGCACTTTGGAAGGCTGAGGCGGGCGGATCACCTGAGGTCAGGAGTTCAAGACCAGCCTGGCCAACACGGTGAAACCCCATCTCTACTAAAAATACAAAAATTAGCCAGGTGTGGTGGTGCATTTCTGTAATCCCGACTCGGGAGGCTGAGACGGGAGAATTGCTGGAACCCAGGAGGCGGAGGTTGCAGTGAGCCAAGATTGCACCACTGCACTCCAGCCTGGGCAGCAGAGCAAGACTCCATCTCAAAAAAAACCAAAACAAACCCATAAAATCAAGACATCAGGAGTTTAACATGCCATAAAGGAAGAAAGAAAAAATACGGCACAGCCGGGCGCGGTGGCTCACGCCTGTAATCCCAGCACCTTGGGAGGCCCAGGCACGCAGATTACGAGGTCAGGAGTTCAAGACCAGCCTGGCCAACATAGTGAAAAACCCCATTTCTACTAAAAATACAAAAATTAGCTGGGCATGGTGGCACGAGCCTGTAGTCCCAGCTACTTGGGAGGCTGAGGCAGGAAAATTGCTTGAACCTGGGAGGCAGAGCTTGAAGCAAGCCGAGATTGCGCCACTGCACACCAACCCGGGTGACAGTGCGAGACTCCGTCTCATTAAAAAAAAAGATGGCACAAAAAATGACCAGGATTAGAAGTGAATCTATAGTATGAAAACTACGAGGACACTAAATGTGGGCCACAGTTGGGTTTTAAAAATTGACATGGGAACATTGTTAATTGTATAGCTTCTAGTTTCTGTAAGATGGAAGTAACTAAATGTTTAAGGGACATAATGGGATTCTTGTTAATAAGAGATAGGAATTTCTGCTTGGGTTCTTGGTAAATAGAAACTGTATCCCAAGAGTTTACTTTTCATAAAATAAGTCTTACAAATCAATAAGGAAAGATGGACACCTCATAAAAATTTGGTAAGCAATTTACTGAGGAAGGAGTATAAAAATCCTTTAAACATGAATATTGGACCTCACTAATAATCAAATCAGAAAAAAAAGGGGGGGCGCTATGTCATTTGTTACCTATTAAAATGTGCCAGGAGCGGTGGGTCACGCCTGTAATCCCAGCACTTTGGGAGGCCGAGGCGGGCACATCATTTGAGGTCAGGAGTTTGAGACCAGCCTGACCAACATGGTGAAACCCTGTTTCTACTAAAAATACAAAAAAAAAATTAGCTGAGTGTGATGGCTCATGCGTGTAGTTCCAGCTACTCGGGAGGCTGAGACGAGAATCACTTGAACCTGGGAGATAGGTTGCTGTGAGCTAAGATCATGCCACTGCACTCCAGCCTGGGCAACAGAGCAAAACTCCGTCAAAACAAACAAAAACTGGATAAACATTGATGTAGGCCGGGCGCGGTGGCTCACGCCTGTAATCCCAGCACTTTGGGAGGCTGAGGCGGGCGGATCAAGAGGTCAGGAGTTCGAGACCAGCCTGACCAACATAGTGAAACCCCGTCTCTACTAAAAATACAAAAATTAGCCGGGCGTCGTGACGGGCGCCTATAGTCCCAGCTACTCGGGAGGCTGAGGCAAGAGAATGGTGTGAACCCGAGAGGTGGAAGTTGCAGTGAGCCAAGTCGTGCTACTGCACTCCACCCTGGGTGACAGAGCGAGACTCCGTCTCAAAAAAAAAAAAAAAAAAAAAATTTGATGTAATGGTTTCACTTTTAGAAATTTAAGGAAATAATCGTGGATGTTTGAAAATATTTATGTAAGGATAGTTTTTACAGCATTGCTGATGAAAATAAAAAATTAGAAATAATCCAGTTTTCAAGAATACCACTTTGATATGGAATATGTGCAGGAATTAAGATTTATACAAAATATAGTACTTAGCAAGTATATATTCATAATATATTCATTTAGAAAGCAAGTTAGCAAATTATTTACTACACATGACCATTTTTGGAAAAAATGTATACCATATGAAAGACTAAATATATAAAAATGTTAATAGTTACCTCTGACTAGTGAGATTATGGATGATTTTAATTTTTGACATGTTTGTATGTTCTACAATTTGTGTGTACTTTGCAATTAGAAAAAAATAATTATAGTTAGGGTAAGATTACAGTTGCCATGTTGGGAATCACTTCCTGGACAATTTCCTTCCAATCGAAAGAAAATATACAAATCTCATGTATTGGAGGGAGACTGGGGAACCAGTGTTCACTGTACTTCTCACTACTAATTTTCTCTCTATCAAAAATAGGATATGAAACCAAGGAAGTCTGTGGAAATTAAGATAGAGCCTACTGAAACTCAGTTATTTCTCCATGCAGAAAAGAGACCTAACTTTGCCTTACAAAAAGGAAATTTTTTTTTATATTAACAAATACAAAAAGTAAGCTATTAGGACAAAATCTAATTAAAATATCCAACTTTATATTTCCTCTATCTGAACCTCACAGCCCCAAATACAAGAGTTAAGACGGTTGAGTTAAAATGTATTTATTGAACCTCTACCGTGTTTGCCAGGCACTGTTACCTGGACGGCATTGGTCTACACATGTTATTTTAGCGGTGTCGCTGGCCTCTAGGGGCTCTTGTTCTAGTGGGAGGGATGATTTCTGTTTAGTTTCAGGGCTCCATTAAAATTTGTGACCTTGGGGCTTCCCGGCCTGGAGCTCAGATTGCTTGGCGAAGGCTGAGAAACAGAAAAGTGGATCAGGCGATGTGGTGCACCCCCCTTAAAAACTACCGCTGTGTTCCCCGACCTGGCAGTGGTCACTTGGAGCCCATTAATCGGGAACATCCGAGAGCGACAAGGAAGGCCGCGGGCGAGCGCGTCGCTCCCGGAGTTTCCCCGGACCTGGGATCGCCGATCCCTCGGCGCGGACACCAGCCTTGCCCATGTGGTGGTCCCTGTGGAGACCTTCCCAGCCGTTCCCGGCTACCACTTTTAGAGCCCAAGACAAACTTCGACGAGTGGCAAGGCAGTGACAAATGGAACCAAAATAGAGGGGCTAAAAGGGGACCTTCCTATAGAACCGGGGTCTTTTGTTAGGGTTTTGTTTTGTTCCTCACCATCTTCCAAACAATGAAGTCCTGGGGGAGGCTAACCACGATCAAGATTTCAGTAAACATCAGACACTGGAGAGCCGACCCAGCGACCGAAGAAGCAAAAGATCTTCTTTCCTTCCTGAAATCTGGGCAGGCTGGGAGCAAAAAAAAAAAAAAAAAACCCGCACACGTTTTTCGAGATGGCGATAACAGTTATAAGGCCCGTAAGAGACTTGATCCAGTTTTATGCAGAAACATTTTCTAGTCCTGCGAACCCTTTTGCTTTTTCAATCCACAAGTGGCTTTCTGCCCTTCTGTTACCAAGCAACCCTGACGTCATCGCGTTTCTGCGTGCGTGCACGACACAGAATCATTGCTTGTTGATCTCTATTTTAGTGCAAAAATCAGGGCTGTTATGCAGTGTGTCAGGATGGCCGAGTGGTCTAAGGCGCCAGACTCAAGCTAAGCTTCCTCCGCGGTGGGGATTCTGGTCTCCAATGGAGGCGTGGGTTCGAATCCCACTTCTGACACATACTTTTCTTTTTCCTCTCCTTACTTTAGAGATATCCTGATCTCAGCAGTAGGCATAAACAATTACCAACGTATATTTTTAAGAATCGGCTTTTAGGTACCGGGCGCGGTGGCTCACGCCTGTAATCCTAGCACTTTGGGAGGCCGAGACGGGTGGATCACGAGGTCAGGAGATCGAGACCATTCTGGCTAACACGGTGAAACCTCGTCTCTACTAAAAATACAAAAAAAATAGCTGGGCGTGGTGGCGGGCGCCTGTAGTCCCAGCTACTCGGGAATGAGGCAGGAGAATGGCGTGAACCCGGGAGGCGGAGCGTGCAGTGAGCCAAGATCGCGCCACTGCACTCCAGCCTGGGGACAGAGCGACACTCCGTCTCAAAAAAAAAAAAAAAAAAAAAAAGAATTGGCTTTTAAATTTATCTCAAAGGGCTTGTCCAAACTAAAAACATTAAAAGCGGAAGCATCGCGATATTTTTACGAAGCCGCGAGATTTGGGCCAAAAAACGCCTAATTAAAGGCAGAGGTTACTAGCGATTGGTCTCTGTGCTGCAGTGCGAGATAATCCTGATGTCGCGGGATTCGGAACGCAGATAGCTTCCTGCCTCGCCGAGGGAATGGAGAGAAGGGGCTCCGGGCGGGTTCTTTTCCCGCTTCTCGACCAGGCTCACACTCTGTGTCTCAGATCCAAGCCCTCCCCTAGATATTTCCTGGAGCACTTTCCTACCAATCTCACAACCCTGTGGCTCGTGACAGTGCAGTCTCTTTAAAAATCTTACACAGGTCCTCTGCTCTCCTATTTTCAAAACTCATGTAACCAGTTCTCAAAAATGTCTTTCGTAAATTATGCACATTCACACTCGTTTTGGCATCTGATCATTACCGTTTTGTCAGTCAAAATTGAGTACCATTTTAACCATTGAATGAAATATGAAAGCTGTACGTTCCTCTCGCAAATGTAATCACCGTGAAAAATTTATTGTATTTTTTACATTTCTTTTTTCTCTGCATTCGCATATATATATAACATTTTGTTTTTTTTTTTTTAACAGAAATGTAGTCATGCTATGACATTTTTCACTTAATATATCTTGGGTTCTTTCCATGTGGAACACTTATTCTTTTCTTTTACAGAAGAAATATTGCTGGCCGGGTGCAGTGGCTCAGGCCTGTAATCCCAGCACTTTGGGAGGCCGAGGCGGGCGGATCACGAGGTCAGGAGATTGAGACCATCTTGGCTAACACAGTGAAACCCCGTCTCTACTAAAAATATTAAAAAATACAAAAAATTAGCCGGGTGTGGTGGTGGGTGCTTGTAGTCCCAGCTACTCGGGAGGCTGAGGTAGAAGAATCGCCTAAACCCGGGAGGCGGAGCTTGCAGTGAGCCGACATTGCCCGCTGCACTCCAGCCTGGGCAACAGAGTGAGACTCCGTCTCAAAAAAAATAATAAATAAATAAATAAATAAATAAATAAATAAATAAATAAAACCCTATGGTAGGCCTGGAGTGGTGGCTCACGCCTGTAATCCCAGCACTTTGGGAGGCCGAGGCAGGTGGATCACTTGAGGTCAGGAGTTCGAGACCAGCCTGGCCAACATGGTGAAACCCTGTCTCTACTAAAAACACAAAAATTAGCTGAGTGTGGTGGCAGATGCCTGTAATCCCAGCTACTCAGGAGGCTGAGGCAGGAAAATCACTTGAACCCGGGAGGTGGAGGTTGCAGTGAGCCAAGATTGCACCACTGCACTCCAGCCTGGGCAACAGAGTGAGACTCTGTCACAGGAAAAAACAAAAAACAAAAAAACAAAAACACAAAAACCGTATGGTAAATTTTAAATTTTAAGGTGGTACTTTAGAACACTAGTGTTCCATCTTCTCAGTTTGCTGGCTTTCGGATTAAAAGCAGCTTTTCCTCCCACCAAACCTCCCCTCTAGCATTTGGCTTTGGAGCGGTGAGCAGCAGAATCTGGGTCAGGTTACGCTTTTTTCTCTTCAGTCCCATTAACTCTGGAATCCTAGGTGCCCTCTGCATACTTGGACTCCAAAAACCACTTTCTCCAACAAGAAAACAAAGTAAACTGCAGATTATATAATAGGAGATTTTAAATTCATTTCAAAATTCACTATGGAAGATATGGTTTCTCATCTGGAATCCATCCTGCTTGTCTGGATTTACCTTACTTCTCCCTGCATTGCTCACATTTCTGATTCTTTCATGGAACAGAGTACGTTATCCTCTAAAAGCTTTCACCAAACTGATGGAATTTTCTATTTCTCGCCCCCTACCCCCACCTACTGCTTTTCAAAGTAAAATGGCATTTATCTGTAAGGCGGGATGAAGTTAATATCTGTTAAACCCCCATTTATTTCCAGAAGCTTCCAAAGTCAGCCCAACCTCCCAAGGTTACTTAGCTCTCTAATAAAACAAAAGGTGAACTCCCTGAAAGAATTCTCCTGCAGAATTCTATTATAGCGTTAGAGGAAAAAGCACTGCCACTGTGTAAAATTGTGTAGATTTGGGGTAAAAGGCCAAGGTACTTTCCAGTTTCAATTTTCTTGACTGTCCTGCTGGGCACGGTGGTTTACACCTATAATCCCAGCACTTGGGTGAGGCTGAGGAGGGAGGATCACATGAGGCGAGGAGTTCAAGACCAGCCTGGGCTTGTCTCCAACCCCTCACCCCAACCCCGCCCCCACCCCCACAAATGCTCAACTGCAGTTGAACTGAATTAAATTGCGTTTCTTTCCTTCCTTCCTTCCTTCTTTCCTTCCTTTCTTCCTTCTTTCTCTCTCTCTTTCCCTCCCTTCCTTCTCTCCTTTCTTCCTTCTGTCTCTCTTTCTCTCTCTCTCTCTCTCTCTTTCTTTCTTGAGACAGAGTCTTGCTGTATCACCCAGGCTAAAGTTCAATGGCGCTGTCTTGGCTCACTGCAACCACTGCCTCGCAGGTTCAAAGGATTCTCCTGCCTCAGACTCCCGAGTAGCTGGGACTACAAGCGTGCACCACCACACCTGGCTAATTTTTATATTTTTTAGTAGAGACAGGGTTTCACCATGTTGACGAGGCTGGTCTCGAACTCCTGACCTTGAGTGATTCGCCCACCTCAGCCTCCCAAAGTGGTGATCCTGGGTTTTAAGCAGAATAGGGGACATACCACTACCCACTTATCGAATGTATTCTAAATAAGTTTTCTTATCCTAAATTTTTTTATATTCCAATACTGGAAACTTTTATTTACAGAAGCCATGTATTCTATACTCTATATGTAGAATACATGGTTCATTAAGGCCAAGATAATTTCCCATTTTGTGTATATCATTACTTATACTACTCATTAAAATAATCTTCAGTGCGGAGAGATTATCTCTTTTCCTCTGCTAAAGACACAATAATCTTTCATTCAGACAAATAAGACATTACATAAGACCTACCTAGTTACATAAAAACAAAGTAACTACACTAGTACTCCTGTCTGTTAAAGGACTATCAGATAAGTCACTGCGGTTATCTGTACATAACAATGCACAATCATCCTAATAATTACTAGTGAATGCCTTTTCTAGATAGAAGAAGCTGAAGATATAAAATCTAAATCTAAATTCGAATGTTAACTTTTGTCTCAACTGACAGAATACCGTACATTGACCAAATAAAGGATTTTATTGAATCACTAAATTTTTACCAGCTTTATTGAGATATAATTTACACACCATTCAATTCAATTCAATCACTTTTAGAATATTCAGAGTTGTGCAAACATTATCACCATCAGTGTTAGAACATTTTTATCACCTCAAGGTAAAAAAAAATACTCCTTAGCAGTCACTCCCCATCTCTCAGCCTCCCCCAACCTGCAGGCAACCGACAATCTATTTTCTATAATTTTTTTTCTTTTCCTTCCTTCCTTCCTTCCTTCCTTCCTTCCTTTTTATACAGGGTCTCACTCTGTCACTCAGGCTGGAGTGCAGTAGCACAATCATAGCTCACTGCAGCCTTGACCACCCTGGACTCAGGCGATTCCAATATTGGAATATAAAATATTTTAGGATAAGAAAACTTATTTAGAATATGTTCAATAAGTGGGTAGTGGTATGTCCTCTATTCTGGTTAAAACCCAGGATCACCACTTTGGGAGGCTGAGGTGGGCGAATCACTTGAGCTCAGGAGTTCGAGACCAGCCTGGCCAACATGGTGAAACCCTGTCTCTACCAGAAAATACAAAAATTAGCTGGGTGTGGCGGTGCGTGCCTGTAGTCCCAGCTACTCGAGGGGGCGAAGGTGGGAGAATCACTTAAACCCGGGAGGTGTAAGTTGCTGTGAGCCGAGATCACACCAGTGCACTCCAGCCTAGGCAACAGAGACCTTTTGTCTAAATCAATCAATCAATCAATCAATCCCAGGAGTGCAGTGGCGCGATCTCGGCTTTCTGCAACCTCTGCCTCCCCGGTTCAAACGATTCTCCTGCCTAAGTCTTCCGAGTAGCTGGGAGGCCCGTGCCACCACGCCCGGCTAATTTTTGTATTTTTAGTAGAGACGGGTTTTCACAATGTTGGCCAGGCCTGTCTTGAGCTCCTGACCGCAAGAGATTTGTCTGCCTTGGCCTCCAAAGGGCTGGGATTACAGGCGTGAGCCACCGTGCCCGGCCAGTCTTGTCCATTTTCTCCTTGAAGACCATCTTTCACACTGTCACTATAGTGACTTGCATAAAACTGAAAGCTAATATTACACACACCTTCTTTTTTTTTTTTGAGACGGATTCTCGCTCTGTCACCAGGCTGGAGTGCAGTGAGGCGATCTCGGCTCACTGCAAGCTCCGCCTCCTGGGTTCACGCCATTCTCCTGCCTCAGCCTCCTGAGTAGCTGGGACTACAGGCGCCTGCCACCACGCCCGGCTAATTTTTTGTATTTTTAGTAGAGACAGGGTTTCACTGTGTTAGCCAGGATGGTCTAGATCTCCTGACCTCGTGATCCACCAGCGTCAGCCTCCCAAAGTGGTGGGATTACAGGCGTGAGCCACCGTGCCTGGCCTACACACATTCTTAGCATCTGTTAATGGTTCAATTCATTATCCTGGCAACAAGACTGTTCATGATGTAGCTTACATTTTCAGCTTTATCTCCTTTCGCCTTCATATTCAATCTGTGTTCCAGCTAGACCAAACTGTTCTCAACTGTCTGAAAGTACCATTTTAAAAGTGCCTTAATAACTTTGTATGTATATACTTTCCATCTAGAAAGCTTTTACTGCCTTCCCTTTTTCTGACTATTTGTATTTATGTTTTAAGATACGCCAATCAACCATTCCGCTGCAAAACTTTCTGTTTGATTCTCTCAGGCAGTTAGATGTTTCCTTCTTTGCACTCCCAAAGCTCTTATGCTTCACTCTTATAGTATTTACCACACTGCCTTGTAACTGAAGGACATCTCTAGGTTGTGGCCTTCAAGAGGGCATCTTATTCGTCTTTATACCAGGTATATAGCAAGGAACTACTATACACAAGACTTGCTACAAAGCTACTTACATGACATTTTAATAACCAAGAAAGAATTTGTAGAAATAGCAAGTAACATTTCTTAATCCTTTTCAATTTAAGATAAGCAACATGTTGGGATACTGAGATGTGACAACAATGGTAACAATAGCAACTCACACTTAATAATGCTTACAGTGTGTCAGACACAGTTTTGTGTGCTTTCATAACCCTTTGAGGTTGCAACTGTTGTCCATGTTTTGTAGGCAAAGATACAGATGCACAAAGTTATGTGACTTGCCTAAGGTCATATAGCCAACAAGATAGGAAACACTGAAACTAGAGTTTAGTGTGAATTTGTGTGTGTTCAAATCCTTCATTTACAGCTAAATTTGCAAATCTGTTGAAGGAAAGGGAAATAGAACTTACTGCTCTTATTTAGCAGTGAAATTTAAATAATTTTTTGTTGTTTTATTTCAGAAGGTGAGTGTAGGTTTATTTATTATTTTTGAGACAGAGTCTTGCTCTGTTGCACAGGCTGGAGTGCAATAGCACAATCACTGCAGCCTTGACCTCTTGGTTCAAGCAATCCTCCCATCTCAGCCTCCTGAGTAGCTGGGACTACAGGTACACACCACCATGAGCAGCTTTTTTTTTTTTTTTTTTTTTTTTTTAGAGATGGGGTCTCATGATGTTGCCTAGCTTGGTCTCAAACTCCTGGGTTCAAGTGATCCTCCTACCTCAGCCTCCCAAAATGCTGGGATTACAGGTATGAGCCACCATGCCTGGACTGAGTATAGGTTTAGAAAGCTAAGCATGACTTCAGGGTTCCAAAAAGTACTGAAGAAGTAGCATCTCACTCACTGTTCCTGGGAAGATGGAAAAGTGATGATCCGTTAAATCCTGCAATTGAAAACATTTGTGACCCTGAGGGCAGGTATGAGAGGCACTAAGAAAATCCTTTGTTGGTGAGACAGAGAACATTTTCACCCCAGGAAAAAGAGATCATAGAGAAGTCATGAAAACTGTACTGAACAAAATACTTATGGGAAAGAGGGGTTGTAAAAGTGATGAATGTAGACAGTTCTTCACTAAGAAATCAAATCTTATTCAACAGCAAAGGATCCACACTGAAGAGAGACCCTGTAAATACAAAGTTTGTGGCAAGCCTTCAGTGGGAACACTAGCCTCTATCTCCAGAAGATCCACACTGGGGAGAACCCTTATAAGTGTGATGAGCATAGAAGGGCCTTCACCGTGAAAGCCTGCATTATAGAAGCTGTATTTTCACAGACACTATGAATGTGATCAGTGTGGCAAGACTTTCATTTGGAGCTCAGATCTTAGTAAACATCAGAGGCTTCATACTGGAGGGAAATCCACAAGCGTAATGTATGCAATAAGACCTTCAGAATTCTGACCATCTCAAACATCAGAGAATACATACTGGAGAGAAACCCTACAAATATCTTATGCATGGGAAAGCTTTTAATCAGAGCCCACTCTTTCTTAAGCATCATAGAGTACACACTGAGAGAAACCTTATCACTTTAAGGAATGTGGAGAAAGCTTTAGTCACAATGGAGGCCTGACATCGTATGAGAGACTGCACACAAGAGAGAAGTCTTATAAAAGTTAAGTATTTGGGGAAGTCTGCATTGAGAGCTCACACTTCATTAACTATCCCAACATTCATACAGGGGAAAGACTTCCTCATTGCCCTGAATATGGAAAATGCTTTACTCAAAATGAAGGTCTTATTTCCCATCAGAACCTTTTTAGACAGTAAAAAGAAAACCCATATCAGAGAAAAAAGATATATACCTCTGATGAATGCGTGTAAAACTTTGTGTTTCTCTAGTAATTGACCTTTAGAGAGTAGATATAGAAGGGAAATATTTTGAATATAACAATTTTGAAATGTTTGAATGGCAGCTTCTTGCCTCACTTAACATTAGTAAATTTGTCAAGAGCATGCCCAGGAAATGGGTTGGCTAGAACTTGTTTTAGCAGAAATAAATGTGTTTTCAGTCATTATCCTCCTTAAGGAAAGGGTCAGTCTCACCCAGTGACCAGTTCTAAGTTCCCGACTCTTAGATGGGAAATGAAGAGTATTTTGTGTGAGCCTGTAGATGTTTGAAAACTTTGATATTCAGAGGGTAGGCGAAATGGTCACTCACTCCTGAGACTTCCTTTGTGAAAACAGAGCTTTGTAATATTTGTGATTCCCTGCTCTCTCTTTCAGGAAAAGATGCTCACTATATCCAATAAAGCTTATAAAATACTGGGTATCAGTTGAAAGGTATTAAGACATCAATTGTCGGCTGGGTGCAGTGGTTCACACCTGTAATCACAGCATTTTGAGAGGCTGAGGCAGGAGGATCACTTGAGTCGAAGAGTTCGAGACCAGCCTGGGCAACATAGTGAGACCCTTGTCTCTACAAAAAATAAATTAGCTAGGCGTGGTGGTGCAGGCCTGTAATCCTGGCTACTTGGGAGGCTGAGGTGGGAGAATCACTTGAGCCCAGGAGGAATAGGTTGCAGTGAGCTGTGTTCATGCCACTGCACTCCAGCCTGGGCAACAGAGTGAGACCCCTCCTCAAAAAACTAAAACTAAAACTAAAATAAAAATTAAAAAAGAAATAAATTGTTTTCTTGTCTCTGTTCAAAACCTGGACCACTATGTGTAGTCCTATTCCCAGACTGTCACACAGATCTAGGGATGTTGGTACAAATTGAGAGAAAGGGAACCAGATGGTTCTTCCTCATCTTTGTATGCATGTAGCTGGCATAGTGATTGGCATTTGCATTCCATAAATGTTTATTGAAATGAGTTAAATTAAAATAAATAGAATTAAATCCTGGACTTATATAGTGTACTTGCTGAAATTCAGTTTTAAGAAGTGGCATAAAGTGAAAACAAAAGTATTTTAAACTTATGTAGAAATATTGACGAGATGGCTAAAATGGAAATCTCTGATCTTTTGAAGATGTATATGTAATTCATGAGTTGATATGTAGGAGGGCATTGCTTCCTCCCACAGCTTCAGAATCATACAGTAATAGACTGGGGGGATCATAGGCCTGACCAAGTGGGACTATTGTTAAGTTATGCTCTTAAATAAAGAAAAAAAAAGTAACATCAGTTCTTTAAGTACTTTGTTCTAACAATGTAATTATTGTGTTCTGTCTAAAACTATGATACAGTGTTAAACTTCTCAAGGTTTCCTTTGTCTACGAGCTACAGTCCAGTGTTGTTCCCCGTCTTTTTGTGACATGGCCTGTCTTCACTTACTGTGGAAACAAACTAACATATGCTTCTTTTTTATTTATTTATTTATTTTGCGACGGAGTTTCGCTCTGTCACCCAGGCTGGAGTGCAGTGGTGCGATCTCGGCTCACTGCAAGCTCCGCCCCTCCAGGTTTAAGCAATTCTCCGCCTCCGGAGTAGCTGGGATTACAGGCGCGTGCCACCATGCCAGGCTAATTTTTTGTATTTTTAGTAGAGACGGGGTTTCACCATCTTGGCCAGGCTGGTCTTGAACTCCTGACCTCGTGATCCACCTGCCTCAGCCTCTAAGTGCTGGGATTACAGGCGTGAGCCACCGCGCCTGGCCTGCTTCTTTTAAAAGGAAACTCTGAGATAAAAAATACGAAGTTCTCTTCAAAAAAGCAATCAGCTTTTCATTAAAGGGAAACTATGGAGTACAACACTTGAGTTTTTTTTTTTTTTTTTTTTTGAGATGGAGTCTCGCTGTTGCCCAGGCTGGAGTGCAATGGCGAGATTTCAGCTCATTGCAACCTTCCCCTCCCTGCCTCAGTCTCCCAAGCAGCTGGGACTGGGACTACAGGCGCCCACCACTACACCCAGTTAATTTTTTTATTTTTAGTAGAGATGGGGTTTCACCGTGTTAGCCAGGATAGTCATGATCTCCTGGCCCCGTGATCCACCCGCCTCGGCCTCCTAAAGTGCTGGGATTACAGGTGTTAGCTACCGTGCCTGGCCCCACTTGAGCCTTAAAATACTTTATTTGGGCACTGAATAAAATTTATCTGTGCTAATTCTTTACCTGTACTAACACGCAGTAGTCTTTAGCCAGGGCATTGCTACCTACTACGATGTATTTGGGTACACTTATGGTTCTCACAATGACCAGGTTATGGCATGTTCATTTTTATGGGTGGGGTTCAGGCATTATAAACATTATAGTATACATATATGTTGTAGTATGTAGCATAAATACAACAGGTACAACCATTAGAAATCTCCACGCATCCAGGAACCGTGGCTCAACACCTGTGATCCTAATGTGCCAAGGAATTGGTGGGTTCTTGATCTCACTGACTTCAAGAATGAAGCCATGGACCCTGGCCGTGAGTGTGGCAGTTCTGAAGAGCAGTGTGTGGGGAATTTGTTCATTCTGATGTTTGCATATGTTCAGAGTTTCATTCCATTCAGGTGGGTTCGTGGTTTCGCTGACTCGGGAAAGCTACCAATCTTGGCAGTAACTGTTACAGCTCTTAAGACGGTGTGTCTGGAGTCATTGGTTCCTCTCAGTGAGTTTATGGTCTCCTTGGCTTCAGGAATGAAACTGCAGACTTTCACAGCAATTATCACAGCCCACAAAGGCAATGCGCATGCAAAAACCGAGCAGCAGCAGGAATCATTGCAAACAGCAAAAAAAACAAACCTTCCACAATGTGGAGAAAGCATTAACCAAACAGCCACCACCGTTCAGGCAGCCTGCTTTTATACTCTTATCTGGCCCCACCCACATCCTGCTGATTGGTCCATTTTACAGAGAGCTGATTGGTCCGTTTTGGCAGGGTACTGATTGGTGCGTTTACAATCCCTGAGCGAGACGCAGAAGTTCTCCAAGTCCCCACTAGATTAGCTAGATACAGAGTGTGATTGGTGTATTTACAAACCCTGAGCTAGACGCAAAGTGTATTTACAAACCTTGAGCTAAATACAGGGTACTGACTGGTGTATTTACAATCCCTTAGCTAGACATAAACATTCTCCAAGTCCCCACCAGGTTAACTAGTTACAGAGTGCTGACTGGTGCATTCATAAACCCTGAACTAGACACAAGGTGCTGATTGGTGTGTTTACAAACCTTGAGCTAGATACAGAGTGCTGATTAGGTGCATTCACAAACCCTTAGCTACAAGACATAAAGATTCTCCAAGTCCCCACCAGGTTAGCTAGATACAGAGTGCCGATTGGTGTATTCACACTCCTTACCTAAAGATTCTCCAAGTCCCCACCAGGTTAGCTAGATAGAGTGCTGATTGGTGCATCCACAAACCATGAGCTAGTGCGGACTGGTGTCTTGAGCGCGGGTAGTGAGGAGCTTATCATCTGGGCCAGCAGCTGCGGAGGGGGCGCCAGGTCCCCCAGCACTGCCCGTCCGCCCGCGCTGCGGTCGAATTCTCGCCGGGCCTCAGCCGCCTCCTCATGGGGCAGGGCACGGGACCTGCAGTTCGCCATGCCCCAGCCCGCCCCCGACCCTCCCACCCGTGGGCTCCCTTGCGGTCCAAGTCTCCCTGATGGGCGCCGCCCCCTGCTCCGCGGCGCCCGGTCCCATCGACCGCCCAAGGGCTGAGGAGTGCAGGTGCGTGGCACGGGACTGGCGGGCAGCTCTGCCCGTGGCCCCAGTGCGGGATCCACTAGGCAAAGCCAGCTGGGCTCTTGAGGCGGGTGCGGACTTGGACAACTTTTATGGCTAGCTAGAGGATTGTATATGTGCCAGTCAGCACTCTGTGTCTAGCTCTGGGTTTGTGGATACACCAATCAGCACTCTGAATCTAGCAACTCTAGTGGGGACCTGGAGAACCTTTATGTCTAGCTAAAGGATTGTAAATGCACCAATCAGCACTCTGTGTCTAGCTCAGGGACTGTAAACACACCAATCAGCACCCTGTCAAAACAGACTAATCAGTTCTTTGTAAAACAGACCAATCAGCTCTCTGTAAAATGGACCAATCAGCAGAATGTGGGTGGGGCCAGATAAGGCAATAAAAGCAGGCTGCGCGGAGCAGCCACGATAACCTACTCGGAGTCGATCTCTCTGTTGTGGGAACCTTGTTCTTTATGTTCTTTGTAATAAATTTTGCTGCTGCTTGCTTTTTGAGGTTTGTATTTCCTGTGTGAGCTGTAACACTTACTGTGAAGATTTGCGGTTTCACTCCTGAGACCGGCAAGAACCATGAGCGCATCAGGAGAAATGAACAACTTCAGACATACCATCTTAAGAGTTGCAACACTTATGCTGAAGGTCTGCATGTTTCGCTCCTTGTAAGCCAGCCAGACCAGGAACCCACCAGCGGGAAGAAACTCAGAACATGGGTGAACATCAGAAAGAACAAACTCCAACCACACTGTCTTTAAAAAATAACATCACGAGGGTCTGCAGCTTCATGTTTGAAGTCAGTGAAACCAAGAACCCACCAATTCTGGACACCAGGCTGAGGCAGAAAAATTATTTGAACCTGGAGGTAGAGGCTGCAGTGAGCTTAGATCATGCCACTGCATTCCAGCCTGGGTGACAGCTCCATCTGAAAGACAACAAATAGATGATAAATGGAATTTAATCAAAAGAAACTTTTGTGCATCAAAGGACATTAGGCAGTGTTAAAAGAGCACATAGAATTGGTGAAAATGTCTTGGAAATTACATGTTTGATAAGGGTCTAACATCCAGATATATCCAAAAAAACAAAAACCAAACCTTAGAACTGAAAATCAACAAGGCAACTCAGTTTAAATGCACAAAGAACTCAAATAGACACCTCTCCAAACAAAATATGTAAATAGGCAATAAGCACTTGGAAAGTACTCTGTCTTTATTCACTAGGGGAAATGCAAATCAAAACCAAAGTAGGGTACCATTTCAAACTTTCTTGGATGGCTATAATCAGGAAAATGGCCAATGAAAAAGTGTTGGTGAAGATGTGGATGAACTGGAACTTTCATGCATTGTTGGTGAGAATGTAAAATGATAAAGCCACTGTGGAAACCGGTTTGGTGGTTCCCTTAAAAAGCTAAACATGGGTGTAGCATATGACTTAGCAATTCTAGGTGTATACCCAAAAGAATTGAAAGCAGAGACTCAAACAGATCCTTGTAATCCAATGTTCTTTGCAGCATCATTCATAATAGCTAAAAGGAGAATCCAGCCATCAACAGATGAGCAGATAAGCAAAATAACAAAAATAAAACTGCGTAAGCAGAATAGGCATCAAAATATAAGAAATTTTAAAAAATGAATATACATACAATATGGGATATATGCTGGTATATGCTGTGAGATGGATGAAACTTGAAAACATTTTGCTTAGTGATGAAATAGGCTAGGTATGAAAGGACACAAGTACTGTATAACTCCACTTATATGAAATATCTAGAATAGGCGATTTCAAAAAGACAAAAGGTGAGGGGCTGAGGCTCATGCCTGTAATCCAAGGACTTTGGGAAGTCAAGGCGGGAGGATTGCTTGAGACCAGGAGTTCAAAACCAGCTTGAGTAACATGGTGAGTCCATGCTGCCCCCCACATCTCTACAAAAAATTAAAAATTAGCCAGGTGTTGTGACACATGACTGTAGTTTAAGTTACACGGGAGGCTGAGGCAGGAGGATTCTTTGAGCCCAGGAGTTCAAGACTGCAGTGAGAATGAGACCCTGTCTCTTTAAAATGCCAAAACAAGGGCTGGGTGCGGTGGCTCACGCCTGTAATCCCAGCACTTTGGGAGGCCGAGGCGGGTGGATCACGAGGTCAGGAGATGGAGACCATCCTGGCTAACACAGTGAAACCCCGTCTCTACTAAAAGTAGAAAAAATTAGCTGGGCGTGGTGGCATGCGCCTGTACTCGCAGCTACTCGGGAGACTGAGGCAGGAGAATCGCTTGAACCCGGGAGGCAGAGGTTGCAATGAGCCGAGATAGCCCAGATCGCGCCACTGCACTCCAGCCTGGCGACAAAGCAAAACTCTGTCTCAAAAAAAAAAAAAAAGTTAAAGTGACATTTTATGTTATATATATTTTACCACACTGCATCGTGCCATTAAACAATAAAAATTTGTTCTAAACATTGAGACTTGTGCTCCAGAAATAACTTAATATTTTGGTTAAGTTTCCAGCTTTACCCTTTATTAGTTGTGTTGGGCAATGTGTTATACCCTTTTAGGTGTCAGTTTCTACATCTGTAAAAGAAGACTATTAATATATTTCTCATAGTTGGAATAGTGCAGCTACAGTGTATGCATTCGGTAAATGTTAACTGGCGTTGGTGTTAAATCTGGGAATTGCGTTGTTTCTTTTTAAAGAATTCTTATTCAGTTACCACATATTCTCACAGAAACAAATGTTCTTGAGAATCAATTTTAGCTTTCTTTTCCTCAAGAAGCGACTGGAGCTCAATTAAAAATGATGAAAACTTGCTTGATCCTGCTCTCACTGTGCTTTCTTTGCAGTAATGTTCAGATCAATTTATGGCATTGGCCCACTTGCAAAAATTCAACCTATCATGACTACTCTAATACAGGTTGCACTAGAGGACAGCTCAGTTTGGATTAAAGCTTTTGGTGGTTTCTGCCTTTAGGCTTAAGTGATGACGATTTGCCAGGTGATGACAGTTACCTTTTTTGGTAGTTAGTGAAAATCTGGAGAACACTAATTTTAAACCATGTTCAGAGTCTCAGCCATAGAGAATCTCTGTGAGAGATCTTGTTCCCAGAAATTTAATTCCCTTTATCCCTTTTTGTTGATTTTTCTCTGTAGTGATTTCCACTCCTTCCCCCGCCCCCACCCACCCCCAGCTCCAAACACATACACACAAGAGTTCAGCAACCTGAACTTTGAAAATACTTAGTGATTTCAGATTCTCAGTGAATTAACAAATGCTATTCCTTCTGCCTGAAAAATACTCATTTTTCAGCTAAATAGCATTTCTTCAGGACCTCCAGGAGGGTGGATGCTTCCTAAAGAAGTCCCCATCCCTTATTTTTTTATTTTATCCTCGTACTTCTTTTTTTCACAGGAGTGGAAACAATTTTTTTTTTCTTCCCAGCGTTTGCTTGATTTCAACTGTTAGATCCAGTAGAAAGTAAGCTCTTTGAGGCCAAGTGCTATTTCTGCTTTGTTCTTTTATAAAGCAGTTGTCACAGGGCAGGCACACCGTATATACTCGTTAAATAAGACTTCTACCTTTAGTTGTTAATTGGCAGCCAGACCGGAGCAAGAAAAGGGAAAATGCTCTGAATCAACAAATATCTTTCGAACCAGAGAACGCAAAACGACGACCACGAAGGGACTCGAACCCTCAATCTTCTGATCCGGAATCAGACGCCTTATCCATTAGGCCACGCGGCCAACCGCCAAAGACAGATGCTTATATAGCACACAAAGGGAATGTAACATGGTGGGGAAGGGGGCTTTTTAAGTGCTGACTTCAAAGATCCAGCTTAATAAAAAGTTCCTCGTTTGAAATTAAAATTCACTAACAGTTAAAAACTATTTACAACACCTTCCAAAACTTGCAAATACTAATACACAGTTGTCAGAAACTGTGAGAGGACGAGCAGTTAGATGGGTCATCAGCGGTGAACCCTGTTGAAATCTCTGATTAATGGCTTCGAGAAGTGGGATAGGGAGATTTTCAGTTCTGAACTGATGCTGCACCCCTTAGGGAAAACAATCAAGAGGAGGGTGAGAGAGCGCACAGAACGTACTTTCGGCAAGTGGGGTGTGTGAAAGGAATGATGGCGACGCTGGAAGCGGGGCAGTGATGGCCAGGAAACTTCAAAGATGGTTCTGTTGGAAGTGCAGGGTTGGCGTAAGGCCGGAACAAAGTAGGTTATTCAGTTCACATATACTGTTTATTTACATGGAGCTTAGTGACTTCCATTCCTGACTTGAAGACTTCCCAAGTTTGATTTGGTCTTGACAAAAACGCGTCACCAGCTCGCTGTGGATTAATGCACAGAACAATAGGGTGTTTGGGGGGAACCCCACAGTCACCAAAAGTGTGGATGGGATAGGAAAGATGTGAAACGTCCAACCCTTAAGTAGAACTATAACACCGGTCTGTCCATTACACAGTATGATTTTGGTTCCTTGAAAATGACATGTTATTCTAACACAATGAAATCCGAGCAAAATCTCTCCCTTCCTGAACACTACACTCGTCAACAAAGAATCCCATCAACTTCTATTTTTCCTAGTGTTTTCTTCTATAGTATTTTCTTTGGGGTTAAGACCAAGCTCAAATTATTGCCGAATATTCAGTCAAAATTTTTAGAGTGTCTTACTTTAGGCTTTGCTCAGGAACCCAGGGACATCGATGAGGAAGGGACATTGATGAGGAAGAGACCACAGAGTGGCATAGGATATGAACTAGCATGAGTACAAGATTTGGAATAATATCGTACTTCTTGTCATTCCAATACAGGTTTACATAAACTGTTGCAGAACACAAAAACAACAAAATGTCCCACTGCATTTTAGAAAGGTAGCTTAACATCTACTGCAAAAACTGCAAAGATTGCCTAAAGATACAGCAATTATTATTATTATTTTGTTGTTGTTGTTGTTTTGTTTTTGAGACAGAGTCTTGCTCTGTCACCCAAGCTGGAGTGCACAGTGGCACGATCTGGGCTCACTGCAACCTCCGCCTCCAGGAAGCAATTCTCTTGCCTCAACCTCACGAATGGCTGAGACTACAGGCATGCGCCACCACACCCGGCTAATTTTTGCATTTTTAGTAAAGACGGGATTTCACCATGTTGGGCCATGGCTGGTCTGGAACTCCTGACTGCAAGTGATCCGCCCTCCTCGGCTTCCCAAAGTGCTGGGATTACCGCGTGAGCCACTGCGCCCAGCCTATTATTATTTTTGAGACAGGGTCTCACTCTGTCACCCAGGCTGGAGTGCAGTGACGCTATAACGGCTCACTGCAGCCTCGACCTCCTGGGCTAAAGGGATCCTCCCACCTCAGCCTCCTGAGTAGCTGGGACTACAGGCGCGCGCCACCACGCCCAGCTAATTTTTTTGTATTTGTATAGCTGGGGTCTCGCCATGCTGCCCAAGCTGCTCTGGAACTCCTGGACTCAAGAGACCCACCCGTCTCTTCCAAAGTGCTGGGATTACAAGAACCAGCCACTGCGCCCTATCTATGCAGCAACCATTAACAAAACATAATATCGCCATGATGAACAAGTACAAGGACAAATGTAAAAACTGAAGAGGATTCTCTGTTCTAAAATAATTTTTGATAACATGGGAAGATGTTCTGAATACAATGTTGAGAATAAAGCAAATAATAAAAACATATGCAGTATGATCCCAATTGGATAAGTCTGTATTTATATGTCAGAGTCTCCACTCAGATTCAGTCTTGAAGTTCTTAATCCCTTTAAATAACTGGAAACTGGAACCTGTACAAGACACATTATAAGTGTTTGATGCAATACACATACATATTGTGTATAATATGTGCAACTCTCTCTCCCCATTTTCAAAGTTTGGTGAACATTTTCAATTAAAGCCAAATATTTGAAGTTATATGCAACTATTGAAACTGGATATATTGAAAGTATTGAAACTGAAAAAAGTTAAGCTACTGGAAGATATTTTCTCATCTTCATCATCAGCATTGGGACACTTACTGTTGAAAGAATATATGTGGCTCACCTTTTTAATGAATTGGAATCAGGTCACCTGGGGCTTAGGACATCTTCTAGAACTGCCCAAGGACAGATGTGGATGATACCATGATTCATGGTCCTAATCCTTCCTCCAGAGAGGCCACAACAGAGCTAAAAGGTTTAGATCCTGGATAGTGACAATATTAGGGTTTGAGATCTTTGTGAGCTAAAATACAATTGTCAGCTTTCTCACAGGGTTCTAATTCTAAAATAAAAATAAGTACTGAGAGTTCATGGAGATGTTTTTTCCTCTCCTTTTAAATCTCACCTTGCTAACCTGAAAATGTTAAGCCTCCTAACCTGCTTCCCACTCTATTTCTGATCTCCTTTACCTGGTTATCATTCAGAACTATTCTCTACAGTTTCTTCTGCTCAGAGAAGGGCAATTTCTGACTGGCTCCATTTTCCTTCTTTTATTTCTGCCCCCTTTTTTGTCTCAACTTTGGCTCCATCCCCACTTTCTCTTCCACTTGTACTTTGCATCCTGTGTCTTCTGCAAAATATACCCAGAAATATGTGCTTAGCTTCCTCTCTTCCATTTTGTTCCCTTTTATTCTCCTTTTCTCATTTTCACTGTCCCTAGATAATAATAGGTCTGTCTTTAATGGGAGAAAAGGGGAAAATAATGAAATTTCAGAAGATTTGTGTATGTGTGTGTATGTGTGTGAGTAAATGTTAGGGCTTTGCATTTTTATATTCACATTTTCCTCTCACGTGGGTTACATCAATTTATAATAATCTACATAAGTTGAAACAGAACATGGACAAAAAAATATATCCTTACCAACTTATTTTTTTGTTTGTTTTTTTGAGACGGAGTCTCGCTCTGTCACCAAGGCTGGAGTGCAATGGCCGATCCACAGATCATGTTTATCAGACATTTCCATGAAGTTGCCTTTAAGTATTTTAAATTCTTGTCCAAAACCAAACAGCTTCATCCCCTTCTGGATACCATCCTACTTCCCACAAATAAAAACAAACAAACAAGCATAATTCCTGCTTCTCCTTCTCTACTTAATAGTTTGGTGAAAGGCAACATCCATCTCTTACACTACCTGTGTGTGTGTGTGTGTGTTTCCTGAGGACACTCTCCATCTTTGTTTCTTTTAAAATCCATAAAGTCTCTCAATCCTGCAGCATCCACCTTCTTTCTCCAGTTCAAATAGGTTCCTTCTTTGTTTTTTGTCACTCAAGTCTCTGCTAGTTTAGACCTTAAGCATTATTCCTATGACCGATTGCAGGAGACACACATTATGCCCTCCTTAGAGTAGGACAGAGAATAAGGTCAATGATTAACAAAATGTTGAATCATTCGCTCTCCAATTGTATAACAACTTTAGCTTTTTCACGGTTCTGCGCTTGAGACTTTTTTTTTTTTTTTTTTTTTTTTTTAAAGACGGAGTTTCGCTCTTTGGAGTCTAGCTCTTATCGCTGAGGCTGGAGTGCAATGGTGCAATCTCGGCTCACAGCAACCTCCATCTCCCAGGTTCAAGCGATTCTCCTGCCTCAGCCTCCCTAGCAGCTGGGATTACAGGCGCCTGCCACACCACACGAGGCTAATTTTTGTATTTTTAGTAGAGACAGGGTTTCACCATGTTGGCCAGGCTGGTCTCCAACTCCTGACCTCAGGAGATCCACCTGCCTTGGTCTCCCAAAATGCTGGGATTACAGGTGTGAGCCACTGTGCCCAGCCAAGACTTCTTTTTATCCAATAGCAGTGTGCCAGTAGCAGAAGAGTCAGCTGCATATGCTATAAAGAGCGTGCCCAGGAAAAAGCTGGATTTTGATAGCTTTCTACCTGGAGGAGAAAGACGTAATTTGGGTGCACAGGGATCAGAACTTGAACTTCAGATCCTGGGAGTAAAATGCTACTTAGATTCATAAACTCAGAAACTTTGTTGCTGTTGTTGTCTTGAGAATCTTGTAAAGTGTACACATTTGTCTGTGGTCTGTCTTGTCTTTTTTTGTTGTTGTTTTGGATTCTCAACTAGATATGCTAAAAATAAGCAGGCAAAAAAAGCAAGAAAGCAAACATGCTAAATTGGTGTTTCCTTCTGCAACTGGAGCTGCCCAACCCTATGCAGCCTTGCCTCTTGTGTGAGCATTTAACACTGCTCTCTGACAACCAGATGGGTTGGCTTCCTTATGACAGTTTCAAAGAGCAGCTGTATGTGACTAACGAACTTCAAACATACAGTTTAAGAGATGCACCTGAGAAAATGCTGAGCCCATTCAGAGACTCAGTGAGTCACAAAAGTCTCAGACAAGACAAGCTGGGTCTCTTGTAAGAGGTTCTGGAATTTGGTCCATGGATCACCATCAGTATAATCTGGAAACCTGTTAGAACTGCAAATTCTTGGGCCCTACCCCAGGTCCACTAAATCAGAAATTCCCAAAGGATGTTCCAATATGTTTCAACAAGTCATCCAGATGATTCTGATGGACCTATGCTTTGTGAACAACTGAACTCGAAGGATTGACACCTTCTGTTGCCTCACTTTAGAGTAAGGGGCATTCATTCTTCTCTAGTACCTGGAGGAAGCACAGATGCATTGGGGACCTGGGACACATCCAGATCTGAGCATCCAAATCCTGAGCATCCTTGAGGCTCCACTACCCAGCACGCTGCCTCTCACCTCATGGGTTTCCTCTTTTCCCTTCCGTAGTGTGATGAATCCCCCACCAGATTAGGTAAGGATGTATGTCCACTGCCTGAATCCTGAAAGCCAGGTGGTGAGCCAAGGCCATGGTGCCCAGCCAAAGAGTAGGTGTCCCTAAGAACCCAAACATCCGGGAGAGTATCTAGGAACCTACTAAGAAAAACAGTCTCATCACTCAAACACAGTAGACAAATAGCCAGAAAATAAGCTTAAAAGCAGTTTAGAGGCTGGGTGCGGTGGCACATGCCTGTAATCCCACACTCTGGGAGGCCGAGGTGGGTGGATTGCTTGAGCCCAGGAGTTCGAGACCAGCCTGGCCAACATAGTGAAACCCAGTCTCTTCTAAAAATACAAATATTAGCAGGATGGGGTGGCGGGTGCCTGTAATCCCAGCTACCCGGGAGGCTGAGGCAGGAGAATCACTTGAACCCAGGAGGCGGAGGCTGCAGTGAGCCGAGATGGCAGCACTATACTCGAGCCTAGGAGACAGAGCGAGACTTGGTAAAAAAAAAAAAAAAAAAAAAAAGCCATTTAGAGACAGGAGGCTGCATGGATCTCTGGAGCTGTCCTGCTACATCCAGGAGTACCCTGTGTGTAAGTCCTAATAAATTCATCTTACTTGTCAAGCTGTACGTGTCCAAGTCATTCTTTGGTCTGTTGGCTGCTTCCCAATTTAGGGGGACGTTACAGTCCCAAGTTTTGCTCATAACAATTGGCATCACAAACAGGATCTGAGAGACCAAACAATGAGTCAGGAAAGGGCATCTGCAGGGGGAATCCTGGGGTGGTCGGCAACATGCAGGTGGGGTGGAATTGCTCCATCGCTCAACCTTTGTGGACTGCTGAGGAAGTATAGGGATACTCAGAAAATGTGGCGGGGACTAAGCGCATATTGCAAGAGGCTAAGATATCAAAGTAGGATAAGGATAGCAAATGTGCTATTGTTGCAATAAGGCTGGCCCCTGAGAAATCATTAGAGCAGGAAACAGAGAAAGGATAGAAACACCTGCAGAAGTTCAAAGCATGCCAGCTTTTTTAGGACTCCAGCTGGTTACCTATTATGTATGGCCCTTTCTTGTGCACATTTTTTAACTGATGGGGAAATTACAACAAAAAAAATGCGGATTTTAAATGGTTAAGCTGCAACTATAGAGTTAAGTAGAGTCTCCTAAAGCTATTTCTCTCTTTATTTTTGTTTCTGCTTATTTTGAATATGCTATTTATTTATTTAGAGACAGATTCTCACTCTGTCACCCAGGCTGGAGTGCAGCTCACTACAGCCTCCGCCTCCCGGGTTCAAGCTCTTTTCCTGCCTCAGCCTCCCGAGTAGCTGGGATTACAGGAACCCACCACCACGCCCAGGTATTTTTAGTAGAGATGGGGTTTCACCATATTGGCCAGGCTGGTCTCGAACTCCTGACCTTGTGATCCACCCACCTCGGCCTCCCAAAGTGCTGAGATTACAGGTGTGAGCCACTGCGCCCAGCCTCGAATGTTGGGAGAGAAGCTGAGTGTTGGGAGACAACAGGACTTGTATGTCTGCTAGACTTGCTGGCTCCTTGCTTTTAGCACTCCCATTATCTAAAGTAGCCATATGTTTCTCTTTCACTTGATACACCATTTCCTTTCAACCCCCACATCTTCACTACCTGTTTGTTTGAGCACCAATAAATAGCGTGGGCTCCCAGAGCTCAGGGCCTTCGCAGCCTCCACACTCGTGATGGCCACTTAGTCCCACTTTCTCTCTCAAACTGTCTTTTTCTCATTTCTGTGACTCTGCAGGACTTTGTCGCCCCCACGACCTGGTGTTGGGTCTGATCACCCCAACACTCAAATATGCCATTATTAAGCTATTGGTGTTGAAATAAAACTCACTAATTCAAAGCCACTCGGAGATTTTACTTTTCTCTACAGTACAGCCAGTTCTTACTAAAATGTAAACAATGAAACTCATTTGAAGCACAGAAAAAAGGGGATGTGGATAAATGAGGATTTTAAAAATCAAACTGCTATAGAAACTGCTTTACCCAAAATTGTGTTCCACAGTCTTTATTGGATTACCTATCAGTGCAAACAAAGTCTAGTCTTGTGGACAGGTCTCAATTTTGTGAAAAATAATTTGGATCTAGCTTTTCTTTTTTTTTTTTTCCTTTTTTTTTTTTTTGAGATGGAGTTTCACTCTTGTTGCCCAAGCTGGAGTGCAACGGTGAGATCTCGGCTCAGTGCAACCTCCATCTCCCAAGTTCAAGTGATTCTCCTGCCTGAGCCTCTTGAGAAGCTGGGATTACAGGGGTGCGCCACCACTCCCAGCTACTTTTTTGTATTTTTAGTAGAAACGGGGTTTCACCATGTTAGCCAGCCTGGTCTCCAACTCCTGAACTCAGGTGATCCTCCTGCCTCGGCCTCCCAAAGTGCTGGGATTACAGGTTTGAGCCACTGCACCCGGCCTGATCCAACTATCTTTTGTAAAATAGTAAATTTATGATGTTGTCTCATGGCTAGAGTTCCAAGTAAAAGCTGTTGGATATTGGTTTGTGTGTATAGATACATGCTTAAATGTGTTTATGTGTATGTATATATATTATGTGTTATGCCTAGCATACTACCAAATGGCTTATACATAAATGAGTACTCATAAAGTCCAAATGCTTTTCAAGTTCATATGAATTTAGTAATCTTTAATAAATAATCTGGCTTTAAAATTATTGGTAAAATAAAAATAGAAATGTCCTTGAATTGTCAGCATACGTTTTTGTCTCAGTTTACCAATTAGTTTTACATTTGCCTCTGCTAGATATTTTAAGGTGTCAGGGTTTGACCTAAAGATCATAAGTCTGTAAACCCAGCCAAAAACAGAATGATCTTTATTTGTGTGATTTTTTGGTAAGTATGACTAATTTAATATTGTTAGGTCAGTGAAAACAGCTAAAATTCCTGAGTTATTGGCAAAAATGCCCATGTGTTTAACTTTAAAGTTCTTGCCTAGGTGAACACCTGACATTCACAGTTTAACAGAAAAAATAATTCAGAATGATGAGTAACTTTGTCTAATGTCTTCGTTCCAATGAGTAATCTAGGTAAACTGCTAAAAATGAATAAATTGAGTAAATGTAAGAGATAAATGCTTACGGGTGAACTTTTTGTGTAGTTTAAAACCTTAAAATTGTTTTAAGTACTTGTTGAATGTCTGGATCATTTCCAATTCAAAAAATGGCATTTATAATATAGGGCATTGGTCACACTGAGGTGACAGCGTGCTGGCAGTCCTCAGAGCCCTCGCTTGCTCTCGGCACCTCCGCTGCCTGGGCTCCCACTTTGGTGGCATTTGAGGAGCCCTTCAGTCCCCCACTGCACTGTGGGAGCCCCTTTCTGGGCTGGCCAAGGCCGGAGCCCACTCCTTCAGCTTGCAGGGAGGTGTGGAGGGAGAGACACGAGCGGGAACCAGGGCTGTGTGCCGCACTTGCGGGCCAGCTGGAGTTCCGGGTGGGCGTGGGCTTGGTGGGCCCCGCACTCGGAGCAGCCAGCCAGCCCTGCTGGCCCCGGGCAATGGGGGACTTAGCACCCGGGCCAGTGGCTGCGAAGGGTGTACTGGGTCCCCCAGCAGTGCCGGCCCACCGGCGCTGTGCTCGATTTCTCGCCGGGCCTTGGCTGCCTTCCCACGGGGCAGGGCTCGGGACCTGCAGCCCGCCATGCCTGAGCCTCCCACCCCCCTCCGTGGGCTCCTGTGCGGCCCGAGCCTCCCGGACGAGCGCCACCCCCTGCTCCACGGCACCCAGTCCCATCGACCACCTAAGGGCTGAGGAATGCGAGTGCAGGGCGCAGGACTGGCAGGCAGCTCCACCTGCAGCCCCAGTGCGGAATCCACTAGGTGAAGCCAGCTGGGCTCCTGAGTCTGGTGGGGACGTGGAGAGTCTTTTTATCTAGCTCAGGGATTGTAAACACACCAATCAGCACCCTGTGTTTAGCTCAAGGTTTGTGAGTGCACCAATCGACACTCTGTATCTAGCTGCCCTGGTGAGGACGTGGAGAACCTTTATGTCTAGCTCACGGATTGCAAATACACCAATCGGCACTCTGTATCTAGCTCAAGGTTTGTAAACACACCAATCAGCACCCTGTGTTTAGCTCAAGGTTTGTGAGTGCACCAATTGACACTCTGTATCTAGCTGCTCTGGTGGGGCCTTGGAGAACCTGTATGTGGAAACTCTGTATCTAACTAATCTAATGGGGACGAGGAGAACCTTTGTATCTAGCCCAGGGATTGTAAACGCACCAGTCAGCGCCCTGACAAAACAGGCCACTCGGCTCTACCAATCAGCAGGATGTGGGTGGGGCCAGATAAAAGAATAAAAGCAGGCTGCCCGAACCAGCATTAGCAACCCGCTGGGTTGTCTCTTCTGCACTGTGAAAGCGTTGTTTTTTTCATTATGCGCAGTAAATTTTCCAACTGGTCACTCTTTGGGTCCACGCTGTTTTTATGAGGTATAACACTCACTGCAAAGGTTTGCAGCTTCACTCCTGAGCTAGCAAGACCATGACCCCACCAGAAAAAAGAAACTGCGGACACATCTGAACATCAGAAGGGACAGACTCCACGCCCGCGAACTTTAGAGCTGTGACACTCCCTGTGAGGGTTTGCGGTTTCATTGTTGAAGTCAGTGAGACCATAGAACCCACCAATTTCAGACAACACTTCTGAGCCTCTTAGTGGGAAATGAAATCTGTGATGGGGGGAAGCATTGGCAGACCTCAGTGAGCTGGATAAAAATAACGATCAGGTCCACAGAGAAAGCAAAAAGGGGATGGGCCAAATATGCACCTGTATCCTTGCAGGTAATGAACATGAAACAATACTTCCTGCTATTGGGGGGGCACTCTGAAATCACCCAAACAATCCAGAAAGTACATAAGGTACAAATAGTCAGACTGGTCCAGAGCCCCTACAGCAGCCTTGTTTGGCCTGTGAAGAAGCCAGGTGATTCCTGGAAGATGATGGTGGATTACCGCTAGCTGAACAAAGTGGTACGCCCTGTACATGCAGCTGTATCCAATATTGCTCAACTGCTAGAGCAAGCAGTACCGAAGCTGGGAAGTATCCATTCTGTGACTGACTGCATTAATACCTTTTCCAGTATTCTTTCAGCTGAAGATTCACAAGACCAGTTGGTCTACACTTAGGAGGACCAAGAATGGACTTTCCAGGTGTCACCACAGGGGCATCTGCAAAGCCCCGCCATCTCTCACAGTATGGTTACACAGGAGCTGTCTATAATCTCTTTGCCTGCCTTGGTCTCCCTGTTTCACTATATTAATGATAACATGCTACCCTAGAGTCTCTTACAGATTTGGAGACTATCCTACAAACTGTTTTGGACAGCCTGAAGGAGGGATAGAAAATCAACCCCAAAAATATACAGAGGCTTGGCATGCCTGTCAAATTCCTGAGAGTTACCTGGTTGGGTAAGATGTGAAACATACCCAAAGCCGTCATTGATAAGATAGCATAGTAGTCTGCTCTCCAGACAGTAGAGCAACTCCAGGTTTTCCTAGGTTTACTGGGCTACTGGAGGATATTCATTCCTCATCTGGCACAAATACTCCACCCATTATACACCCTAATAAAGACAGGTAAAAAATGAGATGACATAAATAGAACAAGAGGCATTTGACAAAACAAAAATATTGGTGAAACAAGCCCAAGCATGCAGACTCTACTGCTGTATTAGTAATCACCAGAGATGTCACAGGGATGAATTTAGGTTTGGGGCAAAAGCAACTAATGGGAATGGTACCTATAGGGTTTTGGTCTCAGTTATGGGAGGGAGCCAACATGGCAGTGGAGCCACCCATCAGGCCAACCACCATATATAAGGGTACCCCGCCAATATCTGCTAGGCCCTGGTACATTGATGGGCATAGCAAAGATATCCAACACTGGGCATCAGAAGAAAATATAGACTGGACCAGGTGCGGTGGGTCATGCCTGTAATCCCAGCACTTTGGGAGGCTGAGACAGGCAGATCACTTGAGGTCAGGAGTTTGAGAGCAGTCTGGCCAACATGGTGAAACCCCATCTCTACTAAAAATACAAAAATTAGCCAGGCGTGGTGGCGCATGCGTGTAGTCCCAGCTACTTGGGAGACTGAGGTGGGAGAATTGCTTTAATCCGGGAGGCGGAGGTTGCAGTGAGCCGAGATCGCACCATTGCATTCCAGCCTGGGCAACAGAGCGAGACTCTGTCTCAAAATAAAAAAGAAGAAAATATAGACTGGAGGTTCCACTTACCACCACAATCCAACAGAGGCAGGACTTACAGAAAGAAATAATGGCCTGTTAAAGACCCAGATGTGTGCACTGTTTCAGGTTGGCTCTTTAAGTTCCTGGACTAAGAATCTCCATAAAGCCATACAAACTTTAAATGAGTCACCCACTAGCACACATGGCATCACTCCTTATAAATGGTTGGCAAGGCCTGTAAGACATGTCCCACAAACTCTCGGGGTTACCTCAAAGACACTGAGCCATGCTTCTGAGGCAGATGGTGAGACATGCTCCTGAGAACACCAGTGGATCTGCCAAGCAGTGATGGCTACAGGGACCTGAAGCTGAGCTGGAATATGCCTCCATACTGGATTAGTTTTATAGTACTGGAGGGTGGTGCCATGATAACTGCCATAGGGGCAGTGGTCCCAGCTGTGCTCCTTGATAGAGTTCCGAGAGACTTACTTTATCAACAGATGGCAGCACCCATACCTGCTGGAATAATTATAGTATGGATAGCATGGGCAAGGCTGGAAACTTATCAATTGGCTATTGTGGCTGCTTCTAGGAAAAGAAGACATGGGTGGTTTTGTAATCCAGGCCTGAAGCCCACAGTGGCATCCCTAATAGTGCCAATGGGAGAAAACACAATGATAATAATGTTGCAAGGTGTGGCCAGGCGCGGTGGCTCACGCCTGTAATCCCAACACTTTGGGAGGCCAAGGCGGTGGAGTATGAGGCCAGGAGATCGAGACCATCCTGGCTAACACGGTGAAACCCCGTCTCCACTAAAAATACAAAAAATTAGCCAGATGTGGTGGCGGGCGCCTGTAGTCCCAGCTACTCAGGAAGCTGAGGCAGGAGAATGGCGTGAACCCAGGAGGCGGAACTTGCAGTGAGCCGAGATCGTGCCACTGCACTCCAGCCTGGGCAACAGAGCAAGACTCTGTCTCAAAAAAATTTAAAAAAAAAATGTTGCAAGGAGTGAATACGCCTGTGAGAGTTCCTACTAACCACCTGTGTTTATACCCATAGGTTGTTCCTGCTACTCATGGCAGCTGGTAATGTCTTTCTAGACTGAGCTGCAACTCCAGAAGCAGTCAACAACCAGTCAGATACCTCTCCCTATAAAATAATAATGATATGCCTTAAAATACTCTGCCTTTCTCCTGACAGAACTGGAGTGACTTGTACAATAGCACTGATAATGCAACCCGGGCTCACTAAGGATTGCCTCCACCTAGAGGCTCAATCGCCAACGTGACAAAGACCCAAAATGTGCCTTTCTAGGTGCTAACTGTTGCACCTATTTCCCTGATGAAGAGAGTAATGTCAGAGGTACTTTAAACCATTTGTCAACTCAGATCCATGATATAACCTAATTAGGTTTCTTTTACTCATTCTCAAATTGGTTACACAGCTTCTCTAGTCATGGGAATTAGGTTTTGCTAATAGACATTATAATTGTAGTTAACTTCTGCTTTTTGTGCTCCTACGTATACTGTAGATGTGACCTGTATGCGCAAGCCATGGCTAGACGTTATAGACCTGTATAGTTCTTTCCTTCCACCCTACTCAAGGAGTCTCACACAAGATTGGCAGAAAGAATGTAAGAGATGGGAGGCAGGGTGGATTGCAGCATGACAGATCACCCACCATGTCACTTAAGAGTGTATGTCTACTGCCTGAACCCTGAAGGCCCAGTGGTGAGCCAAGGCCACGATGCCCAGCAGAGGAGCAGGTGTCCTTGAGAACACAAACATCCCAGAGAGTATCTGAGAACCTACCAAGAAAAACAGTCTCATTGCTCAAACACAGTAGGCAAAAAGCCAGAAAATTAACTTAGAAACAGTTTAAAGACAGGAGGCGGCATGGATCTCTAGAGCTATCCTGCTGCACCCAGGAGTACCCTGTATCTAAGTCCTACTAAACTCACCTGCTTATTAAGCTGGACTGTCTTTGGTCTTCCGGGACCTTCCCAGTTTGGGGGGAACGTTACAATCCCAAGTTTTTCTTGTAATACTTTCCAATCTTTCTCCTCCCCTTGTTAACTTTCCCCAGATCCTAGTTTCAGTTTCTGTTGTGGCTAGATTTTCAGGCCCAGTGGTTTTCAAACTTGCCTGAATATCAAATTCAACTGGGAAATATTAAATAACACAATATTCCATAGATGTGAGGACGATCTAGCTGTGACATCTGTCACCCCATAATAATTCCTGGGCCCTTTTCTGGAGACTCTGAAAGCACTCAGCATCTCAGTCTCTGGGGTAAGGCCTGGGGATTCCTGTTTTTATTAACTCCCGCAGGTAAATTTTCACCTTTGGGGACTCCTGCAGTGTTGTCCCAAAAGCACTTATAGGAAGGTCTAGGGCAGAAAAACATCTTTTCCCACCCAGTGCCAGGTTCATGGCTGACACTTCATAATAAAAGATAGATTAACAAGGGAAAAGCAGGCCGGGTGGGGTGGCTCATGCCTGTAATCCCAGCACTTTGGGGGGCTGAAGCTGGTGGATCACCTGAGGTCAGGAGTTTGAGACCAGCCTGGCCAACATGGAGAAACCCCCATTTCCACTAAAAATACGAAATTAGCTGGGCATAGTGGCACACGCCTGTAATCCCAGCTACTCGGGAGGCTGAAGCAGAAGAATCGCTTGAACCCGGGAGGCGGAGGTTGTGGTGAGCCAAGATCGCGCCATTACACTCTAGCCTGGGCAACAAAAGTGAAATTCTGTCTCAACAACAAAAAAAAAAAAAAAAAAAAAGGAAAAGCATACAAATCAAACAAATTTTATTGACACAAGAGCCTTCAAAAATGAAGACCTAAAGAAATAGGAAAATCTGCGTACAGCAGACCCTTGAATAACGTTGTTTCATTCAACATCATTTTGTTATAATGTTGATGAGAAAAAAGTCTATTTCTCCTGGAAGCCACTGTCTGAGTTTCCTCCCACATCCCAAAAATGTGCACATTAGGTTCATTAGCATATCTAGTCTGAGTCTAGCGTCATCAGTCTGAGTGAAAGAGCACGCGAGCATATGTGTGAGTGTGTGTGTGTGTGTATGAGCCCGCCCTGTGATGGAATGGCCACCTGTCCACGGTGGGTTCCCTCCTGACACTATGAGGAGTTGAATTAGGCTTCAGCCACCAAAGACCTTGAACTGGAGTGAGCAGGTTGAAAAATGCATGAATGAATACAAGTTACTGTAAAAGCAAAATTCAGGAAGCATTTCATAATCCTACAAATGCATGACAATAAACGACATGGTGCTAAAACAGCCAGCCGCCATACTGAGAGGTGACAGCTTGCTGGCAGCCCTCACAGCCTTCGCTTGCTCTAGGCGCCTCCTCGGCCTTGGCGCCCACTCTGGCCGCGCTTGAGGAGAACTTCAGCCCGCCGCTGCACTGTGGGAGCCCCTTGCTGGGCTGGCCAAGGCCGGAGCCGGCTCCCTCAGCTTGCAGGGATGTGTGGAGGGAGAAGCGCAGGCGGGAACCGAGGCTGCGCGCGGCGCTTGCGGGCCCAGCGCGAGTTCCGGGTGGGCGTGGGCTCGGCGGGCTCCGCACTCGGAGCGGCCCCCTAATCCGCAAGCCCCGAGCAGTAAGAGGCTTAGCACCTGTGCCAGCAGCTGCTGTTCTCGACTTCTCGCCGGGCCTTAGCTGTCTCCCCGCGGGGTAAGGCTCGGGACCTACAGCCCGCCATGCCTGAGACGCCCCTCCCCGCCATGGGCTCCTGCGCGGCCCGAGCCTCCCCGACGAGCGCCGCCCCCTGCTCCACGGCGCCCAATCCCATCGGCCACCCAACGGCTGAGAAGTGCGGGCGCAAAGCACGGGACTGGCAGGCAGCTCCACCTGCGGCACCGGTGGAAAATCCACTGGGTGAAGCCAGCTGGGCTCCTGAGTCTGGTAGGGACTTGGAGAACGTTTACGTCTAGCTAAGGGATTATAAATACACCAATCGGCACTCTGTATCTAGCTCAAGGTTTGTAAACACACCAATCGGCACCCTGTGTCTAGCTCAGGGTTTGTGAATGCACCAATGGACACTCTGTATTTAGCTACTCTGGTGGGGACTTGGAGAACCTTTATGTCTAGCGAAGGGATTGTAAATACACCAATCGGCACTCTGTATCTAGCTCAAGGTTTGTAAACACACCAATCAGCACCCTGTGTCTAGCTCAGGGTTTGTGAATTCACTAATGGACACTGTATCTAGCTACTCTGGTGGGGACTTGGAGAACTTTTGTGTCTAGCTCAGGGATTGTAAACGCGCCAATGAGCACTCTGTGAAGATGGACCAATCAGCTCTCTGTAAAACAGACCAGTCAGTTCTCTGTAAAATGGACCAATCAGCAGGATGTGGGTGGGGCCAGACAAGATAATAAAAGCAGGCTGCCGGAACCAACTGCGACAACGTGTTCGGGCTTTTTCCCACGGTGCGGAAGTGTTTTTTCGCTCTCTGCGATGGATCTTGATTGTTCTTTGGGTTTACACTACGTTTATGAGCTGTAATTTGTTGATGGTCTGCAGCTTATCTTTTGAAGTTAGGAAAAACATGAATTCTCGGGCAAGAACAAACAACTCCGGAGGCGCCGCCTTAGAAGATGTAACACTGACTGCCAAGGTTTGCAGCTTCACTCCTGAGCCAGTAGAAGACCAAACCACCAGAAGGAAGAAACTCTATAACACATCCGAACGTCAGAGGGAATGAACTCTGGCTACACCGCATCTAACGATTGTAACACTCATCCGGAGGACTTGTGGCTTTCTTGAAATCAGTGAGATCAAGAACCCGCCAATTCCGGACACAATGTTTTACGAATTGTGTGTTAGTAGGAGTTGCTCCTTACAACTGCTATTTCACAAACATTTATTCCTTGATATAACCTGCCACCACTAGAACTGCAGTCACTGATTCACCAAAAATCAATCATGTCTGTTTTTGCTGATCTTAACTTGAGGTGCAGCTCCTATTTTTTTCAATATTTAGTGTTAGAAGTGTTTGGAGTCCTTATTTAGAAATTTGGTGTTTTTGTGATCAGACATTTGCCAAGAAAATTAACTCTTAAATCAATTAGTCTAGTCTATGGTAGAATTAGTTTTATTTTGCTTAAAGTAATAGTTTCCAAAAACCAACTGACAATAAGTGAGGACTTCCTATATTTTTATGCTTAGGTTTGATGAAGTGGATAGTCCCATAGCAGTATAATTGGATAAAAGGGGGTATGATCTAATGGTTATAAACTGGGGTGAACTTAGCAAAGCCTGTTTATTCAGGTTCTCCTTGGCATCTCTGTGTCTTCGTTTATTTCCTCCAAGTACATTTTCTCCCCTCTGAATTGACGGTCTTATCACCTACTTTAATTGGAAGATCAGGTAGCTTTCATGGCCCGCTTCACGGAACAAGGGCCCAGAGAAAAACGTTTCTGCTTCTGCTGTTTTCTCAAATGCCGAGGTGTCGTATTTTGGGAGTAGTGTGACCTGAACCCAGTCAAAAGACGTCCGAGTCTTTCTAATCTCTGGGTCATAGGGTCGCCTTTGGCCTATGCATTGTACGTATACAGTATGGCATTTCGCATGTCTGTCCACTTCTAGGCGCACAGTCCAACTGGCTTTGACTGGTCAGGAAGGCCAGGCCTGGATCTGGGGTTGGTACTATAGGTTAGATGTTTTCAGGTTTTGAAGGAGAAACAGGTCCCTTAAGGATGAGAGCGAATCAGAAGAAGACAGACAAAAAAGGATTTAGGATTTGTTCCAGAAGCTCATTTCTGGATTGACTGTCGTACCAAGGTTTGGCGAACGGCGGCAAGCGCTTGCCAGTTTGTCGAAGAGTGGAGAGGTCAGTTGTGCCAAGGAGTGGAGAGGTCTAAGAACTCTCCAGGAGCACGGAGGGTTTATGCAGTCATAAATCGCCTTGCTTCTGCATACTTTTTATTCCGTGGAGGATTCCGCCCGGGCGATGGCGCCATAAATGCAGGTGCGTCCTGGCTCTTTTCTCTTCCCAGTGCGCATCTCGGCGACTCTCACCACCCGAGTCTCAGAGCCCGCGAAACGTAGCGTGCCAGGTTCTCCATCCCGAGGCTGGGCGCGGGAACCTGCAGGGGCAGTAACTACGACCGGGACAAGCCGATCTGCAATTCCCCTCCTGTTTTCTCTGCCCCTTGGACTTAAATTCCCACGGCGGCGTTTAGGGCTTTCGTTTTATCTTTCTGCGTTATGCTCGCGGTTTCCTGGCAACCTTTCCAAGCAGAATCACCCCATCACAGACCTTTCTCTGGGGGGCGGCCAGGCAGGACGGCTCCCTTATAAACCCCGATAGGTGGTTGTCGAGCGGCCGTCCGAGAGGGTGACCTGCAGCGGGAGATCCCAGGCCCAGCACGGGACTTTCGATATAACATTCAGTTTTCCTTCTCTCAGCGCAGTCAGGAAACAATATCCAGTATAGCGAATTCAAAATTAAATTCGACAAAATATGCTTCTTGGCACGACCGATAATAGTAACAGGTCATAGAAATATTTTGGCCCACGTTGAGCGTTGGGGGGTGTAGCTCAGTGGTAGAGCGCGTGCTTAGCATGCACGAGGCCCCGGGTTCAATCCCCGGCACCTCCAGCTTCATTTTTCTCCCGCCTTTTCTCCTAGATGTGCCTTGTTTGCAAAATCATGTCTATCATGTCCACGACTCGCCTCAATTTTTTTTCTTTTGTTTTTGTGGCACTTTCATTCTCTCTCAATTCTTCAAATTCACATGGAAACCAAGGAAAACAAGCTCCGTTTTGCTTTCAATATTGATGCATTTCTGCTCTAAGGCTTTGACACCACCCTGGGTGGCTGTGTCAAGAGATGAAAGACAAAATGAAAGAGGCCGCGGAAGCACAGACTGGCAGAATTCCAAAACCCGAAAAACAAGCAAGGCACCAAATTAACAAGCCCAATCACATTGGTTACATTTCCCAGTATTATCGAAGATCAAGCAAGAAAGAAAAAGACAGAAAACAAATGCGAAACCACAGGTAATTTTTTACAATTTATTTTAGATCCTTTCTTTTTTGCGCTGTTCCTTGGTCAAGGGACAGACCCAGAAAATAGGAAAACTGTCCCACGGATTTCCCCACCACTCTCTTCCCATCGCAATCTCTTTTCTTTTCCCCCATCAGGTGTCCTCTTGTTCGTCCGATTTTAGACTTTGTAAGCTTTTTGTAGGCTTTTTTTTTTTTTTTTTTTTTTTTTTTTTTTTTTTTTTTTTTTTTTTGGAGACAAGAGTCTCACTCTGTCTCCCAGGCTGGAGTGCAGAGTGCAATGGCACCATCTCGGTTCACGTGCAAGCTGTGCCTCCCAGATGCAAGTGATTCTCCTGCCTTAGCCTCCCGAGTAGCTGGAATTACAGGCATGATGCACCACCATGCCCGGCTAATTTTTTTTTTTTTAGTGGAAACGGGGGTTTCACCATGTTGGCCAGGCTGGTCTCGAACTCCTGAACTCAAGTGATCCACGATCCACCCGCCTCTGCCTCCTAAAGTGCCGGGATTCCAGGCGTGAGCCACCACGCCTGGCCTACTTTGTATGCATTTCTTTGACTCATTGTTATTGTTTCTGACTTTATTAGGGTAACTTTTATTAAAGCATAATGTAAGCTTTGGATCCAAATAGAAGTTCTTTATTGTGTTAAATAAATTGAAGCCTTCGTATCTGGCTGACTTGAAGCAGCACTTAGCTAGTTTTAAAAGATATGGAAGGCAATCAGAAAACAAAGATACATATCCCCACTCCCTTCTCTTCCCAATTCTAACCGCAGCTCACATTTTGAAGGGCCTCACACATGCATGTGTGAACATCTCAACATATTAGCGGTGGCAGTTATCTGTAAGGAGTCTGCAGCAACATTAATTCTTGCCTCCTCAGGAGAAGGAAAGAATTCGATTGAGGAGCATAATGCCGAAGGAGAGACCGAGGCAAGTCTTAGAGCAGGGGTGAAAAATTATTGAAAATATTTAGAGCACTAATGAAGGAAAGTACACTTGGAAGAGGGCCAAGCAGGCGACTTGAGAGACCAAGTGCACGGCTTGACCTCTAGACCTGGGGTCGTAAACGTTGGCATAGTTCCTAAATCTTGTGTTATTTCTCCCCACTCCTGAGATCTTATTGGGAAGTGACCGACCACCAGTTTCACGTGTTTTCTATCTGTTAAGAAACTGCCTTTCTCTGTCAGAGGAAGAATCAGTTTAAACTTTATAGATTTCTTTTAAAACGTATTTATTACAAGTCCCCAAGAGGGCTTTATTTTTGCTTTCACACATCCTGTTTTTCAGCTTCCTTGGCTCTTTTTGCCCATATGCCGAAGAGCCGAGCATTGCCGCCAAGCATTGGCACCGGCCATGCGGAGACTAGCGAAAGCTTTGCAATTCCTCTACTTCTCAGTGATGACTCGGGCTTTCTCCTTACATTCTTGATGGGCATGACCGGTGCTGTCAGCTGGGTGGCCAATTTCTGTTCTTCAGCAGAACTGTCTCCCTTCTTGGGGGCCGAGGGCTTTCTGGGGAAGAGGATGAGTTTGGAGCAATACTCATTCAGACGCTGCACATTGGCCTGCAGGGAATCGGTGGACTTGTTCTGCCTCCTCGGATCCACAGAGATGCCAGTGGTCCGGGTCACCTTCTTGTGAATGCCCGCCACCCTGAGCTCCAGGCTGAAGCCTCTGCCGGCGCGCACCTTGATGTGATAACGCACAGCAGGGCACAGCACAATGGGCCAGATGGGTCCCGACTCTCCGGGCGCGGGGCGATGCAGCGCCCTTTGGCTTGCCGGGCCTTGATTCTGCGGATCTTCTGGTTGAACCACGTGGCCACACGCTGCTGCCAGTCCTTGTGGAAGTGGGGCTTCAACATCATGCCATTCCTGCTGGGCGCCATGGCTGCCTACGGCCCTCCTACGAAGGAAACACTTTATAGATTTCTATAGCAGTGTTACATAGTAAGGTTTTATGGCGAGTTTTGTAGCATGGATCATACTACCTTAGGACTGATGGTAAAGTTTTAGTCTAAGGAAAGCTCTGAAAATTTGAAAATGTGTAACCACCCAATGAGTTCAGCTTGCCCACTGCCTAGACAGAACCATTTATCAAGACGGGCATGCAAAGCCGGCTGTGTGGGAGACCCGTTTTATTATTATTCAAATCAGTCTCCCCAAGTGGATTGCAGTTTTTAAGGATAATTTGGTGGGTAGGGGACCAGTGAGTTGGGAAAGTTGATTAGTCGGGTCGGAGATGAAATCAGAGGGAGTCGAAGCTGTCCTCTTGTGTTGGCTTAATTTCTGGATGGGGGCCACAAGACCAGATGAGCCAGTTTATCGTTATGGGTGGTGCTAGCTGATCCATAGAGTACAGGGGCTGCAAAATATCTCAAGAACTGATCTTCGGTTTTACAATAGTGATGTTATCCTGAGGAGCAATTGGGGGAGGTTTAGAATCTTGCAGCCTCCAGCTGCATGACTCCTAAACCATAATTTATAATCTTGTGGCTAATTTGTTAGTCCTGCGAAAGCAGTCTAGTCCCCAGGCAGGAAGCGGGTTTGTTTTGGAAAGGGCTGCTATTGTCTTTGTTTCAAAGCTAAACTATAAACTAAGTTCCTCCCAAAGTTAGGTCAGCCTACGACCAGGAATGAACAAGGACAGCTTGGAGGTTAGAAGCAAGATGGAATTGGTTAGATCTCTCACTGTCTCAGTTGTAATTTTGCGATGGTGTTTTCAAATGTTGATTTAAAGAAGACCATAAATTTGTGTTGCTTTCTCAGATTTTGAGAATAAGGACAAAAAGTGTATGTTTTAATGGGAGAATCTTAAGAATTTCACTACTGAAGTGGATTTCTCTGTCCATTAACAGTGCTAAATGTTTTGTATTTCCCAGTTGGAAAAACAAAATCTGCAAGCTTTGAATGATACTTGTTATTAGGTTTTGGTAACAGCTGTTGTACTATTCCCATTTCAATGCTCAATAGCCACACGTGGCATGTCATACCTACCAGGTGGACAGCACAGATATAGAACATTTTCATCATTGTAAAAAGCCCTATTTGACAACACTAACTTAAAGTATTAATCTTTTAGAAGAGAAAGCTTCAGTCCAACCCAAATTACACAATTTTACTTTTGAAAATATTGTTGAAACAACGTTCAATTTTTTAAAATTTTGGAAAACTGAATGAAATCCATTTGTAAATGCACAAATGGTACTGGAGGTGGAAAACTGAAGCCTTGCTATAGTTTTAGTTTTTTGGAGGGTTATGATCAACACAGAGAAGAAAAGATTCATCTACCCATAGAGCTTCTTGAGAAAAATTTTCTAACAATAATTTTGAAAATTTGTAGTGAATTTGTTCTTGCCATTATTTATGGGTGCTTTCATGTGCGAGGCACATCAAAGTTCTGGGGAATGACTTAGGCACAACCAAATGGCTATCTTGGGAAGACCAAAGTCCTTTGCTATATATGAGAGTTTTGAGATGGCGACTACCTTTCTGTATGGTAGATTCTTGTTTTTGAATATGCCCTCTGGGTTTTCAAAACAAATTGTTTTTACAATACCTATAGTAGTTATCTAGGGCATATTCTTTAGCTTCAAAAATTCTATCTTTAGAATGGGCTTCAATATTCATAACTGAGTTATTTTCCTCTAATAAATCATTAACATTTTCCCATGTTTTATTGTGGTGTTCATGGTAGTTTAAAATACCTTATAATAGCATATAATATGTATGAACAACCTGAAAATATATGTATGTGAACAACCTGAAGCCACATGTACTCTCAGTATACAGGTTAATTCTTAAACCTTCAACAAGATGTCATGCTCAAATTGGAACTACATTTGTGCTTCACACAAAGACCTTTCCGTCAATGACTGACTACATGTACGACCATGGTTTTATAAGACTATAATACCATATTTTTACTGTATCTTTCCTGTGTTTAAGTACACAAATACGTATCTGTGTGTTCCATTGCCCTACAGTATTCAATACAGTAACATGCTGTAGTGGTTTGTAGCCCAGCAGCAATGGACTACACCGTATAACCTAGGTGTGGAGTAGGCTATACCATCTAGGTTTGTGTTAAATACTCTCTAAAATGTTTGCACAGTGATGAAATGCCCTAATGACTAATTTTTCAGATCATATCCCTGAGGTTGATCTAGGCATGACTGTATTAGTCCAGTCATCTGAGTAGATGTTGGCAAAAGGATAGTTTCCGTTACAGAAAATTAAGATGGCATATCCAGTAGAAGAGCATACCTTGAATTTGTTTTATTTTTAATTTTTAAAAAAAGTTTTAGAGCAGTTTATAAGCAGTTTTTAAGTTTATAAGATCACATAAGTTCATTTACCATATTCTACCACCATAACTTGACGTAAGCCTGAATGAACATTTTATAAGCTCAGCCTTACTGTATACTAAGTTCAAGTTTACATCAAGTTACGGTGATAGTATATGGTAAGATGTTTTGCCCTGAAAGTCCTTATTTTAAAATATGTATAGTTAAACTGACACATAACAAAGCATGTGAGACAAAAGAAAAGAGGAGACAACCAGATGGATTCTAGTGAGTTTGAGCTGCCATCCTCTGACTTGCACGCAAGGGCAAAGATTCACTAATCCAACAAGTGCTTGCTAAAGATTTAGGGGAAATAACATTGCTTTTTTATTTCATTTTCCCCCAACAGTTCATTCCATTAATAGTGCTAGGAAGTTTTGACATGAGAATAGGAACACTTTTCTCGGGTTTTGAAGGGCCTTGTATAGTCATGCAAAGAAGAGCATCGTACAGTCATACAAAGTCTACAGTATGAGGGTGTAGCACAGATATAAGGTACTGGATTATATCTCTTTTTTTTTTTTTTTTTGAGATGGAGTTTCACTCTTGTTGCCCAGGCTGGAGTGCAATGTCGCGATCTCGGCTCACTGCAACCTCCGCCTCCCAGGTTCAAGCAATACTCCTGCCTCAGCCTCCCAAGTACCTGGGATTACAGGCATGCGCCACCATGCATGGCTAATTTTGTATTTTTAGTAGAGACGGGGTTTCTCCATGTTGGTCAGGCTTGTCTCAAACTCCCGACCTCAGGTGATCCGCCTGCCTCAGCCTACCAAGTGCTGGGATTACAGGCCTGAGCCACCGTGCCCGGCCATCTCTATTTTTTAAAAATATATTTGTGTGTAAATGTCTCAGTTATTTTAAAAACCTTGGTGCTATTTAATACTGTGGTTAACACTTTGGAAGAAAATGGCTAGGTTTGAGCCTGACCTTGTTGGTATAGGCTCACTCACACCTTCAGAATATGGGCATTGATGAAAGAAAAAATTCAGCTGAATTAAATTTAAAGGAGTTTAATTGAGCAATGAACGGTTTGCGAATCGGGCAGCCCCCAGAATCACAACAGATTCACAGAGACTCAGCGCAGTCACATGGTGGAAGAAGATTTATAGACCAAAAAAAAAAAAAAAAAAAAAAGGGAGGGCCGAGCGCAGTGGCCCATGTCTATAGTCCCAGCACTTTGGGAGGCCGAGGTGTGTGGCTCACGAGGTCAGGAGTTCAAGACAAGCCTGACCAACATGGTGAAACCCCGTCTCTACTAAAAATACAAAAAAATTAGCCGGCTGTGGTGGCATGCTCCTGTAATCCCAGCTACTCAGGAGGCTGAGCCAGGAGAATTGCTTGAACCCGGGAGGCAGAGGTTTCAGTGAGCTGAGATCGAGCCACTGCACTCCAGCCTGGGCAACAGAGCAAAACAGCAAAACTCCTTCTTAAAAAAAAAAAAAAAAAGGAATGACATATGGAAATTGGAAGTGAGGTACAGAATGGCTGGATGGGTTACAGCTCAGTTTTTGCCTTATTTGAACACAATTTGAACACTCAGCAGTGTATGAATGGTTGAATTACAGCCACTGGGATTGGCCAAGACTCAGCTATTGTTATAGGCACATATTCCTAAGTTAGGTTTTCAATCTTGTCTACCCATTAAACTAGGTTGCAATTCCTCCACAAGGACCCAAATATAAAAGTATGGAATCTTTCTCAGGCCATATTTAGTTCGCTTTAACAGCATAATCCACAGATTATGGTGCAGTGGATTCCACTGATATTCAGGGGTGCTGACTCTAGTTTTCAATTAAGACAAGTGAAGAGAGACAGAACTCTGTTCCAGATAATGGATGTCTAGGTAATTCAGATAATCCCCCTGGTAAAGACAACAATAAAGCCGGGTGATATATAAAAATAATTCTTTCTTAAAGCATTAAAAATATAATAAACTAGTAATCAATTACCTGCTGAGTGTCAGTAAAAGAAACAAACCCAGAGAAGTGAATCTAGCAGTTGGGACCCCTTTTGCCCTGGCAACATTTGTAATCTGGATGTAGAAGCCAAGAGACTTATCTATGTTTCTGATAGCCTCATAGGGTTAGAGGAACAAAAACAGAAACCTAGGGCTGCCCAAAGTGGCGACATTGGTGATCATGCACTCCCCCTGAGGCTGCTTTCTAGGAGTAAAGGGGAACTGTAAGTAAACCTGCTCACCCATAAACTGCAGCTTGGCTTACCATCATCTGGTAGCCCATAAGACCCCAAACCTTGACACTGGTTTAAGGTGGGCTGTATTTCAGCACATCTAGGTTTCTGAAGAAGCAAAAGAAAATCCTCTCTGAAGGAATAATACTTTAACCTAGACTTCACATTATTTCTAGAAATATTTTTTTCAAATACAAAACCCAGCATACAAACGTGCATACACATGAACAAACAAGTCTCCGTGAAAATCAACAGAAACAACAGACTCAAAAAAAGAAAAGAAAGAAAAGAGAGAGAAAGAAAGAGAGAAAGAAAGAAAAAAGAAAAAGAGAAAAGAAAGGAAAGAAAGAAAAAGAAATGACAGATACCAGAAATAGAATCTACTAAACTTCAGATTTGGAAATTATCAGATAAGGGTGTAACAAAACTGCTTACTATATTCAAAGAAACAAAAGCTAATCTAAAAAATTTAAGGAGCAAATTGAAAAATATAAAAACTGACGAAGTAGATTTAAAAATAAAAACCAAAATTTATTTGTAATTTAAATATATAATAACCAAAATTAAGAACTTGAAGGATAAATTAACAACAAACTTGACACAACTGAAAAGAGTATTAGTAAAGTGGAAAATAATTTAGAAGAAATTATTCAGAACACGCTGGGCGTGGTGGCTCACATCTGTAAACCCAGCACTTTGGGAGGCTGAGGCAGGTGGTTCACGAGGTCAGGAGATCGAGACCATCATGATAACTCGGTGAAACCCCATCTCTACTAAAAATACAAAAAATTAGCCAGGTGTGGTGGCAGGCACCTGTAGTCCCAGCTACTTGGGAGTCTGAGGCAGGAAAATGGCATGAACCCAGAAAGCGGAGCTTGCAGTGAGCCGAGATTGTGCCACTTTACTCCAGCCTGGGCAACAGAGCGATACTCTGTCTCATAAAAAAACAAAAAGTAATTATTCAGAACAAAGTATGGAGATGCAAAATAATGGTATTAATAGAAGAGAGGATAAGGAGATCTAATATATATTTAATTAGAATTTTTAATGGATGAAAGACAATAGAGCAGAGGCAATATTTGAATAAATAATAACTGAGATATATAAGACATGGAGAAATGCCACCTACATTCCCTCTCAAAGAAGGACTCATTTCCCTTAGTTGTTTGGAGTGCTGCCAATGTTCTAGGGTTTATCTCAGGTGCAGAGAGTTGATTCTCCCAAAAGCACACCCTTCCTGGGATGATGCACCTTCAACAATTGATTGCAGTGGAGTAAAAAGATTTGTCGTTTTGGCACCACAGGAGTATAGGCCATATGTAATCCAGTGCTCCCTATGGTGTTGGTTGAGACTTTGGCAGGTCTGCATCTCAGCTTAACTCACTTTTCCAGTTTGACAGCCTCATTCACGGTGCTCAGACCATGGAAGTATTTTGTGTTAGAAAAAGGACAATTGGCTGGGCATGGTGGCTCATGCCTGTAATCCCAGCACTTTGGGAGGCCGAGGTGGGAGGATCACTTGAGGTCAGGAGTTTGAGACCAGCCTGGCCAATATGGCAAAACCCCTTCTCTACTAAAAATACAAAAAATTAGCCAGGCATAGTGACAGCCGCCTGTAATCCCAGCTACTTGAGAGTCTGAGACAGGATAATCACTGGAACCTGGGAGGTGGAGGTTGCAGTGAGCTGAGATTGCGCTGTTGCAATCCAGCCTGGGTGACAGAGCGAGCCTCAATCTCAAAAAAAAAAAAAGGACAATTGTCAAAAGTAAGAAGCTGTAGTAGGGGGTCAGAAATATAAATAAATACTATCAGGGCTCAGGTCTAAGGGGGGAAATATTTTATTCTCTTATTTTTTGTACTTTAAGTTCTAGGGTACATGTGCACAATGTGCAGGTTTGTTACATATGTATACACGTGCCATGTTGGTATCCTGCACCCATTAACTTGTTATTTACATTAGGTATTTCTCCTAATGCTATCCCTCCCCACTAACCCACTCCACGACAGGCCCTGGTGTGTGACATTCCCCTTCCTGTGTCCAAGTGTTCTTATTGTTCAATTCCCCCCATGAGTGAGAACATGAGGTGTTTTGTTTTCTGTCCTTGTTATGGTTTGCTGAGAATGATGGTTTCCAGCTTCATCCATGTCCCTACAAAGGACATGAACTCATCCTTTTTTATGGCTGCATAGTATTCCATGGTGTATATGTGCCACATTTTCCTAATCCAGTCTATCATTGATGGATATTTGGGTTGTTCCAAGTCTTTGCTATTGTGAATAGTGCCGCAATAAACATATGTGTGCATGTGTCTTTATAGTAGCATAATTTATAATCCTTTGGGTATATACCCAGTAATGGGATTGCTGAGTCAAATAGTATTTCTAGTTCTAGATCCTTGAGGAATTATCACACTGTCTTCCACGATGGCTGAACTAGTTTACAGTCCCACCAACAGTGTAAAAGCATTCCTATTTCTCCACATCCTCTCCAGCACCTGTTGTTTCCTGACTTTTTAATGATCACCATTCTAACTGGTGTGAGATGGTATCTCATTGTGGTTTTGATTTGCATTTCTCTGATGGCCAGTGATGATGAGCATTTTTTCATGTGTCTTTTGGCTGCATAAATGTCTTCTTTTGAGAAGTGTCTGTTCATATCCTTTGCCCACTTTTTGATGGGGTTGTTTGATTTTTTCTTGTAAATTTGTTTGAGTTCTTTGTAGATTCTGGATATTAGCCCTTTGTCAGATGGGTAGATTGCAAAAATTTACTCCCATTCTGTAGGTTGCCTGTTCACTCTGATGGTGGTTTCTTTTGCTGTGCAGAAGCTCTTTAGTTTAATTAGATCCCATTTGTTTATTTTGGTTTTTGTTGTCATTGCTTTTGGTGTTTTAGTCATGAAGTCCTTGTCCATACCTATGTCCTGAATGGTATTGCCTAGGTTTTGTTCTAGGGTTTTTATGGTTTTAGGTCTAACATTTAAGTCTTTCATCCATCTTGAATTAATTTTTGTATAAGGTTTAAGGGAGGGATCCAGTTTCAGCTTTCTACATATGGCTAGCCAGTTTTCTCAGCACCATTTATTAAATAGGGAATCCTTTCCCCATTTCTTGTTTTTGTCAGGTTTGTCAAAGATCAAATGGTTGTAGACGTGTGGTATTATTTCTGAGGGCTCTATTCTGTTCCATTGGTCTATATATCTATTTTGGTACCAGTACCATCTGTTTTGGTTACTGTAACCACGTAGTATAGTTTGAAGTCAGGTAGCGTGATGCCTCCAGCTTTGTTCTTTTGGCTTAGGATTGTCTTGGCAATGCAGGCTCTTTTTTGGTTCCATATGAACTTTAAAGTAGTCTTTTCCAATTCTGTGAAGAAAGTCATTGGTAGCTTGAGGGAGATGGCATTGAATCTATAAATTACCTTGGGCAGTAGGGCCATTTTCATGATATTGATTCTTCCTATCCATGAGCATGGAATGTTCTTCCATTTGTTTGTGTCCTCTTTTATTTTGTTGAGCAGTGGTTTGTAGTTCTTCTTGAGGAGGTCCTTCACATCCCTTGTAAGTTGGATTCCTAGGTATTTTATTCTCTTTGTAGCAATTGTGAATGGGAGTTCCCTCATGATTTGGCTCTCTGTCTGTTACTGATGTATAGGAATGCTTGTGATTTTTGCACATTGATTTTGTATCCTGAGACTTTGCTGAAGTTGCTTATCAGCTTAAGGAGATTTTGGACTGAGACGATGGGGTTTTCTAAATATACAATCATGTCATCTGCAAGCAGGGACAATTTGACTTCCTCTTTTCCTAATTGAATACCCTTTATTTGTTTCTCTTGCCTGATTGCCCTGGCCAGAACTTCCAACACTATGTTGAATAGAAGTGGTGAGAGAGGGCATCCCTGTCTTGTGCCAGCTTTAAAAGGGAATGCTTCCAGTTTTTGCCCATTCAATATGATATTGGCTGTGGGTTTGGCATAAACAGCTCTTATTATTTTGAGATACGTCCCATCAATACCTAGTTTATTGAGAGTTTTTAGCATGAAGGGCTGTTGAATTTTGTCGAAGGCCTTTTCTGCATCTATTGAGATAATCACATGGTTTTTGGCTTTGGTTCTGTTTATGTGATGGATTACATTTATTGATTTTCATATGTTGAACAAGCCTTGTATCCCAGGGATGAAGCCAACTTGTTCTTGGTGGATAAGCTTTTTGATGTGCTGCTCGATTTGGTTTGCCTGTATTTTATTGAGGATTTTCGCATCGATGTTCATCAGGGATATTGGTCTAAAATTCTCTTTTTTTGTCATGTCTCTGCCAGGCTTTGGTATCAGGATAATGCTTGCCTCATAAAATGAGTTAGGGATGAGTCCCTCTTTTTCTATTGTTTGGAATAGTTTCAGAAGAAATCGGACTAGCTCCTCTTTGTACCTGTGGTAGAATTCTGCTGTGAATCCGTCTGGTCCTGGACTTTTTTTGGTTGGTAGGCTATTAATTATTGCCTCAATTTCAGAGCCTGTTATTGGTCTATTCAGGGATTCAACTTCTTCCCAGTTTAATCTTAGGAGAGTGTATGTGTCCAGGAATTTATCCATTTCTTCTAGATTTTCTAGTTTATTTGCATAGAGGTGTTTATAGTATTCTCTGATGGTAGTTTGCATTTCCGTGGGATCGGTGGTGATATCCCCTTTATCATTTTTCATTGCATCTGTTTGATTAGTCTCTATTTTCTTCTTTATTAGTCTTGCTGGTGATGTATCAATTTTGTTGATCTTTTCAAAAAAGCCAGCGCCTGGATTCATTGATTTTTTGAATGGTTTTTTGTGTTTCTGTCTCCTTCAGTTCTGCTCTGATCTTAGTTATTTCTTGCCTTCTGCTAGCTTTTGAATGTGTTTGCTCTTGCTTCTCTAGTTCTTTTCATTGTGATGTTAGGATGTCGATTTTAGATCTTTCCTGCTTTCCCTTGTGGGCATTTAGTGCTATAAATTTCCCTCTACACACTGCTTTAAATGCGTCCCAGAGATTCTGGTATGTTGTGTCTTTGTTCTCATTGGTTTCAAAGAACATCTTTATTTCTGCCTTCATTTTGTTATTTACCCAGTAGTCATTCAGGAGTAAGTTGTTCAGTTTCCATGTAGTTGTGCAGTTTTGAATGAGGTTCTTAATCCTGAGTTCTAATTTGATTGCACTGTGGTCTGAGAGACAGTTTGTTGTGATTTCTGTTCTTTTACATTTGCTGAGGAGTGCTTTACTTCCAACTTTGTGGTCAATTTTGGAATAAGTGTGATGTGGTGCTGAGAAGAATGTATATTCTGTTTATTTGGGGTGGAGAGTTCTGTAGATGTCTATTAGGTCTGCTTGGTCCAGAGCTGAGTTCAAGTCCTGGATATCCTTGTTAACCTTCTGTCTCATTGATCTGTCTAATATTGACAGTGGGGTGTTAAAGTCTCCCATTATTATTGTGTGGGAGTCTAAGTCTCTTTGTAGGTCTCTAAGGACTTGCTTTATGAATCTGGGTGCTCCTGTATTGGGTGCATATATATTTAGGATAGTTAGCTCTTCTTGTTGAATTGACCCCTTTACCATTATGTAATGGCCTTCTTTGTCTTTGTTGATCTTTGTTGGTTTAAAGTCTGTTTTATCAGAGACTAGGATTGCAACTGCTGCTTTTTTTTTTGCTTTACATTTGCTTGGTAGATCTTCCTCCATCCCTTTATTTTGAGCCTGTGTGCGTCTCTGCATGTGAGATTGGTCTCCTGAATACAGCACACTTGATGGGTCTTGACTCTTTATCCAATTTGCCAGTCTGTGTCTAATTTAATTGGGGCATTTAGCCCATTTACATTTAAGGTTAATATTGTTATGTGTGAATTTGATCCTGTCATGATGTTAGCTGGTTATTTTGCCCATTAGTTGATGCAGTTTCTTCCTAGCATCGATGGTCTTTACAATTTGGCATGATTTTGCAGTGGCTGGTACCAGTTGTTCCTTTCCATGTTTAGCGCTTCCTTCAGGAGCTCTTGTAAGGCAGGCCTGGTGGTGACAAAATCTCTCAGCATTTGCTTGTCTGCAAAGGATTTTATTTCTCCTTCAATTATGAAGCTTAGTTTGGCTGGATATGAAATTCTAGGTTGAAAATTCTTTTCTTTAAGAATGATAAATATTGGCCCCCACTCTCTTCTGGCTTGTAGAGTTTCTGCCAAGAGATCTGCTGTTAGTCTGATGGGATTCCCTTTGCGGGTAACCCGACCTTTCTCTCTGGCTGCCCTTAACATTTTTTCCTTCATTTCAACCTTGGTGAATCTGACAATTATGTGTCTTGGGATTGTTTTTCTCGAGGAGTATCTTTGTGGTGTTCTCTGTATTTCCTGAATTTGAATGTTGGCCTGCCTTACTAGGTTGGGGAAGTTCTCCTGGATAATATCCTGAAGAGTGTTTTCCAACTTGGTTCCATTCTCCCCGTCAGTGTCAGGTACACCAATCAGACGTAGATTTGGTCTTTTCACATAGTCCCATATTTCTTGGAGGCTTTGTTTGTTTCTTTTTAGCCTTTTTTCTTTTATTTATTTATTTTTTTTTGAGACAGAGTCTCACTGTGTCACCGAGGCTGGAGGGCAGTGGTGCCATCTTGGCTCACTGCAAGCTCCGCCTCCCGGGTTCACGCCATTCTCCTGCCTCAGCCTCCCGAGTGGCTGGGACTACAGGCGCCCGCCACCATGCCCAGCTAATGTTTTGTATTTTTAGTAGAGACGGGGTTTCACCGTGTTAGCCAGGATGGTCTCGATCTCCTGACGTTGTGATCCGCCCGCCTCGGCCTCCCAAAATGCTGGGATTACAGGCGTGAGCCACCGCGCCCGGCTTCTTTTTACCCTTTTTTCTCTAAATTCTCTTCTTGCTTCGTTTCATTAATTTGATCTTCAATCACTGATACCCTTTCTTCCACTTGATGGAATCAGCTACTGAAGCTTTTACATGTGTCACGTAGTTCTCGTGCCATGGTTTTCAGCTCCATCAGGTCCTTTGAGGTCTTCTCTACACTGTTTATTCTAGTTAGCCATTTGTCTAATCTTTTTTCAAGGTTTTTAGCTTCCTTATGATGGGTTCAAACCGCCTCCTTTAGCTCGGAGAAGTTTGTTATTACTGACCTTCTGAAGCCTACTTCTGTCAATTCATCAAAGTGATTCTCCATCCAGCTTTGTTCCATTGCTGGTGAGGAGCTGCGATCCTTTGGAGGAGAAGAGGTGCTCTGGTGTTTAGGATTTTCAGCTTTTCTGCTCTGGTTTCTCTCCATCTTTGTGGTTTTATCTGCCTTTGGTCTTTGATGATGGTGACCTACAGATGGGCTTTTGGTGTGGATGTCCTTGTTGTTGATGTTGATGCTATTTCTTTCTGTTTGTTAGTTTTCCTCCTAACAGGTCTCTGAGCTGCAGGTCTGTTGGAGTTTGCTAGAGGTCCACTCCAGACCCTGTTTGCCTGGGTATCACCAGCAGAGGCTGCAGAACAGCAGATATTGCAGAACAGCAAATATTACTGCCTGATCCTTCTTCTGGAAGCTTCGTCTCAGAGGGGCACCTGGCTGTATGAGGTGTTAGTCGGCCCCTACTGGGAGGTGTCTCCCAGTTAGGCTACACAGGGGTCAGGGACCCACTTGAGGAGGCAGTCTGTCCCTTCTTAGGACTCAAACTCCGTGCTGGGAGAACCACTGCTCTCTTCAGAGCTGTCAGACAGGGACGTTTAAGTCTGCAGAAGTTTCTGCTGCCTTTTGTTCAGCTATGCCCTGCCCCCCAGAGGTGGAGTCTACAAAGGCAGGCAGGCCTCCTTGAGCTGTGGTGGACTCCACCCAATAAGAGCTTCTGGGCCACTTTGTTTGCCTACTCAAGCCTCAGCAATGGAGGACCCCCTCCCCCAGCCAGGCTGCCACCTCGCTGTTCGATCTCGGACTGCTGCTCTAGCAGTGAGCAAGGCTCCGTGGGCGTAGGACCCTCTGAGCCAGGCTCTGGGTATAATCTCCTGGTGTGCCATTTGCTAAGACCATTGGAAAAGTGCAGTATTAGGGCAGGAGTGTCCCGATTTTCCAGGTACACTCTGTCACAGTTTCCCTTGGCTGGGAAAGGGAAATCCCCTGAACCTTGCACTTCCCAGGTGAGGCGATGCTCCGCCCTGCTTCAGCTCACCCTCCATGGGCTGTACCCACTGTCCAACCAGTCCCAGTGAGATGAACCAGTTACCTTAGTTGGAAATGCAGAAATCACCTATCTTCTGTGGCAATCACGCTGGGAGCTGCAGACCAGAGCTGTTCCTATTTGGCCATCTTGTTTTCACTCTATTTTATTCTCTTCTAACAGGGGATTTCTTTTTTGTTTTTTGTTTTTTTTTCCGAGATGCAGTCTCACTCTGTCCCTCAGGCTGGAGTGCAGTGGCACAATCTCGGCTCCCAGGTTCAAGTGATTCTTCTGCCTCAGCTTCCTGAGTAGTTGGGACTACAGGTGGGTACCACCATACCTACCTAATTTTTGTATTTTTAGTAGAAATGGGGTTTCACCATGTTGGCCAGGCTGGTCCCAAACTCCTGACCTCGTGATGCACACACCTCGGTCTCCGAAAGTGCTGGGATTTCAGGTGTGAGCCACTGCGCCCCACAGTAATGTTTCCATTTCAATTCTGATTTTAGTGACTTGAATCATCTCTCCCTTATCTTGGTCAATCTAGTTTAGGGTTTGACAATTTTGTTTACCTTTTTAAGAAATAAATATTTTATTTTATTTATTTATTTATTGTTTTTCTATTTCATTAGTTTCCACTCTAATCTTTATTTCTTTCCTTCCTGTTGCGTTAGCTTTAGTTTGCTCGTCTTTTTTCAGTGTCTTACAATGTAAGGGCTATTGATTTAAGATCTTTTGTCTTTCCTAACATAAACATTCCCAGCTATAAATTTACTTCTTAGCACTGTTTTAGCTGTATCCAGTACATTTTGATATGTTGTGCTGTTGTGTACTTTTTTTTTTTTTTGAGACCTAGTCTCACCCTGTCACCCAGGCTGGAGTGCAGTGGCACATTCTCAGCTCACTGCAACCTCACCTTCCCAGGTTCAAACGATTCTCATGCCTCAGCCTCCCCAGTAGCTGGGATTACAGACATGTGCCACCACACCCAGCTAATTTTTTATATTTTCTTGTAGAGACATGGTTTTGTGACTAGGCTGGCCTCCAACTCCTAGCGTCAAGTGATTCGCCCGCCTTGGCCTCTCAAAGTGCTGGGATTACAGGCATGAGCCACCGCGCCTGACTGAACTCATTTTTATTTATCTGAACGTATTTAAATTGTTTTAAATCAAAGTAAAACACATAACATTAAATTTATCATCCTAACCATTTTTAAGTATACAGTTTAGTAGTATTAAGTATATTCACATTGTTATGCAACAGATCTCTGGAACACTTTCATCTTTCAACACTGAAACTCTATGCCCAACAAACGCTAATTCTCCTCTCCCTTCCAGCCAGTCCTTGGCAACCACCTTTCTACCTTCTGTTTCTATAATTGTGTCTACTTTAGATACTTCTTATTAGTGGAATCATACAGTGTCTGTTCTTTTGTGACTGGCTTACTTCACTTGCCATAATGTCCTCAAGATTTATCTATTATTGTAGTATGTGATAGGATTTCCTTTTTTAAGGCTACATAATATTCTGTTGTATGTATATACCACATTTGGTATATCCATTCATCTGTCAATTGACATTTGTTTTGCTTTTACCTCTTGGCTAGTGTGAATAATGCTACAGTTATCTCTTTAGGATCCTACTTTGAATGCTTTTGAATTCTTTTGAAACCCCTGCAGAAGTAGGTTTGCTGGATTATATGGGAATCATAATTTTAATTTTGTGAAGAAACCCTGTGTTGGGAAAACTCTCACCAACCATTTTCCTCTAGTCTTACACCACAATAATCATCAACATAGAAGACTACTGTGGCCAAATGTGTGAAGGTTTTTCCCCACACATCAAGCAGCAGACACCAGCTAGGTGTCCTCCAATTCAGTTCTGACACTGTCTACCTGAAGGTAATGTCAGTTCCTGCAGGTTGGGGGCTCAGTCCGCAAGACTTCCCCCTATAGCCTCAGATACCAGTTGCAAGTCTGGGTCTCTGGGACTTCTTGACTGACTGGTTTCAATTTGGGGTTCCTACAACCTCCTCTTTGGGTTAAGTTAATTTGCTGGAGTGGCTCACAGAACTCAGGGAAACATTTACATTCACCAGTTTATTATAAAGGACACAGATGAATAGACTGGCAGGGCAAGGTATGGTGGAAGGGGTATGGAGCTTCCATGCCCTCCCTGGGCATGCCACCCTCCAGCAACCTTCACGGGTTCAGCTATCTGGAGGTCTTTGAACCCAGTCTTCTTGGGTTTGTATGGAAGCATTCCTTCCTCCAGGGTATGAGACTGGACCCTCCCAGGGGAGGGTCTTAAGACCCATAATGAAAAAGATGGGGTAATATTAGAGTTCTGCCTTGGGGCAGGTGAAAGGAAGGCAGGAGGTAGATTCTGTTCCTTGAGGCCTGCCCCTGAGGCCTAACACACACAACATTATAACAAAAGACTGTAACAAGGGAGATGGAAGTTATGAACCAGTAACTGTGGATGAAAACCTATAACTTATATATATACATGTATATATATATGTATATAGACCACGAACTCCACACTGTTTTTCATAATGGCTGCACCATTTTACATTCCCGCCAACAGTGCACACATTTCCAATTTCTGCATATCCTCTCCAACACTTGTTATTTTCTATTCTTTTCATAGGGCCATCCTAACAGATGTGAGATTATATTTCATTATGATTTTGATTTGTATTTCTCTAATGATTAGTAATGTTGAACATTTTTTCATATGCTTATTGGCTATTTGTATATCTTTTTTCAAGAAATGTTTATTAAAGTCTGTTGCCCATTTTAAAATCAGGTTATTTGTTTTTTGTTGTTGTTGAGTTGTACAAGTTCCTTATATACGCTGGATATTAACCCTTTATCAGTTGCAAACATTTTCCTCCTGTTCCATAGGTTGTGTTTTCACTTTTTTGATTGTTTCCTTTGATGTGCGGAAATTTTTAAGTTTGGTGTGGTCCCATTTGTCTATTTTTGCTTTTGTTGTCTGTGTTCTTGGTGGCTTGTCCAAGAAATCACTGTCAAATCCAATGTCCTGAAGCTTTTCCTCCATGTTTTCTTCGAGGAGTTGTATAGTTTTTGGTCTTATGTTTAGGTCTTTAACCCATTTTGAATTTTTTTTGTATATGTATAAAGATAAGGTCCAATTCATTATTTTGCATGTAGATAACCACTTTTTCCAATACTGTTTACTGAAGGCTCTGTCCTTTCTCCATTGTGTAGTCTTGGCATCATTGTCAAAATTATTCATCCATATATGCAAGGATTTATTTCTGGGCTCTCTGTTCCATTAGTCTGTATACCTGTCTTTATGTCAGTAATACAACCATCTTTTTTGTTTGAGACAGAGTCTTGCTCTGTCACCTGTCACCCAGGCTAGGGTGCATTGGCATGATCTCAGCTCACTGCAACCTCTGCCTGCCGGGTTCAAGCAATTCTCCTGCCTCAGCCTCCCAAGTAGCTGGGACTATAGGCACGTGCCACCATGCCCAGCTAATCTTTTGTATTTTTAGTAGAGACGGGGTTTTACCATGCTGGCCAGGCTGGCCTTGAACTCCTGACCTCGTCATCCACCCACCTTGGTCTCCCAAAGTGCTGGGATTACAGGCATGAGCCACTGCGCCTGGCCCCTACAACCATCTTCATTAGCGTTGCTTTCTAGTATGGTTCAAAATCAGGAAGAATGAGTTCTACAGCTTTGTTCTTTTTCAAGATTGTTTTGGCTGTTCAGGTTCCCTGGAGATTCCATATGAGTCTTAGGATGATTTTTTTCTATATTTTCCTATTTCTGCAAAATTGCCATTGAGTTTTTGATAAGAATGCCATTGAATCTGTAGATCACGTTGGATAATATGTACTTATTCACAGTATTAAAGTCTTCCACTCCACAAGCACAGGATGCCTTTCCATTTATTTGTATCTTGTCTGATTTCTTTTAGCAATGTTTTGTAGTTTTTCCCGCACAAGTCTTTTACCTCCTTGGTTCAGTTTATGCCTAAATATTTTATTCTTTTTGGTGCTATAGTAAATGGGATTGTTTTCTTAATTTTCTTTTCAGGTTGGTCATTGCTAGTTTGTAGAAATGCAACTGATTTTTGTGTGTTCATTTTATACCCTGCTACTTTTCTAAAGTTGTTTATTAGTTGTAACAGGTTTTTTTGTGTGTGTGTGGGAAGGTCTTCAGGGTTTCCACATATAAGATCATGTCATCTGTAAACAGATAATTTTAGTTTTCTTTTCCAGTTTGGATGACTTTTGTTTCTTTCTTTCGTTCTTTCCTTCCTTTTCTTTTCTTTCAAGACGGGGTCTGGCTTTGTCCCCATGCTGGAGTACAATGGTGTGATCTCGGCTCATTGCAACCTCCACCTCCCGGGTTCAAGTGAACCCTGCCTCAGCCTCCCAAGTAGCTGGGATTACAGGTGCATGCCATCATGCCCGGCTAGTTTTTGTAGATTTTTATGGTTATGGGGTTTCACCATGTTGCCTAGGCTGGTCTTGAACACCTGGGCTCAAGCAGTGCACCCTCTCGGCCTCCCAAAGTGCTGGGATTACAGGCTGTAGCCAGCGCACTGGGGCTTTTTTTCTTGTCTAATTGCTCTGAGTAGGACTTCTAGTGCTATGTTGAACAGTAGTGGTGAGAGTAAGCATCCTTGCCTTGTTCTAGATCTTAGAGGAAAAGCTAAGGCCACTGAATATATTACCTGTGGGCTTTTCATGTATGGCTTTTATTAAGTTGAGGTAGTTTCATTCTATTCCTAGTTTGCTGAGTACTTTTTTCTTTTTTCTTTTCTTTTTTCTTTTTTTGAGTCGGAGTTTTGCTCCCTTGACCAGGCTGCAGTGCAGTGGCGCCATCTCTGCTCACTGCAAAGTCTGCCTCCCGGGTTCACGCCATTCTCCTGCCTCAGTCTCCCGAGTAGCTGGGACTACAGGCGTCTGCCACCATGCCCGGCTAATTTTTTTCATTTTTTTTAGTAGAGACGGGGTTTCACCGTGTTAGCCACGATGGTCTCGATCTCCTGAACTCGTGATCCGCCCGCCTCGGCCTCCCAAAGTGCTGGGATTACAGGCGTGAGCCATCGCGCCTGGCCGCTGAGTGCTTTTTTCATAAAAGTGTGTTGAATTTTGTTGAATCCTTTCTGTATCTCAATTGAGATGATATTTGATTATTGCCATTCATTTTATTAACATGGAGTATTATATAACCCTGGATATTTCACTCCCAAGAGTGCTAATCCTCTGACATTAGTCTTCGTGGTGATGCAGTTTTTGGTATGCCCCCAGTCACCCTGGGATGACAGTGGTGCTGGCAATGTTCTTTTTCACTCTTTTTCTGACCACACCCTACTGTTGTGTTTCAGTTATTGCTGACCAGTTGTTGTATTGTTTTCAACAATGCCTTGAGGTATAAATTCCTCTATGAACAAATCCAATCAAAATGTAGCTCCTTAAATGGAATAGTTTCTGATGTAAGTATTTGATATTTGTCCTGACTCCAAAAGGGTTCCTCCTACCTGTCTTATTTCCTGATTCTCTCCTGCATACTAGCCAGACTACAGTTTAAGATCTATCTTTCTTAGATTCACAAATTTCCTCCCAATTACCTTTCATCAAAATCTCCACCATTCTTGAGAATGCCCTTAGCTTTCCACTTCTCTATTCTATGTTACAAATTAAATCAGTTATTTTGGGAAAGGATTGGAAGCTATCTACTTTTTGGCTCATTTATTTCTTCTTCTTCTTTTTTTTTTTTTTTTTTGAGATGGAGTCTTGCTCTGTCGCCCAGGCTGGAGTGCAGTGGTACAATCTCAGCTCACTGCAACCTCCACCTCCTGGGTTCAAGCGATTCTCCTTCCTCAGCCTCCATAGTAGCTGGAATTATAGGCACACACCACCAGGCCCAGCTATTTTTTTTGTATTTTTAGTAGAGATGGGTTTTCGCCATGTTGGCCAGGCTGGTCTCAAACTCCTGACCTCAGGTGATCTGCCCGCCTTGGCCTCCCAAAGTGCTGGGATTACAGACATGAGCCACCATGCCCGGCTGGCTCATTTCTTTCTATAGGAAAAATCTCTGAGCTAGGACTCTGGAGCTAGAGGTGGTAACAATTGCATGTTTCTCTTTGTGGAAGAAAAGTTCTAGATGCTGAACACTCAGTGGATGAAGTGCAGTAGTCTGAAATCCTCTTGGCTTGTATTTCCTGTTTTGAAGCCACTGCCTCACAAGCCGCAGTAAGAGCTATTAGCACCTTAGTATTCTCTGTGTGCCATGCTCAAGGTAGAGTATTAACTATGTAGGGGTGGCGGAAAAGCTTCCTCTCTGCCCACTGAAATTTGCTGAAAATGAAGTGACAAAGGCAGATTAATAAAAGAAAAAGACATACAAAATTTATTTAACATACATAAGCATGGGGTAATTGTAGGAGAGTGATTACCCAGTGTCCCAGTGAAGTTCAAATACATATATGCCCTTCTTCATAGGGGAAGGAGAGATTGAAGCTGATCATTTAGTATTCCTTTTTACAGTGACATTATATTGATGTACCATAGTTTTCTCAAATTGACCCTTTTGTCAGACATTTGGATTGTTTCCTTTTTTTTGTTTTTTTTTTTTTGAGATGGAGTCTCGCTCTGTCTCCCAGGCTAGAGTGCAGTGGCATGATCTTGGCCCCAGCCTCCCTAGTAGCTGGGGCTACAGGCACGTGCCGCCACACCCAGCTAATTTTTTGTATTTTAATAGAGACGGGGTTTCATCATGTTAGCCAGGATGGTCTCGATCTCCTGACCTGGTGATCCACCTGCCTCAGCCTCCCAAAGTGCTGGGATTACAGGCATGAGCCACCGCACCCGGCCTGGATTGTTTCCTTCTTTTGCTTTACAAATAGAGTTGTGATGAATAGTCATGCATCTGTTTTCCTTTTTATTTATTTAGTATTTATTATTATTATTATTATTTGAGATGGAGTTTTGCTCTCTCACCCAGGCTGGAGTGCTGTGGTGACATCTTGGCTCACTGCAACCTCTGCCTCCTGGGATTCAAGCAATTCTCCTGCCTCAGCCTCTTGAGGAGCTGCAATTACAAGTGCCCGCCACTACACCTGACTACTTTTTGTATTTTTAGTAGAGGCAGGGTTTCACTGTGTTGACCAGGCTGGTCTCAAACTTTTGGCCTCAAGTGATTTGCCGGCCTTGGCCTTCCAAAGTGTTGAGATTACAGGCGTAAGCCACTGTGCCTGGCCCTTTTTATTTTGATAGTATATATTAGGGATAGCTTTTTAGAAGTGGAATTTGTGGGTTAAAGGGTAAATAATTATACATTTTTTGTAGATACTGCACATTTTCTGCCCTTGGAATTATACCATTTTCCATTCCCACCAGTACCCTATGAAAAGACTAATTTCTCGGCAACCTTGACAACAAAGTATGCTATCCAATCTAATTTAGTATGTCTTTCACTTATTATGAGTAAAGTCAGGGTATTTGGGGTATCCATCACTTTGAGTATTTATCATTTCTATGTGTTGGTTTCAGGTTATCTCTTCTAGCTACTTTGAAATATACAATACATTGTTGCTAACTATAGTCACCCTACTCTACTATCAACATTAGAGGCTGGCTGTGGTGGCAGGCACCTGTAATCCCAGCTGCTCAGGAGACTGAGGCAGGAGAATCACTTGAACCTGGGAGGTGGAGGTTGCAGTGAGCTGGGATGGTGCCACTGCACTCCAGCCTGGGCAAGACAGCCAGACTCCAACTCAAAAAAAAAAAAAAAAAAAGAACCTATACCTTCTATCTAATTATATGTTTGTACACATTGACCAACCTGCCTTTGTACGCAGCTCCAATGCACACACCCTTCCCTGACCCTGGTATCTATGATTCTACTCTCTACCTCCATGAGATCAACTTTTTAAACTCCCACATATGACTGAAAAGATGTGAAATTTGTCTTTCTGTTTCTCGCTTACTTTATTTAACATAATGACCTCCAGTTCCAATTACAATGGATTATATTAATATCTTTCCTAATAATGAGTGATCTTTACACTCCTGGAATAAACCCTACTTGGACATCCTGTATTACTGTTTTAAATGTGCTATTGTATTCTGTTTGCTATAAATTTTATTTAAGATTTAGGCATTACATTTCATATATTTCATATGTGAAATTGACCTGTAGTTTTCATTTTTAGTGCAAACTGAAATGTTATACTAACTTTATAAAGTGCTAGTGTCTATGCTTCGAATAATTTAAGTAGCATCATGATTTTTTGATATTTGACAGTTTGGTAGGATTTCTTTATGAAAGTATTTGAGCTTGGTGCCCTTTTTATTGAGTATGCCTGTTAAACTATTTTTCTTAACTGGTCTGTTTAGACTTTCTGTCTCTACAAGGGTTAGTTTGAGTATGCTACATTTGTCTAAAAAATCCACTAAGTTTGCCAGTTATTTGCTAGTTGTGTTATGTTATCTCTGATGATTTCAAAAAAGGTCTTCTGTGTTGATGATTATTTCCTCCAGTTCTAATTTTGTGTATTTGCACTAATTTTCTCTTTGTTGGCTAGAGGTTTGTCTATTTTGTTGACTTTCAAATATCCACCTTTTTTGTATCTTTATTAGTTATACTTTGTTTCTAACTCATTCTCTGAATTTGTCCTTACAACCCTTCCTTCCTCATTCTTTTGGTTTATTTTGTTGTTCATTTAGTAGCATCTTGAGCTGTGTTTGATTCATTTGTTATTTTTTGTTATCGATATAGGTATGTGAGGAAATAAATTTCCTTCTGATAAATGCTTTAGCTCTATCTCACAGATTCTATGTCACATTTGCACTTTTGTCCCTTTCAAGAAATTATGTAATTAAAATTTGTATTTCCTTCTTGACTCGAGTTGTATTATAGCATGCTTTAAAATTTTCAGGTGGAAGTGACTTTTATTTTTTATTTTATCAATTTCTAGTTTTATTGCATGATGGTCAGAGAATGATGTTTGTGTTATTTCTATACTTTGGAACTTACTGAGGTTTTCTTCTGTGGTCCGTTTTCATGAATGTTTCACAGGTACTACAAAAGAATGTGGTGCGGAGAGAGAGGTATACCGGACCCGAACTCTCTCGCCACACTCTTCCTCGTTCCTTGATTATTTCCGGTAATGCTCCTGAATCCACATTTTTATGAAAAAAAAAAACCACTTTATTCTTCTTGTATGCGACCCTCTGCAAACTGTTTTTTTTAAATAAAGTATTCAAGTATGATTGACGTCCCTTTAATCTCAGATGGGCTGATAATAGGATTGGATAATTCTGTTATTCACCACATCCCCTTATCTTGTCTTTCTGCCCATTTAAGCTACTCTCCCAGTGTTGGCTGAGACCCTGTGGGTTCCTTGGGCTGGGAGGCAGAAGCCCGGAGCTCAGAGGATGAGGTTGGTGAGCCAGACCCGGCACACGGAGGGCTTGATGAATCGTTCATGCGCGTGTTGAGTGTATACCGCCCTCGTATCGTTTTCTGCCAATCGGGACCGGACCGGGAGCGGATTCTGCCCGAAAGGGGGCGCGATCTGGCGGGTGCTCCTCTTCCTCGCTCCCCAGTCCGCGCCTCGCTGGGCTCAGCACCCCGGCCCCCGGCGGGACGGAGGCTCGGGTCCAAAGCAGTGGCTGCACCGACACGAACCCGTCTGCGTTTCTCCACCTGTCTTCCCTCGCCACCTGCATCTACTATGGTCTCTAAATGCCTCGCTTTGTACTTTGTGGCTTTCTGGCAGCCCTTTAAAGCAGCGGTGAAAGAAAGGAGAGAGTCAAGACACGGGAGAAAATGTTTCATCCCGGGTTCTTCTAGTGGTGCCCGGTAAGTGACTCCGGACTGACGAGCAGAAAAATCCCAGGGCCATCAATAGAGGGCCTTCGGTGTAGAATGCGGTTTGCTCAGCTGTCAGCAAAGAGGGACGCAAAACCTAAATTTGAGATATCAGAAATAACTAAATAAAATAGACCTTGGCTGATTACAACTAATGGTTCTGAAACCTAGCAAAAGGGTCAGGTTCTGATCTTGAATATACTCTCGAGAGAACGGTTTCAGTACGGGGGTGTAGCTCAGTGGTAGAGCGCGTGCTTAGCATGCACGAGGCCCCGGGTTCAATCCCCGGCACCTCCATTTCTTTTGCTTTTAATTTTTTTCCCATTGCTTTACTTTATTTTCCTTGCTTAAACAGAAAGTAACCCTATTTCACAACGGTTTTGCCATTAATATTAGTGCTGTTCCATTTCTACTCCTCAGCCTTGACACGACTCGGGGGACTGCCTAAGCAAAAGGTGGAAAAGATGGAGCTGGAAGACAAAGACGGCTCCGGATTCCAAAACTTCAATGGCGTCGCCAAATTGACGAGCTCATTAACCTTTGGAGTATTGTTATTTAAAAAGTAGGAAATAAAAGATAAATGTGGAAATATTTAATAAAAGAAAAACGTAAGCTCTCAATTTTCTTTATTACTTTTTTTTTTTTGAGACGGAGTCTCTCGCTCTGTCGCCCAGTGGCACGATCTTGGCTCACTGCAAGCTCCGCCTCCCGGGTTTACGCCATTCTTCTGCCTCAGCCTCCCGAGTAGCCGGGACTACAGGCGCCCGTCACCACGCCCGGCTAATTTTTTCTATTTTTTTGGTAGAGACAGGGTTTCACCGTGTTAGCCAGGATGGTCGCGATCTCCTGACCTCGTGATCCTCCCGCCTCGGCCTCCCAAAGTGCTGGGATTACAGGAGTAAGCCACCACCGCTCCCAGCCGATTTCCTTTATTTTTTTTCTGGTCCTTGTTTAGCCATGATCCATCGCAGGCTGAGCCCTGACAAACGCAAAGCCTTCCAAACTGGGAAATTGAGAAAGTTATTTTCATCAATGAATGTAGAGGCGTCACACTTCTGCCGAAATAGCTCCACTGGGAAGCATGCTCTGCTGAAGATCTCAAAGTTCACGGACTGATTTCCAGTTTTATTCTGTCTTCACTCCTGCCGGATAATTTGACTTCCCTTAGATGACGTTACAGAAGTAATTTTACCTAAGACAGGTGCGCCCTCTATCGTAAGGATATCTTTCAGACTCTTGGTCCACACAAGAGTTGGTGGCACCGGAGAGCTTGTTAGAAGAGCGAAATCTCAGCTTCACCTCAGACGTACTGAACCAGAAGTAGCAATTTAACAAGATCCACAAGAGATTCTTTTGCACATTTAAGAAGCAATATGACGTGCTTTGACGTGGATGGAGTAAGGGTGTATAGTATAAATACGCGGCTGTGTTTTTTCCCCCAATTTTCTATTCTAACAGAAAACATAATTGCAAAAAATATATATTTCTATTGCTGAATCATTTTTGTGTTCTAATCATTGACTCTGTTCCTTGCCTCTCTGGCAATATTGTACTTAGTAATATTTTTTGAATCACTATTCATGATTGAATATGATGTGAAGTTTTCATTTTCTTTTTTTTTTTTCTTGAGACGGAGTCTCACTCTGTCGTCCAGGTTGGAGTGCAGTGGCGCGATCTCGACTCACTGCAACCTCCGCCTCCCGGGTTCAAGCGATTCTCCTGCCTCAGCATCCCGAGTAACTGGGACAACAAGCGCGCGCCACCGCGCCCGGCTAATTTTTTATATTTTTTTTAGGGACGGGGTTTCACCATATTGGCCAGGCTGGTCTTGAACTCCTGACCTCATGATCCGCCCGCCTCGCAAAGTGCTGGGATTACAGGCATGAGCCACCACTCCCGGCCTTTATTTTCTTTTTCGCAAGTTTTGCAATAAAGGCTGTGCTAACTTCTAATGTAAACTGGGAAGTTTGTATCCTTGCTCTGAAACATTTTAAATAGAATAAGACCTTGTAATCATTCCAGAATACACAGCCCTCTTCTCATCAGCTACCACCAAATCTTCAAGAACTTTTGTATTAACACCACTTTGTATTCTAAGCCCTGTGATAGATTTTAAAGATCCAAAACCCTTTGCTAACCCTAATGAAAGTGTGAGCTGAAGGATATCTCAAGAATTGGGAAATCCTTGGTTTCCGATATAATATCAGGCCACCTCTGTCCCTGTGAAGTGATTAGGAAATTTTCAATGGAGAAAATAAGTTCCAAAAGTCATTCTTTCTCAGATTAAGATGTCTTGGGTTTCAGTTTACTTCTTTAAAGAAAGATTCAGAGCTAGTACTGAGGACCCAGACTTTCTTGATGTGGGAAATAGATAATTTTCTGTTCTGTTGACATTTTTTCTCTCTCTTCTCTCATTTTCAAAGTACAGTTCCACAATGTCTCTTTGCCACTTATACTCACTGTGGCAGAAAAAAATTATTCACAGGCTTCAATCATGGGAATCAATTTGCAAAGGAATATAGTAAAAGCATGAGGAAAATTATCATGAATTATTACCATTGCTTTATGCTAGGGCTCAGGCCCAAATGGAAATATTTTTTTCTGCTCCCCACAATAGACTTCTTTAAGGAAGTCCACCTCTGTAATTTAGGGTAGAAATGGATAGGATGCAAAAACCAAGAGTTTAATATAAGAAAGCTATAGAAAATATAGGATGGAGATTTCAAAAACATCTTGGGACAATGAAAACAAATGACATATGACAGATAGAAGTACTTCTTTGAGAGCAAACAGTGCCTATCTTTGGCCTAGGACAATAGTGAATCATTTTAAGGTACATTGTAGATGAATTTTGGAAATTCAACTATATTTTATTTTGGGGTTGAATACTTCAATGAGATCATATTTTAAAAAAATTTTTCTCCACAGAGAAATTAAGGACCTCTTTCAAAAATCAGCTGGGCATGGTGGCGACCACCTGTAATCACTGCTACTTGGGAGGCTGAGGCAGGAGGATTGCTTGAACCTCGGAGGCGGAGGTTGCAGTGAGCCAAGATCATGCCACTGCACTCCAGCCTGGGTGACACAATGAGACTCCATCTCAAAAAAAAAAAAAAAAATTAAGGACTTCTGAGAGGAATGAGGACGTGGCCATGCGTGAGACCCTGGGTGAATGTGTGGGAAGCGGCAGGTGGGCAGGACCATTGGCTGCACAGTGATATGGAAACAGACACAATCCATCAGGCCATGTAGTCAATCTGACTCAAAAGGTAGAGTTTTATTCTTTTCAAAGACATATTTAATTGAAGAAAAAAGATTATTTAACCCTTTACTGTCTAGTTCAGGAATTCTTTTTTAATATTCAATCAAGGTGGGAGACTTACAACAGTGTAATCAAACCTCCCTCTCCCTGTCAACAAATCAAGATGTAAATCCCAAAGAATATAGAGTGAATTCAATTTCTAGATTATCATATAAGAGCTCCTTACATGAAAACTATTACTCCACCTTTTTGTCAACTTTAAGAAAACAGTACTCAACCAGTTACAATCTTCTCTCTGGTTGTAGATTGTCTAGAGATGTCATTCGCATGTCTGCAGGCTCCCTGAGCAGAGTAATTGAGTATGAATGAGTTCTATCTCCTGAGATAAATGGTTGGTTCATCAGAAAAATCTCATATATTTGGAACTCATCCTATGTCTCCCCATGCATAGATATTTCTGAATGCTTACAGAAACTTAAACAATTCTCACAGTGTTCTCTGTACTTTGGGGCAAACAGAAAAAAAAAAAAAAAAGAAACACCTCCTTGTGGGGAACTTCTGGTAATCTAACTGGTATCTTGGTTTCTTCAGGTGCAAGTTAGAGAATAATTACATGATGACTCTGGAAACAACTTTCACACCATCAAACAGTCTAGATAATTTTCTTTCTTTCTTTCTTTCTTTTTTTTTTTTTTTTTTTTTGAGACAGAGTCTTGCTCTGTCGCCCAGGCTGGAGTGCAGTAGCGCGATCTCGGCTCACTGCAAGCACCGCCTCCTGGGTTCACGCCATTCTCCTGCCTCAGCCTCCCGAGTAGCTGGGACTACAGGCGCCCTCCACTACACCTGGCTAATTTTTTGTTTTTTGTTTTTTTTTTTAAGTAGAGACGGGGTTTCACCGTGTTAGCCAGGATGGTCTCGGTCTCCTGACCTCGTGATCCGCCCGCCTCGGCCTCCCAAAGTGTTGGGATTACAGCCATGAGCCACCGCGCCCGGCCAAAACAGCCTAGATAATTTTTCTCACATCCTCCCAGCACTTTCACGCGCGCGCGCGCGCACAAACACACACACACCAGAGCTTGTAGAGTTTTGTGGGTGACACTTAAATATCCAATTTCAGTGAAACCTGCCATTATGTTTCCTCTTACCTATTCCGCTATCCCTATGAGCCAACAGAGAGAAATTCTGCCAAACCATAAGGTGTTCCCAACCTCGAAAGGGGCTCAGCAATATGCTTACCAATATAGGTAAAGTCATACATAAGGAGAATGAGAATGAAGATGAATGAGAAAAGATAACACCTACTGGGAAACTAGCCAGGAAATGAGACTTTCTGGGTCTTTTGTGAAAGTTTCAAGGCCATGGTGACAACCAGTGTGAATTCCAGGGTTGAAGATCAGCTAGGAAGAAGTTCATTTTTTTGCTTTTCACAACTATCAGTAAGTAAGTTTCTGATCTTCATATCTCAAAGGACACTTTGAGTTCTCATTGTACTCACACTGTATTGGTGCCTTCTACTCACTCCCACCTCCACGTATTCAGATCAGAGCACTGGGCTAAGTTCACTGTGTTTCACCAATGGGCAGGATCCTACGGAAGAATATGGTAAGTTCAACACGTTCCCAAACAAACTCACCTCCTCCTCCTAATATCTTGTCCATTCCTTCAAAGAACAATAAGCATCTCTATTCTGCTTTTTTTCCTCCTGTTTGTTGAGGCTCTCTTTTATGGATTCCCCACTTTCTGGCTTGCTCTATAAATCCAATAAGTCTTTGAATCCTGTGTCTAGCTACCTATGAATGTGCTTTCAAAATTTCAAAGTTTTTCTCCATCCTTGAATCTGCTATTTATTTCATGTCTTGAACATTATTCTGGACTACTCCATGAACCTCCTCAGTTGCCTTCATGCTGTAGTACAATCAAGAACCCCTTGGCAATGAATAACAGGTTGCATGTGGTTTTCATTCTCACCTGGGGTTTTCTCATCAAAGTTTTGCTCTTACCATTCCTGTGAAGCAAACAGCAATAGCAGAAGTGCTTTATTCAGGAAAAAGCTGGTCAGTTTTCTAACGCAAGTTTCCAGTATTCTGTGTTCCATTTCAAGCTTTATTTGCCAAAACTTCAATATCCCCCACAGCTGGGGGTCTTCCAACTTAAAATGGTCACAAATCCTGCTTCTAAACCCAACACTTAGTGCTAAAACAATGAACACAGGAATGGAGACCCACAGAATATAACGAGATATTCCTTTATTTTTCATTTTATTTAATTTTTTACATCTTTAGATTGGAGAAATACCTTTTTAGGGTTTTTGGGTTTTTGTTTGTTTGTTTTTTGAGACAGAGTCTCACTCTGTCCCCAAGGCTGGAGTGCAGTGGCGCCATCTCCGCTCACTGCAGCCTCCACCTCCCAGGTTCAAGAGATTCTCCTGCCTCAACCTCTGAGCAGCTGGGGTTACAGGCACGTGCCATCACGCCCGGCTAATTTTTGTATTTTTAGTAGAGACAGGGTTTCACCTTGTTGGCTCGGCTGGCCTCGAACTTCTGACCTTAAATGATCTGACCGCCTCCAACTTCCAAACTGCTGCGATTACAAGCGTGAGCTACCGTGCCCGGCCACCTTTTTAATTTTTAAGTTATTTTTTATTTCCATATTTTTATTGTTTTCATATACTGCAATAGTACTTGGAGGACGACACAAATATCTCTTGGCATGAGGAGATGTAGTTCAGTGATAGAACGTGTGCCTTACATATAGGAGGCCTCAGGTTCAGCTCCCGAGAACCTTCAACGGTCAGTTTCCGAGTTCTTAATACCACTCCTTAGTACAAAGCACATTCAGGTGTCCTACTCTCTTTTCGTTGCCTGTCACATGAGAAGTAAACACGTGACCCCAAGACGTTAATTTCTGTTTTGTTTTTTTTTTTTTTAGAGATGGAGTCTCACTCAGTCGCCCAGGCTGGAGTGCAGTGGCGTGATCTCGGCTCACTGCAAGCTCCGCCTCCTGGGTTCACACCATTCTCCAGCCTCAGCCTCCTGAGTAGCTGGGACTACAGGCGCCTGCCACTATGCCTGGCTAATTTTTTTTTTTTTTTTTGTATTTTTAGTAGAGACCGGGTTTCACCGTGTTAGCCAGGATGGTCTCGATCTCCTGACCTCGTGATCCGCCTGTCTTGACCTCCCAAAGTGCTGGGATTACAGGCTTGAGCCACCGCGCCCGGCCTCTTTTTTTTTTAAGATTTTTTTTTTAATCATTATACTTTAAGTTCTAGGGTACCTGTGCACAACGTGCAGGTTTGTTACATATGTATACATGTGCCATGTTGGTGTGCTGCACCCATTAACTCCTCATTTACATTAGGTATTTCTCCTAATGCTATCCCTCCCCTATCACCCCACCCCGCGACAGGCCCCGGTGTGTGATGTTCCCCACCCTGTGTCCAAATGTTCTCATTGTTCAATTCCCACCTATGAGTGAGAACGTGCAGTGTTTGGTTTTCTGTCCTTGTGATAGTTTGTTCAGAATGATGGTTCCCAGCTTCATCCATGTCCCTACAAAGGACATGAACTCATCCTTTTTTATGGCTGCATAGTATTCCATGGTGTATATGTGCCACGTTTGTTAAATTCAGTCTATCATTGATGGACATGTGCCTTACATATAGAAGGCACATTTGGGTTGGTTCCAAGTCTTTGCTATTGTGAATAGTGCCACAATAAACATACGTGTGCATGTGTCTTTATAGCAGCATGATTTATAATCCTTTGGGTATATACCCAGTAATGGGATGGCTGGGTCAAATGGTATTTCTAGTTCTAGATCCTTGAGGAATCGCCACACTGTCTTCCACAATGGTTGAACTAGTTTACCGTCCCACCAACAGTGTAAAAGTGTTCCTATTTCTCCACATCCTCTCCAGCACCTGTTGTTTCCTGACTTTTTAATGATTGCCATCCTAACTGGTGTGAGATGGAATCTCATTGTGGTTTTGATTTGCATTTCTCTGATGGCCAGTGATGATGAGCATTTTTTCATGTGTCCATTGGCTGCATAAATGTCTTCTTTTGAGAAGTGTCTGTTCATATCCTTTGCCCACTTTTTGATGGGGTTTGATGGGGTTGTTTGATTTTTTCTTGTAAATTTGTTTAAGTTCTTTGTAGATTCTAGATATTAGCCCTTTGTCAGATGGGTAGGTTGCAAAAATTTTCTCCCATTCTGTAGGTTGCCTGTTCACTCTGATGGTGGTTTCTTTTGCTGTGCAGAAGCTCTTTGGTTTAATTAGATCCCATTTGTCTATTTTGGCTTTTGTTGCCATTGCTTTTGGTGTTTTAGACATGAAGTCCTTGCCCATGCCTATGTCCTGAATGGTATTGCCTAGGTTTTGTTCTAGGGTTTTTATGGTTTTAGGTCTAACATTTAAGTCTTTCATCCATCTTGAATTAATTTTTGTATAAGGTGTAAGGAAGGGATCCAGTTTCAGCTTTCTACATATGGCTAGCCAGTTTTCTCAGCACCATTTATTAAATAGGGAATCCTTTCCCCATTTCTTGTTTTTGTCAGGTTTGTCAAAGATCAAATGGTTGTAGACGTGTGGTATTATTTCTGAGGGCTCTATTCTGTTCCATTGGTCTATATCTCTGTTTTGGTACCAGTACCATGCTGTTTCAGTTACTGTAGCCATATAGTATAGTTTGAAGTCAGGTAGCATGATGCCTCCAGCTTTGTTCTTTTGGCTTAGGATTGTCTTGGCAATGCAGGCTCTTTTTTGGTTCCATATGAACTTTAAAATAGTTTTTCTCCAATTCTGTGAAGAAAGTCATTGGTAGCTTGATGGGGATCGCACCGAATCTTTAAATTACCTTGGGCAGTAGGGCCATTTTCATGATATTGATTCTTCCTATCCATGAGCATGAAATGTTCTTCCATTTGTTTGTGTCCTCATTTATTTTGTTAAGCAGTGGTTTGTAATTCTCCTTGAGGAGGTCCTTCACATCCCTTGTAAGTTGGATTCCCAGGTATTTTATTCTCTTTGTAGCAATTGTGAATGGGAGTTCCCTCATGATTTGGCTCTCTGTCTGTTACTGGTGTATAGGAATGCTTGTGATTTTTGCACATTGATTTTGTATCCTGAGACTTTGCTGAAGTTGCTTATCAGCTTAAGGAGATTTTGGGCTGAGATGATGAGGTTTTCTAAATATACAATCATGTCATCTGCAAACAGGGACAATTTGACTTCCTCTTTTCCTAACTGAATACCCTTTATTTGTTTCTCTTGCCTGATTGCCCTGGCCAGAACTTCCAACACTATGTTGAATAGGAGTGATGAGAGAGGGCATCCCTGTCTTGTGCCAGTTTTCAAAGGGAATGCTTCCAGTTTTTGCCCATTCAATATGATATTGGCTGTGGGTTTTTCATAAATAGCTCTTATTATTTTGAGATACATCACATCAATACCTAGTTTATTGAGAGTTTTTAGCATGAAGGGCTGTTGAATTTTGCCAAGATGTTAATTTCAATATTACGTTATTTAGACTTCATGAGCCTCAAAACCACTCAAGGCAGTTGGCAGAGTAGAATAAGCTTGTCATTGATTAGTTTCCTATGGCTGCTGTAACAAATTATCTCAAATTAGATGGCTTATAACAACAGAAATTTATTCTTTCACACTTCTGGAGGCCAAAAATCTGATATGAGTGCAGTAATGTGCTACATGTTGACATTTTAGTAAACCACAGACCACATATCCTACGGTGGTCTTATAAGATTATAAAGGAGTTGGCTGCGCACAGTGGCTCACGCCTGTAATCCCAACACTTTGGGAGGCCGAGGCGGGCAGATCACCTCAGGTTGGGGGTTTGAGACCATCCTGACCAACATGGTGAAACCCCCATCTCTACTAAAAATACAAAATTAGTCGGGAGTGGTGGCACACACCTGTAATCCCAGGTACTTGGGAGTCTGAGGCAGGAGAATTGCTTGAACCCAGGTGGCAGAGTTTGCAGTGAGCCAAGATCCTCCCATCGCACTCCAGCCTGGGCAACAAGAGCAAAACTCTGTCTCAAAACAAAACAAAATAAACTACCTGCTAAATTCTAATATAAATTGGGGAATTTGTATCTTTGTCTCAGCCTAGCAACATTTAAAATGGAATGGGAACCATTTGAGAAACACATATCGTCCAAATCTTGACATTATTTCAGAACACGGTCTTGCCTCTTCCTCACCTCAACAACCAATCAGCAACAGTGGAATATATATGTGTGTGTGTGTATGTGTGTGTGTATATATATGTATATGTACATATGACAAAAATTATTTCTCTAAACTATTTGATAATGATTTTCAGACATTATATCTTTTTATTCCTAAATACTTCAATGTGTATTTCCTAAGAACAAGGTCAATTTCTTACCACAGCACAATTATCAAATTTAGAGAACTTAACATTGATAAAATAGTATTCTCTAATATACAGTCTATAAAAATTTTAATTGTATCAATAAAATCTTTTATAGGAATTTCTCTCCCAAACTAGGTGCCATTTCAGAATCACATATGAATCTAGTTGTCTTGACTTTTCAGTCTCCTTCACTTTGGAACAGATTCTTAATCTTCTTGTCTTTCATGAATATGTTTTTGAAGAGCATATGCCAGTGGTTTTGTTGAATGTTTCTTAATTTGTGTAGTCATGGTTACATTCAGGTCATGGAAATGTCACAGAAATCATGTTACCCTCTATCACACCAAGAGGCATGTGATGTCAGTTTTTCTCATTATTTATTATTATTATTATTATTATTTTTGAGATAGAATTTCGCTCTTCTTGCCCAGGCTGGAGTGCAATGGTGTGATCTCGGCTCACCACAGTTTTGTATTTTTAGTAGAGACGGGGTTTCTCCATGTTGGTCAGGCTGGTCTCGAACTCCCAACCTCAGGTGATCCCCCTGCCTCGGCCTCCCAAAGTGCTGGAATTACAGACGTGAGCCACCACGCCCAGCCCAAATGAGGATTTTCTAATTTTATCCTTACTTCCACATTTATCACTTGGCACACAACTGTAAGGAAAATCTTCCCATCTTCCATATTTATGTGTTTAAGTTCCCAAGATTGATAATCACTTATTGTCATCATTAATGCTCAAAATGTGTCAGATTTGGCCATTGAGATCCCTTTCAAGCTGGCTTCTGTGTCCTTTCAAATCATACCCATCAATTCTGAGCACCTACATTCTGGCACAGCAAGATATCTTAGGTTCATCTTGTAGTTTCCCTGGCACAGTCCCGGAGTCAGTGTAGTTGACACCAGTAGCTACTTTCTATCAGTATCGCTGGTTCCTTTTAGTAGGGAGTGGTATTTGAAAATCAATATATAGAATTATCTTTGCTCATTGCATCTGAGGTAACATTTCTTCTAGGCCCAATTAGCAGAGAGATCTGTGGAGAAATTTTACAATTAAGTGTATAATTTCATACTGATGCCTCTAATTCCCATCATCACCAATAGGACTATTCTTTACCTTCCTCCTTTCCCACAGTGAGAGCCTGGTTCCAACAACATACAGGCGCACACATGCTCATTTTTCCAATCCTAAAATTCACACAAAATATCAGAATTGCTATTGCCTTAGCATTACAGAAAATATTCCTGATACATAGAGTTTAAGATATGCTTGCTGTTCTTTTTCTTTTTACAATGAGAACAATGTATAAACCATTTTCTTAGGTCAATTCTTTCCTGAATTTTCAATGTGGTTATGTTATACTTTTGAAATGCTCTATTTGGAAATAGATTTGCTGATCCCAAATCAGGAACAGTGTTTTTCTTTTTACTGTTAACGTACCTTTTCTTGATGTAACCGTGCCTAAGAGAGGGGGCACTTAGATATAGGGAAATCATAAACAGTGGAATTGGAAACACATGGTAATTGTCTTTATGACATAGAGCACATACTCAGATAATGGTGGTCACCAGTTTTCCAAATACACAGGAGGTATGAGGGGGTATAGCTCAGTGGTAGAGAGTGTACTTATCATGCACGAGGTCTTGGGCTGATTCCCCAGTACCTCCAGAGGTCCATTTTCTTCCCTGTGGCACTGTAAGAAGAGCTCCATGACCTTCCCCAGCTGTCCAGAATGTCCTGCCTTGTCAAGATATTTGGGTTGACCTCTACATCTCTCTCTCATACAGAGAGGTAATTCGTGTTCATTCACTTAAGGTTATTTGCTGCTTACGATTATCCACCTATTCTTTCTAAGCAGTCCCAGCAGTCACTAAGGTGAACCACGCACTATGGAAGCAAGTACTACTCCTGGCCCTCCAGCCTATTTCTAGTTGTAAATGAAATAATCAGAAACCATAGAACCACGTGGCGCAAGTCCTTTCCTGTGTGTGGTGTTTGTTTGTTTGTTTGTTTGTTTGTTTGTTTGAGACAGAGTTTCACTCTTGTTGCCCAGGCTGGAGTGCAATAGCACAATCTTGGCTCACCACAACCTCTGCCTCCCGGATTCAAGTGATTCTCCTGCCTCAGCCTCCTGAGTAGCTGGGATTACAACCATGCACCACCATGCCTGGCTAATTTTGTATTTTTAGTAGAGATGGGGGTTTCTCCCTGTTGGTCAGGCTAGTCTAGAACTCCCGACCTCAGGTGATCTGCCCACCTCAGACTTCCAAAGTGCTGGGATTACAGGCGTGTGCTACCATGCTTGGCCTTGTATTTCTTCTTCTAACCCAGGTTGCAGAAGCCCTACAAGCTTTCACTAAAAGATTTCACTGCCAGTGGCTGAGGACCTGATGTGCTGGTGGTCACTTTTTCCATTAGAAACCCACAAACTCTAAAACTTAATGTAAACTATTTAACTACAAGAATACAATAAATGGCAAATATAATGACAAATGAGAAAAAGATCACAGTCACTTCAGCTGACATTTGGTAGGGGGAACATATTTCTCTGGGTCCTCTAAGGAAGTTTCTGCCCTGAGATGCAAGCACTCGGAACTCCAGGAACCAAGATCAGTATAGGGTAAAGCTCATTTCTTTGTTTTCCATCAATAAAAATAATGAATGAACTTTTATTCTCCCAATCCCAATGGATCCTTTTCTACCTGCTGCACTTATTCTCCAGGAATAACCTCTTTCTAAGCTACTGAACAACCCACACCTCCAGATTAGAGCTCTTTGCACAGTTTCTGATGCTGGTATCACAGAGCTAAGCAGAATCCACGCGGGGATACTCTGCAAGCATCTCAATACTATCTCGTTAAAAGGAAATCGCCTTCTATTTTCAGCTCTATTTCATTTAAACAAAAGATAAAAAATTAAGTTACTCAACACCCAGAAGGCAGAAAAGCGACCTCTCTATGCATCTGCAGAAGCCAAGCAAGCTAGTGGGGCTTCCGTATGCATCCTTTCTTTTACTCATTTTCCAAACGCTGTAATGGTCCACCACCTACCAGGTGGTCACAAGCCATCGCTAAAGTCAATTTTGAGGTCAACCCACTCAACTTGTGAGGGATTCACCTATATTACCTCTGCACCTGTAATAAGACTAAGAAGACGGTGGCTGCACATGTAGTTAACACCGATTGTACCGCGACTTCGCCTTTCCGCAGCCTTTGTACCAACCTGCAGAGCCCTTTTGAGCCAAGAGCTGGACTTGAGGAGTAAAGAAGCTCATTGTAAACGCCAGGAGGAATTTCTTCAGGGTGAAGTTGACTTCCAATCGGCTTCATTCTAAAGGAAACATGTGGAGCAAACAAACGGGAACTTTCTTTCTCATCTTCTGCATTTCAAGCCTAATAAAATTAGACGTTTCCACTGTCCTGCTCAGTCTCGAAGCTGTCGGCAGATTCCGCTTTTAACTCTCAACACAGACACTCAGGAAATCGGGAAATCCCTGCAGCTCCCTCAGAAGCTATCAGTATCAGCGGTTCCCGAACCCGCAAACAAAAAACGCAACATCACGTGCTCCTCCAAAGAGCCTAGCCTGTCTATCGAGCGATGGAAAGAGCGGCGAGGCGCTCTCGCAGCCGTGGCAGTCTGGACGAAAAGAACCAGGTCCCTTTCCTGGTCTAGCCTACCTCCCTACCTCTCTTCCCTCATATCCAGAAGAAGCGACGGAGAGGTGAGTGCTTAGACTCACTCTAACATCCCGTCCATCCAAATCCTAATAATCTTGAGGATGCTTTTCCTTGTCCTCTACCCCTCTCCCTTTTTATGTTTCTTTCTCCACTTCACCGCACCCCGCCTCTTCCCTCTCTCCGCCAGCTGGCCCTCGGCTCCTCTCCACCTTCCCTCCCGTTTACTTCTGAATGAACTTTTCACAATAGTGCAGTGCACTCCTAGAACCATTTACACACATTCTAAGCACTGTGCTGAGATTTATATGTAGCCACTGTTTTAATTTCCACATCACTTTCCTTTTTTTTTTTTTTTTTCCTTCTCTATATGCTCAACTTCAAACGTTTTCTGCAGCATAGGCTGAGGCTGCGTCCAGATGGGGAGAGACGTCAGGCGGCGGGGATAAACCTGGAGGAATGTTGTTTCCTGTCTGGGGAGGTTCGGGCCTTACAAGAGGGAGAGAAAAAAAGAAAAAAGCCTGTAAGAGAATCTAAAATTTTTGAGGAAATTATTCAAAAAATATTTTAATTGACCCTCCCAACAAATTTTGGCTAAAAACAGAAAGCCTGGACTCTCTCGGAATAGGAGACTGAGTTTGAAAACTGTCCAGACATAGGGACGGTTTTATTAAAATTCAATTTGCAAGTCGTTGTTGGCTGTAGCTATTTCCTTATTCCAGAGAGGATTGTTTCTGAAATTCGGTAAACTCTGAAATTGTTTCTAAGTTATTTAACAAGAGGAGTCCAATGTTTTCACACTTTTGAAGTGATATAAGAATTTCTAGGCTGAGGTGGGAGAACGGATTGAGCCGGGAGGCGAAAGTTGCAATGAGAGGAGATTGCCACTGCACTCCAGGCTGGCAGAGTGGGACCCTGTCTCTCTCTCTCTCTCTCTCACTCGCTGGAATCTTCTCTCTCTCTCTATATATATATATATAGAGAGAGAGAGATACATGTATATTTTATATTATATATAATATCTATATCAACAATATATTTACATTTTTAATTTATATATATTTCATATTTATATGTATATATATATATATATATAGCGTGGTCACACTAAAATAAACATATGCTTGTCTTTTCCACCCCTGGCTCTCTGTACCACCTAAGGTGGATGTGTTAGCACTAGATCAGTAAAAGGAAGGAAACAGAGAAAAAGAATTGGCTCGCTCAGGATTTCTTCAGTCGGAAGCTATAAACCTACTACCAGGTTAACGTGTTCAATAATCTTCTGTTCCTTTTTGCCATGTCATTGAAGAGCAAGACAGAAAACAAAACAAAAAAGAGCCAAAAGGAGAGAAAAGGAAAAGTCTAGATAATTTCATTTTAGTTTTAGATAGTTTCCTTTAGTTTTCTGAGCGGTGTTTCCAAGGTGACCAAGCATGGGAGCATCTATCTTGCTGATTTGACCTATTCCTCGCCTTTATTTATTTTTTTTTTTTTTAGAGACAGAGTCTCGCTGTCGCCCAGGCTGGAGTGCAGTGGCGCGATCTCGGCTCACTGCAGCCTCGAACTCCCTGGTTCAAGCGATTCTCCTGCCTCAGCCTCCGAAGTAGCTGAAACTACAGGCGTGCGCCACCTCTCCTGGCTAATTTTTATATTTCTTGTAAAGAAGGGATTTCACCATGTTGGCCAGGCTGGTCTTGAACTCCTGACCTCAAGTGATCCACCCTCCACGGCTTCGCAAAATGCTGAGATTACAGGCGTGAGCCACCGTGCCCGGCCGTCTCGTCTTTTCTTTCCCGTCTTTTGCCGGGGAAAATTGGATCCTATTTTCATACATAAATTACAGCAGAATTTATATTTTTGGATTGGGGGGAGGTGAGTGAATGACGGGTGATATTGAAGACAACCGAATTAGGCGTTGGAAGATACACTGACCTTACAAATTGCAGTTTTTATATTTTGAAGAAATGACCAACGGGACAGCTCCAGAGTAGCCGAAATAGCTCAGTTGGGAGAGCGTTAGACTGAAGATCTTAAAGGTCCCTGGTTCAATCCCGGGTTTCGGCAGATACCTTTTGGTTGTTGCATAATTGTCTTTCCTTTATACAACACTTGCACACCAATCCCAGAGGTCTATATATAACTCCCATTTTTTGCTTTTTGAAAATTCCATAAAGGTAATGTATATATATATGTATGTATATTTGTATCACTCTCTCCACTGAAGTCTTCCATGAAGTGTTAACTGATGGTATGTAAATTATTTAAAATCTTAAATCTAGAAAGTTACTAATTTTAAAACCTAAGAAATTCCAATATGCTATAGACTGTGGCAATTACAATTCATTTCTGATTTGATGTTATTTATGTGTGTTGGGCAGGGGTGTTTTAAATCACAAGAACTATGAAGAAACCTGTAGAAGAACTATTATGCTGTATGAGTGTATATATGTGGTAGTGGTATATTCAAGAAACATTTTGCAATTCCAAAAACCTCGGTTTGGCCGGGCGCAGTGGCTCAGGCCTGTAATCCCAGCACTTTGGGAGGCCGAAGCGGGTGGATCACGAGGTCAGGAGATCGAGACCACGGTGAAACCCCCGTCTCTACTAAAAGTACAAAAAAATTAGTGGAGCGCGGTGGCGGGCGCCTGTAGTCTCAGCTACTCAGGAGGCTGAGGCAGGAGAATGGCGTGAACCCGGGAGGCGGAGCTTGCAGTGAGCTGAGATCGCACCACTGCAATCCAGCCTGGGTGACAGAGCGAGACTCCGTCTCAAAAAAAAAAAAAAGAAAGAAACACCTCGGTTTGTATCTTGAGTCAACTCCATAGCTCTGCAGTTAAACTGCTGGGAAAATAACTTTCTTTTTTTTGAGACGGAGTCTCGCTCTGTCGCCCAGGCTGTAGTGCAGTGGCACGATCTCGGCTTACTGCAAGCGCCGCCTCCCGGGTCCACGCCATTCTCCTGCCTCAGGCTCCCGAGTAGCTGGGACTACAGGCGCCCACCACCACGCCCAGCTAATTTTTTGTATTTTTAGTAGAGACGGGGTTTCACCATGTTAGCTGGGATGGTCTCGATCTACTGACCTCGTGATCCACCCACCTCGGCCTCCCAAAGTGCTGGGATTACAGTGTGAACCACCGCGCCCGGCCCTGTTTTGTTTTTTTGAGGCAGGGTCTCACTCTGTCACCCATGCTGGAGTGCAGTGGTATGATCACAGCTCACTGCAGCCTCAGCCTCCCTGGACTCAAGCGATCCTCCCATGTCAGCCTCCTGGGTAGCTGAGACTACAGAAATGCAACAACAAGCCTGGCTTTCTCTCTCTCTCTTTTGTACTTTTTTTTTGTAGAAACTGGGTTTCACCATGTTCCCCCAGCTGTTCTTGAAATCCTGGGCTCAAGCAACCTGCCCGCTTCTGCCTCCCTACGTGCTGGGATTACAGGTGGGAACCACCGCACCAGTCCTAATTACAGGAATATTTTTAAGTTTCTTACTGACAGGACATTTCTTTAGCCTGGAAACCTTGCCTAGAATTTCCAAATCTTAAGTTATTTCCTCATTGGTATCCAGGAAAGAACAAAAATAAGTCTTTCTTTCTTTTTTCTTTTTTTTTTTTTTTTTGAGACAGAATCTTGCTATGTTACCCATGCTAGAGTGCAGTGGAACGATCTCAGCTCACTGCAACCTCCGCCTCCCCGGCACAAGCAATTCTCCTGCTGCAGCCTCCCAAGCAGCTGGGATTACAGGCGTCCACCACCATGCCTGACTAATTTTTGTATTTTTAGTAAAGACGGGATTTCACCATGTTGGCCAGCCTGGTCTCCAACTCCTGACCTCGTGATCTACCTGCCTCGGCCTCCCAAAGTGCTGGGATTATAGATGTGAGCCACTGCGTCCGGTCAAAAATAAGTATTTCTAAATTAATTATTCTGTCAAGACTCAGGTGGATGTGCCCCATTTTCCTTTTTTTTACTTCAACTCCTCTCTTGAAATTTTGTGTTGGGATAATGGGCCTTTTTTGTCCTGTTTTTTTTTTTTTTTTGTCTGATTTTTTTTGGTCATTTTTAATATCTTTTCTTCTTTCAAATTGGTGTTTCATTTTCAGTGTTATTTTCCCCTAACACCTGCATACTGTGTGAGGAGACAATAAACTACAGTACTCCAACATCAGAACTGCATCAAATTGTGAAAGGAAAATTGGTACCAAATGAGAGACCAACCTCAGGGTGGGGACATTGACTGTACAGGAACTAGGAATCAGATACTTTACCCTTTAAGTCACTGAGGCTTTCTCAACTCAGAAGCCTGTGTTTTATTTCATTAAGAAATATTTGATAGGCTGGGCGTGGTGGCTCACGCCTGTAATCTCAGCACTTTGGGAGGCTGAGGTGGGTAGATCACCTGAGATCAGAAGTTTAAGACCTGCCTGGCCAACATGGTGATACCCTGTCACTACTAAAAATACAAAATAATAATAATAACAATAATAATAATAATAATAATAAATTAGCTGGGTGTGGTGGTGGATGCCTGTAATCCCAGCTACTCGAGAGGCTGAGGCAGGAGAATCCCTTGAACCCGGGAAGCGGAGGTTGCAGTGAGCCAAGATCGCAACATTGCACTCCACCCTAGGCAACAAGAGCAAGACTCTGTCTTAAAAAAAGAAAAAAAAAAGGAAACATTTGATTAGACAAATGGCAGGATTGAATGTTTTCTTGCCTAGCACAGTAGTGATTCCTTTACATTTTGTTGAAATGAAACGCCTAGGGTAATTCTAAGCATGATTCGTCTCTCATTCAATACCTTAAAAATGAGGCTAATAATGATTATGTAAAATGGGATGTTGCAAAGGTCTAAGGAGATCATGCATGGAAATGCATTTAGTCAAGTCCACTCGCGGCATGAAACCTAATTACTGGCAGACCATGCTCCATGTCCTTTGGCTCTGGGATTCTCCCAGAACAGCACCTAAATAGATAACATCGTCTCTAGACAATGCTGTCCAATCAAAAGATACTACAAGTCTTCTGCTTTAGCTTCTGGGATAAAAAGAATTTTTAAAAAAGTTAATACAAATCTTAAATGAGAGCCACTTCTGTAGTTTTAAATTTTCTAGTAGTCACATTTAAAAAATAAACAGGCAATACTTATTTTATATAATTTTTTAACAATTTCAACTTTTAGATAGGCAAGGTGGGTCATACCTGTAATCCCAGCCCTTTGGGAGGCCGAGGTGCGCGGAACACCTGAGGTCAGGGGTTCAAGACCAACCTGACCAATATGGTGAAACCCTGTCTCTAATAAAAATACAAAAATTAGCTGGGTGTGGTGGTGCATGCCTGTAATTTCAGCTACTTGGGAGTCTGAGATAGGAGAATCACTTGAAACCTGGAGGAGGAGTTTGCAGTGAGCCCAGATAGCGCCACTGTACTCTAGCCTGAGAGACAGAGCAAGACTCTGTCTCAAAATAATAATACTAATAATAATAATTTCAACTTTTATTTTAGATTCAGGGGGTACATGTCCAGGTTTGTTACATGGGTATAGTGCATGATGCTGGGGTTGGGGTGAGATTAATCCCATCACCTGGGTGGTGAACATAGTATCCAATAGTTAGCTTTTCAAGCCTTTCCCCTTCTCGCCTCCCCCTCTAGTAGTCCCCAGTGTCTATTGTTTCCATCTTTTATGTCCAGTTTTACTAATATATGTAAATCACCTTGCATGTCCAAAATATTATTTTAACAAGTAATCAATCTTAAAATTATCAGTGAGACGTTTTATGTTTAAAAAATGATATTACATCTGGCCAGGTGCGGCGGCCCATGCCTGTAATCCCAGCACTTTGGGAGGCCGAGGAGGGCAGATGACAAGGTCAGGAGTTTGGGACCAGCCTGGCCAGCATGGTGAAACCCTGTCTCTACTAAAAAAAAAAAAAAAGAAAAAGAAAAATTGCCAGGCATGGTGGCGCGCGCCTGTAGTCCCAGTTACTCAGGAGGCTGAGGCAGGAGAATGGATTGAACCCAACAGGTGGAGGTTGCTGTGAGCCAAGATTGCACCACTGCACTCCAGGTTAGGTGGCAGAGCGAGACTCCATGAAAAAAAAATTACATCTTTGAAATCTGGTATATATTTCTCACTTTCAACACATCTTAACTTAGACTAGGCAATTTTCAGTACTCAATACCCAATGTGGCTAATGGTAACCATATTGGACAGTGCAGATTTAAACATATACTTTATATATTTTTAGGTTTTCGAAATTGAGTGTGTATGACAGGGTGTTCTGTCTTCAAAATTAAATGTTTAATTTCTCAGAAGAATGCTATGTTAAATGAGCTCATCCTACAGATTTCACACAAAAAACATGTTTCAATCGTGTTGCTGGTAGATAGTCTGAAGATAGCTACAGATATTTAATTATTTAAAATTCTCCCATTTTTATGAGGCAACCTTCTTATTATGAATTCCCAAGAATCCAATAGACAGCCAAGTTTCTCTGGGTGTAACACAACATAAAGATGAAGGAGAGTTTCTGCAAACTGTCCTAATATTGCTTTTACAGCATCAAAGAGCCAAGATAATCCTTCCCATCATTTACATGCACACACACAGACACAGTCAGGCAGGCAAACACACATGAATACACATCAATTTTGTCTATAACAATTCTCTAGTTTCTCCTTCAGTGAAGTCTATCACTCAGTGTTTCCTATTTTTATTCTAGAAATCCCATCAGCCAACTGAAAAGCCAAGTCTGACATACAACTTGCAATTTGGCAATTTTGAAAGCCATCAATGTTACTTTATTAACATTGGCAAAGGCTCTTATATAGGCAAACCAGAATGAGAAAGAGTTAATAGTCACTAGAAATTTGGTGCTGAGAAATAGGTTTTCTTCTCATCTTCTTATGTAATTCAAAGGACACACGATAAGTCCCAAGATTCAAGAACTTTTGAATTCAAGAACAAACAAACTTGTTTGTTCACTACAAATATCACGAATAGGTTTGTAATTTCCATATCTCAAAGTACACTTTTTTAGTCTTTATCCATCCTCCATGTAATGTGTCTACTACTATTAATGCTTACAAATCCCAGGCTAGAGACAGAGTTAATTGCCTGAATTCTCTGAGAAACATCCTCACAAGTGTGCCCCACAGATACTTTAAATTGAGTATGAGCCAAACTAACTCATCTTCTCCATCTTCCAGTCTATCTCTCATTCCTAAAAGAGCTGTTAAAACCTCTCCCCTTTTCTGCACCTGCTGTGTTTGTTTTTCTAAAGCATTCTTCAACCCTGTTTGTATTTATCTTCGGTCTTATTCTCATAATTCAACCCTTCTCTCCATCCCCATAGCTGTTTTTCATTCACGCCTTATGAATCCCTTCCCCTCCCCTCCCCTCTTCTCCCCTCGTCTCCCCTCTTCTCCCCCTTTCCCTCCCCTCCCCTTCCCTTCTCTCTCTGTTGCCCAGGCTGGAGGACAGTGGCACAGTCATAGCTCCCTACAACAACTAACTCCCGAGCTCAAGCGATCCTCGTGCCTCAGCCTCTAGAGTAGCTGGGAGTACAGGCGTAAGACACCACGCCAGCTAAGGACCCTTATGAAAAAATGCTAAGTGCATCGCTGTCAGGTTTTCTTCTGATTGTGGCTTTCCTCCATCAAATCTTATCTTTAATATTCCGATTGAGCAAACAACAATTATGAAGCGTTTTAGGCAGGAAAAGGCTGAATTTCAATGGCTTTGTGTCGTATCTGGGAGAAATTAAAAGAAACGAAAACCTGAACTTGATTCTTGCCAAGCATAATAGAAGGAGACCCTAAGAACTCAACGTCTTGAGGCCACAATGGAAACTTCTTGTGGTTATTATCTGACACTTTTCTAATCTTTCGTTTTTCGTTTCAAGTCCTACACAGTATTCTAAAGAATCTGTATCCCCCATTAGTACCAAGTATCTCCTGCTCAGAACAGCTCTCCGCACTCCATAATACTGACCACTACTACCAGCATGCTCACGGAGTCTCAGGAAATGAAAGTTACCTCCTGAAAATTATTACAAAGAGACCTTATAGTAAGGGGGTGTAGCTCAGTGGTAGAGCGCATGCTTTGCATGTATGAGGCCTCGGGTTCGATCCCCGACACCTCCAAGCGATGGTTTTGCTCTGGTAGTTTTCAAGCGACAGACTTCTGCCTCCTCACGTTTTTCTATCCTATTTCTGCACATATAGACAGTAAAAGTGTAGCCCAATGTTCAGCCTTGAACTATCTCCACTGGTTATGCTGTGAACCTCGACATCACCAAAGGCGATTGCCACAGCAGAAGGGAGACAAACAAGAAATGAGGGGGAAAGAAGAACGGGATCGCAACACGGTCTCTTGAACCCAAACAAAAGCGTGCACATTCACAGGCGGCTCGCGTTCACTCCCATTTTGTACTATGATTAATGAGACGCAAAGACAAAGGAGAAGGGAGAAAAGCGCCCTGAAGGCATCTATTTTTTTTTAAGTTATTTTTGTTTTCTGGGCCAAAGAACAGAGCGAAAGCCTCTGTTCACTGATTTCTCCACCAGTCTCTCCCTGTCTACCTGCGCGGAGAACACAGCTACCAGTGTGATCCAGTACTGAGACAAGGGCTGTGGCTCTCCAGTCGCTTGAGATGGGAGTGGCAGGGCGCTGGATAACCACACGAAGACTGTCGGGGAATTAGAGGCCTTCAACGTGCGAGAAGCAGAAACCAATACGGATCAACATTCCCTACTGATATTCCATAAGACTGATTTGTATTCCTGTATTTCCTCAGTCACTCCATTTTCCTCTTTACAATAAAATATTGCCTGGGAACTTCTGGTAAGAGCAAACGGAGGCCCCATATGAAAAACTAGGAAAAGGTTTTCTGTCACAATGCAAAATACATGCAGACTAAAAGATAAGTAGATCGCAGGTGTGTTGGGCACTTCCTGCCTTGGGAAAAAACAAACAAACATTTCATGTTCTTTCTCGATCCACCTGATTACATCGCTTTTTTTGGAGAGGGAACTCCCAAGAAATCCTATGCACTCATGAAACCTTTTATGGTTTCCAACGGTGTATGGTTTCAAAACTGCTGTTCTCTCTGTACATATTTCCTATTGAATTAAAGTGTCTTTGAGAGGCAAGAGAGTATGATGTTTGTTCCTAGTCCACCAGCCTATCAGGCTGGCATGATAGATACACTCTATGAGGCTAACATGACCTTACTTGATTCTTTTGTCCAGTGAGAATATCTATAACCAGCATCCAGGAGGGATACTGTCTGATGAAACCTGCTTAGCTGAGGACTGGCTGTGTGTGTGCCTCCAGACCAATCATATGTTTGTTTTGAGACACATTTTTTGGAGGAAGGTAATACACACATGCCATGTATTTTCTTTTTGTTTCATACTTTTTCTTCTTTAATTTCCTGGTATCCATTGGTTCTCTCCAGGCAAACAGTGGCATGTTAGCCACAGTGGACACTGCATAGGAGAGCAAGGGGTGGAGGATTAGGGTGCTGCAATCAGAATAATAAATTTCAGGCCCAACCTTAGGTCTATTGAATCAGAACTGCTGAGTATGGATGGGGCTCAGCCTCCTGTGTTTGAATAAGCCTTCAAGTGACTCTGATGCTAAAGTTTGTGAAGCACTGCTCTAGAAGTTTCAGGAAGTCCCAGGGTCAGGCACCTGCTGAGGAGGAAGAGTTGGTCCTGGGGTTCCCTGCCTATTCTCAATCAAAAACACAAACCTAGGAAAGCCAGTGAGGTTTGTATTCGTCTTATGTCAGGGATGGGGTTGAATTTACCATTTCTTTGACCCTTTGAATATTTATGCAACTTTTCAGGTCACACACAACAGACTGATTTTCCTGTGGAGGAACTCACAGGAATTCTCTTGAACCAGGAGACTCTTTTGAGCTGAAATACCTGGAGCTCTCTCAAGCTATTTGGGCCTTGCAATTTGAAACCCAGGCTTGGACGATTCTAAGCCCTGTGGCAGAGAGTAATCATTTTCTCTCCACCCTCAGGGTGAGGACTCATCCTCAGGGTTGGGAGTGACTGCTGTCTCTCCAGCCCCCACCAAGTCTACCAATGTTCTGGTTGTTAAAATCCAGCATATGCATGAAATGTAATAAAAGTATCTTTGCAGCAGTAAGTAGAGAGTTCCTCGTTGTGAGCAGACCATTCCTCTTCCTCCTTGGAAAAAATTCTGTATCCACTTTCTACATTTTCACGTTTGTCTCTTCCTCTACACACACCTCAGCTGCTGCTTTATTTACACTTGTCTCATGTAAGGATCTTCTTTTATGTGGTAACCTTGGCTTTTCCCACTGTTCTTGCTTCCACGAGTTGGATGCAGGCAATATAGGAGCCGACTGCAAAATGTAGGTGATATTGTCCAGAAAGAAACCCGAATTTCAGAGGCTTGCTGATGTGGAAGAAAGCCAAGATATTAGACTCATAGAGCTTCACTCTGCTAGGTAGGTTGAAATCTGGACACCCTGAATTCCATAAAAACAAGGTAGTACTCCTTCTGAAAACCCTCGTAAGTTTAAAATATACTGGGACTGCCTTACCTTTCTTGTTTTTCATGCCTTGTATTCCAAGCTTGACAAGCTATAACAAAAACAAAAGCAAAGAACACTCTTCCTATCTATAACAAAGGACCCTATGCTTCAGCGGGAGGGTCTCTCTTCCCGGTTAAACACTCTCCCCCTCGCTAACAGTAGGGATTGGAAATAGGCGGCTTCTCTGTCGTTTCCTTGGAAGCCACTAATACCACCCGCCTGTACCAAAACTCAAGGGTACCCGTTCTCCCCAGTGCCCCAGCCAGTAAGGGAGCTGCGAGGCGTTCTCAACGCCGCGACTGCCTTGAGCAAAACGAGGGAGATCTTGCGAGGAAAGTGTTTTCAGCTCACTTCTCCAACAGGGAATGAGCCCTCTCGCTTATCGCGGACAGCGAGGAAAAGCAGCGGAGATGGGCTTCTGGGCTGCACTCCGCCTTCCGGCCCACCCAGATCCTCTGGCAGCCTCGGGCGCTCGCCCACTTCGCTTCTCCTCCGCCTTTGCCGCCGCCGCCGCAGGTGCGCACCCCACCGCGTCCCTGCTTCCCTCTCGAACTCTTTTCGAAGGTGGTCCTCGTTCTCCTCTCCATCCATCGTTTCTTGAGTGTCAGAACTGGAGCCATAGCGTCCCCAAGACGAAATCCATGCTGGGTTTCGCGACCATGGTGCTGGCCCAGGCGCTGGCAGGGTAAGGACGGGCAGCGACCCACGCTCCTGGGTCTTCGTTTCTAAGAGCTGGGAATTCCACTTTCTCACCTCCTCACCTGCACCTAAATCCCCCGAGACGGTACTGACCCTTCTGTTTTAGTATCCATCTACGTTACTCTTGATAGAAGAGTACAGCCCTTGAAGGAAGAGGGAAAAGAAATTTGAGAAGGGAGAATTTAGAAAAACCTTTTTAGTTTGAAATTATTTCAAACCTACAGAAAAGTTGCAAAAATGATACAAAGAACTGCCACACACAAGTTACTCATATTTACCAATTCCCGATATTTTGCCACAATGATTCTCCTCTCTCTTTACGGCTAAACACACACACACACTATTATTTTTCTCATGTACTTTATTATTTATTTATTTATTGAGACAGGTCTTGCCCTGTCGTCCAGGCTGGAGTGCAGTGGTGCGATCTCGGCTCACTGCAACCTCCGCCTCCCGGGTTCATGCGATTCTCCTACCTCTGCTTCCCAAGTAGTTGGGATTAGAGGCATGAGCCACCATGCCAGGCCATTTTTTGTATTTTTAGTAGAGACGGGACTTCACCATGTTGGCCAGGCGGGTCTGGAACTCCTAACCTCTGGTGATCCGCCCGCCTCGGTCTCCCAAAGTGCTGGGTTTACAGGCGTGAGCCACCCCGGAGCTTCTGTGTTCTTTTAAATCATCCCCATCATTCTGGCACAGCAAGATATTTTAGGTTCATCTTGTAGTTTCCCTGGCACAGTCCTGGAGTCAGTGTAGTTGACACTAGTAGCTACTTTCTATTAGTATCTCTGGTTCCTTTTAGTAGAGAATGGTATTTGAAAATCAAAATATAGAGTCATCTTGCTCATTGTTTCTAAGGTATTTCTTCCAGGCTCAGTTAGCAGACAGATCTGTAGGGAAAATGTACTATTTTTATTTTTTGAGACAGAGTCTTAGTCGCCCAGGCTGGAGTGCGGTGGTGCGATCTTGGCTCGCTGCAACGTCCGCCTCCCGAATTCAAGCGATTATCCTGCCTCAGCCTCCCGAATAGCTGGGACTACAGGGGCGGCCACCACACCCGTCAAATTTTTGTATTTTTAGGAGAAACGGCGTTTTGCCATGTTGGCCAGGCTGTTCTCGATTTCTGACCTGAAGCGATCCACACGTCTCAACCTCCCAAAGTGCTGAGACTACAAGCGTGAGCCACCGCGCCCGGCCTATACAATTACATATGTATAATTTCATACTGATGCCTCCAATTCCCATCAACACCAACAGGACTATTCTTTACCTGCTTTCTCTTACAGTGACAGCCTGTTTCCAACAACACACGCGCTCACACACACTCATTTTCCCAATCCTAAAATTCACACAAAATCTCAGAATTCCTGCAGCCTTAGCTCTAAAAAAAAAACCCTCATACATAGAGTTTAAGATTTGTTTCCTCTTCTTTTTGTACTTACAATTAGAACAACGAACTTTGTCAAGCATTTTCTTAAATCAGTTATTTCAATGGGGTTATGTTATTCTTTCACAATGCAGTTTTAATTTGCCTCTATTTGTGTTGAATTTTAGGGTATTTTCACACACACTTGAGTCAGTTTTATTTTTTGACCATGTGAGACTAACACGCTTCCAAGAGTCAAAAGAATACAGAACATTATAATCAGAAAATTTGCAAGAGAATGTTGTATGCCAGGACACACTCAAATGATTGAATGCAAGTATGCTCCAGGAAATCTAACGCGATGGGGAGCCCACCGTGGGGTGAGTTGATCTTGGACTGACCACAAATCAGGAACAGTGCCTTTATTTGTACTATTAAGCTACCTTTCTTTTGGTGTAGCAGGGCCTAAGAGAGGAAACACTTCCTGTAGGAAATTGAGAGTGGAATTGAAAACATAAAGATTATCATGACACAGAGCCCAGACTCAGACAATAATAGTCATCAAAATATTCTCTAAAAGGCAAGTCTTCCAGAGGGGGTATAGCTCAGCGGTAGAGCGCGTGCTTAGCATGCACGCGGTCCTGGGTTCAATCCCCAATACCTCCAGGTTTTGTTTTCTTCCCCGGGCACTAGTGAGAAGCGGTCCATGATATTCCCCAACTTTAAATTTTTCTGTCTGTCAAGGTGAATTGTGTTGGCCTCTGCATTTCTCTCTCATACACAGAGGTGACTCGTGTTTATTCCTTTGAATCTATTTGCTGCTTAGGATTATCCACTTATATTTTCTAAGCAGTCCACCAATCACTAACATGAACCACGCACGAGGGAAGCAAGCAGTATTCCTGGCCATGCAACCAATTTCTAGTTGTAAATGAAATCATCAGAAACCATAGAACTGTGTGGCCCAAGTCTGATTTCAGATCAGAAGCTAAAAAGGCTCACGTCCTTTTCTGTTTCTTCTTCTAACTCCCTCTAACCAGGTTGAGAAGCCCTACAAGCTTTCACTAAAAGATTACACTGCCGGTGGTTGACGATTTGATGTGCTGGTGGTCACTTTTTCCATTAGAGACCCACATAGTTTGAAACTTAAACTATTTAACTACAAACACAAGGCAAATGATGAAAAGATAGCAGTCACCTCAGCTGAAATTTGGTGGAAGTAAAAAGTACTTCTCTGGGTCCTCAAGGAAGTTTCTGGTCTGAGATGCAAATACTCTGAACTCCAGGAAACAAGATCAGTATAGGAGAAAGCTCATTTTGTTGTTTTTCATAAATAAAAGTAATGAACGTTTATTCTCCCAAGCCCAACGGATCCTTTTCTACCTGATTGTACTTACTCTCCAGAAATAACCTCCTTCTAAGCTAGGGAACAACCCATACCTCCAGATTAGAGAGCTCTTTGTAGAGTTTCTGATTCTGGTATTACAGTACTAAGCAGAAATCCACAGGGAAATACTCTGCAAGCATGTTAATACTAACTTGTTAAAAGAAAATCTGCTTTTATTTTCATCTTTATTTCATGCCAACAAAGCAAAAAAAAAAAATAAGTTACTAAACACCCAGAAGGCAGAAAAGTGACCTCTATCCATCTGCAGGAGCCAAGCAAGCGTGTGGGCTTCCGTATGCATCCTTTCTTTTACTCACTTTCTAAATGCTGTAACGGTCCACCATCTACCAGGTGGTCACAAGTCATCGCTAAACTCAATCTGAGGTCAGCCCACACGACTTGTGAATGGTTCACTTATATTGCCTCTGCACCTGTAACAGGACTAAGAAGACGGTGGCTGCACACGTAGTTAACACCGATTGTACCTCGACTTCGCCTTTCTGCAACAGCTGTGACGCTCTGCAGGTCCTGAGCCAAGAGCTGGACGTTAGGAGTAAAGGAGCTCGTTGCAAACGCCAGGAAGAGTTTCTTTAGGGTGAAGTTGGCTTTCGATTGGCTTTATTCTAGGAGATATATATGGAGCAAAGAAACGGGAACTTTTTCTCATCTTTTGCATTTTAAGCAAAAACTAATAAAATTAGATGTTTCCACCGTCATGCTCAGTCTCTTAGCTGCCGGCAGATCCCGCTTCTAACTCTCAACACGGGCACTTAGGAAGCCAGGCAATCCCTGAAGCTCCCTCAGAAGCTACGGTATCAGCGGTTCCTGAGGCGCAAACCAAAACCCAACATCACTCCAAAGAGCTCAGCCCGTCTGTCGAGCGACGGAAATAGCGGAGAGGCGCTCTTGAAGCCGTGACAGCCTGGGCGAAACGAACCAGGTCTCCTTCCTGGTCCAGCCTACCTCCCTAGGGACACCTCTCTTCCCTCACGGCCAGAGGAAGCGACGGAGAGATGTGGCGCTTAGATTCACTCTACGGTCCCGTCCATCCAAGTCCGAATCATCTTAAGGATGCTTTTCCTTGCCCTCTATCTCTCTCCCATTTGTGTTTTTCTTCCTCCACTTCACGGCACCCCTCCTTTTCCCTCTCTCCGCCAGCTGGCGCTCAGCTCCTCTCCACCTTCCCTCCCATTTACTTCTGAATGAACTTTTCACAATAGTGCAGCGCAGTCCTAGAACCATTTACACACATTTTAAGCACTGTGTTGAGATTTATATGTAGCTGCTGTTTTAATTTCCGCATCACGTTCCATTTTTTTCCTCTCTGTATGTTCAACTTTTAACATTTCTGCAGCATAGGCTGAGGCTGCGCCCAGCTGGGGAGAGACGTGAGGCGGAGGGGATAAACCCAGAGGAATGTTGTTTCCTGTCTGAGAAGGCTCGGACCTTACAAGCGGGAGGACAAGACAAAGACTGAAAGCGAACATAATTTTATAAATTTTATTTATTTAATTTTTAGGAAATCATCTAATCATCCAGAAACAATTTTTTGGGGGGGGAAACGAAGTTTCGCTCTTGTTGCCCAGGCTGGAGCGCAGTGGTGCGATCTCGGGTCACTGCAACCTCTGCTTCCCGGGTTCAAGCGATTCTCCTGCCTCAGCCTCCTGAGTAGCTGGGATTATAGGCGCCCGCCACCATGCCTGGCTAATTTATGTGCATTTAGTAGAGACGGGGTTTCACCATGTTGACTAGGCTGGTCTCGAACTTCTGACCTCAGGTGATCCACCCGCCTCTGCCTCCCAAAGTGCTGGGATTACAGGCGTGAGCCACCACTCCTGGCTTCAAGAACAATTTCTTATCGACCCTTCCATCAAATTTTGGCTAAAACTGAAAGCCTTGACTCTTTCAGAATAGGAGACTCAGTTTGAAAACTGTCCAGACATAGAGAGGGTTTTATTAAAATTCAGTTTGCAAGTAATTATTGGCCATAGCAATTCCCTCATTCCAGAGAGAACTGTTTCTGAAATTCTGTAAACGTCTTAAATTGTTCTTAAGTTATTTATCAAGAGGAGTCCAATGTCTTGACACTTTTGAATTGATATAAAACTTCTAGGCTGAGGTGGAAGAACTGATTGAGCCAGGAGGTGAAAGTTGCAGTGAGAGGAGATTGCCACTGCACTCCAGTCTGGCAGAGTGGGACACTGTCAAAATAAAAATAAATAAATACAATCTCATGATTACAGATGTGTATGTAAAAAGCAATTTTTTTTTTTTTTTTTTTTGAGATGGAGTCTTGCTCTGTCACCCAGGCTGGAGTGTAGTGGTGTGATCTCGGCTCACTGCAACCTCTGCCTCCTGGGTTCAAGAGATTCTGTAGCTGGGACTACAGGGGCGCGCCTCGACGCGGGGCTAATTTTTGTGTTTTCAGTAGAGACAACATGGGGTTTCACTATGTTGGACAGGCTGGTCTCCAACTCCTGACCTCAGGCGATCTGCTCGCCTTGGCCTCCCAAAGTGCTGGGATTACAGGCGTGAGCCACTGCACCCAGCTGGAAAAAAAAAAACAATTCTTATGCATCAATGTGCAGACCACAATTCTCTGAACTCCAAGGAATAGGCCGGGAACGGTGGCTCAAGCCTGTAATCCTAGCACTTTGGGAGGCCGAGGCGAGACCAGACTGATCAACATGGTGAAACTTCGTCTCTACTAATAATACAAAAAAATTAGCTGGGCGTGGTGGGGCGCGCCTGTAATCCCACCTACTGGAAGAGACTGAGTCAGGAGAATCGCTTGAACCTGAAAGACGGAGGTTGCGCTAAGTCCAGATCGTGCCACTGCACTCCAGCCTGGGAGACAGAGCGGGACTCCATCTCAAAACAAAGAAACAAAGAAACAAACAAACAAACATATTATACTTTCCATTTTCACTCCCTGGGTCTCCGTACCACCCAAGGTGGATGTGTGAGCACAAGACTGGTAAAAGGAAGAAAATAGAAAAAAAGAACTACCTCGCTTAGGATGTCTTTTTTCGGAAGCTATAAGCCCACTACCGTGTTAAAGTGTCCACTAATCTTCTGTTCCTTTATGACATGCCATTGAAGAGCAAGCCAGAAAAAGAAAATCCGAAAAAAGAGAAAAGGAAATGCCTAGATAATTTCATTTTGAATTCCTTAGTTTTCTGAGCAGTGTTTTATACGGTGACCAAGCATGGGAGTATCTTCCTCATTTGACCTATTCCTCGCCTTTTCTTTCCCATCTTTTGCTGGGGAAAATTGGATCCTATTTCACACATAAATTGCAGCAGAACTTATATTTCTTGGGTGGAGGGGAGGTGAGTGAATGACGGGTGATATTGAAGACAACAGAATTAGGCGTTGGAAGATACACTGACCCTACAAATGGCAGTTTCTGTATTTTGAAGAAATGACAAAAGCAGTAGGATCACGGTGGCCGAGATAGCTCAGTTGGGAGAGCGTTAGACTGAAGATCTAAAGGTCCCTGGTTCAATCCCGGGTTTCGGCAGTTGCATTTTGGTTTTAGCATAATTGTCACTCCTTCAACACAGCGTTTGCGCACCAATCCCAGAGGTCTATATATAACTCCAGGTGTTTGTGGTTTTTTTGTTTCTTTTTTCTTTTTTCTTTTTTTTGGCTGTTTTCTGAAAATTCCATAAAGGTAATGTATACACACACACACACACACACACACACACACACACATCTATATATATATATTTACACACAAACACATATATATATATATATTTGTAACACTCTCTCCACTGAAGACTTCCATGAAGTGTTAACTGATAGGACGTAAATTATTTAAAGTCTTAAACCTAGCAAGTTATTACTTTTAAAACCTAAGAAATTCCAATATGCTATATGCTGCGGCACTTACAATTCATTTCTGATCTGATGTTATTTATGTGTGTTGGGCGGGGGTGTTTTTAAATCACAAGAAATGTGAAGAAACCTGTAGAAGAAGAACTATTATACTGTATGAGTGTATATATGTGGTGGTGGTATATTCAAGAAACATTTTGCAATTAGAAAAAACCGGGTTTGTACCTTGAGTCAACTCCATAGCTCCGCAGTTAAACTGCTGGAAAAATAACTTTTGCTTTGTTTTGTTTTTCTGAGGCAGGGTCTCACTCTGTCACCCATGCTGGAATGCAGTGGTATGATCACAGCTCACTGCAGCCTCAGCCTCCCTGGACTCAAGCGATCCTCCTATGTCAACCTCCTGAGTAGCTGAGACTACAGAAATGCAACAACAAGCCTGGCTTTTTGTTTGTTTGTTTGTTTTTTGGTTTTGTTTTTTTTTTTAATTTTTTTGGTAGAGACTGGGTTTCACCATGTTGCCCTGGCTCTTCTGGAAATCCTGGCTCACCTCTGCCTCTCACCATGCTGGGATTACAGGCTTGAGCCACCACACCAGGCCTAATTACAGGAATATTCTAAGTTTTCTTACTGACAGGAAGCCTGGCACCCTTGTCCAGAATTTCCAAATCTTAACTAATTTCTGTGTTGGAATCCAGGAAAGAACAAAAATAAGTACTTGTATATGAATTATTCTGTCAGACATTCATGAGGGGCCTTAGAATACTGAAAATGAAAGCAAATGGGCAGCAAAGTCATCAAGATTCAGGTGCATGTGCCTCATTTTCCCTTTTCCACTTCAACTTCTCTGTTGAAATACTGTGTTGGGGGTAATGGGTCTTTTTTTTCCCTCCTTTTTTCTTTCAAATTGCTGTTTCATTTTGAGAGTTATTTTCCCCTAACTCCTGCATACTGTGTGAGGAGACTAAACAATCTACAGTACTTCAACATCAGAACTGCAGCAAGTTGAAAAAGGAAAATTAGTACCAAATGAGAAGAAACCTCAGGGTGAGGACACTGACTCTACAGAAACTGTAAATCAGATACTTTATCCTTTAGGTCACTGAGGCTTTCTCAACTCAGAAGCTTGTGTTTCATTTCATTAAGAAATATTTGATTAGTCAAATGGTAGCACTGAATGTTTTCTTGCCTAACACGGTAATGATTCCTTTACATTCTGTTGAAAGGGAAGGTCTAGGGTAATTCCAAGCATGATTTGTCTTCTATTCAATAGCTTAAAAATGTAGCTAATAATAATTATGTTAAATGGGATGTTGTAAAGATCTAAGGAGATTATGCATAGAAATGCATTCTGTCGAGAACACTCAAGGCATGAAACTTAATTACTGGGAGACCATGCTCCATGTTCTCTGGCTCTGGGAATCTCCCAGAACAGCATTTAAAGAGATAACATCATCTCTAGACAATGCTGTCCAATTAAAAGATAATACAAGTCTTCTACTTTATCTTCCGGAATAAAAATAATTAAAAAAACACAAGTCATAAATGCGAGTCACTTTTGTAGTTCTAAATTTTCTAGTAGTCACATTAAAAAAAACAGGCAATATTTATTCTATATCTTTTTTTTTTTTTTTTTTTTTTTTTTTGTAGATGGAGTTTCGCTCTTGTTGCCCAGGCTGGAGTGCAATGGCGCGATCTCGGCTCACCGCAACCTCTGCCTCCAGGGTTCAAGCGATTCTCCTGCCGCCTCAGCTTCCCGAGTAGCTGGGATTACAGGCACGCGCCACCACCCCGGCTAATTTTTTTTTTGTGTGTGTGACGGAGTCTCGCTCTGTCGCCCAGGCTGGAGTGCAGTGGCGCGCGCTGCAAGCTCCGCCTCCCGGGTTCACGCCATTCTCCTGCCTCAGCCTCCCGAGTAGCTGGGACTACAGGCGACTGCCACCACGCCTGGCTAATTTTTTGTATTTTTTAGTAGAATTGGGGTTTCACCGTGTTAACCAGGATGGTCTCGATCTCCTGACCCCGTGATACGCCCGCCTCGGCCTCCCAAAGTGCTGGGATTACATGCGTGAGACCCCGCGCCCGGCCCCAATTTTGTACTTTTAGTAGATACGAGGTTTCTCCATGTTGGTCAGGCTGGTCTTGAACTCCCGATCTCAGGTGATCCGCCCACCTCGGTCTCCCAAAGTGCTGGTATTACAGGCGTGAGCCACCGAGCCCGGTCTCTATATTATTTTAAAAATAATTTCAACTTTTATGTTAGATTCAGGGGGTACATGTGCAGGATTCTTACATGGGTATATTGCATGATGCTGGGGTTGGGGTGGGATTAATCCTGTCACCCGGGTAGTGAGCATAGTATCCAATAGTTAGCTTTTCAAGCCTTTCCCCTTCCCAGCTACTCCCTAGTAGTCCCCGATGTTTACTGTTTCCGTCTTTTATGTCCAGTTTTAATAATATACGTAAATGGCCTTGTATAACAACATTATTTTAAGTAATCCATCTTAAAATTATAAGTGAGTTATTTTATATTAAAAATGATATTGCATCTTTGAAATCTGGTATATATTTTATACTTACAACACATCTTACCTTGGACTGGGCAATTTCAAGCATTCAATAGCCAATGTGGCTAATGGTAACCATATTGGAAAGTGCAGATTTAAACAGGTACTTTATATATTTTTAGGTTTTCAGAACTGAGTATGTATGACGTGAGGGTGTTCTGTCTTCAAAATTAAATGTTTAATTCCTCAGAAGAATGCTGTGATAAATAAGCTCATCCTACACATTATACGCAAAAAAAAAAGTGTTTCAATCATGTTGTTGGTAGATAGCCTGAAGATAGATATGGATATTTAATTATTTTAAATTCCCCCCTTTCATGTGGCAAACAAAAAAGCATATCTTCTTATTATGAATTCCCAAGAATCTGATAGACAGCCAGGTTTCTCTGGCTGTGACATGACATAAGGATGAAGGAGTGTTTCTGCAAACTGTCCTAATATTGCTTTTACAGCATCAAAGAGTCAAGATAATCCTCCCAAGCATTTACATGCACACACAAACAGACACAGACAGGCAGACACGCACACACATGAATACATATGAATTTTGTGTGTAACGCTTCTCTAGTCTCTCATTCAGTGAAACCTATTACTCAGTTTCCTATTTTTATTCTAGAAATCCCGTCAGCCAACTGAAAAGCCAAGTCTGCCATACAACTTGCAATCTGCCAATTTTAAAATGGATCAATGTTATTTTATTAACATTGGCAAAGGCTCATATATGGGCAAACCAGAATGAGAAAGAGTTAATCGTCACCAGAAATTTGGTTCCGAGAAATGGGTTTTCTTCTCATCTTCTTATATAGTTCAAAGAATCCAGTCTCACCGTGATAAGTCCCAAGATTCGAGAACTAGTTAGAAGAAAACTTGTTTGTTGCCTACAAATATCACGAATAGGTTTGTAATTTCCATATCTCAAAGTACACTTTTTAGTCTTTATCCACCTCCATGTAATGTGTCTACTACTACTAATGCTTACAAACCCCAGGCTGGAGACGGAGTTAATTGCCTGAGTTCTCTGTGTAATATCCTCACAGGCGTGCCCCACAGATATTTTAAATTTAGCATGAGCCAAACTAACTCATCTTCTCCATCTTTCAATCTTTCTCCCATTCCTGAAAGAGTTGTTAAAACCTCCCCTTTTCTGTGCCTGCTTGTCTTTGGCAATAGCATGTTTGTTTTTCTGAACTACTCTTCAATCCTGTTTCTATTTATCTTTCGTCTTACTCTCATAATTCAACCCTCATCTCCACCCCCAAAGCTGGTTTTCATTTATGCCTTATGAATTCCCTCCCCTCACCTCCCGTCTTCTTCTCTCTCTCTCTCCTTTCCTTCCTTCCCTTCCTCCCTCTTTCTCCTTCCTTCCTTCCTTTCTCCCTTCCTTCCCCACTTCCTTCCCTCTTTCCCTCCCTCCGTCCCTCACTCCCACTTTCTCTTGCTTGCTTGCTTGCTTGCTTTTCTCACTCCATTGTCCGGGCTCGAGGGTAGTGGTGCAATCATAGCTCCCTACAATCGCTAACTCCCGAGTTCAAGCGATCCTCGTGCCTCAGCCTCTGGAGTTGTGAGTACAGGAGTAAGACACCACGCCAGCTAAGGACCCCTGTGAAAAAATGTTGAGTGCACCGCTCTCAGGTTTTCTTCTGATCATGGCTTTCCTCTATCAAATCTTACCTTTGATATTCCGACTGAGCAAACAACAATTATGAAGCGTTTTAGGCAGGAAAAGGCTGAATTTCAATGGCTTTGTGTTATATCTGGAAGAAATCAAAAGAAACGAAAATCAGAACTTGATTCTTGCCAAGCATAATAGAAGCAGACCCTAAGAACTCAACGTCTTCAGGCCACAAAGGAAACTTCTTGTGGTTATTATCTGACACTTTTCTAATCTTTCGTTTTTCGTTTCAAGTCCTACACAGTATTCTAAAGAATCTGTATCCCCCATTAGTACCAAGTATCTCCTGCTCAGAGTAGCTCTCCACGCTCTATGGTACTGACCACTATTACCAGCATGCTCACGGAGTCTCAGGAAATGAAAGTTAACTCCTGAAAATTATTACAAATGGGTGTTATAGTAAGGGGGTGTAGCTCAGTGGTAGAGCGCATGCTTTGCATGTATGAGGCCTCGGGTTCGATCCCCGACACCTCCAAGTGATGGTTTCCCTCTGGCAGTTCTCAAGCGACAGACCTCTGCCTCCTCACATTTTTCTATTCTATTTCTGCACATATAGTAAGTAAAAATGTACTCCAATGCATTGCCTTGAACTATCTCCAACCTCTATGCTGTGAGCCTCAACATCACATAAGGCGATTGCGACAGCAGAAGGAAGACAAAAAAGTAACGAGGGGGAAAGAACAGGATCGCAACAGTGGTCTCTTGACCCAAACAAAAGCATGAACATTCACAGGCGGCTTGCGTTCGCTCCCATTTTGTTTTGTTTTGTTTTGTTTTTGTTTGTTTGTTTTGTTTTTTGAGACGGAGTTTTGCTCTCGTTGCCCAGGCTAGAGTGCAGTCGCACCACCTCGGCTCACTGCAACCTCCGCCTTCCGGTTTCAAGAGATTCTCCTGCCTCAGCCTCCCAAGTAGCTGGGATTACAGGCGCCCGCCACCACGCCCAGCTAATTTTTTTGTATTTTTAGTAGAGACGGGGTTTCACCATGTTAGTCAGGCTGGTCTTGAACTGCCGACCTCGTGAGCCACCCGCCTCGGCCTCCCAAAGTGCTGGGATTACAGGCGTGAGCCACCGCGCCCGGCCTTCCATTTTGTACTATGATTAAAGAGACGCAAAGACCAAGAAGAGAGAAAAATGCCAGTGGGCATCTTTTTTTTTTTAAGTTATTTTTGTTTTCTGGGCCAAAGAACAGAGCGAAAGCATCTGTCCACTCATTTCTACACCAGTCTCTCCCTGTCAACCTACATAGGGACATAAGTGCGATCCAATACTGAGACAAGGACTGCTGTGGCTCTCTAGCCACTTGAGATAGGAGTGGCAGGACGCTGGACGGCCAAACGAAGACTGTCCGGGAATTAGAGGCCTTCAACATGCAAGAAGCAGAAACTAATACGGATCAACATTCCCTACTGATATTCCATAAGACTGATTCATATTCATATTCCTGCATTTCCTCAGTCACTGTAATATTGCCTGGGAACTTCTGGTAACAGCAAACAGAGGCCCATAAGAAAAAACCAGGGAAAGGTTTTCTGTCACAATGGAAAATACATGCAGAGTAAAAGGTAAGTAGATCGCAATTGTGTGGGCGCTTTCTGCCTTGGAAAAAACCAAACAAACATTTCATGTTCTTTCTCGATCCATCTGATTACAACTGCTTTTTTTGAAAAGGGAACTCCCAAGAAATTCTATGCACTCATGGTACCTGTTAAAGGTTTCCAATGGTATACAGTTTCAAAACTGCTGTTCTCTCTGTACATATTTATTTATTTATTGTTGAATTAAAGTGTCTTTGAGAGACAAGAAACTACAATGTTTATTCCCAGTCCACCAGCCTAACACTCTATCAGGCTGGCATGTCTTTACTTCTTGATTCTTTTGTCCAGTGAAAGTATCTATAACTAGCATCCAGGAGGGATACGGTCTAGTGAAACCTGCTTAGCTGAGGACTGGCTGTGTGTGTGCCCCCAGGCCAATCACATGTTTGTTTTGAGATACATTTTTTGGAGGAAGGTAATACCCACGTGTCATGTATTTTCTTTTTGTTTCATACTTTTTCTTTTTTAATTTCCTGGCATCTATTGGTTCTCTCCAGGCAAACAGCGGCATGTCAGCCACAGCAGACACTGCACAGGAGAGCAAGGGGTGGGGAATTAGGGTGCTGCAAGCAGAATGCTAAATTCCAGGCCTAACCTCAGATCTATTGAATCAGAACTGCTGAGCATGGGGCTCAGCCTCTTGTGTTTGAATAAGCCCTCAAGTGACTCTGATGCTAAAGTTTGAGAAGCACTGTTCTAGAAGTTTAAGAAGGAGGTCCCAGGATCAGGTGGCTGCTGAGGGGGAAGATTTTTTCCTAGGGTTCCTTGCCTATTCTCAATCAAAAACTTAAACCACGTAGGACAGCCAGTGGGGTTTGTAGTTGCATTATGTCAGGGGTGGGGTTGGATTTACCATTTCTTTTTTGTTTGTTTTTGTTTTGTTTTGTTCTGTTTTTGTGAGAGGGAGTCTTGCTCTGTCACCCAGGCTGAAGTGCAGTGGTGCAATCTTGGCTCACTGCAACCTCCGCCTATTGAGTTCAAGCGATTCTCCTGCCTCAGTCTCCTGAGTAGCTGGGATCACAGGCGCCTGCCACCATGCCCAGCTAATTTTTGTTTTTTAGTAGAGACGGGGTTTTGACATATTGGTCAGGCTGGTCTCAAACTCCTGACCTCAAGTGATCTACCCACCTCGGCCTCCCAAAGTGCTGGGATTACAGGCGTGGGCCACCATTCCCAGCCTCCTTCATCTTTTTGATGTCAGCTGAGTCTACAGTGATGTCCTCTTTTTATTCCTGATGTTGGTAAACTGTGTCATCTCTCTGCTGAAAATTTCTATCTTGCTAGAGTTCTTCTTTTATTGATCCTTGAAAGGAACTAGCTTTTTGTTTGTTTTTCTATTTTTTTGTGTGTGTGTGTGCGTGTGTTCCATTTCACTGATTTCTGCTTTTATTTTTTATTATTTCCTTTCTTCTATTTGCTTTGGGTTATTTTGCTCTTTTTCCCACCTGATTTCTACAAGTAAGAGCTTAGAGGACTGATTTGGGACTTTTTTCTTTTCTAATGTATGCACTTAGTGCTGTATATTTCTCTCTCAGCACTCCTTTAGGATATCTTGGAATTTTTAATATATTGTATTTTCATTTTTATTCATGCTACCTTATTTTTTGATATCTACTAAGGTTTTCTCTTTGTTGTATGAACTGTTTAGTAGTGTGTTGTTCATTTTCCAAGCGTTTGGACATTTTTCTGTCTTTTTGTGACTGATTTTTACTTTAATTTCATTTTGGTCAGGGATTATACCATATTAGTTAATTCTTTTAAATTTGTTGAGGTTTGTTTTATGGCCCAGGATATGTTTTACCTTTACCTATATTCAGTGTGGATTTGACTAGTGTGTTCTGCTCTTCCTGTGTGGACTGTTTTATAAATGTTAACTGAATTCTGGTGGCTGAAGATGTTTGAGTTCTTCAACACTCTTTTTTTTTTTTGAAGCAGAGTCTTGCTCTGTTGCCCAGGCTGGAGTGCAGTGGCGCTATCTCGGCTCACTGCAAGCTCAGCCTCCCGGGTTCACGCCATTCTCCTGCCTCAGCCTCCAGAGTAGCTGGGACTACAGGCACCCGCCACCACGCCCGGCTAATTTTTTTGTATTTTTTAGTAGAGATGGGGTTTCACCGTGTTAGCCAGGGTGGTCTTGATCTCCTGACCTCATGATTCGCCCGCCTCGGCCTCCCAAAGTGCTGGGATTACAGGTGTGAGCCACCACGCCCGGCCTAGTTCTTCAACATTCTTGCTGATTTTCTGTTTAGTTGTTCTATCAATCATTATGAGAGAAGTTTTGAAGTCTCCAAAGTAATTGTGGATTTGTCTATTTTTTTTTAAAGTTCTGTTTTTTTATCTTTACATATGTTGCAGCTCTCCTGTTTGGTGGATACATATTTAGGATTGTTATGTCTTCTATTTCTTTCCCTGCCTCCCTCTCTTCTTTCTTTTTCTTCTTTATTTAACCAAGAAAGAACAAATTTACTATTACTTTCCCTACCAAAGCAGTCTCTCATCACCTCCTGACTCTGAGAATTAAATTCTGTTTCCTTCAGATGTCCTTAGTTGATTGACTCCCAAACAGGGAGTGTGAACAGGAAAATAGAATAAAACACCTGTTAGATTTGAATACAAATTGAGAAATTTGTATCTTTGTTTCTGCCTGGAAACATTTAAAATGGAATGGGAACCACATGAGAAGCACATATTGTCCACATCTTGGGATCATTTCAGACCATCTTGCCTCTTCAACCAAACAATCAGCAACAATGGAATATATATATATATATACTCCATATATATATATATATACTCCATATATATATATATATATACTCATATATATATATATACTCCATATATATATATACATATATACTCCATATATATATATATACTCCATATATATATATACTCCATATATATATATACTCCATATATATATATATATACTCCATATATATATATATATATATACACTCCATATATATATATATGGAGAGAGACACAGAGAGAGATCTCAAAGATTATTTCTCTAAACTATTTGATGATTTTCAGACATTATATCTTTTTAATCCCTAAATTCATCAATGTGTATTTCTTAAAACAAGATCAGTTCCTTAACACAGCACAATTATCAAATTCAGTAAACTTAACATTGATAAAATAGCATTATCTAATATACAATCTATAAAAATTTAACTAATTGTATCAATACAATCTTTTATAGAAATTTCTCTCCCAAGCTAGGATCCATTTCACAGACACATATGAATCTAATTGTCTTGACTCTTTAGTCTCCTTTAATTTAGAACAGTTGCTCAATTGTGTCTTTCACAACTTTGATAATGTTTTTGAAGAGTATATGCCAGTGGTTTGTGGAATATTTCTTAATTTGTCCTACTCATGGTAAGATTAAGTTTATGGAAATTGGAAGAAATGTCACAAAAAATCATATTATCCTCTATCACACCAAGAAGCATGTGATGCCAATTTTCCCCATTATTAGTGAAGTTAGCTTTCATCATTTGGTTAAGTTTGTAACTACTATTTCTTCCCTGCAAAAGTATCATCTTCCTCATTGTAATCAATAAGTAAGCTCTAGAGAAATACTCTGAGACTATATAAATATCCTGATCCTCATCAAAATTTTACCTATACTTTTAGCATTGACTTATAATTTTGCCTGCACCTATCAGCATTCTGATGGTGTCCAGATTTTCTAATTTTCTAATGGGGATTTGCAAATTTTATCCTTCTTTCCACATTTATTAGCTGGCATACCACTGTAAAGAAAATCTTCCCATCTTCCATATTTATTTATTTATTTGAGACAGAGTCTCGCTTTGTCGCCCAGGCTGTAGTGCAGTGGCATGAGTCCTGGAGTCAGTGTAGTTGACACTAGTAGCTACTTTCTATTAGTATCTCTGGTGCCTTTTAGTAGGGAATGGTATTTGTGAATCAAAATATTGTTATCTTTGCTTATTGTTTCTGAGGTATTTCTTCCAGGGCCAGTTAGCAGACAGATCTGCAGGGAAATTTTACTTTTTTTTTTTTTGAGACAAAGTCTAAGTCACCCAGGCCAGAGTGCGGTGGCAGGATCTTGGCTCACTGCAACGTCTGCCTCCTGAGTTCAAGCGATTCTCCTGCCTCAGACTTCCGAGTAGCTGGGACTACAGGCACGCACAACCACATCCGGCTAATTTTTGTATTTTTAGTAGAGACGGGGGTTTCACCATGTTGGCCAGGCTGTTCTCCAACTCCTGACCTCAAGTGAGCTGCCCGTCTTGGCCTGCCAAAGTGTTGAGATTACAAACGTGAGCCACTGCGCCCAGCCTATAAAATTACATATGTATAATTTCATACTGACGCCTCCAATTCCCATCAACACCAACAGGACTATTCTTTACCTTCTTTCTCTTACAGTGACAGCCTGGTTCCAACACACCCGGTCACACACACTCATTTTCCCAATCCTAAAATTCACACAAAATCTCAGAATTCTTACAGCCCTAGCTCTACAAAAATAACCCTGATACAGAGTTCAAGATTTGTTTGCAATTCTTTTTAATCTTACAATTAGAACAACAAACTGTATAAACCATTTTCATAGATCAGTTCTTTCCTTTTCAAGTAGGAGTATGTTATTGTTTCACAATGCAATTTTACACTTGATCTTAGCCAAAAGGCCGAGAAGCGATAGACAACGCCATTTGAATTTGCCTCTATTCGTATTGAATTTTAAGGTATTTTCACACGCACTTGAGTCAGTTTTATTTTTTGACTATGTGAAACACCAACATGCTTCCAAGAGTCAAAAGAATACAGAAAGTTATAATCAGAAAATTTGCAAGAGAATGTTGTATACCGGGACACACTCAAATGATAGAATGCAAGTATGCTCCAGGAAGTCTAACGTGATGGAGAGTCCACCTTGGGGTGAGTTGATCTTGGGTTGACCACAAATCAGGAACAGTGCCTTTATTTTTACCACTAAGCTACTTTCCTTTCTTTTCTCTTTCTTTCTTTCTCTTTATTTCTCTCTTTCTTTCTTTGTTTCTGTCTCTCTCTCTCTCTCTCTCTCTCTTTCTTCTTTCTTTCTTTTTTTGAGACGGAGTCTCGCTCTGTCGCTCAAGCTGGAGTGCAGTGGCCCGATCTCGGCTCACTGCAACCTCTGCCTCCCGGGTTCAAGCAATTCTCTACTTCAGAGTAGCTGGGATTACAGGCGCCTGTCACCACGCCCGGCTATTTTTTCTATTTTTAGTAGAGACAGGGTTTCACTATCTTGCCCAGGCTGGTCTTGAACTCCTGACCTCGTGATCCACCCGCCTCAGCCTCCCAAAGTGCTGGGATTACAGGCATAAGCCACTGCACCCGGCTAAGCTACTCTTCTTTTGGCCCAGCCGTGCCTAAAAGAGGAAGCGCTTCATGTAGGGAATTAACAATGGAATTGGAAACATATAGTGATTATCCTGACACAGAGGGCAGGCTCACATATTGGCCGTCACCAAAGCGTTTTCCGAAGGCCCTGAGTCCAGAGGGGGTATAGCTCAGTGGTAGAGCGCGTGCTTAGCATGCACGAGGTCCTGGGTTCGATCCCCAGTACCTCCAGGCCGTGTTTTCTTCCCCGGGACACCAGTAAGAAGCGGTCCATGATATTCCCCAACTTTAAATTTTTCTGTCTGTCAAGGTGAATTGTGTTGGCCTCTGCATTTCTCTCTCATACAGAGGGTGATGCGTGTTCATTCACTTGAGGTTATTTGCTGCCTAGGATTATCCGCCTATTCTTTCTAAGCAGTCCCATCAATCATTAACATGGACCACGCACGGGGGAAGCAAGTAGTATTCCTGGCCATCCAGCCAATTTCTAGCTGTAAATGAAATCATCAGAAACCATAGACCTGTGTGGCCCAAGTCTGATTTCAGATCAGAAGCTAAAAGGCTCAAGTCTTTTTCTGTTTCTTTTTCTAACTCCTCCTAACCAGGTTGCAGAAGCCCTACAAGCTTTCACTAAAAGATTACACTGCCAGGGGTTGATGGTTTGATGTGTGGTGGTAACCTTTTCCATTGGAGACCCACAAACTCTGAAACTTAAACTACTTAACTACAAACACACAACAAATGACGAAAAGACAGCATTCACCTCAGCTGAAATTTGGTGGAAGTAAAAAGCACTTCTCTGGGTCCTCTGAGGAAGCTTCTGGTCTGAGATGCAAACACTCTGAACTCCAGGGACCAAGATCAGTATAGGAGAAAGCTCATTTTGCTGTTTTACATAAATAAAAGTAATGAACGTTTATTTTTCCAATCCCAAAGGATCCTTTTGTACCTCACAGTACTTACTCTCCAGGATTGACCTCCTTCTAAGCTAGGGAACAACCCATACCTCCAGATTAGAGCTCTTTGTGGTATCACAGTGCCAAGCAGAAATCCACAGAGAAATACTCTGCAAGCATCTTAATACTATCTTGTTAAAAGAAAATCTGCTTTTATTTTCAGCTCTATTTCATGCCAACAAAGGAAATAAAAAATAAGTTACTAAACATCCAGAAGGCAGAAAAGCGACCTCTCTCCATCTGCAGAAGCCAAGCAAACTTGTGGGCTTCCCTATGCATCCTTTCTTTTACTCACTTTCTAAACGCTGTAACGGCCACTATCTATCAGGTGGTCACAAGCCATCGCTAAAGTCAATCTGAGGTCAACCCACTCGACTTGTGAGGGATTCAGCTATACTGCCTCTGCGCCTCTAATAGGACTAAGGAGGCGGTGGTTGCACAAGTAGTTAACACCGATTGTACCGTGACTCCGCCTTTCCGCAGCCGCTCTCCAGCTCTTTAGAGTCCTTTTGAGTCAAGCTGGACGTGAGACATACAGGAGATCGTTGCAAACGCCAGGAGGAGTTTCTTCAGGGTGAAGTTAACTTTCAATCGGCTTCATTCTAAGAGAAATATGTGGAGCAAACAAACGGAAACTTTCTTTCTCATCTTTTGCATTTCAAGCAAAAACTAATAAAATTAGATGTTTCCACCGTCATGCTCAGTTTCGAAGCTGCCAGCAGATCCCGCTTCTAACTTTTAACACAGGCACGCAGGAAATCGGGAAATCCCTGCAGCTCCCTCAGAAGCTACAGTATCAGCGGTTCCTGAAGGGCAAACCAAAACCCAGTATCACTCTCTCCTCCAAAGAGTTCAGCCGGTCTGCTGAGCGACGGAAATAGCGGAGAGGCGCTCTTGAAGCCGAAACGAACCAGGTCCCCTTCCTGGTCGAGTCTTCCTCCCTAAGGACAAAAAAAGTACCTTTCTTCCCTCATATCCAGAGGAAGCGACGGAGGGATGTGGCGCTTAGACTCACTGTACCATCCCGTCCATCCAAGTCCTAATAATCATGAGGATGCGACAGAGCGAGACTCCGTCTCAACAAAACAAAACAAAACAACCCTAAGGAAGAGAGAGAATGTACTGGAGGATAGGAAGTACTTAGGAAAACCTTTTTTTTTCTTGTATTTAAATTTAAGCCTTCATTTATATAAAATAAAACACATGAAACCTATTCAGCTTACGGCTTATTATATATAACCAAAATTCAGGCCAAGATACTGAATTTTTCAGCAACCAACAGCTGCCTTTTGCCTCATTTCAATTATCCTAACTCTCTGACCTCCACCTCCATAGATTATTTTTCTTATGTTTTAAATAATATAAATGGGATCATATAATATCATCGTAGTCTATTTTGGGCTGCTACAAAATCACTCAAGACTGGTAATTTGTAACGAACAGAACCCTTCCCTTCCCTTCCCTTACCTTCCCTTCCCTTCACTTCCTGACAGAGTTTCACTCTTGTTGCCCAGGTTGGAGTGCAGTGGCTCAGTCTTGGCTCACTGCAACCTCTGCCTCCCGGATTCAAGCAATTCTCCTGTCTCAGCTTCCTGGGTAGCTGGGATTACAGGCGAATGCTACCACGCCCAGCTAATTTTTCTGTATTTTTAGTAGAGATGGGGTTTCACCATGTTTGCCAGGCTGGTCTCGAACTCCTGACCTCAGGTGATCCATCCACCTTGGCCTCCCAAAACCCTGGGATTACAGGAGACAGCCACTGCACCAGGCCCAGAAACATTTTCTCACAGTTCTGGAGGCTGGGAAGTTCAAGATCAAGTCACTGGCTCTCATGTCTGGTGATGGCCTTTTTGTTGTGTTCTCACATGGCAGAAAACTGAAGGCAATAGAGAGATGAACTTCCTTTGTCAACTCTTATTATAAGGGTACCTAATATTATTCATGAGGAAGGAACCCTCATGGCTTAATCTTCTTAAAGGCCCTATGTCTTGATAATTATCACATGGTGACACCTAAGCTTTGGAGGGGACACTTTCAAACCACAGCAAATCTGTACTCATTTGAGTATGGATTCTTTCACTTAATTTTTGTTAAAAAAAATTAGATTCATTTTCTTTTCTTTTTTCTTCTTTTTTTTTTTTTCAAGGTGGAGACTTGCTCTGTCGCCCAGGCTGGAGTGCAGTGGCGCGATCTTGGCTTACTGCAAGCTCTGCCTACCAGGTTCACGCCATTCTCCTGCCTCAGCCTCCCGAGTAGCTGGGACTACAGGTGCCATCCACCACGCCCAGCTAATTTTTTGTATTTTTAGTAGAGACAGGGTTTCACTGTTTTAGCCAGGATGGTCTCGATCTCCTGACTTCGTGATCTGCCCGCCTCAGCTTTCCAAAGTGCTGGGATTACAGGCGTGAGCCTCCGTGCCCAGCCTTCATTTTCTATATATTGTTGCTAGTAACAGTAGTTATTTTCTGTTGCTCTCGAGTATTCTATTGTCTGAATACTGTACATCATGATTTATTAATTCATTTTACTGTCCAAGTACATTTGCAGCACCCCTCGTTTTTGGTTGAAATGTCTAATGCTGCTGTAAACATTCTGATACATGTCCTTCAAGGGAGATGCTCATGCACTTCTCTTGGGTATAAATGTAACCGTCTAGTTTTGGGGTCATAGCATATATATATATATATATATATTTAGTTGATATTTTCAGATAGTTTCCCAGTGTAGATATAGCAGTTTACAGTCTCATCAGCCATGTATGCACGTTCCAATTGCTTCACATACTCAGCAACACTTGATATTATCCACTTTTTGGGTTAAATGATTCCAATGAAGAGCAATATTATTTTGTGTTTTTTTTTTTCGACAGTGTCTTGCTGTGCTGCCCAGGCTGGAGTGCAGCGGCACAATCTTGGCTCACTGTAGCCTTTGCCTCCCAGGATCAAGAGATTCTCATGCCTCAGCCTCCTGAGTAGTTGGGACTACAGGGGCATGTGGCCGTCTAAATTTTTGTATTTGTAGTAGAGACCGGGTTTCGCCATGTTGGCCAGCTGGTCTTGAACTCCTAACCTCAAGTGATCCACCCGCCTCGACCTCCCAAACTGCTGGGAGTATAGGCGTGAGCCACTGTGTCCAGCATTGTTGTGTTTTTAATTTGCATTTCCTTTATAGCAAAAGATGTCGAGCATATTTTATTTTACTCAATAGCGATTTTTTGTGAAGTTCATATTAATTTGCTCTTTCTTATTGAAGTTTTAGTCTTTTTCTTAGTGCTTTGTAGAAGTTCTTAACATATTCCAGATAAAGATCCTTAGTAAAATATAAGTATTGGAATATCTTCTCCTAGACTGTGGCTCATCATCTTTTCTTAAGGAGGATGGGGCTTGAAAAACTTTGTAAGCAGATGAAAGAGAAGAAATGGAGACAGACAGGTTGAAGACCCCAGAGGAAGTTCCATCTGGACATCTTACCTGTTGGCTGTGGGAGAAAATGCCCCCAGGCAGTTTGCTGGAGAGGAAACCTCAGAATAAACTGATGGGATGAAATGTTCCAAAAGCAGAAACTGTGTTCTGGTCTGTGATTCTCTTACATTTCTCCTAGCAGCTTCAGGGGATATAGTTTAGAGGTAAGAAATAGTGAGATATGAGACAGTGGATTTTCTATCCGGCCAACTTACCATATTTTTGAAGACCTCTCAGAAATATGACTAATGCGTCAAAAAAGATCTTCACGATGTTTCTGTAGCGAGAGAGGTGTGGCTCAGTGGTAGTGTGTCCTTGCCTTGCACAGAGTTCAAAAGCATACATGTTCATCTGTTTTTCACAATTCTCGCCACTCTGTACTTTTCTCCTTTTAAAAACATGCCTTGCGTGGTCACACTAAAATAAACATATTATACTTTCCATTTCCACTCCCTGGGTCTCTGTACCACCCAAGGTGGATGTGTCAGCACAAGACGAGTGAAAGGAAGGGAATAGCGAAAATGAATTTTCTCGCTCAGGATTTCCTTAGTCAGAAGCTATAAACCTGCCACCACATTAACGTGCCCAATAATCCTCTGTTCCTTTTTGCCATATCGTTGAAGAGCAAGACAGAAAAACAAGAGCCCAGAGAAAAGGAAAAGCCTAGAAAATTTTCTTTTGAATTCCCTTGGTATTCTGAGCAGTGACCATGTAGGGGAGCATGTTCTTACTTTGCTCTATTCTTCATTTTTGCCTTTTCTTTCCCTGGCTTTTGCTAACCCATTCATTGTCCTTAAAATTGGGTCCTGTTTTCAGACATAAATTGGGGAAGAATCTATATTTTGGGGGTGAAGGGGTGAGTGAATGACAGGTGATATTGAAGACAACAGAATTGGAAGATATACTGACCCTACAAATGAGTTTTTATATTTTGAAGAAACACCTAAAACAACAAATTCGGGAAGCCGAAATAGCTCAGTTGGGAGAGCGTTAGACTGAAGATCTAAAGGTCCCTGGTTCGATCCCGGGTTTCGGCAGGGTTTTTTTTTTTTCTTTCTTTCTTTCAGTTTTGCCTAATAGAACCCTTATTTTGTTTATTTATTTATTTTTTGACGGAGTTTCACTCTTGTTGCCCAGGCTGAGTGCAATGGAGCGAACTCGGCTCACCGCAACCTCCGCCTCCTGAGTTCAAGCGATTCTCCTGCCTCAGCCTCCCGAGTAGCTGGGATTACAGGCATGCGCCACCACGCCTGGCTAATTTTGTATTTTTAGTAGAGACGGAGTTTCTCCATGTTGGTCAGGCTGGTCTCGAACTCCCGACCTCAGGTGATCGGCCCGCCTCGGCCTCCCAAAGTGCTGGGATTACAGGCGTAAGACACAGCGCTCGGCTGATACAACCCTTATACAACACTTGCATGCCAATCCCAGAAAGGTGTATAGAACTCCAATTTTTTGCTGTTGAAAATCCGATAAAGGTAATACACACACACACACACACACACACACACACACGCATATATATATATATGCATCACTCTCTGCTTTGGTTGCATATTCCAGTGAAGTCTTCCATGAAGCGCTGACATTAAATAAATTATTTACAGTCTGAAACCTAGGAAGTGATTTTTTTTTTTTTGAGATTGAGTTTCGCTCCGATGCCCAGGCTGGAGTGCAGTGGCGCGATGTCGGCTCAGTGCAATCTCCGCCTCCCGGGTTCAAGGATTCTCCTGGCTCAGCCTCCCCAGTAGCTGGGATTACAGGCGCCTTCCATTTCAAGTCGTATACTGTATTCTAAATAATTTGTATCCCCCGTTAGTACCTAGTATCTTCTACTCACAGCAGCTGCAGACGCTCCACAATACTCAGAAAAAGAAAGTTACCTCCTGGAAATTATTACAAGAAGGATTTTTTTCAGGAAGGGGGTGTAGCTCAGTGGTAGAGCGCATGCTTTGCATGTATGAGGTCCCGGGTTCGATCCCCGCCACCTCCAAACGGTGACTTTTTGCTCTGGTAGTGCTCAAACCTAATTCTCAAGCAACATAGACTTGCTTCTGCCTCCGCACCTTTTTCTGTCCTATTTCTGCACATATAGAGAGTAAAGACGTAACCCAATGGGTTGCCTCCATTTATAACCCATTTCTATGCCGTGAGCTTCGACATCACTGAAGGCGATTGTGACGGCAGAAGGAAGGTGAAAAAGAAATGAGGAAGAAAGAAGAATGGGATCCCAACAGGGTCTCTTGAACCCAAACAAAAGTGTGCACATCCACGGGAGGTTCACATTTGCTCTCATTTTGTGCTATGATTAAAGAGAAGGAAAGACAAAGAAGAAGGGAGAAAAGCGCCCCGCGGCCATTCTTTTTTTTTTTTTTTTTTTTTTTTTTTTTGGAGACAGAGTCTCGCTCTGTAGCCCAGGCTGGAGTGCAGTGGCTTAATCTTGGCTCATTACAACCGCTGCCTCCCGGGTTCAAGCGATTCTTCTGCCTCGGCAGGTGGGTTTACAGGTGCGTGCCATCAGGCCCGGGTAATTTTTGTATTTTTAGTAGAGACGGGGTTTCACCATGTTGGCCACACTGGTCTCGAACCCCAGACCTCAGGTGATCCACCCGCCACAGTTTCCCAAAGTGCTGGGATTACAAGCGTGAGCCACCGCTCCCAGCATCATCTTTTTTGTTTGTTTGTTTTTTGTTTTTTTTTACTTTAGTTTTGTTTTCTGGGCCAAAGAACAGAGCGAAAGCATCTGTCCACTGATTTCTCCTCCAGTCTCTCCCTGTCAACCTGCGCAGAAAGCACAGCCACAAGTGTAATCCAATACTGAGACAAGGACTGCTGTGGCTCTCCAGCCGCTTGAGATGGGAGTGGAAGGACGCTGGATGACCGAACAAAGACTGTCAGGGAATAAGAGACCTTCAACATGAGAGGAGCAGAAACCAATACGGATCAACATTCCCTACTGATACAATTGATTCATTTTCCTGTATTTCCTCAGCCATTCCATTTTCCTTGTTAAAATAAAACATTGCCTGGAAACCTCTGTTAACAGCCAACGGAGGACTCATGTGAAAAAGTAGGAAAAGTTTTTCTGTCACAATGGAAAATAGACGCAAAGTAAAAGGTGAGTGGATCGCAGGTGTGTTGAGCACTTCCTCAGGTAAAAACAAAAGAAAACAAATTTTTTTTGTTCTTTCTCTGTCAATCCCATCACAATTGCATTGCATGACCAGGGAACTCCCAGGAAATCCTATTCACTGATGATACCTTTTAGGGGTTTCCAATGTTGTATGTTTCAAAATTGCTGTCCTCTGTACATGTTTGCTGTTGAATCAAAGCATCTTTGAGAGGCAACAGAGTATGATGTTTGTCACCATCCACCAGTCTAACACTCTATCAGGCTGGGATGTCCTCACTTCTTGATTCTTTTATCCGGTGAAAATATCCATAACCAGTATCCAAGAGGGATACTGTCTGGTGAAACCTGCTTAGCTGAGGATTGGCTGTGTGCCCCCAGGCCAATCATATGTTTGTTTCAAGAAGCATTTTTTGGAGACAGGTAACGAAGAGATGCCATATATTTTCTTTTCATTTCTTAATATTTCCCCCCTACTATCTACTGGTTCTCTCCAGGCACTTTAAGGAAATAGTGTCATGTTTGCCACAAAGGATGCTGCACAGGAGAGCAAGGCATGAGGGATTAGGGTGCTACTAGTGGAATGTCAAATTCCAGGCCCAACCTCAGATCTACAGAATCAGAATTGATGAGAGTGGGACCCAGCCACCTGTGTTGAATAAGCCCTCAAGTGACTCTGATGCTAAAGTTTGAGAAGCACTGCTCTAGAAGTTTCAGAAGGAGTTCCCAGGGCCAGATGCTTGCTAAGGAGAAAGAGTTGCTCCCGGGGTTCCCTGCCTATTTTCAATAAAAAACTCAAACCACGTAGGAAAGCCAGTGACGTATTTGCATTACATCAGGATGAGAGTGGATTTATTACCTCTTTGAGACCTTCAATATTTTAGATGACTAGAGATCACACACAAGAGCCTCTGATTTTCCTGTAGAAGAACTCACAGGGGTTCTTTAGAGCCAGGAGACTCTTTCCAGCCAAAATACCTGGAGCCATCTCAAGCTATTTTGGCCTTTCAATTTGAAACCTAAGGCCTTTCCTTAGAGCTTGGAAGTTTCTAAGCTCTGAGGAAGACACTGTAATCATTCTTGCTCCACCCTCAGGGTTGGAATTCACCCTGCTCTCTGTCAAGCCCCCACCAATTCTGCCAATATTCTGGTCTAAGATCCAGTTGTTAAAAACCCAGTCTATGTGGCTGGGGGCGGTGGCTCATGCTTGTAATCCCAGCACTTTGGGAGGCCAAGTCGGGTGAATCACGAGGTCAAGAGATCGAGACATTCCTGGCCAACATGGTGAAACCCGTCTCTACCAAAAATACAAAAATTAGCTGGGCATGGTGGCCGGGGAGGCTGAGGCAGGAGAATAAAAAATTAGCTGGGCATGATGGCCATGCCTGTAGTCCCAGCTACGGGGAGGCTGAGGCAGGAGAATCCCTTGAACCTGGGAAGCGGAGATTGCAGTGAGCCGAGATGGCACCACTGCACTCAAGCTTGGTGACACAACGAGACTCCATCAAAAACAAAAAACAAAAACAAACAAAAAAAGCAATCTAATGCATAAAATGTAATTAAAATATCTTCGCAGCATTAAGTAGAGAGTTCCTTGTTGTTAGGAGACTCTTCCTCCTTGGAAGATGTTCTCTGTCTGTCTACCTTCTGCGTTTTCACATTTGTCTCTTCCTCTCCACACCTAAGCCAGTGCTTTATTTCCACTTATCTCGTGTAGGGATATACTTTTGTGTGGTGACCTTGGTTTTGCCCACTCTTCTTGCTTCCAAGAGTTGGATGTAGGCAATGTAGGAGCCCACTGCCAAAGTGTGGGTGATATTCTCCAGAAAGAAACCTAAATTTCAGAGGCTTGCTGATATGGAAGAAAGCCTAGGATATTCGACTCATAGAGCTTCGCACTGCTAGGCAGGTTGAAATCTGGACACCCTGAATTCCTTAGGAACAAGGTATAAGTACTTCTGAAAACCAATTTAAGTTTAAAATTACTGAGACTCCCTGATCTTTCTTGTATTTCATGACATATTCCAAGCTCAAGAAGCTAAACACACACACACACACTCAAATACCAAAACAGAACACACTCTCCTACCTATAACAAAGGGGCTTAAGCAGGAGGGTCTAGAGAGACCTGGTTCAACACTCTCCCCCTGACGAACAGTAGGGATTGGAAATAGGCGGCTTCTCTGTCCTTTCCTCGGAAGCCACCAATACCACCCGCCTGTACCAAAACTCAAGGGTACCCCTGCTCCCCAGTACCCCAGCCAGTAAAGGAGCTGCGAGGCGTTCTCAACGCCGCGACTACCTTGAGTAAAACGAGGGAGATCTTGCGGGGAAAGTGTTTTCAGCTCACTTCTCCTACAGGGAATGAGCCCTCTCACCTATCGTGGACACCGAGGAAACGCAGCAGAGATGGGCACCCAGGCTGCCCAGATCCTCTGGCAGCCTCGGGTGCTCGTCCACTTCGCTCCTCCTCCGCCTTTGCTGCCGCAGCCGCAGGTGCGCACCCCACCGCGTCCCTGCTTCCCTCCTCGAGCTCTTGTGGTCGAGCTCAGGTGGTCCTTGTTCTCCTCTCCATCCATCGTTACTTGAGTCTCAAAACTGGAGCCACAACGTCCCCAAGATGAAATCCATGCTGGGTTTCAGCCACGGTGCCGGCCCAGGGGCTGGCGAGGGTAAGGACAGGCAGCGACCCACTTCCTGGGTCTTCATTTCTAAGAGCTGGGAATTCCACCTTCTCACCTCCTCACCTGGACCTAAATCCCCCAGGCAGTACTGACCATTCTGTTTTTTTATCCACCTACGCTACTCTTCGTGTGACAGCCCTTGAAGGCAGAAGGAAAAGAAGATGTAAGAAGGGAGAATTTAAAAAACACTTTAAAAATTAATTAATCTGAATACTCAAAGTATCCCCAGGTCATGTATCCTTTTAAGATATGCCTACATTGGCATAGGCGGTGGCTCATGCCTGCAATCCCAGCACTTTGAGAGGCCGGGGCAGGCGGATCACCTGAGGCCAGGAGTTGGAAACCAGCCTGGCCAACATGGTGAAACCCCATCTCTACTAAAAATACAAAAATTAGCCGGGCGTGCTGGCACGTGCCTGTAATCCTAGCTACCTGGGAGGCTGAGGCAGGAGAATCGCTTGAACCTGGAAGGTGGAGGTTGCAGTGAGCCCAGATTGCACTACTGCATTCCAGCCTGGGCAACACAGCAAGACTCCTTCTGGGGGAGGGGGTGGAGGGCGGGGGCGACGAATTATACAGTGAAACTTTCTTGAACCTGAAGAGTCTGTTTTTTTTTTAAAGTTTTTATATCACAAATTTAATTTCCTTAGTAGTTACAAGGTTATAGAAAAATATATTTCATATTGAGTGAGTTGTGATAGTTTGTGATTTTCAAGGAATTAGTCCATCTCATCTAAGTTTTCAAATTTGTGTGTAAAGTGTTGTTCATAGTATTCATTTACCCTTTTGATGTCAGCAGAGTCTATAGTGATATACTCTTCTTTTTATTCTTGATATTGGCAATTTGTGTCATCTCTCTTCTTAAAAAATTATCAGTCCTCCTAGAGGTCTTCTTTTATTGATCTTTTAAAGGAACTAGCTTTTTGTTTGTTTTTCTATTTTGTGCGTGTGTGTTCAGTTCCGTTTATTTCTGCTCATTTCCTTTCTTCTATTTGCTTTGGGTTATTTTCCCCCACCTGAGTTCTTCAAGTAAGAGCTTAAAGGACTGATTTGAGACTTTTTTCTTTTCTTTCTTTTTTTTTTTTTTTTTTTTTTTTTTGGCCGGGCTGGTCTCCAACTCCTGACCTTGTAATCCACGCGCCTCGGCCTCCCAAAGTGCTGGGATTACAGGCGTGAGCCACGCGCCTGGCCGACTTTTTTCTTTTCTAATGTATGCACTTAGTGCTGTAAATTTCTCTCTCAGAGATTAAGTTGTCTTGGAAATTTTGATACATTGTGTTTTCATTTTTATTCAGGTTAATTTATTTTTTTGATCTCTACTAAGGCTTTCTCTTTGTCCTATGGAATATTTAGTAGTGTGTTGTTCATTTTCCAAGTGTTTGGATATTTTTGTTGTCTTTCTGTGACTGATTTTTAGTTTGATTTCATTGTGGTTAGGGATCATACTATGTCAGTCAATTCTTTTAAATTTGTTGAGGCCCAAGGTATGAGGTATGTTCTATCTTGATCTACGTTACGTATGAATTTGAAATGAATGCGTGTTCTGCTTTTCTTGTGTGGACTGTTCTATACATGGTGACTGAATTCTGTTGCCTGAAGATGATTTGGGGTTCTTCAATATCCTTGCAGATTTTCTGTGTAGTTTTTCTGTTATTATGAGAGAAATGGCGCGGGCGTGGTGGCTCACGTCTGTAATCCCAGCATTTTGGGAGGCCGAGGCGGGTGGATCACCAGGTCAGGAGATGGACACCACCCTGCCTAACATGGTGAAACGCCGTCTCTACTAAAAATACAAAAAATTAGCCGGGCGTGGTGGCGGGCGCCTGTAGTCCCAGCTACGCAGAGGCTGAGGCAGGAGAATGGCGTGAACCCGGGAGGCGGAGCTTGCAGTGAGCCAAGATTGCGCTACTGCACTCCAGACTGGGCGACAGAGCGTGTGAGGAGACGATTGAAAAACCCAAAAAGAAGAAAAAGCAAAAGCCCCAGGAGGTTCATCAGGAGAATGGAATGGAAGACCCATCTATCTCTTTCTCCAAACCCAAGAAAAAGAAATCTTTTTCCAAGGAGGAGTTGATGAGTAGCGATCTTGAAGAGACCGCTGGCAGCACCAGTCTTCCCAAGAGGAAGAAGTCTTCACCCAAGGAGGAAACAGTTAATGACACCGAAGAGTCAGGCCACAGAAGTGGCTCCAAGAAAACGAGGAAATTCTCCAAAGAGGAGCTGGTCAGCAGTGGGCCTGAAGAGGCGGCTGGCAAGAGCAGCTCCAAGAAGAAGAAAAAGTTCCATAAAGCATCCCAGGAAGATTAGAATGCAAATGGACATTCTCTGGGAGGTGGGGCATACCATAGCCCAAGGCGACATTTCCCACCCTGTGCCGTCTTCCCCAATAAGAACAAATTCACAAAAAAGAGAGAGAGAGAAGTGAAGTCTCTAATGTAACTGCATTTGTCGATTTTTTTAATTCTATCTTTTTTGTTTTTTAAAATATTTATTTATGTATTACATTTATTTATTTATTTATTTATGAGTCAGAGTCTCGCTCTGTCACCCAGGCTGGAGTGTAGTGGCACCATCTCGGCTCACTGCAACCTCCACCTCCCGGGTTCAAGCAATTCTCGAGCCTCAGCCTCCCTAGTAGCTGGGACTGCAGGTGCACGCCACTGCACCACCATGCCAGGCTAATGTATGTATTTTTAGTAGAGACGGGTTTCACCATGTTGGCCAGGCTACTTTCCAACTCCTGGCCTCAGGTGATCCGCCCACCTCGGCCTCCCAAAGTGCTGGGATTACAGGCGTGAGCCACTGCGCCCTGTCTGGGTGTTTTGTTTTGTTTTGTTTTGAGACGGAGCCTTACTTTGTTGCCCAGGCTGGAGTGCAGTGGCACGATCTTGGCTCACTGCAACCTCCGCCTCCCAGGTTCAAGCAATTCTCCTGCTTCAGCCTCCCGAGTAGCTGGGACTACAGGGCGCACGACCACGCCCAGCTTTTTTTTTTTTTTTTTTTTTTTTTTTTTTTTTTTTTTTTAGTAGAGACGGGGTTTCACCATGTTGGTCAGGATGGTCTCAATCTCCTGACTTTGTGATCCGCCCGCCTCGGCCTTCCAAAGTGCTGGGATTACAGTCGTGAGCCAGCGCGCCCGGTCCTGTTTTTTTTTTTTTTTTTTCTTTACATGTTGCAGCTCTGCTGTTTGGTGTATACATATTTAGGATTGTTATGCCTTCTTGGTGGATTTTCTTTGTTCTTAAGTTTATATTAATATAGTCACTTTTGCTTTCTTTTGATTAACTTTTGCATGTAATATATTTTATCCCCTTAATTTCAGCCTGCTTATATAATTATATTTGAAATGAGTTTCTTTTAGATAGTGTATAGTTGGATTATGTTTTCTAATCTGTTCTGTCAATCTCTCCCTCCCTCCATTCCTTTCTTCCTTTTGCCCTCTCTCCTTCCTTTCTTTCTCTGTCGCTCCTTCCTTCTTTCTTCCTTCCTTTCTTTTCTTTCTTCCTTTATTTTCTTTCTATTTTTAATAGACGGGATCTTGTTTTGATGACCAGACTAGAGTGCAGTGGCTATTCACCAGGGCAATCGTAGAGCACTGGGGCTTCCAACTCCTGACCTCAAGCTGTTTTCCTGCCTCCTCTTCAGCCTCCTGAGTAGGTGTAGCTGGGACTATAGATGCAGGCCACCACGCCTGGCTCATGGTTTGTTTTTGTTTTTTTGTTTTTTTTCTCATCCTTCTTTTAAAGTCGCTAAATAAAAATCATACCTGGATGTCTGGAAATGTCAGTTAACATCAAACATGTTGCTGCCATGAAGTGCCAGACAATTCTTTTTTAGTACCTAAAAAAGTGTCCCTCCTCTGAGAAGAGGACAAATAGTTCACAGATGTGTAAGACATTTTAACTGTAGTGAAACAGCAGCCATTTCCTCTGCTGTTTCCTGTCCGTCTAATCACTTCTGCTTTTACTTTCTTTCTTTTTTCTTTTTTTTTTTTTAAGACGTAGTCTCGCTCTCTCTCCCAGGCTGGAGTGCAGTGGCGCGATCTCAGCTCACTGCAAGCTCCGCCTCTCGGGTTCACGCCATTCTCTGCCTCAGCCTCCTCGAGCAGCTGGGACCACAGGCGCCCGCCACCACGCCAGGCTAATTTTTTGCATTTCTAGCAGAGACGGGGTTTCACTGTGTTAGCCAGGATGGTCTCGATCTCCTGACCTCGTGATCCGCCCGCCTCGGCCTCCCAAAGTGCTGGGACTACAGGCGTGAGCCACCGCGCCCGGCTATGCTTTTATTTTCAAGGCACTAATCAAAATTTCTGGCCTACTGATGGCCCTATTTAAAGGGTTTCCTGGGCTATGATAGTTTCAAACTCTATATTTCCTGAAGACTAATAAAGAGGGAAGGGAGTTCTGTTTGTCAACTTTACTGTTTCTTTTCCTCCTTCCCTTCCTTCCATTCTTTCTTTCTTTTTCTCCTGTCACTCTCTTTTTTTTTTGCTGCTTTTCTCCAAAAAAGAACTTCACTATTTCTTTCCCTACCAGAGCAGCCCCTCATTACCTCCTGACTCTGAGAAAGAAACTCTGTCTCTTTCAGATGTCCTTAGTTGATTGACTCACAAGCAAGGAGTGTGACAAGGAAAATAGAATAAAACACCTTCTAAATTCTAATACAAATTGAGAAATTTGTACCTTTGTCTCTGCCTTGCAACATTTAAAATAAAGTGGGACCATCTGAGAAGCATATATTGTTCAAATCTTGGGATAATTTCAAAACATCTTTTCCTCAATGACAAATCAACAATACTGGAATACATATCATATATATGTAGTATGTATTATATATATATATCAGACAAAGATTATTTCTCTAAACTATTTGATAATGATTTTCAGACATCATATCTTTTTATTCTTAAATACTTCAATGTGTATTTCTTAAGAAAAAGGTCAATTCCTTAACACAACACAATTATCAAGTTCAGTAAATTTGACATTGATAAATGTGAATATAGTCTAATATAAAGTCTATTAAAAATTGTCTAATTGTACCAATAAAAACTTTTATAGAAATTTCTCTTCCAAGCTAGGATCCATTTCAGAATCACATATGAATCTAGTTGTCTTGACTCTTTAGTGCCCTTTAATTTGGAACAGTTTCTTAATCTTCTTGTCTTTCACAACACCGACATGTTTTTGAAGAGTTTTTCCAGTGGTTTTGTGCAACGTTTCTTAATCTGTATTAGCCATGATAAGATTACATCGGGTTATGGAATTTGGGAGAAATGTCACAGAAATCACGTTATTACCCTCTCTCACACCAAGAGGCATGAGCTGACTGAAGTTAGCTTGATCACTTGATTTTAAGTTTGTAATTACTGTTTCTTCCCTGAAAAATTATCATTTTCCTCATTGTAATTAATAAATAATCTACAGGGAAATACTCTGAGACTACATAAATATCCTGATCCTCATCAAATTTTTACCTATACTTTAACATTAACTTACAAATTTTGCCTGCATCTATCATCATTCTGATGGTATTGTTTAAATGGGGATTTTTAAATTTTATCCTCACTTTGTTTCTTTGTTCATTTTTTTGAGACGGAGTCTCGCTCTGTCGCCCAGGCTGGAGTGCAGTGGCGCAATCTTGGCTCACTGCAAGCTCCGCCTCCCGGGTTCACGCCATTCTCCTGCCTCAGCCTCCCGAGTAGCTGGGACTACAGGCACCCGCCACCACGCCCGGCCAAGGTTTTGTATTTTTAGTGGAGAGGGGGCTTCACCGTGTTAGCCAGGATAGTGTCGATCTCCTGACCTCGTGATCCACCCGCCTCGGCCTCCCAAAGTGCTGGGATTAAAGGCGTGAGCCACTGCGCCCGGCACTCACTTTCACATTTATCATTTGGCAAACCACTGTAAGGAAAATCGTCCCGTCCTCCATATTTATTTGTTTAAGTTCCCAAGAATGATAATCAGTTATTGTCATCACTGATGCTAAAAGTGTGTCAGATTTGGCCAGTGAGATTCCCTTCAAGCTGGCTTCTGTGTCCTTTTAAATCACCCCCGTCATTTCTGAGCACTTACATTCTGGCAGGGCAAGATATCTTAGGTTCATTTTGCAGTTTCCCTGGCACAGTCCTGGAGTCTGTGTAGTTGACACTAATAGCTACTTTCTATTAGTATCTCTGGTTCCTTTTAGTAGGGAATGGTATTTGAAAATCAAGATACAGAGTTATCTTTGCTCATTGCTTCTGAGGTATCATTTCTTCTAGGCCCAGTTAGCAGATAGATCTGTGGGGAAATTTTACAATTTCATATGTACAATTTCATACTGATGCCTCTAATTCCCATCAGTATCAACAGGACTATTCTTTACCTTCCTTCTTCTCCCACAGTGAGAGTCTGTTTCCAACAACAGACACTCGATTTCCCAATCCTAAAATTCACACAAAATATCAGAATTGCTACAGCCCTCACTCTACAAAAAATAATCCTGATACATAGAGTTTAAGATTTGTTCGATGTTCTTTTTGATCTCACAATTAGAACAACAATCTGTGTAAACCATTTTCTTATATCAGTTCTTTCCTCTTCAATGTGGTTATGTTATTCTTTTGAAATGCAGTTAATTTGCCTCTATTTGTACTGAATTTTAGGGTATTTTCACACATACCTGAGTTTTATTTTTTGACTATGGGAAACACTAAGATGCTTCCCAGAGTCAAAAGAAAAAAGTTATAATCAGAAAATTTGCAAGAGAATGTTGTATGCCGGAGGTCACTCAAGGGATAGAATGGAATTATGCTCCAGAAAGTCTAATATGATGGGGAGACCACTTTGGGGTGAGTTGATCTTGGACTGACCACAAATCAGGAACATCAGGAACAATGCCTTTGTTTTTACCACAAGATATCTTTCTCCTGGTGTAGCCATGCCCGAGAGAGAGAGAGAGAGAGAGAGAGAGAGAGAGAGAGAGAGAGAGAGAGAGAGAGAGAGGGCGCTTAGTGTCGGGAATTCATAAACAGTGGAATTGGAAACATACAGTGATTGTCTTGATGACACAGAGCACAGACTCAGGCAACGGAGATCACCAAAACATTTTCCCAAGCTCCTGATCTCCTGCGGGGGTATAGCTCAGGGACAGAGCACGTGGTTAGCATGCGTGAGGTCCTGCGTTCAACTTCCAGTATTTCCACTCTTTTTTTTCCTATGAGCCACCTTAGGAAGTTCTCCATGATATTCCCCACCTATTCAAGGGAATTGTGTTGGCCTCTGCATTTCTCTCTCATACAGGGAGATAATTCGTGTTCATTCACTTACAGTTCTTTGTTGCTTAGAATTATCCCCCTGTCCTAATTAGTTCCACAAATCACTAATGTGGATCACACACTATAGAAGCAAGTAGTATTCCTTGCCATCCCGCCGATTTCCAGTTTAAATAAAATAGTCAGAAACCATTGAATTCTGTGACCTAAGTCTGATTTCAGATCAGAAGGTTAAGGCTCAAGTTCTTTTGCGTTTCTTACTTTCTTCTAACTGCTTCCTCACCCAGGTTGCAAAAGTCCTGTAAGCTTTCACTAAAAGATTCCACTACAAGTGGCTGATGATTGCTGGTGATGTGCTGGTGGTCACTTTTTCCATTAGAGACCGACAAATTCTGAAACTTAATCCAAGCTATTTAACTACAAACATAAGGACAAATGACAAATATAATGACAAATGAGGAAAAGATCTCAATCACCTCAGCTGAAATTTAGCAGGGAGAAAATTACTTCTCTTGGTTCTTTAAGGAAGTTTCTGGTCTGAAATGGCAAGCTCTCTGAACTCCAGAGTCCAAGATCCATCTAGGGTAGAAGCTCGTTTCTTCTTTTTTTTTTCTTTTTTCTTTCTTTCTTTTTTTTTTTTTTTTTTTTTTTGAGATGAAGTCTCACTCTGTTGCCCAGGCTGGACTGCAGTGGAGCGATCTTGGCTCACTGCAAGCTCCGCCTTCTGGGTTCAAGCAATTCTCCTGCCTCAGCCTCCTGAATAGCTGGAAATACAGGCACTTGCCACCTCGCCTGGCTAATTTTTTGTATTTTTAGTAGAGATGGGGTTTCACCATGTTGGCCAAGCTGGTCTCAATCTCCTGACCTCGTGATCTGCCCACCTTGGCCTCCCAAAGTGCCGGGATTACAGGCGTGAGCCACTGCACCCAGCCAAAACCTCATTTCTTTGTTTTGTTTTGTTTTTTTTAATAAATAAAAATAATGAACTTTTATTCTCCCAATCCTAATGGATCCTTTTCTACCTCACTGTACTTACTTTCAAGGAATAACTTCCTTCTTAGCTACTGAACATCCCATATCTCCAGATTAGAACCCTGCACAATTTCTAATTCTGATATCACAGTGCTAAGCAGAAATTCACAGGGGGATACTTGGCAAGCATCTTAACACTATTTTGTTAAAAGAAAATCTCCTTTTATTTTCCACTCTATTTCATCAAAGGATTAAAAATTAAGTTACTAAACACCTAGAAGGCAGAAAAGCAGCCTCTTTCTCCATGTGCAGAAGCTAAGCAACCCAGTGGGGCTTCTGTATGCATCATCTCTTTTACTCACTTTCTAAAAGCTGTAACCGTCCACCATCTACCAGGCGATCACAAACCACCCCTTAAGTCAATTTTGAGGTTAACCCACTTGACTTGAGAGGGATTCACCTGTACCACCTCTGCAGCTGTTATGTGAGAAATAAACTCATCCATCTAAACCCAAAGAATGGACTCAGAGACCCGGAGAACAGCGAAAGTGAGACTTTTAATGACGGTCTTGAGAGATCAAGATCGGGTGTCTGGCGTGCAGGCACACCCAGAACAGTTTCAACAAGCAATTTGTCCCCTAGTGCGCAAGTCCCTCCCCAGGTTCCTCATAGGCTGAGTGCTATGGGGTTACAATTTTCTCGGCGTTTGCCTACTGATTGTTAGGCAAAGGCTTTAGGTGTCTCTTTTTTAGGGTTGTCTTGCTGCATTTTGTTGCAGCCCACAATGCATTGCAATCCTGGTTAGCTCAAGGGCTCTTTAAGTGTTTGACTTATGACCTAAGTAGCTGGGCAGGCTGATAAGAACAGACAAAGTGAGCTATTTTGCAGACTAGTAAACTTATATCTTAGACTAAACTGTTTTTGTTTGGGTGAAGGCCACCAAGGATGGGGGATGGGAAGGGGGAGGAAAGAGGGGGGCGACAAGCAGGCATCCGCTATCCAAGCAGGGACCTAGTATACCCTGTTTCTTCTGTACTTTGCTGACCTAAGCCAATTTAAGGCACTTTGTCTTGGAAATAGATCACTGTATACATTATTTCCTTCAGGAATAGCACTAAGGAAAAGGTGGCTGCACACGTAGTTAACACCGATTTTACCGCGACTTTGTAGTACCTAACCTTGTTTTTAGACTCTCCCTTAATCGCCTAGCCTTGTTTCCACATGAATAGGCTCTTCCTTAGCTGAGAAAGCCGGAAGTACTCCTTTTGGCTCCTTCATTTACAAGACGTCAAAGACTCCTTACCCACCCCCTTCCTCAAGCAGTTAACTTGTGTAAGCTGACTCTTACATATCAAAGAGTCCAATTAACTGATAAGGTACTGAAGCAAGCAATTTACGAAGTTACCAGGATTTCGCTCAAGAGATAACACCATAAAGCTTTGAGTTTGTGTCCGGGAGAGCCCCCATACCTAACGCCTTATGATAGATTTAGAGCCCCTGCACCTGGAACTGTTTGTTTCCTTGTAACCATTTGTCTTTTTAATTTTTTTGCATGCTTTTACTTCTGTAGAATTGCTGCAACTAAGCTCCCCCTCCCCTTTCTAAACCAAAGTATAAAGGAAAATCAAGCCCCTTCCTCGGGGCCGAGAGAATTTCGAGCGTTAGTCGTCTGTCGGTCGCCGGCTAATGAAGGACTCTTAAATTCGTCTCGAAGTGTGGCGTTTCTCTAACTCGCTCGGGTACAACATTTGGAAGCCCCAGCGAGATATATTCGCCACTGGGCGAGAGCCGGGCTAGCTCCGGGCTCCCCCGGAGGGACGGCCGGCTTATAGGCGAGGAGCCACCTGAAAAAAAATTTTCCAGGTCCCCGAAAGGCGACCGTCTTCCGGAGGACAGCGGATCGACTACCGTGTGTGTGTGCCCACAAAATTCAACCTCTGAGTCCTCAGCTTCTGACCCCGGGGTCAGGTAAGTTAGATTTGACTTCTGTTTGGTGAGAGGGAGGCAGCCCTGACGAGGGCATCCCTGTCTTTGACACTGCCCGCTTTTCCAGGGCGCTGGAGGACAGAGCCCTGGTTTTTCTGTTAGGCGCCTTTTGGTTCTGGTTTGGTGAGAGGGAGGCAGCCCTGACGACGGTGTCCCTCTCTTTGACTCTATCCATACTCCAGGACGCTGGAGGATAGAGCCCTGGTTTCTGGCAGGCCGGCCTCTCCATTAAGACTAGTCTCTCACTCTCTCCTCCTCTTTTTCTTTCTCTCCCCCTTGCTCTATCTCTTCTCCTCCTCTCGTTCAGGTCTTCTGGGACCTTTGTTTAGAACGGGAAATAACAAAAATTGTTATAAACTCTTTGTGAATGTGTGCACGACTGAGGAGTCCAGGGGCCTGCCTCTGGATCCCCAGTTTGTAGCTCCACGGCGAAAGCTACGGAGTTCGAGTGGGCCCTCACCTGCCGTTCCGTGGCGACCTCATAAGGCTTAAGGCAGCATCGGGCATAGCTCCATCCGAGCCGGGGGTTTATACCTGCCTGCCAATGCTAAGAGAAGCCCAAGTCCCCTCAGGGGGAGCGGCCAGGCAGGCATCTGACTGATCCCATCATGGGACCCCCTCCCCTTGTCTGTCTAATAAAAACCTACTATAATTGTTTATATACCCAAGGGTCTATTGTTTGTTTTGTGTTTGTTGTCCTGCTCGGTGTCTATTGTCCTGTTTAGTGGTTGTCAAAGTTTCGTATGTCAGGTCATCGATACTGCCCAAGACGTCTGGGCAGGAACTTCTTCAAGGTCTTTAGTGTTGATTTTTTATCACAGGAGGTTAAATTTCTCATCAATCGCTTAGGCTGGCCATCCCAGTCCTGCCTTTTCTGTCAGAAACAAATCAGGTGTTGTTACGGGAACGGGAACGAGTGTGAGGAACATTCGCCTGTTTGGGATTTCTGGCACCATGAAGATTGCTGGCATTTAGATTGTCATACCCCATGTCCAAGTGACTGGGCCACCTCCAGACTAAACCGGTGGTAGGTTCAAAATAGCCACCCTGCAGACCTCCTTGCTCACCTCTTTTGTCATCCCGTAACTTTTTCTGTGCCCTTAAATACGGCACTGTGCAGAGAAACCTACGCCCGTACCACTTTACTTCGTTTAAACTCTTATTCTATTCCTCTGTGGCTACTCTCCTACCCTAGGAAAGATCCGAGTGGCCCTTTTTCCTCCTCATCCCTACCACTTACCCCGTACATCTCGTTTTCCCGTGTCACAGCAAGTTCAGCGTCTCCAGGACTTGGCTCTGCTCTCACTCCTCAAACTCTTAAAAGAAAAGGCCGAATTTGAGCTATTTGCCTTTGAGTCGTGGAGACACCAAAAGTATTTAGGCTACAGGTCCAGGGAAAGAGGGAGGACGCGTAGGTCCATCCAGCCAAGGAGACCTAAGGTTGGCCTCTAGTCCTCCTCCCTCAATCTTGGATAATTATTCTTTTTTTTTTTTTTTTTTTTTTTGAGACAGTCTTCTCTGTCGCCCAGGCTGGAGTGCAGTGGCGCGATCTCAGCTCACTGCAAGCTCCGCCTCCCAGGTTCAGGCCACTCTTCTGCCTCAGCCTCCCAAGTAGCTGGGACTACAGACACCCGTCACCACACCCAGCTAATTTTTTGTATTTTTAGTAGAGACGGGGTTTCACCGTGTTAGCCAGGATGGTCTCGATCTCCTGACCTCGTGATTCGCCCGCCTCAGCCTCCCAAAGTGCTGGGATTACAGGCGTGAGCCACTGCTCCCGACCTCCCTCAATCTTAAAGCTAGTTAACCGTCCTGTGGCAAGTAGTGTGAGCTATTGTTGTCTTTCGGCTCCTTCTGGTTATGTTAATTCTGTTCTTCCGATACTCCAGCCCCCTAGGGAATGAGTTTTTCTGTCCGTGCTGGGTTTGATATCCCTGCTCAAACCTTGTCAAACTGCCTCCAAAAATGGGAAACTCCTCTTCCCGGCCCTGTAAGGATTGGAGCCCCCTCCAATGTATGCTGCAGAATTTTTCTCTAGGCTTCTCAGAGGATTATGGGGTCCGCCTTTAAAAAGGCAAACTCCGGACACTCTGCGAAGTAGAATGGCCAAAGTTTGGAGTCGGATGGCCCCCAGTAGGGTCACTGAACCTAGCAATTGTTCAGGCTGTGTGGCGGGTTGTTGCTGGAACTCCCGGCCACCCCGATCAGTTTCCCCACATTGATCAATGGCTGAGTTTGGTCAGAAGCTCCCCACCATGGCTCCGCTCATGCGCCATTCATAATTCTGCCTCCAAGGTCGTTTTGAGCCAGACCGCACTTCCGCCTGGACCCTCAGTCTGTTCGGCTCCCCCTGTACTGCCTCCCTCTGAAGAAGAGGAGAGTCTCCCCCACTCAGTTCCGCCGCCTTATAACCGTCCTGCTCCCTTAGAATCTTCCCTTGTCTCCTCGACTACATCCCCTGTAGGCTCGCCGCCTATTGCCTCTCGATTGCGGCCGCGGCAGGAGGAAGTAGCCCCCCCTCTACCGCGGAAAGAAGCACAAGTCCCTCCGGGTGATGAGCGCTCAGCCCCATTCTTGGTTTATGTCCCTTTTTCTCCTTCTGACCTCTGTAACTGGAAGGCTCATAATCCTCCCTTCTCTGAAAAGCCCCAGGTCTTGATCTCACTGATGGAGTCTGTGCTCCGGACCCATCGGCCCACCTGGGATGACTGTCAGCAGCTCCTTTTGACCCTTTTTACCTCTGAAGAGAGGGAACATATCCGAAGAGAGGCCAGAAAGTATTTCCTCACATCAGCCAATAGGCCAGAGGAGGAAGCTAGAGACTTTCTTGAGGAGGTCTTTCCCTCTACCCGGCCTAACTGGCACACGAATTCCTCGGGTAGGAAGAAAGCTTTGGACGATTTTCACCGGTATCTCCTTGCAGGTATCAAAGGAGCTGCTCAGAAACCCATAAACTTGTCTAAGATGACTGAAGTCGCACAGGGCCTGATGAGTCACCGGGAGCGTTTTTAGAACGCCTCCAGGAGGCCTATCGGACTTACACCTCTTTTGACCCGGCGGCTCCCGAAAATAGCCGTGCTCTTAATTTGGCATTTGTGGCTCAGGCAGCCCCTGATATTAAAAGAAAACTCCAAAAACTGGAGGGATTTCCTGGGATGAATATCACTCAGCTTTTAGAGATAGCCCAAAAAGTTTTTGACAATCGAGAGTTTGAAAAAAGAAAACAAACAGCACAGGCAGCAGCTGATAAAGCATACAAAAGACAAGCAAAAATCTTAGCTGCGGCCATCGGAGAGGTCAAGAAGGGAAGGCCCCCATCACAGAGGAATAGCCAGGGAACCTCAGGTCCCTACCAGAAGGGCAAAAGAGGAGAACAGGCTCCCCTAGAAAAGGACAAATGTGCTTATTGCAAGCAGACTGGGCACTGGAAAAAGGAATGCCCACTACGGCCAGAGGAAAAATCAGAAAAGAAAAAGGCCCTCACCCTCCCCGCAACGGAAGAGTCTGATGACTGATGGAGCCAGGACTCCCTCTCTCTTGGCCCCCAGGAGCCCACGGTGACCGCTACAGTGAGGGGCCAGCCTGTACGCTTCCTAGTAGCTACCGGGGCGGAGCACTCGGTACTGCAGACCCCCTTGGGCAGTGTCTCTAATAAAAGAGTGGCTGTACAAAGGTCTACTGGAGCTATTCAGGAATATCCTGTCACACACTCACGAGAAGTGAGCTTGGGACAGAAAAGAGTGAGACAGTCATTTCTTGTGGTTCCAGAGTGTCCTTTTCCTCTCCTCGGAGGAGATCTGCTCCATAAGTTACAGGCCTCTATCTCCTTCTCAGCCCAGCAGGCTAACGTCATGCTAGGAAATACAGCGCCCCCCACTGCCCAACTCCTGCTAACTACCCCTCTGTCAGAGGAAAATCTTTTAGTTTCACCATCACAACCACTGGAAAATAATACTAATCCTCTCCTGTTGGACTTACAGACACTCTTTCCCAGAGTTTGGGCCAGTCAAACCCCCCAGGACTGGCTAAACACCATCCACCAGTGGTTGTAGAACTCCTGGCCACTGCCTTGCCTGTCCAGGTAAAGCAATATCCTATGAGTCAGCAGGCTAGACAGGAGATTAATCCCCATATTCAATGACTGTTACAAGCTGGCATACTCACACCGTGTCAGTCCGCCTGGAATACTCCATTTTTGCCGGTCCAGAAACCCGGAACGAATGATTACCAGCCGGTACAGGACTTAAGGGAAGTTAACAAACAGACTGTTACTGTCCATCCAACTGTCCCCAATCCTTATACTCTACTCAACCTGCTCCCGCCAGAACTTACAGTATATACACTGTCCTTGACCTAAAGGATGCCTTCCTTGCTATTTCTCTGGCCCCCAAGAGCCAACTGATCTTTGCTTTTGAATGGACAGATCCTAGCTCAGGAGACACTACCCAATTGACTTGGACTCAGTTACCTCAAGGTTTTAAAAATTCCCCCACCCTTTTTGGAGAGGCCCTCCAGCAGGATCCTATACCATTCCAAGCTAGTCACCTTAACTGTACTCTTCTTCAGTAGGTGGACAACCTTTTATTAGCTACTGAAACTAAAGACAGTTGCCTGCAACATACTAGGGACCTACTTTACCTCCTTCAGGAGCTCGGGTATCGAGTCTCAGCCAAGAAGGTCCAGCTTTGTCTTCCCACAGTGTCCTACCTAGGATACGACATAAGCCAAGGAAAAAGGGCACTCACCAGTGCCCGGAAAGAAGCCATCCTACGAATCCCCACTCCCACCACCAAGAGACAGGTACGTGAATTCCTGGGGGCCGTAGGATACTGTCGCCTATGGATGTCGGGGTTCGCGGAGATTGCGAAGCCCCTGTACACTGCTACAGGAGGGAATAGCCCGCTAGTTTAGATGGACACAGAAGAACAGGCTTTTCAAAATCTGAAAAAGGCATTAACTGAAGCCCCTGCTCCAGCCCTCCCAAATATCCCAGAGCCGTTTCACCTGTTTGTCCACGAAAGCCAGGGAGTTGCTAAGGGGGTGCTTACTCAGACTTTAGGACCCTGGAGATGCCCAGTGGACTATTTGTCTAAGAGGCTGGATCCTGTGGCCTCTGGATGGCCAACTTGTCTGCGAGTCATAGTGGCAACAGCAAGCCTAGTCTAAGAGGCTGATAAGTTAACTCTAGGTCAAAATTTAACCTTTACCGCTCCTCATGCCGTAGAGACTTTATTACGAAGTGCTTCTGGCAAATGGATGTCAAATGCTCGCATCCTGCAGTATCAGAGTTTACTGTTAGATCAGCCTCGTTTGACTTTCTCTCCCAGAAGGTGTTTAAATCCAGCTACTTTACTCCCTGATCCAGACTTCACTACACCTGTCCATGACTGCCAGGAACTGTTAGAAACTACAGAAACTGGCCCACCTGATCTCCAAGATGTGCCCCTAAAGAAGGTGGACGCCGCCATGTTTACAGGCGGTAGCAGCTTTCTCAAAACAGGGAGTACGAAAGGCTGGTGCAGCCATTACTACAAAGACAGATGTGCTATGGGCCCAGGCTTTACCGGCAAATACCTCGGCACAAAAAGCTGAATTGATCGCCCTCACTCAGGCTCTCCGATGGGGTAAGGATAAACTTATTAACATTTACACTGACAGCAGGTATGCTTTAACTACTGTACATGTACATGGAGCCATCTATCAGGAGCGTGGGCACCTCAGCAGGAAAGACTATCAAAAACAAAGAAGAAATTCTAGCCCTGCTTGAAGCCGTATGGCTCCCTCAGCAGGTGGCTGTAATCCACTGCAAAGGACATCCAGGAGAAAACACGGCCATTGCCCGTGGTAACCAGAAAGCTGACTCAGCGGCCCGGGATGCAGCCAGACTTCCAGTCATGCCTCTAAACTTATTACCCACAGTCTCCTTTCCACAGCCAGATCTGCCCTACAATCCCGCGTACTCAACGGAAGAAAAAAAACTAGCTTCAGATCTCAGGGCCAATAAAAATCAGGAAGGTTGGTGGATTCTTCCTGACTCCAGAATCTTCATACCCCGAGCTCTCTCGGGGAAACTTTAATCAGTCGCCTGCATTCTACCACCCATTTAGGAGGAGCAAAACTGGCCCGGCTCCTCTAGAGCCATTTTAAGATTCCCTATCTTCAAAGCTTAGCAGATCAAGCAGCTCTCCGGTGTACAACTTGTGCCCAGGTAAACGCCAAGCAAGGTGCTAAACCCAGCCCAGGCCACCGTCTTTGAGGAAACTTGCCAGGAGAAAGGTGGGAAGTTGACTTTACAGAAATAAAACCACACCGGGCTAGGTACAAATACCTTCTAGTACTAGTAGACACCTTCTCCGTATGGACTGAGGCATTTGCCACCAAGAATGAGACTGCCACCATGGTAGTTAGGTTTTTACTCAATGAAATCATCCCTCGACATGGGCTGCCTGCTGCCACAGGGTCTGATAACGGACTGGCCTTCACCTCGTCCATAGCTCAGTCAGTCAGTAAGGCATTACACACTCAATGGAAGCTCCATTGTGCCTATCGACCCCAGAGCTCTGGGCAGGTAGAACGCATGAACCGCACCCTAAAAAGCACTCTTACAAAGTTAATCTTAGAGACCGGTGAGAACTGAGTAAGGCTCCTTCCTTTAGCCTTTCTTAGAGTAAGGTGCACTCCTTACTGGGCTAGGTTTTCACATTTTGAAATCATGTATAGGAAGGCTCCACCTATCTTGCCTAAGCTAAGGGATACCAATTTGGCAGAAATATCACAAGCTAATTTATTACAGTAGCTAAAGTCTCTCCAACAGGTACAAGATATCATCCAGCCACTTTTCCGAGGAGCCCATCCCAATCCGGTTCCTGACCAGATGGGGCCCTGCCACTCATTCCAGCCAGGTGACCTGGTGTTTGTTAAAAAGTTCCAGAGAGAAGGACTCACTCCTGCTTACATAGGACCTCATACTGTCATCCTCACCATGCCAACAGCTCTGAAGGTGGATGGCATTCCTGCTTGGATTCGTCACTCCCGCATCAAAAAGGCCAACAAAGCCCAGCAAGAAACATAGGTCCCCAAGCCTGGGTCAGGCCCCTTAAAACTGTGCCTAAGTCGGGTGAAGCCATTAGATTAATTCTTTTTATTTACTTCTCTTTTTGGTTTTTGCCTGTCATGTCCTCTGCACCTTCCTATTCCCTTCTTCTCACCTATTTCATGACAAGACGTATATTCGCAAACAGTACTTGGAGGGCAGGAACCTCCAAGGAAGTCTCCTTTGCAGTTGATTTATGTGCACTGTTCCCAGAATCAGCCCGTACCCACAAAGAGTAACACAATCTGACAGTCAAGGGGGCAGGAAGCGTTGACCTTTTGGCAGGATTTGGACACTCCGGGAGCCAGACTGGATGTGGGAGCTCCAAAGGTGCGGAAAAAGGACTTCAGAATGTTGACTTTTACCTCTGTCCTGGAAATCACCCTGACTCTAGCTGTTGAGATATTTACCAGTTTTTCTGCCCTGATTGGACACGTGTAACTTTAGACACTTAACTCTGGGAGATCAACCGGATCTTCAACTCTTTCCATAAGTCGTGCTTCCCATCCTAGATTGTGTACTAGAAAAAATTGTAATCCTCTTACTATAACTGTCCATGACCCTAATTCAGCTCAATGGTATTATGGCATGTCATAAGGATTAAGGCTTTATATCCCAGGATTTGATGTTAAGACTATGTTCGCCATCCAGAAGAAAATCCTGGTCTCATGGAGCCCACCCAAGCCAATCAGGCCTTTAACTGATCTAGGCGACCCTATGTTCCAAAAACACCCTGACAAGGTCGATTTAACTGTTCCGCCACCATTCCTAGTTCCTAAACCCCAGCTGCAGCAACAATATCTTCAACACAGCCTGATGTCCATACTAGGCAGGGTACATCACCTTCTTAACCTCACCCAGCCTAAACTAGCCCAAGATTGTTGGCTATGTCTAAAAGCAAAACCCCCTTATTATGTAGGCTTAGGAGTAGAGGCCACACTTAAAAGTGGCCCTTTATCTTGTCGTGCACGACCCTGTGCCCTCACACTAAGGGATGTGTCTGGAAACGCTTCTTGTCTAATTAGTACCGGGTATAACTTATCTGCTTCTCCCTTTCAGACTACTTGTAATCAGTCCCTGCTTACTTCCATAAGCACCTCAGTCTCTTACCAAGTGCCTAACAATACCTGGTTGGCCTGCACTTCAAGTCTCACTCACTGCATTAATGGAACTGAACCAGGACCTCTCCTGTGCATGTAAGTTCATGTACTTCCCTGGGTATACGTGTACAGTGGACCAGAAGGACAACTTCTCATTTCTCCCCCTGAGTTAGATCCCAGGTTTCGCTAGCTGCCCTGCTCCTAGTTCCCTTCTTGGCCAGCCTTAGCATAGCCAGATCAGCAGCCCTAGTTCAAGGAGAAACTGGAATAATGGCCCTATCTCAACAGGTAGATGCTAATTTAAGTAACCTCCAGTCTGTCGTAGATGTTACATTCCCAGGTAGAGTCTCTAGCTGAAGTAGTTCTTCAAAACCGCTGAGGCTTAGATCTACTATTCCTCTCTCAAGGAGGTTTATGCGCAGCTCTAGGAGAAAGTTGTTGCTTCTATGCCAATCAGTCTGGAGTCATAAAAGATACTCTCCAAAAGGTTCGAGAAAATCTAGATAGACGCCAACAAGAAAGAGAAAATAACATCCCCTGGTATCAAAGCATGTTTAACTGGAATCCATGGCTAACTACTCTAGTCACTAGGTTAGTTGGACCCCTCCTCATCCTACTATTAAGCTTAATTTTCAGGCTGTGTATATTAAATTAGTTTCTTAACTTTGTAAAACAACGCATAGCTTCTGTCAAATTTATGTATCTTAGAACTCAATATGACCCCCTTATTATAACTGAGGAATCAACGATTTGATTCCCCAAAAACACAAGTGGGGAATGTAATACCTAACGTTGTTTTTAGACTCTCCGTTAATCACCTAGCCTTATTTCCACATGAATAGGCTGTCCCTTAGCTGAGAAAGCTGGACGAACTCCATTTGGCTCCTTCATTTACAAAACATCAAGGACTCCTTACCCACCCCCTTCCTCAAGCAGTTAACTTGTGTAAGCTGACTCTCAACATATCAGAGTCCAATTAACTGATAAGGTACTGAAGCAAACAATGCACGAAGTTCCCAGGATTTCACTCAAGAGATAACACCATAAAGCCTTGAGTTTGTGTCTGGCAGAACCCCCATACCTAATGCCTTATGATAGATTTAGAGCCCCTGCACCTGGAACTGTTTGTTTACCTGTAACCATTTGTCTTTTTAATTTTTTTGCATGCTTTTACTTCTGTAGAATTGCTGCAACTAAGCTCCCCCTCCCCTTTCTAAACCAAAGTATAAAGGAAAATCAAGCCCCTTCCTCGGGGCCGAGAGAATATCGAGCGTTAGTCCTCTCTTGGTCGCCGGCTAATAAAGGACTCTTAAATTCGTCTCAAAGTGTGGCATTTCTCTAACTCGCTCGGGTACAACAACTTCGCCTTTCCGCAGCCGCTGTCCAGCTCTGCAGAGTCCTTTTGAGAGAAGAGCTGGACAAGAGGAGTAAAGGAGCTCTTTGCAAATGCCAGGAGGAGTTTCTTCAGGGGGAAAGTTGGCTTTCCATAGGCTTCTAAGAGAAGTATGTGGAGCAAACAAACGGGAATTTTCTTTCTCATCTTTTGCATTTCAGACAAAAGCTAATAAAATTAGCTGTTTCCACCGTCATGCTTAGTCTCAAAGCTGCCGGTAGATTCCGCTTCTAACTTTCCACACAGGCGCGCAGGAAATCGGGAAATCACTGCAGCTCCCTCAGAAGCTCCAATATCAGCATTTCCTGAACTGAAAATAAAAATGCGACATTACGTGCATACCCAAAGAGCTCAACTGGTCTGTCCAGCAACGTAAAGAGAGGTGAGGCGCTCTTGAAGCCGTGCCAGCCTGGGCGAAACGAACCAGGTCCCCTTCCTGGTCGAGCCTACCCCCCTAGGGACAAAAAGGAACCTCTCTTCCCTCCTATCCAGAGGAAGGGACGGAGAGATGTGGCGATTAGACTCACTCTACCATCCAGTCTATCCAAGTACTAATAATCTTGAGGATGCTTTTCCTTGCCCTCTACCTCTCTCCCTTTTGTCCTTTGCTTCCTCCACTTCACGGCACCCCGCCTCTTCCGTCTCCCCGCAAGCTGGCGCTCGGCTCCTCCCGTTTACTTTTTGTTTGTTTGTTTTTGTTTTTTGTTTGTTTTTGTTTTTGTTTTTTGTTTTTGTTTTTTTGAGACGGAGTCTCGCTCTGTCGCCCAGGCTGCAGTGCAGTGGCGCGATCTCGGTTCACTGCAACCTCCACCTCCTGGGATCAAGCGATTCTCCTGCCTCAGTCTCCCGATTAGCTGAGATTACAGGAGCCCCCCACCACGCCCGGCTAATTTTTGTATTTTTAGTAGGGACGGGGTTTCACCATTTTCACCAGGATAGTCTCCAACTTCTGATCTCAAGTGATCCGTCCGCCTCGGCCTCCCGAAGTTCTGAGATTATAGGCATGAGCCACTGCGCCCAGCTTTCAGAATGAACTTTTCACAATAGTGCAGCGCACTCCTAGACCCGTTTACGCACATTTTAAACACTGTGTTGTGATTCATATGTAGATCTTTCCACATCACTTTCTATTTTTTTTTTCTTCTTTTCCTTCTCTGTATGCTCAGCTTTAAACATTTTTGCACCATAGGCTGAGGCTGCACTCAGCTGGGGAGAGACGCGTGGCGGGGATAAAACTAGAGTAGAGGAATGTTGTTTCCTGTCTGAGAAGGCTCAGACCTTACAAGGGGAGAAAAAAGTCTGTAAGAGAATCTAAAACTTTTTTTGAGGAAATAATTGAAAAATATATCCTAATTGACCCTCCCACCGTATTTTGGCTAAAAATAGAAAGCCTCGACTCTCAGGAGACTGAGTTTGAAAACTGTTAAGACATAGAAAAGGTTTTATTAAAATTCAGTTTGCAAATCATCGTCGGCCTCAGCAATTTTCTCATTCCAGAGAGGGTTGTTTCCGAAATTCTGTAAACATCTGAATTTGTTCCTATGTCTAACCAGAGAAGTTCAATGTTTTTACACTTTTGACTTAACGTAAGAATTTATATTGAGATATATACACTTCTGGGATTGGCGTGCAAGTGTTGTATAAGGGAGTGATAATTAGGCAGAACTAAAAAAACCAAACAAACCTGGTGAAACCCGGGATCGAACCAGGGACCTTTAGATCTTCAGTCTAACGCTCTCCCAACTGAGCAATTTTGGCTACTCTAAGCACGTGCCGTTAGCAATTTCTTCAAAATATAAAAATCTTCATTTGTAAAGTGGGCGTATTTCCTAATGCCTAATTCTTTTTTGTTCAATATCAACACAAAAATTAGCCAGGGGTGGTGGCGCGCGCCTGTAATCCCAGCTACTCCGCGCCGCTGTACTCCAGCCTGGGCGACAGAGCGAGACTCCCTCTCCCTCCGTTGAAGTGGGAGGATCCACTGAGCCGGGGAGGCAGAAGTTGCCGCGAGCCGAGATTGCACCACTGCACTCCAGCCCACGCAACAGAGCGGGACCCTGTCTCGAAAACAACAACAAAAAAGAGTTGTTATGCACCAGTGTGGAGACCACAATTTTAAAAACTCTAAGGAAGAGATAGAATGTACTGGAGGACATAAGAGATCCTTCTTTTCTTTCTTTTCCTGTCACTTATTTTATTTATTTAATTTATTTTTTTTAGACAATCTCCCTCTATCGCCCAGTCTGGAGTGCAGTGGCGTGATCTCGGCTTACTGCAACCGCCACCTCCCGGGTTCAAGCAATTCTCCTGCCTCAGCCTCCCTAGTAGCTGGGATTACAGGCGCGCACCACCACCCCTGGCTAATTTTTGTATTGATATTGAACAAAACAGAATTAGGCATTAGAAAATACACTCACTCTACAAATGACGTTTTTATATTTTGAAGAAATGACTAAGGGTGTGTGCTTAGAGTAGCTGAAATAGCTCAGTTGGGAGAGCGTTAGACTGAAGATCTTAAAGTTCCCTGGTTCAACCCTGGGTTTCAGCCAGCATCTTTTGAGTTCTGCCTAATTATCACTCCCTTATACAGCACTTATACGCCAATCCCAGAAGCTTACATATCTCCAATTTTTGGGAGTTTTTGAAAGTCTGATAAAGGTAATGTACATGTTTGTATCACTCTCTCCTTTGTATATTCCACTGAAGTCTTCCATGAAGTGCTCTCATTACATACATTATTTAAAGTTTTTGGACGGAGTCTCACTCCGTCGCCCAGGCTGGAGTGCAACGGCGCGATCTCGGCTCACTGCAACCTCCGCCTCCTGAGTTCAAGCTGTTCTCATATCTCAGCCTCCCAAGTAAGCTGAGATTACAGGCCCCCGCAACCATGCCCGGCTAATTTTTGTATTTTTAGTAGAGACAGGGTTTCGCCATGTTGATCAGGTTGGTCTCGACCTCCTGACCTCAGGTGATCCACCTGCCTCGGCCTCTCAAAGTGCTGGGATTTCAGGCGTGAGCCACTAAGCCCGTCCTTATTTAAAGTCTTAAACTTAGGAAGTTATTAGTTTTAAAACCTAAGAAATTCCAACGTGCTATATGCTGTGGCATTTACAAGTCATTTTTGATTTGATATTATTTATATGTATTGGGCGAGGGTTATTTTTAAATCACAAGAAATATGAAAAAAAGAAACATACAGTGAAGTAACTATTATACTGTATGAGCATATATATGGGGGTGTGGTGTATGCAAGAAACATTTTGAAATTAGAAAAACCCGGGTTTGTATCTTGAGTCAACTCCATTATTAAAGTGCTGTAAGAACTTTTTTTTTCTTTCTTTCTCTTTCTTTCTTTCTTTCTCTCTCTTTCTTTCTTTCTTTCTTTCTTTCTTTCTTTCTTTCTTCTTTCTTTCTTTCTTTCTTTCTTCTTTCTTTTCTTTCTTTTAAGCAGGGTCTCACTCTGTCATCCAGGCTGGAGTACAGTTATACAATCAGAGCTCACTACAGCCTCAACCTCTCTAGGCTGAAGTGACTCCACATGTCAGCACCCTGAGTAGATGGGACTACAGGCGAGCACCACCATGCCTGGCTAAATTTTTTTTTTTTTTTTTTTTTTGTATTTTTTTGTAGACTGTGGGTTTCACCGTGTTGCCCAGGCTGGTCTTTAAATCCTAGGTTTAAGCAATCCACCTGCCTAGGTAGGCCTCCCAGAGTGCTTGGATTACAGGCAGGAGCCATCGCACCAGGCCCAATTACAAGAACATTCTAAATTTTCTTGCTGAGAAGACATTTCTTTAGCCTGGCAACCTTGTCTAGAATTTCCAAATCTTAAGCTGTTTCCATGTTTGTATCCAGGAAAAAAGAAATATATGTATTTCTATATGAATTATTTTATCAAACATTCATGAGGGGCTCTAGAATACTGAAAATGAAAGCAAATGGGCAGCAAAGTCAAGACTCAGGTGCATGTGCCCCATTTTCCCTTTTTCACTTCAACTCCTCTCTTGAAATTCTCTGTTGGGATAATAGGTCTTTTTTTGGTCATTTTGATTTTTTTTCTTTCAAATTACTGCTTCAGTTTCAGTGTTGTTTTTCTCTAACTTCTGCATACCCTGTGAGGAGACAATAATCTACAATACTCCACTATCAGAACTGCAGCAAGTTGCAAAAGGAAAATTAGTACCAAATGAGAAGTAACCTTGGGTTAGGGACATTGACTGTACAGAAACTGGGAATCAGGTACTTTATCCTTTCACTGAGGCTTTCTCAACTCAGAAGCTTGTGTTTTACTCCATTAAGAAATATTTGACTAGACAAACAGTAACATTGAATGTTTTGTGCCTAACGCAGTAAAGATTCCTTTACATTCTGTTGAAATGGAAGGCCTAGGGCAATTCCAAGCATGATTTGTCTGCCATTCAATGGCTTAAAAATGATGTTAATAATGATTTTGTAAAATGGGATGTTGTAAAGATCAAAGGAGATCATGCATAGAAATGCATTCTGTCAAGTCCACTCACAGCATGAAACTTAATTACTGGCAGATCATGCTCCGTGTTCTCTGCTTCTGGGATTCTCCCAGAACAGCACCTAAATGGATAACATTGTCTTTAGACAATTCTGTCCAATCAAGAGATAATACAAGTTTTAAATGACAGCCATTTTGTAGTGTTACCTTTTGCAGTAGTTGCATTAAAAAAAGTCAATATTTATATTTTTATGTAATTTCAATTTTTATTTTAGATTTGGGGGTACACGTGCAGGTTTGTTACATGGGTATACTACATGATGCTGGGTAAATTGCATGAGGTTTTGAGTGCAATTGATCCCATCACCCAGGTAGTAGGCATAGTACCCAAGAGGTAGCTTTTCAAATCTTTCTGCCCTCCCTCCCACCCCTCCCCATAGTCCCCAGTGTTTGTTGTTGCTATCTTTTATGTCCAGTTTCAATAATATATTTAAATCACTTTGTATATCCAAAAACTTATTTTAAGAAGCTATCAATTATAAAATTATTAGTGAGATATTTTATATTTAAAAAATAGTATTACACATCTTTGAAATCTGGTGTGTGTATGTATATATATATTTACATATATATATATATATATTTTTTTTTTTTTTTGCGAAGGATTCTCGCTCTGTCACCCAGGCTGGAGTGCAGTGGCCCGATGTCGGCTCACTGCAACCTCTGCCTCCCAGGTTCAAGCAATTCTCCTGCCTCAGCCTCCCAAGTAGCTGGGATTTCAGGTGTGTGTCACCAAGCCAGGCTAATTTTTGTATTTTTAGTAGAGATGGGGTTTCACCATGTTGGTCAGGCTGGTCTCGAACTCCTGACCTTGTGATCCACCCACCTCAGCCACCCAAAGTACTGGGATTACAGACGCAAGCTACTGTGCCTGGCCAAATCTGATATGTATTTTACACTTACAACACTCTTAACTTGGACTGGGCAATTTCAAGCATTCAATAGCCAGTGTGGCTAATGGTAACCATATTGGACAGTGCAGGTTTAAACAGATACTTTATATATTTTTAGGTTTTCTGAATTGAGTATGTATCACATGAGGGTGTTCTGTCTTCAGAATTAAATGTTTAATTCCTCAGAGGAATTCTGTGTTAAATAAGCTCATCCCACAGTTTTTACAAAAAAAACTGTGTTTCAGTCGTGTTGTTGTTAGTCAGAAGAGAGCTACAGATATTTAATTATTTAAAATTCTCTCCTTTTCAAGAGGCAAACAAAAAAGCAGACCTTCATATTATGATGAATTCCCAAGAATCCAGTAGACATCCAGGTTTCTCTGGGTGCAACATGACATAATGATGAAGGAGTGTTTCTGCAAATTGTCCTAATATTACTTCTGCAGCATCAAAGAGCTAAGATTATCTCCCTAGCATTTACATGCACACACAGACAGTCAAACACACACACAAACACTAGTTTTGTGTGTAACACTTCTCTTGTTTCTTATTCAGTGAAACCTAGCATTCAGTGCTTCCTATTTTTGTTCTAGAAATTCCATCAGCCAACCGAAAAGACAAGTCTGCCATATAACCTGCTGTTTTCTGCCAGTTCTACAAGGGATCAATGTTATTTCATGAGTGTTGGCAAAGGCTCATATATGAGTAAATCAGAATGAGAAAGAGTTAACAGTCACTAGAAATTTGGTGTCAGGAAATGGATTTTCTTCTCATCTTCTTATGTAGTTCAAAGAACACAGCCCTAATCATGATAAATAATGATAAATACCAGGGTTCAAGAACATAGAGGAGCAAACTTTAAAAAAAATTTTTTTTTACTTTATTATTATTATTATTATTTTTTGAGAGAGAGTTTCACTCTTGTTGCCCAGGCTGGAGAGCAATGGCATGATCTCACTCACTGCAACCTCCACCTCCTAGGTTCAAGCAATTCTCCTGCCTCAGCCTCCCGAGAAGCTGGGATTACAGGAATGCACCACCACACCCAGCTAATTTTTGTATTTTTAGTAGAGACAGGGTTTCACCATGTTGGCCAGCCTGGTCTCGAACTTGCAACCTCAGGTGATCCACCCGCCTTGGCCTCCCAAAGCGCTGGGATTACAGGCGTGAGCCACCACACCCGGCTTTTTTTTCTTTTAAACAAATATCGTGAATAGGTTTGTAATTCCCAAATCTAAAAGGACCCTTTTTAGTCTTTATCCACCCTCTATGCAATATGTCTACTACTACTAATGCTCACAAACCCCAGGCTGGAGAGTCAATTGCCTGAGTTCTCCATGTAACATCCTCACAGTGTGCCCCACAGATACACTGAATTTAGCATGAGCCAAGCTAACTTATCTTCTCCATCTTCCAATCTTTCTCCCATTCCTTAAAGAGTTGTTAAAAACTCCCCTTTTCTACACCTCCTTCTGTTTGGCAATAGCCTGTTTGTTTTTCTAAACCACTTTCCCCCGTACCTCTTAAATCCTGTTTCTACTTATTTTTTATCTCACCCTCATAATTCAACTCTTCTCGTCATCCCTAGAGGTGTTGTTTCACTCACACCTTATAAATTTTTCTTTTCTTTTCTTTTTGATTTTGATACAGGGTCTCACTCCATCACCCAAGCTGGAGTACAGTGGCGTGATCATAGCTCCCTGCAGCCTCCAGCTCCCAAGGTCAAGTGATCCTCCTGCTTCAGCCTCTGGAATAGCTGTGAGTACAGGCGCAGGACAACACACCAGCTAAAGACCCTTAAGATGAAATGCTGAGTGCATCGCTCTCAGGTTTTCTTCTGACTGTGATTTTCCTCAATCAAATCTAACCTTTAATATTCCGGCTGAGTAAACAACAAATATGAAGCATTTTAGGTAAGAAAAAGCTGAATTTCAATAACTTTGCGTCATCTCTGAAAGAAATCGAAAGAATGAAAAACCAGAATTTGATTCCTTGCCAAGCATAACAGAAGAAGGAGATCCTGACAACTCAACGTTTTAAAGCCACATTGGAAACTTCTTTTGGCGGTTATCTGACACTTTTCTAATACTTTGCTTTCCATTTCAAGTCCTGTACAGTATACTAAAGAATCTGTATCCCCTCATTAGTACCGAGTATCTTCTACTCAGAGCAGCTGAAGGCGCTCCATGATACTAACCACTACTACCAGCATGCTCACGGAGCCAGTCTCAGAAAATGAAAGTTACCTCCTGAAAATTATTACAAAACAGTCTTTCAGGAGGGGGGTGTAGCTCAGTGGTAGAGCACATGCTTTGCATGTGTGAGGCCCCGGGTTCGATCCCCGGCACCTCCAAATGGTGGTTTTGCTCTGGCAGTGCTTAAATGTAATTCTCAAGCAACATAGCCTTCTGCCTCCTCACCTTTTTCTATCCTATTTCTGCACGTATAGAGAGTAAAAACGTAACCCAATGGATTGCCTTCACTTATCTCCCATCTCTATAATGTAAGCCTCAACATCACCTAAGGCGATTGCGACGGCAGAAGGAAGAGGAGAAAGAAGAATGAGGTCGCAACAGGGTCTCTTGAAAGCAAACAAAAGCGTGCACATCAACAGGCGGCTCACTTTGGCTTCGGTTTTGTACTATGATTAAAGAGAAGGAAAGGCTGAGAAGAAGAAAGGCAGAAAAGCGCCCCCCCGCCCCCCGGGCATTTCGTTTTGGTCGTTGTTTTTGTTTTCTGAGCCAAATCCAGAGTCAAAGCATCTGTCCACTGATTTCTCTCCCTGTCGAACTGCGCAGAGAGCACAGCCACAAGTGCGATCCAAAGCTGAGAAAATGTGGCTCTCCAGCCGCTTGAGATGAGAGTGGCAGGACGCTGGACAACCGAACGAAGACTGTCGGGGAATTAGAGGTCTTCAACACGGAAGGAGCGAAATCAATAAGGATCAACACATTCCCTACTGATAGTCCATACGATTGATTCATTTTCCTGTATTGCATCAGTCACTCCATTCTCCTCGTTAAAATAAAACACTGAGGTCCGGGCGCGGTGGCTCACGTCTGTAATCCCAGCACTTTGGAAGGCCGAGGCGGGGCGATCACCTGAGGTCGGGAGTTCGAGACCAGCCTGACTAACATGGAGAAACTCCGTCTCTATTAAAAATACAAAATTAGCCGGGCGTGGTGACGCACGCCTGTAATCCCAGCTACTCAAAAGGCTGAGTCAGGAGAATCGTTTGAACCCGGGAGGCGGAGGTTGCAGTTTGCTGAGATCCCACCATTGCACTCCAACCTGGGCAGCAAGAGAGAACCTCCGTCTCAAAATAAAATAAAATATAACATAACATAAAACATTGCCTGGAAACCTCTGTTAACAGCAAACAGAGGCCCCATATGAAAAAGTAGAGAAAGCTTTTCTGCCACAATGGAAAATAGATGCAAAGTAAAGGTGAGTAAATTGCAGGTGTGTTGGCACTTCTAATTAAAAAAAAAAAAATTCTTTTTTCTTTGTCAATCCTATCACATCTGCTTTGTATGACGAGGGAACTCCAGGAAATCCTATCTACTGATGACACCTTTTAGGGGTTTCCAATGCTGCATGTTTCAAAACTGCTGTCCTCTGTGTATATGTTTGCCGTTGAATCAAAAGTGTCTTTGAGAGGCAACAGAGTACGATGTTTGTCATCAGTCCACCAGTCTAACACTCTGTCAGGGTAGGCTGTCCTTACTTCTCGATTCTTTTGTTCAGTGAAAATATCCATAACCAGCCTACAGGAGAGATATTGTCTAGTGAAACCTGCTTAGCTGAAGACTGGTTGTGTGCCCCAGGGACAAACCATATGTTCGTTATAAGATACATTTTTTTTTTTTGTTTGAAGGAAGGTAATGCAGACATTTTCTTTTCGTTTCATACTTGTTTTCCCTTCTATCCACTGGTTCTCTCCAGGCACTTTAAGCAAATAGTGGCATGTTAGTCACAGTGGACACTGCACAGGAGAATAAGGGGTGAGGGATCAGGGTGCTACAAGAGGAATGCCAAATTCCAGGCCCAACCTCAGATCTATTGAGTCAGAATTGCTGAGGGTGGCGTCCAGCCGCCTGTGTTTGAATAAGCCCTCAAGTGACTCTGATGTTAAAGTTGTTTTGTTTTGTTTTGTTTTTTGAGACGGAGTCTCGCCCTCTCGCCCAGGCTGGAATGCAGTGGTGCAACCTCGGCTCACTGCAATCTCTGCCTCCCGGGTTCAAGCGATTCTTCTGCCCCAACCTCCCAAGTAGCTGGGATTACAGGCGCGCGCCGCTATGCCCAGCTAATTTTTGTATTTTTAGTCGAGACGGGGTTTCACTATGTTGGTCAGGCTTGTCTCGAACTCTTGACCCCGTGATCCGCCCGCCTCGGCCTCCCAAAGTGCTGGGATTACAGGCGTGAGCCACCCGCCCAGCCGCTGATGCTAAAGTTTGAGAAGCACTGTTCTAGAGGTTTAAGAAGGTGGTCCAGGGCCAGGCGCCTGCTGAGGAGGAAGAGTTGTTCCCGGGGTTCCCTACCTATTCTCAGTCAAAAACTCAAACCACCTAGGAAAGCCAGTGAGGTTTGTATTTGCCTTACATCAGGGGTGGGGATGCATTTATTATCTCTTTGACACCGTCAACATTTTAGATGATGTTGGTGGTCACACACAAGAGACTGATTTTCCTGTAGAAGAACTCACCAGAGTTCTTGTCAGCCAGGAGACTCTTTTGAGCCAATTTTCTTTATTTCTTTCCTTTCTTATCATTCTACCCTCCCTTCTCTTTCTTTCTCTTTTTCCTTTCTTTCTTTTCTTTCTTTCTTTCTTTCTTTCTTTCTTTCTTTCTTTCTTTCTTTCTTTCTTTCTTTTTCTTTCTTTCTTTCTCTCTTTCTCCTTTTCTTTCCTTTTCTCTCATTTCTTTCTTTTCTTTTCTTTTCTTTTTTTTTTGAGACAGGGTCTCACTCTATCACCCAGGCTGGAGCGCAGTGGCGTGATCTTGGCTCACTGCAGCCTCTGCCTCCTGGGTTCAGGTGATTCTCCTGACTCAGCCTCCCAAGTAGCTGGGATTTCAGGCGCGCATCACCATGCCCAGCTAATTTTTAGTAGAGGTGGGGTTTCACCATGTTGACCAGGCTGGTCTTGAATTCCTGACCTCAGGTGATCTGCCCTCCTTGGCCTCCCAAAGTGCTGGGATTACAGGCATGAGCCACTGCACCTGGCCACCAATTCTGTCATTTCTTTGTCACATAAAAAGTAAAAACATGACCCAATTCATTGCCTTTACTGCTCTCTTATTTCTATTTCTATTTGGTCAGCCTCTGTACCAGCCAAAGCAACTGACATAGCAGGAGAGGAAAGGAGGAAAAAAGAACCAGCTTTTACAAGATCTCTGGATCATGTTTCACTGTCAACTGTAAAATTATTTGTCTAGCCCTAGATTGGAAATATTATCTTCCATATATTTTCCTCAAAGTTTTATAGTTTTACATTTTATATTCATATCTGCGATCCATTTTAAGTTCACTTTTGTGAAGGCATGAGACTTATTTTTCTTCCATGGAATTACTACTTAGGCAACTTTGTCAAAAACCAGTTGAGAATATTTGTGTAGGTTTATTTTTCCATTCTCTCTATTAACCACGTGCCTATCTCCTTGCCAATACTATACAGTCTTAATTACTGTAGTAATAATACAATAATACAAGAATACAACAATGTAATGAAATAGTCTTGAAATCAGGTAGACTGTTTTTCCCTCCTAGATTTTAAATAATTATTCTAATTCCTTTGACTTTGTGGGAGAAACCTGGTGGGAGGTAGTTGGATCATGGGGGTGGCTTCCCCCATGCTGTTCTGGTGATAGTGAGTGAGTTCTCATGAGATCTGATGGTTTCATAAGTGTTTGGCAAGTTCCTCTTTTGCTCATACTTCTTTCTTCTGCTGTCATGTAAAGAAGGTCCTTGCTTCCCATTTCCCTTCCGCCATGATTGTAAGTTTCCCGAAGCCTCCTCAGCTATGTGACTCAATTAAACCTATTTCCTTTATCAATTACCCAGACACAGTGGCTCACGCCGGGAATCCCAGCACTTTGGGAGGCAGAGGCGGGCGGATCATGAGTTCAGGAGTTCCAGACCAGCCTGACCAATACGGTGAAACCCTGTCTCTACTAAAAATACAAAAATTAGCCGGGCATGGTGGCCTGCGCCTGTAGTCCCAGCCACTCGGGAGACTGAGGCAGAAGAATTGCTTGAACCCAGGAGGCGGAGGTTGAAATGAGCCGAGAGGAGGCCACTGCCCTCCAGCCTGGGCGACAGAGCAAGACTCCATCTTAAAAAAAAAAAAAAATTACCCAGTCTCAGGTAGTGTCTTCATAGCAGTGTGAAAACGGACTAATACACATTCTGTCTTTTACCGTGATGTACAGTGTTAGCTGTTCTCTATTCCTATTTTTCTGAGACTTTTTGTCATGAGTAGCTATTGAAGTTTGACAAATTCTTTTTCTACTGTGATATGATCACGTGATTTTATTTTTTAGCCTGTTAATATGGTGGATTGCAGTGATTGTTTCTAAATTTACCTAGTCTTACGTCTCTGGAATAAACCCCACTTGATCATGGTGTATAATGCTTCTTATATATTCCTGAATTCTATTTGATAATATTTTGGTAAGTATTTATGCACCAATACTCATTATTTTGTACTGTATTTACCTGGTTTTAGCATCAGGATACTATTAACTTCATAAATAAATGGAAAGTTTTTTGTCCTCTTCTGTTTTTTTCAGAATAGATTGTGTAGACCTTGTTTTAATTCTTTAACCATTTTTTTTTTTTTTTTGAGACGGAGTCGCGCTCTGTCGCCCAGGTTGGAGTGTCACTGCAAGCTCCGCCTCCCGGGTTCACGCCATTCTCCAGCGAGTAGTTGGGACTACAGGCTCCCTGCCACCACGCCCAGCTAATTTTTTGTATTTTCAGTAGAGACGGGGTTTCACCGTGTTAGCCAGGATGGTCTCGGTCTTCTGACCTCATGATTCGCCCACCTCGGCCTCCCAAAGTGCTGGGATTACAGGCATGAGCCACCGCCCCTGGCCTCCTTAAGAACTTCTTAGAATTCTTCAGTGAAATTTTCTTGGATTCGAAGATTCCTGATTTTTTTTTTTTAAACGAAGTCTTGCTCTTGGCCTCCAGGCTGGAGTGCAATGGTGCGATCTTGGCTCACTGCAACCTCTGCCTCCCAGGTTCAAACGATTCTCCTGCCTCAGCCTCCCAAGTAGCTGGGATTACAGGTGCCTGCCACCACATCCGGCTAATTTTTGTATCTTTAGTAGAGACGGGGTTTCAGCATGTTAGCCAGGCTGGTCTCGAACTTCTGACCTCAGGTGATCAGCCCGCCTTGGCCTCCCAAAGTGCTGGGATTACAGCCATGAGCCACCACGCCCGGCCAGATTCTTGATTTTTTTTTTAAATTATGTTACAAATTTAATTCCCTTAATAGTTACAGGGTTATAAAAAATGTATTGCATATTGAGTTAGTTGTGTTAATTTGTGTTTTTCAAGGAATTAGTCTATCTCATCTAAATTGTCAAGTTTGTGTGTAAAGAGTTATTCATAGTAAGGCAGAAATTTAAAAATAAATATGCATTCATTCACTCCAAGAAAAGTAACAGGAAAGGGTTAAAAAGAAAAGAAACAAGTTTTCGTTTGCCTAGCAGCTCACTTCAAGGACAGTTACAAGATAACACTTTCCGAAAAGCCAAGGCCAAAGGAACGGCTTCCAGACACGCCCTTCCCCCACCCCACCCAAGAACAAGGTTGAAGGGAAAAAAAGGAAAGGCAAATTCCTATACTGTTACTCCTTTCCCTGGCTTCTTAAGCATAACTGTTTTTACAAATGTCTGTATTTAGTCAGTTCTTGTTTTTCTTTTGACGCAGCTGCAAGGCCACAAATTAAGCACTGTATGATTAACTGCCTTTGTTTTGCTTATAAAAACTCCTGCTCTGTCTTTGTTCAACGCTCAGCATTTTTTGTTTGTTTGTTTTGTTTTGAGACAGAGTCTTGCTCTGTCGGCCAGGCTGGAGTGCAGTGGCACGATATTGGCTCAATGTCACCTCCGCCTCCTGGGCTCAAGCAATTCTGCCTCAGCCTCCCGAGTAGCTGGGATTACAAGCATGTGCAACCACGCCTGGCTAATTTTTGTATTTTTAGTAGAGACGGGGTTTCACCACGTTGGCCAGGCTGGTCTCGAACTCCTGACCTCAGGTAATCTGCCAGCCTTGGCCTCTCAAAGTGCTGGGATTATGGGCGTGAGCCACCAGGCCCGGCCAGTGCTCAACTTTTTGGATGTGAATCCACTCAGTGGCTGCTTACCTTAAAATAAATATCCTCCTGTTCTCCTGTATCAGTCTTTCCGTTCCTCAGTTTACCACCACAATAGTATTCCCTTATCCTAATATTATTTTTATATATTAGGATATATCATACTACATATGTTATATAAAATATTATATTGATAATATGTTATGTTGATATTATATAATAAATAACATAATTATAAAATATATTTATTTATATGATTATTTAACAAGTTATATATTATTATTTACTTATATTATTAGGATATAATATATCCTTATATATTATTAGTATATACTATGTATATTATATATATATATATTCTGAATAATCTTGAGGATGCTTTTCCTCCTTCATTTTTTAACTCTAGCCTGCCTCTTCCCTTTCCCCACCAGCTGGTTCTCGGCTCCTCTCCACCTTCTTTCTCATTTATTTCTAAATGAAGTTTTCACAAAAGCGCAGGGCACTCCTAGTCTCGTTTATGCACATTTTAAGCACTATGTTGAGATTCCTATGCAGCTGCTATTTTAATTTCCACATCACTTTCCTTTTTTTTTTTCCTTCTCTACATGCTTGACTTTAAACATTTCTGCAGCATAGGCTGAGGCTGGGCCCAGCTGGGGAGAGATGCGAGGCCAGATAAACCTAGAGTAGAGAAATGTTGTTTCCTGAGTGGGAACGCTCCGACCTTACAAGGGGGAGAAAAAGTCTGCGACGGAGTTTCGCTCTTGTTGCCCAGGCTGGAGTGAAATGGTGCTATCTCGGCCCATTGCACCCTCCACCTCCCGGTTCAAGCGATTCTCCTACCTCAGTCTCCCGAGTAGCTGGGATTACAGGCACCCGCCACCATGCATGGCTAGTTATTTTTTAAATGCTGGGATTACAGGTGTGAGCCACCGAGCCCGGCTAAATTTTTTAAAGGAAATCATCCAAAAACATATCCTTTTGATGTCAGCAGAGTCTACAGTGATATCCTCTTTTTATTCCTGATATTGGTAATTTGTGTCATCTCTCTTCCTAAAATTTCTGTCTTACTAGAGGTCTTCTTTTATTGATCTAAAGGAACTAGCTTTTTGTTTGTTTTTCTTTTTTTGTTTGTGTTCCGTTTCACTGAATTTTGTTCTTATTTTTATTGTTATCTTTTGTCTATTTGCTTTGGGTTTATTTTGCTTTTTTCCCCACCTGGGTTCTTCAAATAAAAGTTTAGATGACTGACTTGAGACTTTTTTCTTTTTCTAATGTATGCAGTTAGTGGTATACATTTCTCTCTCAGTGTTTTTTTAGGTTGTCTTGAAAATTTTGGTATATTGTGCTTTCATTTTTATTCAGGTTAATTTATTTTTTGATATCTACTAAGTCTTTCTCTTTGTCCTGTGTACTATTTAGTAGTGTGTTGTTCATTTTCCAAGTGTTTGGATGTTCTTCTGTTGTCTTTCTGTGATTGACTTTTAGTTTGATTTCATTGTGGTCAGGGATCATACTGTGTGAGTTAATTCTTTTAAATTTGAGGTTTGTTTTATGGCCCAGAATATGTTCCATCTTGACCTGTGTTCTGTGTGTTCTGCTTTTCTTGTGTGGAGTCTTCTTTAAATGTTGACTGAATTCTGTTAGCTGAAGATGATTTTGAGTTCTTCAACATCCTTGCTGATTTTCTGTTTAGTTGTTCTATCGATTATTATGAGAGAAGTGTTGAAGTCTCTAATGTAATTGTGGATTTGTCTATTTTTTAAAAATTCTTTTTTTCTTTACATATTTTCAACTCTGTTTGGTTTATACATATTTAGGATTGTTATGCCTTCTTGGTGGATTTTTAAAATTTTTCTTTGTTCTAAAGCTTATATTAGGCCAGACGTGGTAGCTCACGCCTGTAATCCCAGCACCGTGGGATGCTGAGGTGGGTAGATCACCTGAGGTCAGGAGTTTGAGACCAGCCTGGCCAACATAGTGAAACCCCATCTCTACTAAAAATACAAAAATTAGCCAGTCATGGTGGTACGTGCCTGTAATTCCAGCTGCTTGGGAGGCTGAGGCAAGAGAATCACTGGAACCCTGGAGGCAGAGGTTGCAGTGAGCAGAGATCGCGCCATTGCACTCCAGTCTGAGTGACAAGAGTGAAACTCCATCTCAAAGAAAAAAGATAAATAAATAAAGTTCATATTATATTAATATACTCACTTTTGCTTTCTTTTAATTAACATTTGAATGTTATATATTTTTATATGCTTAATTTCAACCTGTATGTATAATTATATTTGAAATAAGTTTCTTGTAGACAGCATGTAGTTGGATTATATTTTCTAATCTACTCTGTTAATCTCTGTCTTTTAATTGGTACCTTTCGACCATTTACATTTAATGTAATTATTGATATGTTAGGGCTGAAATCTAGCAGTTTGTTTTCTATTTGTACCCTGTTACTGCCATTTTCTGGGGATATGTATGTATGTATGTATTTATTTATTAAAGCCTTCTTTGTGGACTACTAGTATACTTTTTTAGAATTTCATTGTCATTTATCTGTAGCGTTTTTGTGTGTGTGTGGTTTTGTTTTTTTGATTTTTTTTTTCTCCTGCCTCAGCCTCCCAAGTAGCTGGGATTACAGGCATGCGCCACCATGCCCAGCTAATTTTTGTAGTTTTAGTAGAGACAGGGTTTCACCATGTTGGCCAGGCTGGTCTCGAATTCCTGACCACAGGTGATCCCCCTCAGCCTCCCAAAGTGCTGGCATTACAGGTGTGAGCCACTGTGCCCAGCCTATCTGTAGTGTTTTTAAATGATCTCTTTATATAACTCTTTTAGTGATTTGTCTGAGTATTACATATTTATTTAATTTATCACTGTGTACTGGTATCATTATTTTATCAGTTAAAGTGATGTGTGTCATCTTTACCTTTTTGTCACTTTGCCTCTCCTACTTGTAATATAATTGTCTTAAATTATTTCTTCTACATACATTTCGAACCACATCGAACGATGTTATACTTTTTTCTTTCTTTCTTTCTTTCTTTTTTTTTTTTTTTTGAGACATTGTCTCACTCTGTTGCCCAGGCCTGAGTGTAGTGGCGTGATCTTGGCTCGCTGCAACCTCCGTTTCCCTGGTTCAAGTGATTCTCCCTCCTCAGCCTCTCGAGTAGCTGGGACTACAGGTGTGTGCCACCATGCCCAGCTAATTTTTTGTATTTTTAGTAGAGACGGGGTTTCACCATGTTAGTCAGGCTGGTCTTGATCTCCTCATCTCATGATCTGCCCACCTTGGCCTCCCAAAGTGGTAGGATTACATGCCTGAGCCACCGTGCCCGGACATGTTACACTTTTTGCTTCAACTGTTAAACATAATTTAGAAAGCTCAAGAGGAAAAGGAAAATGTATTGTTTTTACCTTTTTTTTTTTTTTTTTTCTTTTTTTTTGCTTACCATGTTCTTTCTTCTTTCCTGGTGTCAATTATTTCTTCTTTTATCATTTCTTTCCATCTGGAGAAATTTAACTATTTTTTAAAGGATAATTCTGCTAGAAGCTAATTATCTTAGTTTTCTTTGCTCTGAAAATGTCTTGATTTCTTCTTCAGTTCTAAAGGATATTTTCTGTGGATATAGAATTCAGAATTAACAATTCTTTTCTTTCGGTCCTTGAAAACTGTTGTGCCACTCTTTCTGACTTCTGTGATTTCTGATAAGATACCCACTGTTATGCAAATTGGTTTTCTCTGTAGGTAAGGTGTTTTGTCTCTTTTCTTGCTTTCAATATCTCTTTCTCTGTTTTTAGAGTTTAGAAATTTTGATTGATTTTGTTTTCAGTTAACCGTTGAAGGAGATTCTCTAAAAAATACGTAAAAATGCAAATCTCCAGGTCAACAGTCTCTAAAATAGTTTAGATTTCTGTATTCTGGTGTTTGGAAAACAACTTCACTAAGGCAATCCCTTAGGGCTGGTAATTTCATGATGTAAATCATTCCACATTTGTAAAGCATAAAGTAGCAAAGTTTTAGTCACTGTACAAACAAGTATCTGAACTTCTTCCTGTGCTTAATTGGTATAAACTATCTTGGGCGGCAGTTCCCCACCTTTTTGGCACCAGAGACCGTTTCATGAAAGACAGTTTTTTCCATGGATGAGGGAGCAGGGGTTGGGGGGGATGATTTTGGGATGATTCAAGCACATTAGATTTATTGTGCACTTTTTTAATATTGTTATTATATTGTAATATATAATGAAATAAGTATCCAACTCACCATAATGTAGAATCACTGGAAGCCTTGAGTTTGTTTTCCTGCAACTAGACAGTCCCATCTGGCACTGATGGAAAACAGTGACGGATTATCAAGCATTAGATTCTCATAAGGAGCCCACAATCTAGATCCCTTTCATACGCAGTTCACAATAGGGTTTGGACTTCTGTGAGAATCTGACGCCCCCGCTTATCTGGGAGGAAGAGTAGCTCAGGCGGTCGCAGGAGCGTTGGGGAGTTGCTGTATAAGGACAGATGAAACTTCTCTGGCTCGCCTGCCGCGCTGCCTGATACGCGGTTACGTTTACTGGAGGTTGGGGACTCCGGAGCTAGAGTAAAACAGACAAATATTTCGCCTGAACAGGGACTTGAACCCTGCATCGTCAGATTAAAAGTCTGATGTTCTACCAACTGAGCTATCCAGGCCCTGGGTAGACGCAACCCACGGAGTATGTAATCTAGATTTCTCCATTTGTTCAGTTCATTTTGTTTCATGTTGCAATTTGTAAATCATATTACTTGAATTATCCTCTTTTCGAAGACCCTGCTTAAGAGAGACATTATAATCCCTAGGAATATTTTCCTTTTCTCTTTTTAAACATTTCCTTTCTGTAGATTTTCGTAACCTGAGATGGAGCGTCTTCTACACAAAGCACTGCGGAGTTGCTAGATACAGAGGGTTTCATTCTCGCCAATTACCTGCAACCTAAACTTCTCGAGGCAACTGTGGAGCTACTTTTGTTCGTATCCCTCAGTATTGTCTTGCATCTCTTTCTTGAAGCCTTTGTAGGCAGAGGGTAAGAGAGACGAAGGAGGAAGAATTTGAAGATGCAAGAGAACATTCCATAATGGACCCCTTTCTGTTGGTGGATGAAACTGCCAGCCAGGCATCACTTTGGCAAGTGGACCTCAGACCGGCGGTCTGGCTGGCCAGAGAGGAAAACCGCGTGTAACAGTGTCTTTTGGTTTAGTATTTAGTGCCGCTTTTGCTGGTCACAGTCTAAAGGTTTTAGAAATAGTGATGTTAAACACAGCAAGCATTTTTCTGCCAGATATTCGTTCTCCAAACACAGACAGACAAAGGCAGTAATTAATAATGGATCTTTTCTTTGTTTTTTTCTTGTTTTATTTTTGAAGATATTTTTTCTTCGTCTATGGATCTTTTTTTAATTTTTAATTTTTACTGCTGCATAGTATATATATGTATATATATGATACATGGGATATTTTGATGCAGGCATACAATGTGTAATAATCATATTGGGATAAACGAAGCATCCATCACCTCATCCATCGCCTCAACACCTTATCATTTCTTTGTTACAGACATTCCAGTTATAATCTTTAAGTTATTTTTAAATGTACAATACATTTTTGTTGACTATAATCACCCTGTTGTGCTATCAAATGATAGATCTTATTCATGCTAACTATATTTTTGTATCCATTAACCATCTCACTGCCCCCTCCAATACCCTTCCCAGCATCTGGTAACCATCATTCTACTCTCTGTCTCCATGAGTTCAATTGTTTTATTTTTGGCTTCCACAAATGAGAGAGAATATGTGAAGTTTTACTTTCTGTGTATAGCTTAACTTAATGTCCTCTAGTTTGTGGAGGAAAAGTTACGTATTAAATTTGAACTCAATTGAACGTGGACACAAACAATGGTCACCAAATCCTGAACAGGTTGTATGAACCCCTTGAGGTGTTCATCCAGTGCTGTTTTGGAGAAATCTCTATTTCAATCTATTCCTATACGTTAGTTATTGAAAAACAACAGACAATCGCAAAAACAAGTTGACCTTTTCTTGTTCCTTGAGCTCAGTCGCGAAGGGCTCTCGTGAGCTTCATGAGACCTCTCCTTCTCTGTGCATGGACGAGTGGCCGACTCTGGAGCCCGGGCTGTTGCTTCCCGGTGTGGTGATGAATCCTTCATAGTCTTGTGAGTGTACATATATATAAATATATATATTTATATATATATATATATTTGGTGAGTGTGTGTATATATATATATATATATCTTTTCCCTTCTCCCCTTCCCATTGCAATTTGCTTATTGTATCATTTGTTTATTATATCTGCATTGCCATTTACGTGGGATAAAGGTTATTTACCCTTAAAGGTATTGTGTGTGTGTCTTTTCTTCTCCCCTCTCGCATTTCCCGCACAGAACATAGTTCCATCCGCTTTGCAAATGACAAGACCTCATTGTTTTCATGGCCGAATAGTACCCCGTTGTGTATACGTACCACATTTACTTTATTCATTTATCTGTTGATGGGTACTTAGGATGCTTCCCAATCTTGGCTATTGTGAATAGTGCTGCAATAAAGATGACAGTGTAGATATCTTTTCGATATACTAATTTCCTTTCTTTTGGGTATAGGCCTAATAGGGGGATTGCTGGAATATATGGTAATATTTTTAGTTTTCTGAGGAACCTCCATACTATTCTCCAAAGCGGTTGTACTAATTTAAATTCCCACCAAGAGTGTACTAGGGTTCTCCTTTCTCCACGTCCTTGCCTGTCTTTTGGATGAAAGTCATTTTAACTTGGGTGAGATAACATTTCATTTTAGTTTTGATTTGCATTTATTTGATGATCAATGGTGTTGAGCACCTTTTCATATATTTGCCATTTGTATGTCTTCTTTTAAAAGACATATAGACAAAAGAATGGTAAATAGATATGTGAGTAGAAAATCTTTACTTGGCTGAGTTTTCTTTATCCTTTCCTTTCACAGTAGCCCCCATCCCCAACACACACACACACACACACACACACACACACACACACACACACACACGTGTCAGGTCAATAACCAGACCATAAGTGCTGCAAATCTTAGTTCTTTCTGTGTGTGTGAGTGAACGTTTGTTGTACACTGGATCACACCTCACAGGAAATGCTGAGTTTTCCAAATTCTAAAGTTAAGAACATTATTAGGGTCATGCATTATGGGTTTTTGTAAAATGGCTAAAGTAGCTACATTGGGAGATTCTTTGTCTAAAGGTGCAATACATCCCCCAATTTGATTCAGGGCTTGGAAAGTTGTCTGGTTTCATCTAAACAAATAAATAAATTCTATTTTTTTCAAATCTCAATTATAGAAACCTTTATCTACAGACACCCTCCTCCATTCATTTCTTCAGTGAAATTATCTAGACAGATTGTTATAGAGAGATTAAGAATGTCATACTTTCAAATCTCTCTTGGATTCCTCCCAAAATACTTTTGTTAGAAATATTTAAACATTTTAAAGGAACCTTGCCTGGAACCCATCAGATAAAAATCAAAAGGCATCAGAGAAAACACTGAAAGGCTTTGGAAAGGAAATGGTATCACTGGTATAAACAAACATTTCATACAATTTAATAGTTTCTTAGCATTATTCTTTCAAATCTCAGTGCCAATCCTTTTTAGCATCTTCCTGAAGAAAGAAATTTCAGGCTACTTTGGACACACTTTCTATAGGGTACCCCTGCTCTGCAAACAGCAGGAATAAATAAATAAATAAATAAATATAACAATAAATAAATAGATTTCGATGGTTTGGCTCAGTCTACCAACCTTACTAACTGTGCCAACTTTACTATCTGCTGCCTACGTCTGCCAGTTAACTTTTCCTCCTCCAGACTGAACAAAAAATGCCCTTTTATTTAAATTTGTTAGATTTTGAGACTTTGGATTGCTATTCTTTGGGCACAAAATCCACTAGTGAGAAGGTGAGGAAGCAAAACTGAGAACAATTTCAAAACATGTGAATAAGTTTGAGTCTGTTGAAACATAAGTCATGGTAGTGCATCTTGCCCAAAATGGAGATGGATTCTTCAGCACTGACTAGAGCAAGTAGCCTCCCCAAACTGGATCACACCAGAAACCCTTATTCAATCTAATGCTCCTCATAGGACGCTTTCTGAGAAAGAAAGGGACTTAACTAAATCAGTTTCATAGGGAACAGCAGAAGACCTTTCTTTTGTCTACCCAGACTCATCTAGTCCGGCCCCAGAACTAGCGTTCCGTGGTCTCAAACATGGGTCATTACTTAATAAATTAGTGTACATAGGATACACCATCCAAAATATGGCCTAAAACAATTCTTGAGTTTTGACTGGAGAAACCTGGAGAAAATGGTGTACAAGGGATCCAGGAAAAGTTTAGGGCTGAGAGATGCATCTCTCTGGGGAAAGGAGATAGGACTGGGCACTGGAAAAATGAAATAGTTTCTTCCCAGTAACTCGTCATTTCCATGAAGCCAAGACGATGCGAAAACTGAGGGAATCTGTGATTGGTTTACTTTACAAACTTGGTTGTTGTTTTTTTTTTTAATCTTTCCTACCCTATCAACATAGGGGACATAGCTGGGGAAAGGGTAACAAAAAATCGCCCCAGACTGTTTTCTGGATCAATCCAAAGGTGAGCTTAGAGCAATCAACCTTTAGGCAAAATACTTGGGGCTTTTCTGACAAGGGGGAGCTTTTTTTTTTTTTTTAATTTCAACTTTTATTTTAGATTCAGGGAGTACAGTGCAGGTTTGGGACAAGGGTGTATTGCGTGTTGCTGATGTCTGGAGTACGATTGAACCCGTCACCCATGTGGTGAGCATAATACCCAACAGGCAGTTTTTCTATCCTTTTCCCCCTTCCAACCTCCCACCTCTTACGGTCTCCAGTGTCTTCTGTTCCAGGGGAGCTCTTGTTTGAGCTTACAGGCTTTTCTTCCTGGAGGAAGCACCATCGTATCTTTGAGACGGAAAAGGTTAAAATAGATCAAACAATGATGCTCCCTCTTACGCTGTCATGTCCACTCCTTCATTGCAGACTTGAGTTCTTGGCTCATATTTCTGTACCCGAACGTGCATTATCATTATTAGTAACTTAGAGAAGAGAGCCTTCAAAGAAGGCAAAGATGTCACTTCTGATCATCTCGCAGTTTATAATTCTAAGGAATTGCTATTAGGAATTTTAGATGGAGTTTTATTCCTTCTGCCCACCTCCTCCCCCGCCTCTCCCCGCCCCCCTTCAAGTTGTTAAATCTCTAATTACGAAGTTAAAGGTTTGAAAACAGAAACTCAACGTTTCCTCACTACACTTCAGTCTTGATGTGTGCAAATTAGCACCCGCGTGCGGCCGCGTGGCCTAATGGATAAGGCGTCTGATTCCGGATCAGAAGATTGAGGGTTCGAGTCCCTTCGTGGTCGTGTTCTTACTATTGTCAGGAAATATCTTTACTTTCTGCACATCTCCTTGAGCTTTCTGCAAGCCAGTTAAAAAAAAAAAAAAACCGGCTTGTTCCCAAGACTTTGGGAACTTGAAATGAAAGAAGACTATTGACAAAAAAAACAAGAACCCGGTAAGCAACCTGTGTATTGACTATTAAAGTGCACTTTGTCCCTGGCATAGGTACTACCGGAGGCATTCGTAATTTGGAATGGGCTTGGTTTTTCAATTTATGGTCTTGTCCTACTTGTTTCATGAATTTAACAAACACAACACAAAATCACCCTTTTCTTTTTTTTTTTTTTTTTTTTTTTTTTTTTGAGACGGAGTCTCGCTCTGTCACCCAGGCAGGAGTGCAGTGGCACGATCTCGGCTCACTGAAAACTCCGCCTCTCCGGGTCAAGCGATTCTCCTGCCTCAGCCTCCCGAGTAGCTGGGATTACAGGCGCCCGCCATCACACCCGGCTAATTTTTGTGTTTTTTTAGTAGAGACGAGGTTTCATCATGTTGGCCAGGTTGGTCTCAAACTCCTGACCTCAGGTGATCCGCCCGCCTCGGCCTCCCAAAGTGCTGGGATTACAGGCGTGAACCACCGTGCCCGGCATTTTATTTATTTATTTATTTATTTTTGAGTCTCACTTTGTCGCCCTGGCTGGAGTGCAGTGGCACAATCTCTGCTCATTGCAATCTCCACCTCCAGGGTTCAAGCTATTCTCCTGCCTCAGCCTCCCGAGTAGCTAGGATTACAGGTGCCCGCCACCATGCCTGGCTGATTTTTGTATTGTTGGTAGAGAAGGGGTTTCACCATGTTGGCCAGGCTGGTCTCGAACTCCTGACCTCAGGTGATCTGCCCGCCTTGACGTCCCAAAGTGCTGGGATTACAGGCGTGAGTCATCGCGCGCGGCAGAAAAGTACCATCTTAATAGTAAGGACTATCATAATAGTAGGGGTATTGGGTGCAGGGTATATGGGAACTCTAATATCTTCTAAATTTTTCTGTAAAGCTAAGACTGTTCGACAATTATACTCTATAAAATAAAAATGATTTGTTTTTTTAAAGATAGACAGCCATGTGTTTAAAAAAACTTAGAGCAAAGATCTTGCCCTAGAAAGCAAATGCAACTCTAACGGGGTTCTTGTACTGGTTAACATCCGCATTAAAGATGATGGTGACTTACAGGGCCTATGCCATTCTCTCTGATTTCTACGATTTCCTTATTACTCTCAACACAAGCTTAAATAAAACAGTAAACAGAAAAGTAAAATCTTTCCAGACCTTGGTTAACAAAAGCAGAAACAAGGAGGAGAACGAGGAGGAGAAGGTGAAGGAGAAAGAAAAGAACAAAAAGAGGAAGAAGAGGAAGAAGTCACAATCAAGGAGAGTATATCACCAAGAAAAGAAAGTTTCTATCAAAAACTTTCTTTGGGCTCTCAAAACTCGAGAGTCAAACATTGTTAATAAATTTCCACAAAAATCTGAAGGTCACAAATCCAAATCCTAATAGGAAAAGCTTTCATCAAAATGTACTGATAAAGGCTCAATTACAACCTGGAACTCATGTGGTTGGGACACTCGCTCGAGCTCATAGTTTTGAAGGATGGCCAGAATTTAGAAACAAAGTGGTCAAAGAATGCACTATTATCACACTAAGAGTTTGGCAACCCTATCAGCAAAATGAGCCAGGGCCCTCTAAGAAACTCACAGGACCCACATATTGCTGAGGAAAAGAGGTATTTACTCACAACTGAAAAAACAAAACTGAATGTATGTCTTGCTTGAGCAGGGGTGAACTACAAGCAGATTGCAGTCTCTTAGTAAACAAACAAAACAAGAAACAAAACAAAAGGCAGGATATGCAGAGGAGTTTAATTAATTGTCAAGTGAAATTAAATTCACATAAATCAGCCTTTTGGGTGGTTCAAAGTAGAGACGGCTGTGAATTGTTCCTAGATTGACATACAAACAAATACTTATTTATTTATTTATTTATTTAATTTTTTGAGACGGAGTGTCGCTCTATCGCTCAGGCTGGAGTGCGGTGGTGTGAACTGCGATCTCGGCTCACTGCAAACTCCGCCTCCCGGATTCAAGCGATTCTCCTGCCTCAGCCTCCTGAGTAGCTGGGACTACAGGCGCATGCCACCAAGCCCGGCTAATTTTTTTGTAATTTTAGTAGAGACGGGGTTTCACCATGTTAGCTAGGATGTTCTTGATCTCCTGCGTGATCCGCCCGCCTCGGCTTCCCAAAGTGCTGGGATTACAGGCGTGAGCCACCGCGCCTGGCCTTACAAATCTCTTTTACTTAGGAACTACTGAGTTAAGATAAATGTGGGTGCTAAATTCCAATTTGGCCCGGGCATGGTGGCTCATGCCTGTAATCCCAGCATTTTGGGAGGCCGAGATGGGCGGATCATCTCAGGTCAGGAGGTCAAGACCAGCCTGGCCAACATGGCGAAATCCATCTCTACTAAAAACACAAGAATTAGCTGGGTTTGGTGGCGTGCGCCTGTAATCCCAGCTGCTAGGGAGGCTGAGACACGAGAATCACTTGAACCCGGGAGGTGGAGGTTGCAGTGAACTGAGATCACGCCACTGGCACCCCAGCCTGGGTGGCAGAGTGAGACACCATCTCAAAAAATAATAATAATAAAAATGAAATAAATAAATTCTGATTTGTTGTGTGAATTCATGGTTAATTATGCAAAAGTGGAATATTCTATTCTTAATTGACTCAAATTAAAATTTCATTTAAATGTCAAGTTTTAAGATACCAAGATTGAGTGCTGATAGTATTGTTATTACTTGAGCACAAACTCCTGGACTCAGTTCTCTTGTCTTGGTCTCCGAAAATGCTAGGATTACAGGCGTGAGCCACTCTGGCTGTCCCCTCAGTAATTTTTTTTAAGTAAAGTTTATTTTATTTATTTTTTGAGTTGAGGTCTCGCCCTGTCACCCAGGCTGGAGTGCAGTGGCACTGCAAGCATGGCTCACTGCTACCTCAAACTCCTAGGCCCAGGCAATCCTCCTGCCTTGGCCTCTGGTGTAGCTGGGACCACAGGTGTGCACCACCATACCTGGCTAATTTTTCTATTTTTTTGTAGAGACAGGCTCTCACTATGTTAGCCAGGCTGGTCTCCAACTCCTGAACTCAATTGATCCTCCTGCTTTGGTCTCCCAAAGTGCTGGGATTTGAGGTGTAAGCCACTGCTCCTGACCAATAATTTTTTATATTAATAAATTTATGGCCGGGTGCTGTGGCTCACGCCTGTAATCCCAGCACTTTGGGAGACCGAGGCGGGCGGATCACCTGGGGTCAGGAGTTCGAGACCAGCCCGAATAATATGGTGAAACCCTGTCTCTACTAAAAATACAAAAATTAAACGGGTGTGGTGGCGGGCGCCTGTACTCCCAGCTACTCGGGAGGCTGAGGCAGGACAATCGCTTGATCCCGGTAGGCGGAAGTTGCAGAGAGCCGCGATCGCGCCACTGCAGTCCAGCCTGGGCGACAGAGCGAGAGTCCGTCTCAAAAAATAAATAAATAATAATAATAAAATTTATGTCTACCAAAATAATTTATCTACATTATGAGCAAAATATGTCCATGTTTTGACTTGACACTTTTTGCACTCTCAACACTGCAATCCTCCTCATATCTTAAGTCAGCGTTTTGTTCATCCACTTGACAGTAGGGCAGAAAAGAGCCTTGAATGAATACCTCTCTGCAAATCCGACTTTCCCCGTTCAAATCTTGTCTCTTCCGCTGAGACTAGAGAGAATATAAGTAGCAAAACGCACCGCAAATACCCTCCCGGTTGCTCCAGGAGAAAGCTGGGTTCAGTAGCCTGTTGAGTATGAATCAAAAAGAAGTATGGGAAAATGAAAAGTATCTACATCAGAACAGGATCGTGATTCCTAAATTTCCGGACTAGTGGCCTGATGCATTTCCAGCTGAGCTAGCCAGAAGTACGATGGTTTTAGTGGGTATCTACTCTAACCCAAAACGTTCAGTCACTACTTAACCTTTCTTCCTCATTCTTTCTCTTGTATTTTAAACCCAAACACGCGAAAATAAACAAACAAACAAAAAGAAACACAAACTAAACAGTTGCTGCCTGCATCAAAGCTGCAGGCTGCTTCCACATGAGAACTGACACAACGTCACTTTCCTCAAACCTCCAATACCAGGGGCTACTGCTCCACGAATACTCAACCACACGCCCTCGAAAATGCTCAGCCTGTTTCCTGCGATGGAGAGTGCAGTGCAGTGAGGCACTCTCAGAGTCACAAAATCTTGGGCAACACGAGCCGTACCCTTCTGTGGGATATACACTTTGAAACCACTCACCTAGAGCCTTCTCTCTTCCCCAGGGCCTAGAGAAAGCTTGGCAGAGACGCGGCGCTTGGCTGCTTTCTTCCTCCACGCTTGTCTCAATACTATCCGTCTTTAAAGACGCGTCCCCGATTTTTCTTCTGCCTTCTTCTCCGCTGCTTCTTCTCTCCTCCACTCAGTGTTATCCCTCCCGGCTCCAAGAGCCCTTCCTTCCTTTTCAAAGCCTTCCCTTGCGTCCACTCCTCAGCTCATTTCAGTTCCCAGCCACTTGCCTTTCTAGTATAGTAAGAACATAACCTGTACATTAGGGACAAACTTCTCCCTACTCTCCCTTACGCCCCTGCTGGGTTTACAATGTTCTCCAAAATTCGTATCTGGATTAAACAGTCGCACCACATTTTGGCTACAGATGGGAAGGGTCTACTTTCTGCACTTCAGGGACTGATGAAATTTTCTCACTTGTGGGGGTGTAGGGAGGGTTTTACAAAGGGTGAATTGGTTTTCTCAGGTTGAGACCAGCTTCCTTTGTGCTTTCCTCCTTGCTCAAAAAAATTTGCTCTGAAAGAGTCCTCTGTCTTCGGCTTCGTTTGTGTTGTCTTTAAAACCAGAGCTAGTCAGGCTTGGCGGCAAACACCAGTAATCCGAGCACTTTTGGAGGCGGAGGCGGGAGTATTGCTTAAGCCCAGGAATTCAAGACCAGCCTGGGCAACACAGGGAGAAGACCGACCCGCCCCCTTCCCCCATCCCGTCTCTATAAAAAATCAAAAACAAAAAAACCTATAGCTGTAGAGTCGCCGATGAAGCCGCTGCCACATTTCCAAATCCAGATGTTGGACGCAACCTTGTGCAAAACTGCTACCTTTGTCACTCTTTGTTTTTGTCAATGTTGTGAATTAACCTCTTGTCTTTGCTTGTTTGGTTGTTTTTCAGGAGTTATTAACAACTTTATTGAAGTACAGTTGATATATGCAAAACCCCTACACGTTGAAGGTAAGCATATGAGTGAGGACATATGCATACATTTATAATGCTATTTCCACAATCGGTAATAAACACACTTATCAACTCCAAAAGTTTCTTTGTGTTCTTTCATGTTCATGGGTGGTAAGAAGACTTAAACATCAGAGTTATCTTTTTTTTTTTTTTTTTTATTTTGAGACTGAGTCTCGCCTGTCGCCCAGGCTAGAGTGCAGTGGTGCGATCTCGGCTCACTGCAACCTCCGACTTCCGGGTTCACGCCATTCTCCTGCCTCAGCCTCTCGAGTAGCTGGGACTACAGGCGCCCGCCACAGCGCCCGGCTAATTTTTTAAAACATTTTTAGTAGAGACGGGGTTTCACCGCGTTAGCCAGGATGGTCTCGATCTCCTGACCTCGTGATCCGCCCGCCTCGGCCTCCCAAAGTGCTGAGATTACAGGCGTGAGCCACCGCTCCCGGCCGAGTTATCTTTTTAACAAAATTTTAAGTGTACATTATGGTATTGTTAACTGAAGGCACTAGGTTGTGCAATAGATCTCTAGAACTTATTCATGTTTCATAACTAAAATTTTAACTCACCGAGCAACAACTCCCCATTTCCCTCTGCCTCTGGTCCCTGACAATCACCATTCTGTTCTCTGCATTTATGAGTTTGACTATTTTAGATACCTCATATAAGTGGAATTATGAAATATTTGTCCTTCTGTGACTGGCTTATTTCACTTAGCATAATGTCCTCCAGGTTAATCATTGATGCTGGTGCAAATGGCAGAATTTCTTTTTTATAAAAGGCTGAATAATATTCCATTGTATGTATATACCACATTTTCTTTGTCCACTCATCTCTCAATGGACACTTGGATTGTTCCCTTATCTTGGTTATTGTAAATAATGCTGCAGTGAACATGGGAGTGCATATGTTTCTTTGAAATTCTAATTTCGATTTTTTGGGGACATATACCCAGAAGTGGGATTGCTGGATCATATGGTAGTTCTATTTTTATCTTTTGAGGCGACCCCTTACTATTTTCCATAGTGGTGTCATCATTTTACACACCAACAGTGTAGAAGGGTTCCAATTTCTCTACATCTTTGCTAACACTTACCTTTTGAGTTTTTTCTTTTTAATAACAGACATCCTAATAGGTGTGAGGTGGTATCTATTGTGATTTTGATTTGCATTTCCTTGATGATTAGTGATGTTAAGAGCACCTCTTCACATACCTAGTGGCTATTTGTATGTCTTCTTTGGAGACATGTCTATTCAAGTCCTATGCTCGTTTTAAAAATCAGGTTATTTGGGATTCTAAGGGGTGTGTGTGTGTATGTGTGTGTGTGTGTGTGTGTGTGTGTGGCTATTGACTTGTAGCGGTTTAAAAAATTTATTTTGTATATTAACCCCTTATCAGATAAATGATTTGCAAATATTTTCTCCCATTCCATAGCTTGCCTTTTTCCTTTGTTGATTGTTTTCTTTCCTGTGAAGAAGCTTTTTAGTTTGCTATAGTCTCGCTTATCCATTTTTGCTTTTGTTGCCTGTGCTTTTGGTGTCATACTCAAGAAACCATTGCCTAAACCAATGTCAAGAATATTCCCCCCTGTTTTCTTCAAGGAATTTTACAGTTTAGGGGCTTAAGTTTAAGATTTAAATTCGTTTTTAGTTGACTTTTGTGCATTAACATCTTGTCTTGTCTCCTCACCTGGATCTACGTTTCCTCTGCAGCACTCACAGAACTCGTCTTTATATTCTCTGGCACTATCGCGCGCGCGCGTGTGTGTGTGTGTGTGTGTTGGCAGCTCCATAGAGGAGGTTTTTTTAAAAAGGAGAGAATCTGAAGACATACCAGAAGATTCAATCTTGGAACTTCGCTCCAGGTGGACGGAAACTGACAAAGAAAGTTGGCTAACAGCAGTCCTTGAAATAGATGACGGCTGTGAGAGGATCCAAGGGTCTTTCGGTCCAGAATGCCTTTCTCCTCTTGACACAGCGTCAAGACAAGATTCCATTCAGAAGTTTCAGAAACAGGAGTTAAAACATAGCGGACTTTAACCTATCATGCCTTAAGCCCTCACCTTTAGATAATAGCATATAATAAATCAGTAAGAAAACGGCATTGTAAGTGGGGGTGTAGCTCAGTGGTAGAGCGTATGCTTAGCATTCATGAGGCTCTGGGTTCGATCCCCAGCACTTCCACAAGTACATTTCCTTATATCTATCGTTGAACATTTCGTTTCAGTCTTTGAATACTTAGTTCCAGTCTTTTCTTTTTTCTTTGTGCATACACTAGCTTGTGTTTTTCCTACTCACAGCGAAGGTAAGCCATTTGGTACTCATTCATTTGTACTATGGGTCCTAACACTCCTTCAGCCTCCCAACCTGACTGCTTCAGCACAGCTTTATAGTTATTTACTGAAATAGAGAAGCTGCTTATTCAAGATCCCCTGAGAGTGAAGCAACAGGCATGCCGGTCATAGAAGACTCGTTCTCCTAGACCATCCTGGCTAACATGGTGAAACCCCATCTCTACTAAAAATACAAAAAAAAAAAAAAATAAAAATTAGCCGGGCGTGGTGGCGGGCACCTGTAGTCCCAGCTACTCCAGAGGCTGAGACAGGAGAATTGCATAAACCCGGGAGGCTGAGCTTGCAGTGAGCCGAGATCGCGCCACTGCACTCCAGCCTGGGCGACTGAGCAAGACTCCATCACAAAAAAAAAAAAAAAAAAAAAAAAAGACTCGTTCTCCTTTGCTGCCGTTTCTCATTACTATTAAGAAATCGGGGGGGAATAAAAAACAGAAAGAGAAGAAAAAAAAATCGCCCTTGGAAAACATCCATTAGATTTCTCTCCTCCCCCCCCCACCCCCACTCCACCCATATCTGACAGACTACAGACCTTTCCTCATTCTCCCCTACATTTCCACCACTCATAGAATCTTGGTTGGGCGGCAAAAGTGGGTCCAATCATTAGTCATGGGAGCGCTGTGATCTCAGCTTTCTCTAAAGAAGGAATGTTTAGAATTTTTTCCGAACGAAAGACGCTTCTGGCGAAACTCCGAGACTTTCAAAATACACAGTTGAGAAAATTATTTTCAGAGATGGAAAAAGCCGCTGGTCGCTCTCAAAGCGGTGTCAGTTTTGGACAAAAAGGGTTATGTTTTCCTGTGGAACAGAAGCTTGTAGTTCACCTCCCTTGGGAGGGAAAGACCTGGTTTCCTACAGCCAAAGAGGAGCCGAGGGGCCGGGCTCGGTGGCTCATGCCTGTAATCCCAGCACATTGGGAGGCCGAGGTAGGCGGATCAGCTGAGTTCAGGAGCTCGAGATCATGGCGGAAACCCTGTCTCTACTACAAACAGGAAAATTAGCTGGGCGCGGTGGCGCTCGCCTGTAATCCCAGCTACTTGGGAGGCTGAGGCAAGAGAATCGCTTGAACCCGGGAGGCAGAGGTTGCAGTGATTCGAGATTGCGCCACTGCACTGCAGCCTGGGCGATAGAGCGATATTCCGTCTCAAAACAAAACATTATAGAGGAGCCTAGGAGACATTGGCAATGCGGACAATTTCAGGGCCATCCAAATCTTAGGCCTCCGTAAAGATCTGGCTTGAAGCTCTCTCCTTCGTCCCTTCCTCTTCTGCAACCACCTGCCTCCACCTATCTCCCGACTCGTTTTCTTCACCACCTCTTGTCACCTTCACTTCCACTTTCTCCCATTCCCGTTGATTCAGTTCCACGGCTTCCTCCTACCTAAATGTCCTCCAGCAGCTCAGCTCACTACAGTTTCTGCAGCTCCACTTTCTAGGTTGGCGTTCTCAAGCCTGAATGATAATCGTCTGAGGGAGACCTTTCAATTGTGAAGATTCCCATCTTTCTCCCTATCCGGTGATTATCGGTCCACTATGGAGCTGTAAGTTACAAACCGGTATACCATTGAAGTTCTCAGGGCGGTTCCTCAGGCTCAGGAAACACTGCATTCCAGTCTAAAACCTTTTGACTCTTTATTGGAGGTTGTTTCTGGTTGGCTATGTTATAAATGGCGCCTTGCCTCTAAACGCCCATCTCAGTGACTTTCCAGCCACAACTGAGCCTCACTCCGTTAATTCTAGCGGGGGTGGGGACAGGAGACAAAAGTTGGGAAGGAACCAAGAAGTTGATACATAATTTATTCACATATTCAGGAAGATACAGATTTTGCACAAATAGGAAAAATATTAGAGAGAAAGGTAAAAGTAAGAGAAGACACAATGGTTTAGGATTACCTCCTAAAATTTATGTGGACATAGTTGGACACCCCAAAATTTAACAACAGGAGGAAAGTGTCTGTTATTTGTGCCATTGTGATGGTTGAGGTTTCAGAATCTCTCCAGGAGCACGGGGTAAGAGTAAAGAGGTTGTAACAGAAGTTTAAGTCCCTTAAACTTAAATGCCTCCTATGTGTTTCTTTGTAGGTCTCAGGAACGGAACTGCAGCGTCCCTGAGACGAAGCCACTGCTGAGTTTCCTGATCATGATGATCCACTGAAGAGTTTGCTAGAGCAGTGACTGTGACAGCATACACTTAGGTTTTTTTTTCTTTTTTCTTTCTTTTCTTTTCTTTCTTACTCTTTCTTTGTTTCTTTCTTTCGTTCGTTCTTTCTTTCTCTCTCTCTCTCCTTTTTTTTTTTTTTTGAAACTGATGTTTATTTCCCGTCAATGTTATTTCCATGTTGTCTAAGAGCCTGTGCAAGAATAGCTTAAGACCATTCAGTGGTTGCTTCTACCCATTCAGTGGCCTGAGCAGTTTGAGCTGCAGATCAGTCTTCTGTGTCAGGCTGAGCGCTCCAGTCTTCAGTAGGTAACTGCTGGATAGGCACAGACGGCACCTGCAGGCCTTCAGACCTGTCTGCAACCTCAGGCTGGGTAGCAGTGAACTGAGGAGCTGGTGCAGTCCATTCACCCTGAAATTCCTCGTTGGTCACAGCCTTTTCAGCAGCAGCTTGCTTTTCTTTTTCAATCTCTTCGGGATCTCTGTAGAAGCAGGGATCAGTCATGACCTCCCACGGGTGTTCACGGGAAATGGTGCAACTTATGCGCCGAACTTCTGGGACCAACATCCACCACATCACACCCACTGAGTGAGCTCCTTTGTTGTTGCATGGAATGGCAATATCCACATAGCACAGAGGAGAATCTGTGTTACACAGAGCAATGGTAGGTAGGTTAACATAAGATGCCTCCATTAAAGGCTGGTGGTCAACCCTGGGGTCAGTAACCACAGGAAGCCGTGGCTCTCGGAAGGCTGCCTGGATCTGGCTAGTGAAGGTTCCAGGAGTGAAGCAGCCAGCAATTGGAGTGGCTCCAGTGGCAGCAGCAAATTTCAGCACTGCCCTCTGGCCAGTATTCCTGGAGGATATAACACTGACATCAGCAAGGTTTTCAATGGCAGCAATGGCACGAGCTGCCAGCAGAAGCTTCTCTCAGGTCCTTTTCAGATTTATGATGTAGATGCCATCGCTTTTACTTTTATAAATGTACTGTTCCATTTGGAAGTAAAGATTGGTGCCACCTGAGTGGGTTCTTGCGGCAAGGAACTTAAGGACATCCTCCTCATTCATCTGCAGTACATCAAGGGCTCCGAACATTGTGAAAGTTTCCCTTCAAGTCACAACGGGAATCCAAAACAACGCCCTATGGACCCCTCTGTGGGTAGCGCGGAAAAGCACACATAGGTTTTCATTTGGGACCTGTTTTCTTCTTCCATCTGAATCTAGATTTCCCCAGACAACTTTCTGAGTTCTGCTCTTTTGTACCCTCCTCCTAGTATTTCTAATTGTGCAGACAGCCAGAAGCAGTGAAAATTCAGGGGCTCTGGTGCAACGGTGTAGGAAATCTGTGATAGGGTGGAGACTACCTGGAGAAAGAGAAACACACTGGAGTTCCAACCTGAAGCCAAGTGTGTTAACGTTGGCCAGGCTTGTTTGTGTGTGAAGCTTTGAGGTCGTGGGTCTTAGCTATTCCCTTTTCCTGGAAAGGGGTCTCCAAAATATGGATTCCCTCATGGATTACAATGGCCAGAGTTCTACTGCTTCATGGGGATGTTTTGTCTTTCATCGTTCTTGATAGCTGCCTGAGAGATGTGTTGAGGGCTCCACACCAAATACTGTAGGGTTATAAACAGCAAGAGGTAAAAGATGCCCTGAGAATCCATGCTTGGCAAAATGGAAGGTGGTCCAAGCTGTTTTTCACTGATTTGGCAACTCTGCGGGCCAATCAGGAGTCAATGAAATGAGGGTCAAAGAGAAAGAAGGTCTATCATTTTTTCTTTGCCCAGAAATAATTCAGACAGCAGCATGACCATAATATACCTGATGGGGATAGCCCTGCCAGGGGACTCTGTGACTTAGCTGGTTAAAACCTCTGTCCTGGGTTTGGGTCTCAGAGATAACTGAGCTAGTGATTCATCCTTGCTCCCTCTCCTGCTCCTTAAGGAACTAGGAGGAGCACGCTCTTAGTTTTTTCAAACAAAGGAAATTTGACGCTATATTTGGAATTTCAACTTCACATTTAAAACATCCTTTTTTAATACAAAAGGTAGCATGCAAAAGCTTTGACAAAGAAAACTGGTATCGATTTTGATACATTCACCAATACACGATTTGTATGGAAAAGAAAGTGCAGAACAATGATATACCATAGTTTTTACTTACTCTTTAACAAGTGTTTCTTTCTAGAAATTCAAGCAACTTTATCTAGTCCTATTCCTCATCCACACACCTTTGGCCACACCTGCCTTTGGGGCCTTTGGTACAGTGATATGTGAAGTATTATTAATTCATTTAAAGATTCAAGAACAAACAACCCTGAAATTCATCGAGGAAATGTAGAAGGCAAATAATTTAAATACGCTATTTGGCAATGCTTCTGAGATTTTTACTGCAGCTAGATGTTTTGGTTTGAGGAATGGGGGGAGTTATTCGGTGTCTTCTATTACATATTTTGTGTACATTTCCTGTGAAAGTCGATTTAATATGCAATAAAAATAACTGCTGCCAAAACCCAAGACCTAACTTTTTTTTCTTTTCTTTTTTTTTTTTTTGAGACGGAGTCTCTCTCTGTCGCCGAGGCTGGAGAGGTGCGATCTCGGCTCACCGCAACCTCCGCCTCCCGGGTTCAAGCGATTCTCCCGCCTCAGCCTCCCGAGTAGCTGGGATTACAGGCGCCGGCCACCACGCCCGGCTAATAGTAGAGAAGAGGTTTACACCATGTTGGCCAGGCTGGTCTTGAACTCCTGACCTGAGGTGATCCACCCACCTAGGCCTCCCAAAGTGCTGGGATTACAGGCGTGAACCAGCGTGCCCAGCCAAGACCTAACTTTTAAAACCTGTTGGTAGATCGCTTGCTGTAGGCTGTAAGCTATTGCAGCGAACGAGAGCTGGCTGTTTTCAGTCACCCAAATGATGTTTTAAGCGTTCGCGAGGCAAAGCGCTGAGTGCCACCTTACATTTAGACAACCTTTACACACTAACTCACCCAGAAAAACTTGGGACCTAATGCCCAGCCCCTCTGCTGCTCACAATTCAATTATCAGCGGCAGAGGCGGCTGGTGGAGAAGCCCCGAGGAGAGAGGCGGAAGGCAACCAGTGGGAAGATTTTCTGCTCCTCATCCTTGGACGACCTAATGCCCCTAAAGCAGAGATGCACGGAAAATTTTCTCTGAGCTGCCTATTTTTTCTTATTTCCATTCTTTTTTAGTCTATCTCTTTAGCGATACCGCCAAACGGAACTCAAAGTGCATGGGTCCGTAATGAGATTGCAGGGTTCGTGCTTCCTGCCAAGGAGATCTTGATGGAAAATTTATCTATTTAGGTTTTTTTTTTTTTTTTTTTTTTTTTTTTTTACGCTGGGCTACAAGTCGATATCTACATACAGTTAGAAATGATGCCATGACCCACACACAGCTTTGATGTAAGCCTAGAAAGTTTTAACCTTAATCAACATAATTTAAAAGATATTTGCGTCTGGAAAAAATATAAAGAAGAACTCCTTGTGGGGTAATTTGTGTCCCCCTTTCAATGTCTGCTTGTTTCACTCACGTTAGCAAGACATTCTTCTCAAGCTAAGTTTTATAAAAAGCCACAGATGAGTGCCAGAATAAATAGCATAGTATTAAAAGCAACACATTTGACACTGTCCTCTTTTTATAGGAGTAGGAGAAAAAGTGACAAACGCATGCAAAGAACCAGAAAGGAGAATGAAGAAAATGGACAACTGGAGGAGCCGGGGGTCGAACCCGGGGCCTCGTACATGCGAAGCACGCGCTCTACCACTGAGCTACACCCCCTGACCACATGAGAGTTCTGTTGGCTTATATATAAAATATCACTTGTTTTCAGTTTGTTGGTTTCATTTTCTGTTGGTTGGAGAAAGATCGCTGGATTAAATTCCACTACTTTCGTGAAATCACTGAACTGGATACTGTTTGGCAGCTAACAGTATCCTAATATACTTATAACAGTATACTAAGACACTAAGATTATAGTCCAAATGACGCAGTTTCTTATCCTCGGACTTTCCAGTTCCTGTTAGCCTGCTTCAAGCTCCATTCACAAGCAAACTGCATGAAAGCTACTTTCCTCCACCAGCAAAAAGCACAAACTTCCAACATTGAGGACTGTTCAGTCATGGAGAAGGATCCCTGATTTTAGTCTAGACCTTTAGTCCAGAGCTCTTCCAATTGAGCTATGTTTGCCACACTTCTATTTTCTCCCGCAATACTAACTCAAATGAAGTGCTCCTCAGTCCAGAGGCAGCCGTCGGCGAGCTGAATTCACACTGTATTTGTCGGACAGTGTGACAACATCCATTTTCCAGCTGACTCTCAATCCTCGTTAATGCATCCTAATAGCTGCAGTCCCAGCTGCTCGGGAGGCTGAGGCAGGAGAATGGCATGAACCCGGGAGGCGGAGCTTGCAGTGAGCCGAGATCAAGCCACTGCACTCCAGCCTGGGCGACAGAGCGAGACTCCGTCTCACACACACACACACACACACACAAACAAAACAAAACAAAACAAAACAAAACAAAACAAAACAAAGAAACCTAATAAATTTTTTCCCTTCTCACCATTCCTGATCAACTAATAATTTTTACAGCAAAAAAAAACTTTTTTTACATTACACATCTAGTATCCTGATGTAATACAATTGTATTTGGCAGTTCTTTTTGATATTGTCTTTCCTAAATTTAAGTTCTACATTTTTAATAATAAAAAATGTATGATGTTTCTTACATTAAAACTAGCTCCTAGTTTCCCAATCAGCTTCCGATCCACAATAAAGACTTGTTCTAGCTCTTAATAAAAAGGTGAATATTGAAAATAATTAGCAGTAATGTGCTCCACACTTTAATTAGGTCAAAACAATTGTGACAATTGTCTGTGACAAATCTCACAATGTGAAAAACAAAAGAAAACAAAGCTCTATCAGTTCAAAAGAAAGAAACTTATTCACCCTAGGTTAATTATGTGCAAGTAAAACAATATTCATATAAACATGTTTCAGCAATTGTCTACCCTTTTCAGGTTGGACTGGGAATGTCCTAGAAGCAGATGCATTGTCATTTAGTCTGCAATTCAGTAACCTTTCTCGTGGTATAGCGATTAAACGAGATCCAGTTTAGTGATTTCAGAAATAGTGGGATTTATCTCAGTGGATTTTCTCCCGCCAACCATTATGTTTTGAAAATTAGAAATACTGACACAGATATATCAAGATGTATCTCCAAGAGAGCTTGGCTATCACAAGAATGTTGCTCGGTGGTAGAATGCATACTTAAAATGTGTGCTGTCTTGGTTTCATTTCCTGAAAATGTTGCTGTTCTTTAGCTACTCACCAACAGCCACCCCTTCTTTTCTCATACGCTTTACTCGCATACATGATCCAAAGTACTCCCTTTAGTGCTACTCCATTTGTACGCCATAAACTTCTGCACCACCCAGTGCAAAAGACTATGACAAAGACTAGATGAAAGAGGATAAAACAAAGGATTAATAGCTCATTCAAAATCATCGCTAGGAGACAGAAACCTGACCCCACATTAACAGAAATTAACCTTGGGTTCCAATTCTCCACATCTTCGAAGATTATTAAAGACAAAAAGAAAAGAAAAACAAAGAACGCCACCACATTTTATTTTTTATTTTTATTTTTAAATTTTCTTTGCTGTGTCTGGCTCAACCAACAGGATGTGGAAGAGCAGAAAGTTTTTTGTTTGTTTTTTAATTCCTGTTACTTTTCTTCTATCTCCCTCCTCCACCTATCCATTCCACACTGCCAGGGAATTGGATTCAGCCATCATATGTAGGAGTCAATAAGTTCCAAGTCTTTCTTAGTGGGTAAATACATTGTATAATAAAAGTACTTAAGAAACCTGAAAGCTAAAAAGTTGGAAACAATCGAAGTATTGAAAGAGAAATTGAATAAAATTTTCAGTCTACAGTAAGCTGAGATAGCTCGGTTGGGAGGGCATCAGCCTGAAGATCTAAAGGAGACTGGTTCAATTCTGGGTTTTGGCAACTTTTCCTTTTCAGAGACTCTACCAGCGATCTGCCTTTGCAGTCTTAAAATTTCATATGAACTGCATCTCTTAATTTATATTTCGTAATTGATATTCGGGGGAGCAAAAGAGCATGGCACATAAGCAAAGGAATTTCGTGTCTGACTTCCTTTGCTTCTCCATATATAATAAAGCAATCGCGATGCCCCGTGAATTTTGATGTGTGAAATAAAGATGAACTGTAAAATTCATTTTGATACTCACAATTTTATTTTATTTTTTCTTAATTAGAGTGACATTAGACAGAAAATGAAAAATACCATGACAGGCCGAAAAAAGAGCGACTGAAAGGGAAAAGCTTTGTATTTTAGCACTTTTGATGGCAGTTGCCCCTGCTTTTTGAATAAGGGACCCTGTATTTTCATTTTACACTGGGCCTGTAAATTATGTAGCTGGCCTTCTTCAATATTAAATCGACATTCACAGTACATGTAATTGTAGTATCTATAATCGGCATTCATAATTACAGATTATTAATTCATAGTTGACATTTTACAAATTTGGAGAATTGAAGACATTCTAACTCTTCGCATGCCTATAGTTGAATTATAATCCCAAGAGCACTGGCCAGTACTGTATTAAAATCCACGCCTACAGTATACGTTCCCTCTCTAAACTTCAATTTGTTGTTCTTAACTCTTTATATAAATTGGAATACTTGAAACGACATTGCACAGAAAATCCCAATGGAAGATATGGCTTGAATTTTTTTTTAAAGCAAACAAAAAAATGGGCAGTATATTATAATTATTGTCCTGATCTTTGCTATTTTTATGTAGTCTTATGTTGGGAGGATGTACAGTTTCAGTTTGTTTCCAAAGCCTTTGGATGCCACCTGTTATGTCCAAAATCAGGGGTGGAGGATCTTCGAAGGTAGACAGGAACGATAGAAAAATCTCAAGTTTTAAGAGAGTTGGCAGAAAGGCACACTGACCTTGCCAACCAAGGCCCCGCTGGGAGTCGAACCCAGGATCTCCTGTTTACTAGACAGGCGCTTTAACCAACTAAGCTACGGAGCCCACGGAGACTGTTTTTGGTTTCCTTCTATCAGAGTATACCTTGGTATTTGTGGTAGAATTTAGATTTTCCTTTTTATTAAAAAAAGTTGTTCATTTCTTGGATTTTTATTTGGCCTTTGATTCCACTCACAGCCACTCAAGACAGTGAATAACAGCTTTAATGGAAGCACTGATTTGCCAGTCTTTTTCTTTTGCTCTTCATAACCTCACTGTAGTTGTCTTGGAGCCTTGTTGCCTCATGGGAACACAAGCCGAGGGAAAAATTCAAGCAAGATCAAAGAAGGAACTATGAGTAAATATTTTTATTTCAGGATCATTTTAGGCTTTCTAAGGCATTTGACTTAATGTTCAGATTGTGCATCTGTGACAGAAGGGAAATGCCACAAGTTCTTTCACTTTAAAAGTCAACCCCTGGAAATGAGCTCAAGCAATTCCTATGGTTTACTAAGTTTGAAAAGGAAGGAAAATGAGTGAAGGAGTTAATAACCTCAGTGACTTTTTCTAGGGAACATTACAACTCTTTATCTAGACTCATAAAGAGATGGAAGACAAGGAAGACAGGAGGGAGGAAAACAGAGTGTTCTGGAGCTTTAGCGACTATACTGTCCCTTTAAAATGGAACTTTCTCTGCCAAGAGGAAAATTCAAAGGAGATTCACAGATTAGGACAACAGCTACCAAATGAGTTAGTGGAATATATATGTGTGTCCCAGCTAGATTGATAGATTCATGCAGTTCAGTTGATAAGCATTCAAACTATTAATGTAAGGAATGAAGACTCGAGTCTCTGTCACCAGTATTTTTTTTTTTTTTTTTTTTTTTTTTTGAGACGGAGTCTCACTCTGCTGCCCAGGCTGGAGAACAGTCGCACAATCCCGGCTCATTGCAACCTCCGCCTCCCGGGTTCAAGCAATTCTCCTGCCTCAGCCTACCGAGTAACTGGGATTACAGGCATGCACCATGACACCCTGCTAATTTTTGTGTTTTTAGTAGAGACGGGGGTTTCACTATGTTGGCCAGGCTGGTCTCGAACTCCTGACCTCAGGTGATCCACCTGCTTCGGTCTCCCAAAGTACTGGGATTACAGGCATGAGCGACAACGCACGGCCTAGAAGTACAGTATTTTCTAAGAAGTTGAAAAACAATAATTCACTGCAACCTGCAGCTAAATCTGCTAAGATATGTTACAGCTAGTGATGGCAAAATTATGAGAAGGAGAGGAAGAGGCTTAGATGAAAAAGTTTAAATAACTTGTGATAAATGTAAACCTATTGTTATCTATTATATTATTCATTAACAGATAATTTGTGGAAAAAATTTGATGGTATCAGGTGTTATTGAACAGTAGACTTAATTTGCTCTGGTGGACCAGGCATCACTTTTACAAATTTTTGACAGAAATTAGAAGCTGAAGGTCCTGACAAGATGGATCACACAGCAGTTTAATGACTTAACGCTGACAAGTTGTATGTGTGTGTGTGTGTGTGTGTGTGTGTGTGTGTTTAACTCAGGGATGAGATGGAAATTTTTTTTTGAAGGGGAAGAACTGCCCTCAATTACTATGATCAAACACTGACTGGCTTTGGAAGTTAGCTTTTGTTTCAGATTGGATAATGCTTTTTAATAAATTCAGCCCAAAATTACAAGGTAAAACAATGTTTATGTATAAAACTTGTACTGCAGTAAAGTCATTTTGATGACAGCTAACACTGCTAGAATCATAGTAATATCAAGCTGCCCTGTGCACTGCTTGTGCTGTCAAAAGTTAAAAGAAGCAATTCTCCAATCCCACAGAAATTTTCAGCAGATATATTCTCCTAACTCGAACTACAGTACCAACAGTATGTTAAAAACTTAATGCAAGTGCAAAAGCAATTTTCATATTTCAAAATCTACTTAATTGTGCAATTGAGGAGCTTCACACTAAGCCTCACTTTGAAGTGACTAATTTGCAATGTAATGACATGCTAAAAGCAAACATAAAGAGATGAACCTACTAGAATCCATAAATGTCTTCCATGCAATGAATATGCCCCAAATTATATACTCACAGATTAATATTAGCCATTTGGCATCTCCTATCTTTATGAAAAGATATTTTCAAAGATGAAATAAATAAAATTGCACTACAGGTCATTAACAGATGAGCATTAGCAAATGACTTTGATGATAGGAAAGGCTAACTTTGAGCCCCCATCTGTAATAATAATAATTATTATTATTATTTAATTTTTCTCGTTATCAATAATTATACTCAATTAGTATTGTGTTTTGAATTGCATCAATAAATATGAGTAGACTTTTTTTCTCCCTTGTTATATAAGTACCTACATAATATCCTTGATTTGGCCATTTGACTTGCAAATCCTAAAATATTTACTACTTGGCCATTTACAGAAAAAGGTCTCTCTCAGGCATATTTTATAAGAGCACTAATCCCATTCATGAAGATTCCACCTTTATCACCTAATCACCTTCCAAAGGCCCTAAAGCCTAACCTAATAATATTGGTGATTAGGTTTCAACATATGAATTTTCAGTGATGGGGCAGTCACAAATATTCAGATTACAGTAGGAGTATATTTAAAAGCCTGGAAAACACAATTAATTTTGCACAAGCTTACTTTGACAAAGATTCCCTAGGTTGATCTCCAATAATTTCTATCTCCTAGTGTTCAAGTATTTGTGTAATACTCTTCCCTTGAGTGTGAATGGGACTTGTGATTTACTTCTAACCAATAGAATATGGCAAAGGTAAAGGGATGCCACTCCCATAATTACATAAATATGTATATAAAAACATACAATATATTGTTTATATTATTTATATACATACATTATTATAATCTATAATAATAGGTGTATATAAGCCATTTTTTATATAGATATGTAAGCAATTTTAAATATATGTACACACACAAATATATATTCAAAATAGAGCACAAAAACCCTGCCTAAGTCATTTGATGATAATGACAGCACTTGGGGTGGAGAAGATCCAGAGATTGAATCTGCAGTGAAAAAAAAGAAAATGACAATGGGAGATGATAGGAACAGAAGAGAGAGAGTCTGGTTTATTTGGCAGGCTTGAGTCTCAGGGGAATGACAACAGCATTCACTCCAAAAGGACCTGTAAGCAGCAACTGACATCTCTACTAGAGAGGGGAGAAGTCTTTAATACAATTCATTTATGCTGTAGATTTCAGGAACATGCTCCTATAATATGTGCTTGGCTGAATTACCAGACATTAGGGTGGATGGTCTTTCTGGGAAAGTGGAAGGAGTGTTTTCTGTGGAAAATGTAATTTTGATGCTACATAAAGCTGGTGGCATGGAATGGCTTGGTGTGGCACTTTTTGCATGGAAAAGACAATTCCCACTTACTTTGGATGGAGCATGTGTTCTAGAGCTTGTGTAATTTAGTTCACAGAACAGCTGGTGACTTTTTGTGACTCAAAGTTGTCCAAATTTGTGAGGTAGGAGAGATGCAGGTTTCTTTCTTTTTTTTTTTTTTAGATGGAGTTTCGCTCTTGTTGCCCTGGCTGGAGTGCAGTGGCACGATCTCAGCTCACCACAACCTCTGCCTCCCAGGCAATTCTTCTGTCTCAGCCTCCCGAGTAGCTAGGATTACAGGCATGCACCACCACACCTGGCTAATTTTGTATTTTTAGTAGAGACGGGGTTTCTCCATATTGGTCAGGCTGGTCTCGAACTCCTGACCTCAGGTGATCCGCCTGTTTCAGCCTCCCAAAGTGCTGGGATTATGGGTGGGAGCCACTGCGCCTGGCCTGAGATGTAGGTTTCCTAAACTCCTTTATTGAAACATTTGCAGTGGCCTCTGACTTTATGTGACCACTTGGTTTCTTCTAAAAAGTGGCGAATTATTTGCAACAAGCACTAAATTAACACAAACCAGACCAATCATCTTTTCTGTGACCAATGTCCTTTTCTCATGTTTCATGGAAATATCCTTAGACAAGTTTAAATTTTAACTGGGCTTATTTGAGCAAAGAACAACAAAATGAAACATAGCAAAACACAACAAAAACGATTGAAGAATCAGGCAACCCTACAAACCAGAGCAGGTTCAGAGAATGCCAACCAATAACATGGCCTAACAGCATAGGTGGGAAACATAAGTACAGTGGAGACAACCTCATTGGTTACAGCTTACTTTGTTAATTGGTTACAGAGCCTCCAGCAAGTAATTAAAGCTCAGCTACTGTAATTCAACTCCATATTAGTTTGATCTGTTAGGCTTAGTGGAGGAGGCCAGTCCAAATCAATGGCCTCCTAGATATTTTATTCAACAGATACAATAGCCTTTATCTTTCCTTCAAACCTCTTGCCTTATGCATTTAGGTCTCCCTCTATAATATTTTCTCCTGGTTTAAGTGAAACACAAAAACTATTTTCTGTCATAAACTGGATTGTGTGATCAAATTTATGTTGATTCATCAAAGTTATTATTAGGACTACAAATTTAGACTACTGGGAGGGAAAATGTAGAAATATCCCACAAACATAAGGCGATTGTCCTAACTCAGTGCAGAGGGTGTGTCTGCGCCCCCTGTTCATGTGATGGTGTGTCTGTGACACCTGTTCATGTGGTGATGTGTCTGTGCCCTCCTCTGATGTCTCCATAAATGCTTAGGACTTCCACTCCATTTCTTTTTTTGCAGCCTTTTCAAAAGGGGATGCTCTCTCAACAATACCCAGAGTCTGAGCTCAGCACTGGTAGAAGACAAAGGAGTTTTTCTGCACTCTCACTTCTTTCACTTCAGGATTCAAACCGGGCAGGACAGGGTAGCAAGTCTTTGTGGTGAATAAGCATCTCCTGCTTCCTCAGTTCAAAACTGGCATTGTTGAACACCTACTTTTCTATCTCTTAGGAGAAGGTAAAGAAACAAGAAAACGGCTTGTTTCTTTGTTGGGGATGATCTCTTCTACACCTCTCATCAGGGCCAGCTTCATGGGTCTGTGACCAGTGCGGTTCACAGGACTTTGGGCTCCACACATTGTGTAACGAAGTCTTGCTTTTCATTACTGGGTTCTTCATCCCACAGGATGCTGCTTTTTCCAAAGTACGCGAGCAGGCTGACTTTTTAAAAATGCTCCAGCCTTGCCGGACGGGGCGGCTCACGCCTGCAATCCCAGCACTCTGGGAGGCCGAGGAGGGCGGATCATGAGGTCAGGAGATCGAGACCATCCTGGCTAACACAGTGAAACCCTGTCTCTACTAAAAATACAAAAATTCAGCTGGCCGTGGTGGCACGCGCCTGTGGTCCCAGCTACTCGGTAGGCTAAGGCAGGAGAATCGCATGAACCCGGGAGGCGGAGGTTGCCGGGAGCCGAGATCGCTCCATTGCACTCCAGCCTGGGTAACAAGAGCGAAACTCCGTAAAACAAACAAACAAAACAAAACAAAACAAAACTACAACATCCTAATATTAATATTAAACTTTCCCCCAAATCCAAGAACGAACCCTCTTGAATTAATTCCTGATGCTAGTCTGAGGTGCATGAAAGATGAGGTGGAAGTGTGGTTAAGTGTCTAAGGAGATCCTTTTCAAGTTAAGGTGATTTTTCTGCCCTCAGAACTTTAATTTTTCCCACTAAATTTTTGTGAAGTATAAGACTGTAGCCAACATAGCAGTGATTGCTCAGAGTGGCTAGAGAGAGTAAGTGAGTAACAAAAATGTCAACAAGTAACTTTGGTAGGGTCGGGGAAGCCTTGGGAAGATGTTGGTAAAAGAATACAAAATTACAGTTAGAAGAAGTGCAAGAAATCTATTGTACAACATGATGACTATAGGTAAAAACAATACAATGTATTGAAACATGAAGAGATTTTAAAGTGTTGTCACTACAAAAATGATAACTATGTGAGGTAATGCATATGGTAATTAGCTCGATTTAGCTACTCCACAATGCATGCGTGTAACATTTTATTTTTTATTTGTATTTTAAATTTTAAATTGACAAGTAAAATTGTTTTTATCATATGAGATATGTATCTCAAAATAGTATGTTGTAGATAATAAAAACGTAATTTTACTTGTCAATTTAAAATTTTAAATACAAATAAAAAATGTTACATAGCACATTTTTTTAGGATAGGATAGTAGCACAGATTATCTTCTGGTAAATCAAGATGGTTTTGAAAACCCCAGGAAAATCCGAGACTCGTGGCAATGAAACCCGCCGTCTTCATTGGTGGTGATACACAACGTGGTATCAACTACTGGAGGTGCCGGGGATTGAACCCGGGGCCTCGTGCATGCTAAGCACGCGCTCTACCACTGAGCTACACCCCCGTTGCAATAGCCTTTTTTTTGTTCTAAACATTATAATTTAATCTTTCTCTTTGCTTGTGAGTTTTGAGAATCTGAAATTTAATACAAAGATCCCTTATGTATGACTCTATTTCTGAAACCTCTAGGTTTTTCTTTCTATCTTACAGGTACATCAGGAGAAGAGTAATTTGATGCTACACAAAAATATTACCATTCCAGTCTTGTCAGCCCACCCCAAATTTGGTTCCCAAGAAGAGGCCTGAAGGGCACTTCCATTCCTCCACCTGAGAGGGTCCCATGATGTAACAATCTCCAGCAGCTTGAAAATTTCTCTTGAGTGATACTTCTCTGTATAGTTTTGTTTCTTAGAATCATGTTAATGGTTTACACAGTCAAATTTAAAAACAAAACTAGCAACTATAGAGAAAAAGTACTTTAAATTTGAAAACAAATTGAAAAAAATAAAATCATTTCAAATGAATAATATCGGAATTTAAAAAGAGAACCAATCCAGGTAAATGTTTTACACGGTAGTTTGACCTTATAACTACATTCTAGATACAAAAGAACTGCAAATAGATGATCTCCCCTACAGTAGAACAGAATAGACAGCCTCAAGTCATACAGTTACACTGGCTTTTCTTACTTCTGCTGAGCCAAAATAACACACGCAAGGAGAATGAAACATAGACAAGTTTATCCAGGAGAAAGCTGGGTTTTACTAGGATTCTATTAGAACTGAGTAAGGGAAACAAAAAACATTATCAGGATCTGAAAAGGAGCTCAAACACTGGACCATCAAATTGAAAGTTTAATTTTCTAACAAATTATTCAGGGTTAAAGACATTTTGATTTTCAAAATCTCTTCAATTAAAAAATATTTGGTTACCATCCTAACATATATTTTTTTAAATATGTGTATATATAACATACATACACATATATATATTTAAAAATTATTCTATTTATTTATTTTTGAGACAGAGCCTCGCTCTGTCACCCAGGCTGGAGTGCAGTGGCATGACCTCGGCTCACTGCAACCTCCCCCTCCCAGATTCAAGCAATTCTCCCTGCTTCAGCCTCCTGAGTAGCTTGGATTACAGGTGCCCACCACCACTCCTGGGTAATTTTTGTATTTTTAGTAGAGATGGGGTTTCACCATGTTGGCCATGATGGTCTCAAACTCCTGACAGGTGAGCCACCTGCCTCGGCCTCCCAAAGTGCTGGGATTATGGGTGTGAGCCCTAACCTATATTTTTTAATGCTTTCCCTTGCCTTATGAGCCAGTGTGCTAGTAGTCACTCCTAGCCAAAACTTAGGTACCCAAGCTCAAAACTGCCAACAGATCCTCCTTCTCATTCAAATAGGTTCCACCACAGCCACAATGGAGTCAGGGAGTGGCTTTCCTTCTGTTTTCTTTGAAGCCACCAATATCAGTGGCTACTTTGTCAAAAACAAAAATTAAACTCTATGCATGCTTTCCAATGTGCAGTTTGTCTATCTCATTTATTGATCTAAAAGAAGTTTTAGCAACTTGATCCTCGACCAAAAAATTAACTGAATTACTAAAGAGGTGAGTGAGTGAAGAGGTGGCCAAGGTGAGAGTACCCCTAACTTTTTCTCTGAGGGTGAAAAGAATGTGTTATCTGTTGTGGAACTTGGGGCTTCCAAACTTAAGTTTAAACTGAGAGCCCAGTGGCCAAAACAGGTCAATCAGACACTTGGATTAAATATCTAAAACTCCATGTATTTTGGCTAGAGTGGGACCCCAATAAGTTTATTGTGAGTTCATTTACACAAAAGTCTAGGGTCATTTTGTGTGACTTTCAATGTTGCCTAAAAGATTGGTGGGCTATAAGATGCAAGAAACCAGCCGGGCGCGGTGGCTCACGCTTGTAATCCCAGCACTTTGGGAGGCTGAGGCGAGCGGATCACCTGAGCTCGGGAGTTCAAGACCAGCCTGACCAACATGGGGAAACCCCATCTCTACTAAAAACACAAAATTAGCCCGGGTGGTGGCACATGCCTGTAATCCCAGCTACTTGGGAGGCTGAGGCAGGAGAATCGCTTGAACCCCGGGAGACGGAGGTTGCGGTGAGCCAAGATCATGCCATTGCACTCCAGTCTGGGCAACAAAAGCGAAACTCCGTTTCAAAAAAAAAAAAAAAGAAAAAAAGATGTAAGAAACTACAAACTCTTGAAATAGGGCAAATGTAGTACGCTCTCTCTCTTTCCCCTTTCTTTCTTGCTTTCTTCCCTGGCTTCGTTACTTGGATTAGCAGGGAGACTTGGGGACAGCTCCTTCTTCTGTAGCACACATCAAGCACTGATCATCCACTTCTAAGGCTTCCAGAGTATGGCAGACAAAAGCTGAGGAAACAAAAATGTGTCTCATGTTTTTAGTACAGATGAGCTTTCATTTAATTGACATTACCTGAACATCTTCTTTTCTTCATTATAGGGGCTGTATATTGCTTTCCTCCCTAAACTAGAGAAATTGGAAATGGGCATTTCCATTTTTTTGTTTTATTTTGTTTTATAGGCTTTTATTGGTTTTATAGTTTTTCCCAAATCCAAGATTTAGTGCTCTTAAACTGAATCATAATGTCTTCTCCAGGTGAGTGATAGTTGAGGTACATTTACTACCAGGTGCAGGGAAGTTTGAATTTTGAAGGCACTGAATTTTGAAGGCACTGAATTTTGAAGGTAGTAAATGAGGTACATTTACTACCAGGTGTAGGGAAGCTTGAATTTTGAAGGCTTCTCAAGGGCAACTTTGAATCCTACTTATAGAATCCAAGGTCGAGTTCTGACTGTGGTCAATATGACCCTGAATGCTTGAGGTAGCTGGAGATAACACGTGGATAATGTCATAACAACGGGTTGCATTAAATGAGCACATCACTCCTTTGATAAACCAACTTTTTCAGAGGTGAAATAATTGGCCACATAGCTCACAGCCAACATGTAGCAGGACAGGTTTCAAAGCCAGACAGATTTCCTCCAAAGCACTTGCTCCAGATATTTTCTTTAGAGACAAAAATCCTGAATTCAAAAGACAGTTTGAAAAAGAGTGACTTTTGGATTCATTTTCTCTTTGACAATGTCAGTATCACTCATAGGAAGACATGTTGTCTTCAATGTTGAACAGTTCTCAGTTCTCATCCAATCCTTCAGTCAATAATTCTAGATGTCCACTAGGAAACTTGAAATTTCATCATCTGATCCATTCAGTAAGTTTTTATTTGTTTGTTTGGAGACAAAGTCTTGCTCTGTTACCCAGGCTGGAGTGCAATGGGGTGGTCTCGGCTCACTGAAACTTCCGCCTCCTGGGTTCAAGCTGTTCTCCTGCCTCAGCCTTCTGAGTGGCTGGGATTACAGGCACCCACTACCATGCCCAGCCAATTTTTGCATTTTTTAGTAGAAATGCGGTTTCGCCATGTTGGCCAGGCTGGTCTCCAACTCCTGACCTCAAGTGATCCACCCGTCCCGGCCTCCCAAAGTTCTGGGATCACAGGCGTGAGCCACTGTGCCCTAGTGAAGTCTTTTTTTCTTTTCTTTTCTTTTTTTTTTTTTTTTTTTTGAGACGGAGTCTTGCTCTGTCGCCTAGGCTGGAGTGCAGTGACACCATCTCGGCTCACTGCAAGCTCCGCCTCTCGGGTTCACGCCATTCTCCTGCCTCAGCCTCCCCAGTAGCTGGGACAACAGGCGCCCGCCACCACGCCCGGCTAATTTTTTGTATTTTTAGTAGAGACAGGGTTTCACCGTGTTAGCCAGGATGGTCTCGATCTCCTGACCTCGTGATCCGCCCTCCTCGGCCTCCCAAAGTGCTGGGATTATAGGCGTGAGCCACCGCGCCCGGCAGTGCGGTCTTATATAATGTTTGCTGAAGATTTGCCAAGAGGTTGGTGAGGAAAGGGCAGATCTTGCCCTCCACAAATCCTGTTTTCAGGATTTGTAGTATGAATGTGTCTCAGGTTGATTTTATTTTATTAAAGCTCTTAAAAATCAGAGACAAAGAAACAAACTTCCGAACTCATATAAGTTAGTGGAGGTTTTGCACCAGTTTTCTCATACTCCTTGCTTTAGAACTCATTAACCAAAGATATTTAAAACAAGATCTAAGAATGCAGCCATTGAGTAAAGAAATGGAATTTCCTTCTTGGGGCTAGAATGTGAAGAGAGGCTGCCAGGTGAAAAGAAAAAAGTAAAGTTGGCAGATAGAAATTGCTTTCCTCTGGCTAATTCAATATAAAAAAAGTGTATTCATATTCATACCTTTGAAAACCTTTAAAAATATCAGTCAGTTGACTAGAAATACTGAGTAGCAGGGTAATGAAAAGCATGGTGATCATATTGAAGAAGTGGGAAAAAAAAAGCAAAGGTAGCAACTGCTCTTGTTTACACTGTAAATGTTCTGGCTCACTTGTGAAATATTCACCTTTTTCTTTGCAGTTGATAATATCCATTTTAACACAAAAATAATTTGCTTCTTCCACATGGGGTGTCTTCTGATGATAATGGATGTTTGCAGAAAATATTTCATTTATCTATTCAAAAAGAAGAAAAAATGAGATGAGTGAAGAAATACAGAGAACTGGATAGGATAAAATATTTTGGCATGGTAGGTTATCTAATTCATTTAATGCAGACTTGTTTATTTTTTCACCTATTATTCTTGGCAGTATTGTAGTTCATTGAAAGCCATTGTTCTGTTGTCCAATGTCCATCCACCCACTCACCTAGAAATTGCTGTTATCTACGGCCATCTGTTCGCATTGTTAGACCAAACTTTTGATGGCAGGTACTGTGAAGATTGAGGTGAAGGGAGGAGACTAGTAGGATGATCAATGAGAAAATGCTCTGTTCTTCCACCTTCTCATATATTCATTGATGCTTTCCTGGTTTTGATCATCACACTGTGTTCACATAGATATTAAGATTAGAGGAAGACAGCAGACAGTTTGGGTATGCCAAAGAGAAGCCATAAAGTGCTGCCTGTAAGTGAAAAGGGGAAAGTTCTCTACTTAATACGGAAAGAGAAAAAATTCGTATCCAACGTTGCTAAGAGCTATGGTAAGAATAAATCTATCCTTGAAATTGTAAAGAAGGGGAAAGTTCTCTACTTAATAAGAAAAGAGAAAAATAATTCGTATCCGAGGTTGCTAAGAGCTATGGTAAGAATAAATCCTCTTTCCGTGAAATTGTAAAGAAGGGAAAATAAATTCTTGTTAGTTTTGCGAAAGCTACTGCTACAGTGTGTGATAAGTGCATGGAAAAGGCACTAAATTTGTGGGTGAAATACGTGAACAGAACACGTGTTCCACTTGACGGGGTTTCTACGGTGGTGGCAGCTTACGTGTTTTTCAGCTTCTCTCATTCTTACGAGGAGATGAAACATGAATAGCTATGAAAATATCACTGGGGAGGAAAAAAAAAGCCTGTGTAGAGGGAGTACCCTGCATTCCTGACTATGGCCTTCTTTGTCCTGGCGCCTCTCCTTGAGGAACCTGGCACCTCTCCTTGAGGAACATGATTTTTGCTTAATCCTTTCATATTCTAATTGATAATTAATGCCCGATAAAAGATAACCACTATGTATACAAAAAGTATAAAAAGATTAGAAGAATCTAGGTGGGAAATATAAAAACTCTGTATTTGTTTTGTAACCTTTCTGTAAATCCAAAGTTAGTTGTAAATGTAAAAGTCTAAAATTTGCACTAGAAATAATGAGAAGTAAGCCGGGCGTGGTGGCTCATGACTGTAAGCTCAGCACTTTGGGAGGCCAAGGAGGGCGGATCACAAGGTCAGGAGTTCGAGACCAGCCTGGCCAAAATGGTGAAACCCCGTCTTTACTAAAAATACAAAATTAGATGGGTGTGGTAGCACACACGTGTAGTCCCAGCTACTTGGGAGGCTGAGGCAGGAGAATCGCTTGTACCCGGGAGGCGGAGATTGCAGTGAGATGAGAGTACGCCATCGCACTCCAGCCTGGGTGACGCTTTGTCTAAAAAAAAAAAAAGAGGGGGGCCGGGTGCGGTGGCTCACACCTGTAATCCCAGAACTTTGGGAGGCCGAGGCAGGTGGATCACCTGAGGTCAGGAGTTCGAGACTAGCCTGACCAACATAGGGAAACCCTGTCTCAACCAAAAATACAAAATTAGCCCGGCGTGGTGGCACATGCCTGTAATCTCAGCTACTCGGGAGGCTGAGGCAGGAGAATCACTTGAACCCGAGAGGTAGAGGTTGCAGTGAGCTGAGATCGTGCCATTGCACTCCAGCCTGGGCAACAAGAACGAAATTCCATCTCAAAAAAAAAAAGAAAAAAGAAATAATGAGAAGTAAAGGAAAATTTTCATGAGCCTCTTCTATTTCTCCTTTTCTTCAATAATAGGGAAAAATAGAAGACAAACTGAATATCCTCATTATTGTGATAGTACATCTTGATGTCAAAAGAACCTGTGTAAATCAGATCTGTTACTAATTTCTATCCTCCTTCTTTCGTGATGACAGTTGTTTGGATGGTGCCAAGACTCACAGAATAAAAATGGGGCAGAGCCACCCCTAGGATGTTGAGTAACCCAGACAAACATATTTGTTTTTTGTGGGGCCCCTGTCCATGTGAATAATATATATATATTTATATATATATAATGTGAATAATATATATATTTATATATATATAAAGTGAATAATTAATATATATATTTTTATTTATATAATGTGAATAACATACATTTATATATAATATATTAATATCATATATATAAATATATATGATATATTAATATATTATATATAAATATATAAATATATATATTTATAAATATAAATATATATATTATATATATTTATAAATATAAATATATATATTATATATATTTATAAATATAAATATATATATTATATATATTTATAAATATAAATATATATAATATATATATTTATAAATATAAATATATATAATATATATGTTTATAAATATAAATATATATAATATATATGTTTATAAATATAAATATATATAATATATATGTTTATAAATATAAATATATATAATATATATGTTTATAAATATAAATATATATATATAAATATATAAATATATATAAATAAATATAAATACATAAATATATAAATATATATAAATAAATATAAATACATAAATATATAAATATATATAAATAAATATAAATATAAATCCTTATATATAAATAAATATAAATATAAATCTTTATATATAAATATATATAAATATATTTATATATGAATCTTTATATATAAATATATTTATATATGAATCTTTATATATAAATATATTTATATATGAATCTTTATATATAAATATATTTATATATGAATCTTTATATATAAATATATTTATATATGAATCTTTATATATAAATATATTTATATATGAATCTTTATATATAAATATATTTATATATGAATCTTTATATATAAATATATTTATATATGAATCTTTATATATAAATATATAAAAATATAAAGATTTATATATGAATCTTTATATATAAATATATAAAAATATGAAGATTTATATATGACTCTTTATATATAAATATATATAGATATAAATATTTTTATATGAATCTTTATATATAAATATATATAAATATATGAATATATACATAAATATATATAAATATATAAATATATATAAATATATAAATATATATATAAATGTATATTAAATATATAAATATATAGATTATATATATAAATGTATATTAAATATATAATATATATTTATATATAAATTAATATAAAGTTATATAAATATTATATAAAAATTATATATATCTATAAAAATATTATATATATATAAATATATTTATAAATATATACGTATATATTTGACACAGCGTATCACTCTGTCGCTCAGGCTGGAGTGCAGTGGCTGGATCTTGGCTCACTGCAACCTCTGCCTCTTGGGTTCAAGTGATTCTCCCACCTTGGACTCCTGACTAGCTGGGACTACAGGCAAAAGCCACCACATCTGGCTAACGAGTATATAATTTGATTAAAAAATGTTTTACAAAATTTAGGGGATCCTGTGAGGATCTTGTTGTGTATTAATAGAGATTTAGAATAATGGGTACTTACATATTTGTTTACAGCCTAATCAATACTCAGAAACATTTTTCGTAGTTTTCTGGCACCAACTCATCCTTTTCAGTCCAGAAACTATCTGTTCATGTTATTTATTGTTAATCACACTGTTTCTGGCTAATTCTATGTTTCCTACCATGAGTAAAAGGTAGCAACATTGTTATTACTCACAATACCGCGGCTCTTTGGAACTCTTTTGTGTTGAAACAATATGGATCTTCCTGCTTGTACAGTTCCCAAATGCCTTTTGTTGGATGCTGACTGCATCCTTACTCATGAAGCTGCATCAGCTTTCTTTCCACCTGTAAATGCTGGCTTCCAACTTCTCTTTAGAAGGTTATTACTATGACTATGTTAATAATGACCACAAATGTAAGTCATATCCACAGTATGTAGGAAAATGTGTACAGGTTAACATTTTTTTTTTTTTTTTTTTTTGAGACAGAGTCTCTGTCACCCAGGCTGGAGTGCAGTGATGCAATCTCAGTTCACTGCAGCCTCTGCCTCCCGGGTTCAGGTGATTCTCCTGACTCAGCCTCTAGAGTAGCTGGGAGTACAGCTGTGCACCCCATGCCTGCCTATTTTTTTTGTATTTTTAGTAGGGACAGGGTTTCGCCATGTTGGCCAGCCTGGTCTTGAACTCCTGACCTCAGGTGATCCACCTGCGTTGGCCTCCCAAAGTGCTAGGATTACAGGCATGAGTCACAGCGCCTGGCTAGGTTAACTTTTTCAGTCAAGTTAAATTTACTATTTGAAATTTAATAGCATAAATGTAGAATAACACATCTAGCAATATGTTCTTCTGAACTCTTTAGAGTGTAATCATTGGATTCGTAAAATGTGATTTCTTCATTGGCAGACGTAGCCTCTCCAATAATTTTTATATTTTTCAGTCCAAACCTATTCCTGAATCTGTGTAACCATCCCCTACTTGCAATATATGGGTTGGTGTCAATCATTTCAGAGGATCCCTTGATGAAGTCTTCATATGGGCTCAGTGTTTTCTGGTATAACGTGTTGCCCTCAAGTAGATTAAGTGTTCTGTTCACGTGTTTCACCCACATATTTACTGTCTTTTAAATGTTAACTATGCACTTATCACACACTGTAGCAGTAACTTCTGCAAAACTAGCACAAATTTCTTTTCTCTTTACAATTTCATGGATAGAAGATTTATTCTTACCATAGCTCTTAGCAACCTCTGATATGAATTTGTTTCTGTTTCCTTATTAAGTAGAAAACTTTCCCCTTTTCACTTAAAGGTAGCACTTTAGGGCTTCTCTTTGGCATACCCAAACTGCCAGCATCACTACTCTTGCACTTTGGGGCCTTTATTGAGTAAAATAAGGGTTATTTGAACACAAGCAACGTGAGGACAGTAGCTCAGATAACTCAGATGGCTACTGACTGACTAACTAGTGGGTGGCTTACTACACAGCGTGGATATGCTGGACAAATAGATGGTTTACTTCCCAGGCGGGATGGAGCACATGAGGCGACATTTCATCATGCTGCTCACAACAGAGAAATTGAAAACTTATGAATTGTTTATTTCTGGAATTTTTCATGTAGTAATCTCAGATCGCGGTTGACTGTGGGTAAGAAACAAACGATGAAAGTGGATTACTGCTATTCATTTTAATTCCAAGGGCCTTGGTTCTTCCTAATCCCACGCTTCAATGCAGCATTATTTAGACATACCACCCAAAACGTAGACCTTAGGCTACTTTTGAGTCTGTTGCCACTCATGAAGCAAATCGTGCTGTTTTCTGCCAAGGGTCCCTGCTCTGGGCCGCTAGGCAAATGAGCATAATACATGGAGGTGCTGGGGATTGAACCCAGGGCCTCGTGCATGCTAAGCACGCGCTCTACCACTGAGCTACACCCCCTTAAAGCTAGCTTTTTTGCTATATTTTATAACTGGCTGTCACTGTTATCTGCTAGTGTTCTACGATTTAAACCGAGGTCAAAGTCTACTCTATCCAACTCTACTATTTCTGAAACCCTCAAGTTGCATTCTGGACCGAAAGATCCCTTTAGTGCTATTAGGGTCTTTCATAATGGCGGACCCTCCAAAGACTGTTCCTAGGGAACTTCCCGAATGGCAGCTTTTGTCCACCACCAAGGAGAATCCCAGGTAGAAATATTATCTTAAACAGTCAACTTCCTACTTTTCTGTCTGCAGTGCTCCCAGAAAAACATAAACGGTACTACTAGGGAATACTAAGACCAGTACTAGGAGAGCTACTCAGGGAACGGAGGTCCAAGAGAGGAGATAAGACTGGAGGGGAATTAATTCACAATATCAGCGTGAAATGAAGTGTAAAGCATGTGTCAGTCACAACCCTCCCAAGCCGCTGGGCCCAGCGTCTACGGAAGCGTGGAAGCGGCATTCTGTCCAAGACGCTGCTCACTGGCTGAGATCCCTAGAGAGCGAAGACCAGAAAGAAAACAGCTCCAGGCGACTTTCACCTCTTTCAGGCAAAATCCTTTCACGGTGAGGCGAACACAAAGAAAGCAAGAGGAAGGAATTCGCTCTTTTTAAGACCTCCCTGCGCCTGGACAGGTCCTCAGACCCTGTGTTCCTGGAGCACAAAAGGTAAGGGTTTCCTGTCTTTATTCAACATGCGTGTGCCACAGTCAACCCAGGCAAGTGTTTTGGAGACAATGGGGGTTGGGGGCAAGAATGTAAGTAATTTAAGAACTCCCCCAGGTGACTCTGAAAATCAGCACGGTTCGGTTACAAGTGGAATGTCTGAGAACGGAAGAGAACTGAAGAGGAGGACGAGAAGAAGGAAGGAGATAGAGAGTGGAGGGTATTATGGGCGAGAGTGGGGAAAGTGGAAGAGATGAAGCAGCGAAAGACGAAGAAGAACAAGAGGACGAGAAGACAGGAAGCGGGTTCAGGCAGGGGACTCGAAACACCATCAGCATTTAAATAGGGAGGGAGACTGGACGTATCCAAGTTCCCCTATCTGTCGCGTTTTCACCAGGCCCACGGCAAGACAGAAGGTTTCACTCTTCTAAACAAAGTAGGCTGAAAACGTAGGTCCTGCACGAAGATTTGGTTTGTTTTGTTCTAGATTGTCGCGGGTTGAGAGCAATTCGTTGCTCTTTTCCTCTCTGGATAAACAGGTTGAGCGCTTCACCAGGCGTTCGTGTGGCTGAATTTTTGTGCAATAGGTACTGGGAATGGCAGTTTTTTTTTTGTTTGTTTGTTTTTGTTTTTTGAGACGGAGTCTCGCTCTATCGCCCAGGCTGGAGTGCAGTGGCGCGATCTTGGCTCACTGTAAGCTCCGCCTCCCAGGTTCACGCCATTCTCCTGCCTCAGCCTCCCGAGTAGCTGGGATTACAGGCACACACAACCACGCCGGGCTAATTTTTCACTTTTTTTTTTTTTTTTTTTTTTTTTAGCGGAGACGGGTTTCACTATGTTGGTCAGGCTGGTCTCGAACTCCTGACCTCGTAATCCTCCCGCCTCGGCCTCCCATCGTGCTGGGATTATAGGCGTGGGGAAAGGCAATTTTATAAAGAACATCTTGAAAGCCACGCCCGGACTCTTTCGGTATTCTTTACTTGCATCCTGCACTTGTCTTAGCTGGAGTCAGAAGAGAAACAATTTGAGCAGAGAAAATATGTTTGCCATAGTGTTGTAGGACCACACTATTGTCTGCCTCATCTCATAGGGATTAATTAATGGGCTGAAGATGAGGGACCATTCTGACAGGTGTGTAATGACATCTCATTATGGTTTTATTTTGCATTTTCCTAATGGTTAATGATGCTGAACATCGTTCCATGTGCTTCTTTGCTACCTGTATATTTTCTTTGGTAAAATATTTCTTTATGTCATGTTCTAATTAATTTTTTGTTTTTTACTGTTGAGATTGGAAGTTGTATTCTAGTTCTTTATATATTGATACTAGGCCCTTATCAAATGTGTGGATTTATGTCTGCCACTTTCTTATTTGATTTCCATTTGTTCTCTCTGGTGTTTTTGTTGTAGCATTTGTTGTTCTGTTATCCTTTTTCTACCTTTTTCTGGATGTCTTTGATGTTTTTCGTATTCCATTTTAACTTAGTCATTGGCTTTTTCTCTATATCTTGTTACTTTAGTGATTGCTCTGTGATTTAGTGATTACAATATGCACGCCATCCACTTAGACTTCATGAAAGTCCAGCACCAATATAGGATCCTTTACCCCTTCACCAACTTTGTTATAGTTGTCAAATGTATTACACTGACACATGGACAATTCCACTAGATAACACCCATATATATTTAAAATAACCTAGGAGAAAAAAATTATTTTATATTGTCACAGATATTTATCATTTCAGTGGCTTTTCCTTCACTCCTGAAGATCCAAGTTTCCCTCTGGTATCATTTCCTTTCAGCCTGAATAATTTTCTCAATATTTCTTACACAGAAGATTTGATGGTAATGCATTCTTGTAGCTTCCCTTCTTTGAGAATACCTTTATTTTCTCCTCATTTCTGGATTGTCTCTCTAGATACTGAATTCTGGATTAATATTTCATTTATCATTTTAAAGATGTTGTTCCACTGTCTTTTGACTATCATAGTTTCTGAAAGAAAAATCCACATATTTGGATTGTGGTCTCCGTTTTAAAATTGTGTTATTTTCTGTAGTTGTTTCCAAGATTATTTTTTGTTTGTTTTTAAGATAGGGTCTCACTTTGTCACTCAGGCTGGAGTGCAATGGTGTGGTCACAGCTCGTTCCAGCCTCGATCTTCTGGGCTCAAATCATCCTCCCACCTCAGCATGCCTCTCTGCCTTCTGTAGCTGGGACTACAGATGTGCACTACCGTGCCTGGCTAAAATAGCTTCCTTCCTTCCTTCCTTCCTTCCTTCCTTCCTTCCTTCCTTCCTTTCCCTCCCTTCTTTCCTCTTTTTTTTTTTTTTTTTTTGAGATGGAGTCTCACTATGTTGCCCAGGCGGGTCTCAATCTCCTGAGTCCATTGATCCTCTTGCCTCAGCCTCCCAAAGTGCTGAGATTACAGGCGTTAGCCACCATGCCCAGCTCCAAGATTTTTAAAAAAGCTTTTATTTTCAGCAGCTGGATGATAATGTGTCTAATTAGTTTTTTAAATTTTGATTGGAAGTTTCTTGAATCTGTAAATTTACATCTTATTTTTGTCATTATTTATGTAAATATTTCTCTACACCAGTCTTTTTTCTCCTGAGACTCCAATGACATCTATTTTAGACTATTTGATATTATTCTACAGGACCTTGAATTCATTGTTTTCAGTCTTTTTTTTCTCTCTCTTCCCATTAAATTGAATGGTTTCTATTGATCTATCTTTAAGTTAACTGATTTTTTTTCTCTACATCTCCACTGAGTCTATCCATTGAACTTTTAATTTCAGATATTATATTTCAGGTCTAAAATTTCCAGTTGGTTTCTTTTTCAATACTTTCTATTTCTTTTTGTTTTTTTTGAGACAGGGTCTTACTCCAAGGCCCAGGCTGAAGTACAGTGGTATGTTCATAGCTCACTGCAGCCTTGAACTCCTGAGCTCAAGTGGTCCTCCCATCTCAGCCTCCTGAGTAGCTGGGACTATAGGTGCTTACCACCACACCTAGCTTTTTTTTTTTTTTTTAACCTTTGATAGCAGATATCTCTAGCTGTGTTGCCCAGGCTGCTCTCAAATTCTTGATCACAAGCAATCCTTCCCCTGAGCCCCTGTAAAGTGCTGGGATTACAGTTGTGAGCCACCATGCCTGAACAGTTTCTATTTCTTTTAATAAAAATTTTTACATTTTAGTTCGTTAAAGTATGCTTGGCATAGACCACAGTTAAAATAGACACTGAAAGTCCTCATCTGATAATTTCAAGATCTGAGTCACCTTGGATTTGCCATCTATTGATTGTATTTTGTCTTGAAGATTGAATATATCCCCCTGGATCTTTGTATGTTGAGAAATTTTTTATTGTGATGATTTTGTGGAGAATGCTTGATTTATTTACTTGTTTTTAGCAGATAACTTACCTGATTAGTTCATACTGAAAGTTTTATGTCTCAGCCAGGCATGGTGGCTCACGCCTGTAATCCCAGCACTTTGGGAGGCGGAGGCGGAGGCGGGCAGATCACAAGGTCAGAAGATCAAGACCATCCTGGCTAAAACGGTGAAACCCCGTCTCTACTAGAAATACTAAAAATACAAAAATACCAAAATTAATTAGCTGGGCATGGTGGCGGGCACCTGTAGGCCCAACTACTTGGGAGGCTGAGGCAGGAGAATGGCGTGAACCCGGGAGGCAGAGCTTGCAGTAAGCAGAGATTTCACCACTGCACTCCAGCCTGGGCAACAGAGCGAGACTCCATCTCAAAAAAAAAAAAGTTTTATTTTCAAAGCTTTTGTTATGCTGTTTCAGGTCTTCCCTTGAGCATGTCCCACTTGGTGTTAGTCTGAGATGGAGGTCTTCGTATAAATATACTGTTAGTTTGGAAAGAATTTGTTATGCTGTTCTGGTTCTGTCTATAGCATGCACAGCTCAGAGCTAAGCCCAAGACGTATGTGGCTTTATATACAGATTTTAGGGAATCCTTTCTTCAATCTTTCAGGATTCTCCTTAACTCTTCAGACTTTTCTCAACTTTTCCTTGATAATTTGGCTAGAAATATGGAGTTTCTGTCACAGTTTCTGTTGCCTACACAACTGCTTCATGATTGGGGCTCACTCTCAGTAAAGAGCTGTGAGAAAAATACTAAAAATAAAAAAACTCATCTTTAATTCCTTGCGGGTCACCCTTCCAAGTTTTTATTGCCTCCATAATCTAATTGTTTTTGTTGCTTGATAAGTTTGGTGGGGGTGGGTGTGTGTGTGTGTGTGTCCCCTCTCCCCATAATTTTTGCTATAATCAGCAAGATATATTGTGATGGGATTATGCAAACATAGAAAACCTGGAATCTTCTGCTTGTAAAGTTTTACTTTTAGTTCTTAAAATGTTGAGCTTGATTCTTAGAGCTCCCAAGGGAAAAATGCTTTCACCAGAGGCCACCAAAGGAACGGTTCCATTAAACCGGAAGTTGAGAATGACATTTTACCACTTTGGCCTTTTTGTGCCAATAAACCAGCAGGCAAGGAAGGGGCTTACTCTTGGTGATTGCTCATGGTGATTGATCCTGATACCAACTTAAATTGGGACGTTACTACACAAATGGGGTTATGAAGGAATATGTCTGGAATTTAAGGGGGTTTTTAGCAGTGCCTTTCAGTGAGTAATATCATCCACTGTGATTAAAGTCAATCAAAAACTAGAACAATCTTTTGTACAGGGCACTGCTAAATGTCATAAACTCTCTAGGAGTGAAGGTTTGGTTTACCCCATCAGGCAAAGAGCCTTAACTGCTGAGGTACTTGCCGAAAGCAAAGAGAATATGGAGTGAAAGAGATAATTACAAATACCAATCAGCTGCAGATACAAGTACTCTAATAGTTATGAGCATTCTTTCTGTGTGTTTATCGTAACCAGTCTTTTTTCTTTCCTTTTCTGGCTCACCCACTGTATTAGTTTCCTAGGGCTGCTATAACAAATTATCACAAACTCAGTAGCTTAAAACAATGGAAATTTATTCTTTCATAGTTTTGGAGGCAAGAAGTGTGAAATCAAGGTGTGAACAGGGTCATATTTTCTCTGAGACTCTGGGTAGAATCCTTCCTTGCCTTGTCTTAGCTTCTGGTGGTGGCCATCAATATTTTGTATTCTCTGACTTGTAGCAGCATCACTCCAATCTCTGCCTTTCTGGTCACATGGCATTCTCACAGTGTCTCTGTATACAAATTTCTCTCTTCTTGCAAGGACATCAGTCATATTGGATTAGAGTCCACCTTAATAATCTTGTCTTAACTTGATTACATCTGCACAGACTCTATTTCCAAATAAGGTCACATTCTGAGGTTCCAAGAAGTTTATGATTTGGGGGGAAGGACAGTATTAACCCAGTACAACTACCACCTAACATAAGATATATTAATACTAGTTACATTTATATCCCTGAATTTAAGTAACTGTATATCAAAAGAGGAGTGGAATAAACATCACCAAAAGAGGGTTCCATGGATTTTGTTTTTGTTTGGAAGGTAAGTACGGTTTAAAGATGTGTGTGGGGTGCTGAGCAAGTTGCAATACATAAGCCTTTGTCAGCATAGGCAATGGTTGAAAACAGGAACAGAAAATACAGAAATTAGAACCCAGGCTTGTCCAGTCAAAAAAACAAACAAACAAACAAAAACAACAAAAAAAAAAGAAAGGAAAAAAGAAAATACAGGAAAGTTTGGAGACACAGGAAGAAGAGGAGAAAAAGAAGCAGAAAAAGGAATAACAAATAAAAAAGAAAGAACAGGGAGAACTCCACAATATAAATGGGAAAATTATTTACCACTGAAGGAAAATAGATTTAGAAGAAGCCAGGTAACACTGAAGAAGCTCTGGAGGCAGAAGAAAGAAGCTCCGATGGTAAGGAAATTATCCCAGCATTTTTGAGATTTGAAACCCTAATTCCTCAGTCCCTAAAGGAGAGTTATAAATCCAGACCAAAGAAATTAGTTGCAATTACGTTTTTGTTGCATTACTTGAAAGGAATCTCATGCAACTATTGTTTCCCTTCAAGAAGAATAAAAAACAGTAGCTGTGCACATTATCTTCCATTCATTCAATCAAAGATAAGTATCAGCAATGTATAATGGGGCAATTATTGGGTTAATCTCTTGATTCAAAGGTGTGAATGAAATAATCCCTGACCTCAAGGAGATAGAACTGGAGAAGATCAGAAAGTAAATACATCAAAACCCACAAGACTATTTGATAACTTACTATTCTCTGGTCCTACCAGCTGCAGTGTACAGCCATTTCATAAGATACGAAATGGAGACAAACAAGACAATTGGAAATGGGAGTCAAAAAGGAGTCACTAATGTTAACAAAACCCTGACAAATAAAGCAGGGGAAAACCATGAAGAGAGGATTCTCATGCTTGTATGCCTAATAAAAAAAACTATCACAAAAGACTGTGAAAACCACAACCTTGCAATCTTACACACAAAAAATATGTCTACAAGGACATCTGCCTAGCAACTGCCTGTCCAACCTTGGACTAGTGTCACCCTTGTTATTAATATTTGCAGCCAAAGATAATTATTTCAAAAACAATTATGTAGCCCTCCTCAACTTTTCTTTAAAAACTTTTGTCTTTCTTTACCTCCCTGAAGACATACATCGTTTACTATGGCATGCCTATTCCCACTGCAATGCTCTGTTCACAAATAAACATATTTTCTTTTAGAGAACCTCTCTCTGTTAGTTAGGTTGACACATGGAAAGTCTCAGGGTGGAATATTCTGTTGGGTCTTCAGTCTCTTTCTCACTGCAATTTCTTTTTTGTTTCTTTTTTCTCTTTTCTCTTTCTTTCTTTTTCATTTTTTTTTTTTTTTTTTTTTTTTTTTTACGGTATAGACCAAGCTATCCAGTCCTTCTTGGCCATTTTGTCCATACCCATGTGTTCAAAAATATTATCTATCTAGAAATAATTTCCACCTTTGCTTTCTATATCATGCCCTTCTTTCTTCAGCAGCAATCAACAAAGTCCAAAAAAAATTCTTGAAAAATTAAGAAGCTTCTCAACATCAACATGTGCAAAATAAAAATTATTGTCTTCCATTTCCACTTTCACATGTGTAGGTGGCTCAAAATTAAAAATAAAAAGAAGCTTTAGACCAGTGACAGGATCTGGGAGAGGACTTACTTGGCAGGTAAGATTGAGCAGGGGCCAGGCACTGTGGCTTACACCTGGGAGGCCTAGATGGGTGGATCACTTGAGGTCAGGAGTTCGAGACCAGCCTACTCAACATGGTGAAACTTTGTCTCTACTAAAAATACAAAAATTAGCTGGGCGTGGTAGCTCATGTCCGTAGTCCCAGCTACTTGGGAGGCTGAGGCAGGAGAATTGCTTGAGCCAGTAAAGTGGAGGTTGCAGTGAGCTGAGATTGTGCCACTGCACTCCAGACTGGGCAGCAGAGCAAGACTCTGTCAAAAAACCCCAGCAAAAATGGTGTCATATGCTTTAGAATTTATTATCCTTTCTTTAACATAGGTGTGAGAAAGGTTCTAGGAAAAGATTTTTGAAATGGACTTTAACAGAATAGACATTTACTTTTAAATGTTACACTTTCACAAAACCATGTAAAATGTAAAACTAGGGAATATGCAACAAGAAATTGCAACAGTGATGGGGCTGTGGCTTGATGGTATAGCTTTTCTCTTCCAAGTGTAAGGTCTCAAATTTGATCCCTGGGAGCGCCTGTGCTGCTTTCTTTTTCCATAGTTCTGACAATGTGGAATCAGCACCTTCCTTTACTCCCCCTTTTCCCCTCATTATTTTCTGCTCCCTGGCAAAGTAAAACAAAATGTAATGGGTTGCCACTACACAGAGTTATTGGGAAAACACAAGAAAGGCATGAGTGCAAAGCACCAAGTAGCCAACAGATTAATCAGCTTTTTAAAATTTACCTGGTCTAGGCTGGGTGTGGTGGCTCATGCCCGTAATCCCAGCACTTTAGGAGGCCGAGATGGATGTATCACTTGAAGTCAGGAGTTCAAGACCAGCCTGGCCAACATGGTGAAATCTTGTCTCTACTAAAAATTCAAAAATTAGCTGGGCATGGTGGTGGACTCTTATAATCCCAGCTACTCGGGAGGCTGAGGTGGGAGAATTGCTTGAACCCAGGAGATGGAGGTTGCAGTGAGCCGAGAACCCGCCACTGCACTTCAGCCTGGGTGACCAAGAGAGACTCCATCTCAAAAAAAAAAAAAAAGAAAAGAAAAGAAAAATTTACCTGGTCTACCATTTAGCAATAGTACTGAAGAGAAAGAAAGACTGTGAAATGAGGAAAAAGAAGCTCATAGGCAGAAAATATGCCACTCTCTCCTGATCCTCTGTCCTTTCTGTCTTTGCTGTCATTCTCCATTTTTATCTACACAAACTTCATTGCAGACTTCATCTCGTGGGTCAGACATTTTCACCATCATTATCAGTGAATTACGTGCATATCACATGGCAAAACCATGCCACTTCTTTTCATTTTAAAGTGGATTATGTCTAAGTAACAATATACAGAGTTTTTGGAAGGCACCCTAATCTCTGAGTCAGAAACTCTGCAGACATGACATCTCTTACCGTGAGTTTTGCATTTTCATGAGGCTATGAAGGAGAGGTCCTCTGGAGAGTGGGTAGCATGAGGGCTCAAAATTACCCATTCTTATCAGAAGATAATAAGATTTTTGAGTATTGTTCCAATTTTCATTGTGAGCTGTCAGTTTTCTGATTGGGAATTAAGTGTTTTTCCATTTAACTTCATGGGTTCTTCATGCTCAATTTTCCTTAATGCCAATACAAAACCTAATGCCACATAACAGTGGGAGGGATTTTGTTTCTTACTTTTAATTCAAAAGGTAATCAACCTAACAGCAACAAAAAACCTGGCAGAGATTCTGCTTATCTTTCTGTACTTACTAGCTAGATAGAAGACTAATCAAGCTACTTGGAAGTCTCCTTAAGTAAATCCCTCACTCACTAAATCCATAACTCTAAATCCCCCGTCAGTCTGCATTCTTCCTCATTCTCTTAAATCTGTTTTTCCACTTTCATGCCTATAGTCACTCTTCTGGTAACCCATTTAATTCTCGTAAGTCTTCAATGTTGGCTTCTGCCTACAGTGGTAGAATAGAGCAGAAAATTGCTGGGTTGCATCTGTTTAAACCATGGAATTCTTATTTTACTGCAACCTTGGTTTTGCTCCCTCAAACTCTCGACTTTTAGAATCCAGTTGAGCAAACAGGAGGATGTATGGAAGGATGTGCTCACTATAAACACTTAGTTTCCTAAGAGAAATCCAGGTTTCAATTTACCTCTATCAAAAAGTTAGAAATACATAGGTGAAATAAAAGATTAGCTTTACCAAGGGTTTAAATCCTGAAATCTCACCTTAAAAGACTAAACCTCCACCAAATGGGCTATGCCCCTTCATAGTTAAAGAGCTTCTTGAAATCTTGTCAAGTGAATATTTTAAAAATTATACTCTAACCTGTTTGCCTCATATTTTCTCTTTCATTTCAAGTTTCCACACTTTTTTTTTTTTTTTTGAGTCGGAGTTGCCCTTTTGTTGCCCAGGCTGGAATGCAGTGGTGCGATCTCGGCTCACCACCACCTCCACCTCTTGCGTTCAAGTGATTCTCCCGCCTCAGCCTCCTGAGTAGCTGGGATTACAGGCATGTGCCACCACACCCAGCTCATTTTGTATTTTTGGTAGAGACGGGGTTTCTCCATGTTGGTCAGGCTGGTCTTGAACTCCCAACCTCAGGTGATCTGCCCACCTTGGCCTCTCAAAGTGCTGGGATTACAGGAGCGAGCCACCGCGCCCGGCCCTCCACACTGTATTTTGCTTACACACATACCTGAGATGCTAAAGCCAAAATCAGCCATAAATTCCACTTCTATAATTAACATTGATTGCAGTGTAACCACTCACACTTTGCACACTGTGGTGCTTACGGAAGCCACCAATAACAGTGGCTCCTGCACCATGCACCTTCAAATCAGCTACACGCATGCCCTCCAAAGTGCTCATAGTGTTTGTCCAGTGACAGAAAAGGGCAGCAAGGCATTGTCAAAGCCATAACAATTTTAGACTAAACAAGTCAGATCTTCCTGTGGGACAAATGTCTTTAGTGTTTTTTCTTCCAGAAGAAAGGGGAACTTGTATAGATAAGAACTTGTACTCTAGTGATAACAAGAAAGATATAGACCTTTGGATATATCCTGTCTACTATATGTTCACTTCACCTCCTCTTCTATGAAATTTTCCTAAAAAATTAATTCAATACAGGCTCTGGGTGCTTGACTTCCTAGGCTATTGGTTCTCAAAGCTGACTGATTACTGGAATCATCTGGGAAGCTTTAAAATCATGTACCTTACTGGCTGCTTCTGCTAGAAGGTACCCTAGGGTTTTCTCCAAAGCTCCTGTGAGGGTTGACAGTCACACAAAAATATTGGCAAAACTCACAGGGACTACTCTTCGTGTCTTATGTGGCAAAGTTTGAGGACTTCTCTAGGCCTAAAGAGGCTTCACGAGGATCTGGAATTTTTTTTTTTTTTTTTGAGATGGAGTTTCACTCTTGTCCCCCAGGCTGGAGTGCAGTGGCAAGATCTTGGCTCACTGCAACCTCTGCCTCCCGGGTTCAAGCAATTCTCCTGCCTCAGCCTCCCTAGTAGCTGGGATTACAGGCATGCACCACCACACCCGGCTAATTTTTGTATTTTTAGTAGAGATCGTGTTTCACCATGTTGGCTAGGCTGGTCTCCAACTCCTGACCTCATAATCCACCTGCCTCAGCCTCCCAAAGTCCTGGGATTACAGGTGTGAACCACTGTGCCCAGCAGATTTATCTATCTATCTATCTATCTATCTATCTATCTGTTTGTTTTTTTACAAAGACGTTATAAAGACTTAATGTTCCAGATCACATATTGTTTCTTTTCCACTTTCTTTATTCTGGACAGAATTTTATCCAAATGAGGCTTTATAATACATTGCAGCTTTTCCCTTCTTTTACTCTTTCCCTTTCCTTCTATGGGGCCTCCTTAACTAGAGCTGAAGCATCCATTAATTGGGTCCAGGCCAGGGTTTGCTAGAACAGTGACTGTGAAACACTGTTGTTGCTCTTCATTTATAGCCAGGCTTTGAGATAAATTTTTTCCTCTTCTGTCTTATCTACCCAACATTAGCCTATATTTTGAGATTGGCACTCATGTCTCTCATTTTGTCATACTTCATTTCTCAGCAAGTATTATTAATTTATTTCACTTCTATCTTTCCCACTTACCTGGATCTAAATCCCCTGAGGTAACACATTGCTAATATTCTTTATGTCCTTCTGCACGGTCTTCTTCTTTTTGTCCTTCTGCATTGTCTTTTTTTTTTTTTTTTTTTTTTTTGAGATGGAGTCTTGCTCTGTCACTCAGGCTGGGGAGAAGTGGCATGTTTCGGCTCACTGCAACCTCTGCCTCCTGGGTTCAAGTGATTCTCATGCCTCAGCCTCCCAAGTAGCTGAGACTACTGGCATGTGCCAACACCCCTCACTAATTTTTGTATTTTTAGTAGAGGTGGGTTTTCACCACGTTGGCCAAGCCAGTCTCCAACTCCTGACCTCTGGAGATCTGCCTGCCTTGGCATCCCAAAGTGCTGGGATTACAGGTATGAGCCATTGGGCCCGGCCTGCACTCTTTTGTCTTTTTTGATACTTTGTAGACAACATGGAAGTTGAAAGAAAATAATATTGAAAAGAAGTAAATATCTCAACTTGGGATTCTCCTCGATGAGTTGAAGCTGATGCTCTGTAGTATGTTGGTGAGCAGACCTTGGAGTGGCCTGACTGGAGTGAGAAAATTGGAGGAGGAAGATCTTAGTAAACAAAACTGTTTTTTGGTCTAGCATTCCATTACTTTTCATGGCATAGCTGCAAAAAGGGACTGGTCTAGGATTTTCTGAAATAGTGAGGTTGAATACAGTAAACTGTCCTACCAACCACTGGATATCCAGAAATTGGGACAATCATCAGTTTTAGAGGATTTACTGAAATGTAGGGTCAATTGGGGTATATAGCTTGGTGGCAGAGCACCGGCTAAGCATGCAGGTGAGTCCAGGTTTATTCCTTCATACTGCTTTTCTCTTACTTCTTCAAAGCTGTACTTAAATAACACAACCCTGTTGCATAAGCATAAGACAAGAAGAATTGAGAGAGAAATATCCCCCTCACTCAGGATCTCCCAAAAGGAGAGGAACAATCATGTCACCATCACATTAGTAAGCTCTCATTCTTTTCGTTCCATTACACAGTTTCCTGAGGAACAACGATGAAAAAGAATGATCAAGGAAAAGAAAAAGAGGCCCTTAAGCAATCTTTGTTAACAACTCTTTTTGTGGTTGTTCCTGTGTGAAGCCTGAGGAGCCAAAACTCACCCACTGATTTTTCTCTCCCCTCACTGCTCTTCCATGCACACAGATGGCAGTAGTTTCAATCAATTACCAAATGTGGCAGGCTATTGATCCCAACTTCTGAGTGAGGGATCAAGGGAAAGACATCTCTCAAATAATGCAGTGCTTTCGAAACTCAATAGCTGAGATAATTACTAGTGTCAGTGAAGGTAGAGGTGCAGCTGACATAACTCAGTTGGGAGAGCCCCCGATTAAAGGTCTAAAACTCCCATATCCCTCCTCAGAGTTTGAAATCAATGATGTGTTTCAGCAGCATGTTGCCTGATCACAAACATCCTCCTGCACTCACTTTTCAAGGAAATCTTCTAGAGGGCTAAGGCGAGGAGAATCAAAATTGGGTGGCTTAAATGTTCCTTGCCTTTGCCAGTGAACACTTTTTTTTTCAGTGTTTTGAGGCTTTAAAGGAAAACTTGCTTGATATAACTTTCGTCAGTGTTACACAACAGCTCTTGGATAAAGAAGCAGCCCAAGGCTTTGACGTGAATATGTACATCCTTCGCCTTATATGCTAAGCTGAAAGCTCCCCGTGAACAAAGGGCTCTGCTCGTTCCCAGACAATTCAATTCTATTTGCTTTGCCATATCCAGGACCTGCTCGCATTTTCCAATCCCCCGGTGGCACTGCTTGAAGGTTTCCGGGCCTCTTTGACTTTTTCTTTCAAATATGTACATATATAGCAGAATTCCTCCTTGTGTCCGTGGGTTCTCAAAGGGAAGGCAGTTGGAAATTCTCTCCGCTGCCCTGCGTCTGACCTTGCCCTGTTTATTCCCTAAGTCTGGGTGGGAGGGAATATGTCACTCCATTTAAAGTTGATGGAGTTTTGAAGTCGCTGTTTTAAAACCCGTTTGTGGATATAATAATCGTCAAGCGAGAAATAGAGATGGGGTGTGGAATCAGAGCAGGACAATCTCAGAACCTGGGACTCACGAAAAGAGCTGGAAAATGGATGTTGGCAGAGCCTCCGACCCAGCATGGTGTGAAGATCAAGGAAAGCCCGCGGCTGCCTCTGGACTGAAAAACACTTTTTTCTGAGTCATTATCGCTGCTATATATGTTGGAGACTTGAGACTGTCTCAGGACCTTCCTGGTGGAGGCAAGAAACTCTCACCGAGTCGCCGGCAAGTGGACCTTGGAGCAAGTTAACAGGAATGGGAAGGTCCTAGAATCAAAAACGGTGCTATTCAGACTAAAATCTGTTACTCGTCTAATGAAGCCACTACACAGTATCCAGTCTTGTAATTTCAGAGATAATGAAATTTAATCCAGTGGACTTTCTCTACCTAACTCTTAAGTTAAAAAACTATAACAAAACAAAACCAACAAGAAAAATAGCAACAACATTTTATAAAAGAACCCAGGAAGTTTGAGAGTCAGGGGGTGTAGATCAGTGGTAGAGCGCGTGCTTCGCATGTACGAGGTCCCTGGTTCAATCCCTGGCACCTCCATTTTTCCTTCAGCCAATCCATCCTCTCATTATGGACCTCCATTGATTTGGGAGAAGCAGATCTCATGTCTGTTTGGGTGAGTGATTGGAAGAACTTGGATAACCCAAACCGCGTTTCTTAAGGAATGCGGAGCTTGCCAATGTGAACTTTGAAAACTCATTTGCGGCCGGACGCGGTGTCTCACTCCTGTAATCCCAGCACTTTGGGAAGCCGAGGCGGGTGGATCACGAGGTCAGGAGATCGACATCATCCTGGCTAACACGGTGAAACCCCGTCTTTACTAAAAATACAAAAAAATGAGCCGGGTGTGGTGGAGGGCGCCTGTAGTCCCAGCTACTCGGGAGGCTGAGGCAGGAGAATGGCATGAACCCGGGATGCAGAGCTTGCAGTGAGCCGAAATCGTGCCACTGCACTCTAGCCGGGGTGACAGAGCAAGACTCCGTCTCAAAAAAAAAAAAAAAAAAAAAAAACAGAAAAAGAAAACTCATTTGCAAGTTTGAGGGCCAGATGCTATCAGCATGCAGGGAGAATTAGATATGGTAGGGGGCTTAAAGTCTTAAAAGTTTTCTTCTCGACGCCGGATTTTGGCAGAGTGATTAGTCTGGTAGATAGTAAATAGATTCTCATTGAATATTTTGACACGCTGTGTTATCGCATACTTAGTTGAAATAAAATTGCAAGAGTCTTAGTGGGCGATGGGTTAAAATTTCTTCTCTTACACTTGCCTTCTGAAAAATCAAGTTGCTTGTGTTTACAGTTGTACAACCAGAAAGTAGAATTCATGAGTTAACAGCACACCAAAGATCCCTGCGGTAGATGCAGCCAAAGGGGCAGTGTGTGTGTGTGTGTGTGTGTGTGTGTGTATGTGTGTGTGTGTGTGTGTGTGTGTGGTGGCGGGTGGGGAACAGTTTAAGCATAGACAGATGCCTAAGTTATTGAGTTTCCTGAAATAAACACTGACGGTATAAACAAGGGGCCAGTAAAAATGATAAGACGAAGAACTCCTCTGTTTCTAAGCATAGTCCTACACTGGAGGAATGTACCAAAATCAGTTCCATTTTTGTTTCCTTTTGAATGCTAGTTCATGTATCAAAGCGGGGGACAAAAAGTGAAAAAGCTGGAATTCTGCTGAGAACTTGCTTCTGGAGCTCTGGATTTTCCCGTGTCTAGGGAGAAGGCCTTTGAAGTGAGGGTAGCAGGAAGACTGGAAATGCATTCATATAGATTTCTAGAAAACAAAATAAAACTTGGCCTTAGACCGATTTTGGACCCTGGGATTCATTGTTTCTGCTTCACACATCTTCCTACCTGTCAGCTTGCTCCAAGGTCCGCTCCACAACCGACTCCCTGGCGGGCACTTCCATTCACAAAGCCCCAGGAATGAAGCATTTTCTTGCCTCTTCAAGTTGCCCCTTTCCCTCAACTTCTTCTGCCTAAGGACACCAAAGGTAACACAGAAAGGAAATCAAAGAAGTAAAGTTAAATGCTGCTTGGCGAACTCTAGGTCCTAATGGAGGATGTAAAACAGAAGCTTACAGAATTCACAAAACCTGGCCTGAAATGCAGAGCGACAGCGTGTGTCTGGCAAATCTGGGGTGGTTACACGGCCAGGACCGACAGCTGCTTTTCCATCGCCGAAGCTCTGATCTGAAAGAGAGGAGGCGGGGTAGGGAGGAGGAGGGAGAATGCTGCAGTCGGATACATAGCCTCTTTCAGATGGGATTCTCTCTGGAATCAGGAGAGGGCAAGGGAGAAGGTGTGTGGACTGGGGCACGATCTATGCAAGGAACTAACACTTTGTACGCCTGGTGAGCGTCTCAAACGTGATCTGACACAGCTCAAAGGGTCGACGCTGTCATCCTCTCGCCAGTGTTTTGTGTGACAGTCAACCCAGACATGAGTTTTGGATGACGACCGAAATCACGGTCCAGGCGGGGCCGGGCAGTTAAGTTACATCATTTAGAAAGCTCCCTAAATTCGAAATCCGGCAGATTTGGGAAATCCTGGCCTGGAAAATCAAGAATTCAAGCTGGATGGAGTGGGCTGAGTTATTGGGAAGTCGTGGCCTAGGAGGAGGCAGTGAGGAGACCAGAAGGGAAAGGGTGAAGGGATGGGTGGTTGGAGAGAGGGGGTGAGGCGAGGTTGGGGTTAGCAAAACAGCACGTACAGGATTTGGATGGATGAATAAGTAGGACGTGTCCAAGCTCTGCACGTTTTCTCTGAGTCCTCTAGGTACGAAAAAATATTACAGTCTTGTATGTTTGAAAGGAAGTAGGCCAAAACCTTTCGTCCCCTAGTAAGATACCATTCCTTTTTACGCAAACAACTGTCGGCTTTTGAGAGCGTCGTTGGGCTGTTTCCAGAGCTGAACGCTTCGGGAGCGTACCCGCGTAGCTAGGTTTTGTTTGAGGTGTAGTAGCGGCTGGTATTGGTGGCTTTCGAAAAAAGCCAGATGGTTGTGGTGGGAGTAGGTTGGTGAGTGTAGAAATGGGATTTGCCGGCTGCTTTTGGTTTGAGCACGTGAGGTAGTTCTGCAAGCGATTGTTTTCGTTTGGAATGGAAGACAAAGCTGACGATAACTGTATTTCTCTGTACTTAAGCTATGTACTTAAGCTATGAGGGAAGGTTGCTGTCGTGAGCCTGGGTAGCTCAGTCGGTAGAGCTATCAGACTTTTAGCCTGAGGATTCAGGGTTCAATCCCTTGCTGGGGCGTAAGGCCTTGGCCTTCTGTTGATGAGTGTTTTATATACCAAGCAAGGATTTTAATTCACCTTGCTCTATTCTGGACATTTGAATTTGAGCTGTTAGGCCAGAAAAATAATGGCTGAAGCCATCAATCAGAGGTTTCTGGTGCTTGGGATTTTGTTTAAAGGCAAAAATTAAGGAAAGGCCGGGCGCGGTGGCTCACGCCTCTAATCCCAGTACTTTGGGACGCCGAGGTGGGCAGATCGCTTGAGCCCAGGTGAAGGGGTGGCCTGCCCCTCCACACCTGTGGGCGTTTCTTGTCAGGTGGGATGAGAGACTGAAAAAAGAAATAAGAGACAGAAACAAAGTATAGAGAAAGAAAAGTGGGCCCAGGAGACTGGCGCTCACGTGCTGGCACTGGTCTCTGAGTTCCCTCAGTATTTATTGATCATTATCTCTACCGTCTCGGAGAGGGGGATGTGGCAAGATGATAGGGTAATAGTGGGGAGAGGGTCAGCAGGAAAACATGTGAACAAAGGTCTCTGTGTCATAAATAAGTTTAAGAAAACGTGTTGTGCTTTGATGTGCATGTACAAAAACATCTCGTACACAAACATCTCTGGGTGCATTAAAGAGCAGTATTGCTGCTAGCATGTCTCACCTCCAGCCTTAAGGCTGTTTTCTCCTATTTCAGTAAATAGAACATACAATCGGGTTTTACACTGAGACATTCTATTGCCCAGGGATGAGCAGGAGACAGATGCCTTCCTCTTATCATAACTGCAAAGAGGCCTTCCTCTTTTACTACACAGACCCTTTATGGGTGTCAGGCTGGGGGACAGTCAGGTCTTTCCCTTCCCACGAGGCCCTATCTCAGGCTATCACATGGGGAGAAACCTTGGACAATACCTGGCTTTCCTAGGCAGAGGTCCCTGCAGTGTATTGTGTCCCTGGGTACTTGAGGTTAGAGAATGATGATGACTTTTAACAAGCATGCTGCCTTCAAGCACTTTTTTAACAAAGCATATCCTGCACAGCCCTAAATCCACTAAACCTTGAGTCAACACAGCACATGTCTCTGCAAAGCACAGGGTTGGGGATAGGGTTACAGATTAACAGCATCTCAAGGCAGAAGAATTTCTCTTAGTACAGAACAAAATGGAGTCTCTTATGTCTACTTCTTTCTACATGGACACAGTAACAGTCTGATCTCTCTTTTCCCCGCATTTCCCCCTTTTCTTTTCAACAAAACCGCCATCGTCATCATGGCCCGTTCATCATGGCCTGTTCTCGATGGTCGCTGTCTCTTTGGAGCTGTTGGGTACACCTGCAGACTAACAACAGACAGAACAGGCACACAAGGATTAATATGAAATTTATAAGAGTAGTACTTCCGATGGTCTTAACCCAAGTGACAGGGTTAAGATTTGCAAGACCATCAGCAACTCCCGCGATTGCCTCAGTTCCTGGTACCAAATTTAAATGGGCTTTTGATGCTTCAAAAATTTGTTCTTTTAATTTGGAAATGTCTAAAGTGAGGTTATCTTCTCTTCCCTGTAGATGGCATCTAACCATGTCCCAGTGATGCTCAGACTCATTATAAACTTGGGGTGTAATACAAAAATCTGACCTATTTCAGTCACACTGTAACTGGAAACGATGTTCCAAGCTCATGAGTCTATCTCCCATCCAAATGACAGTTTGTCTAAGATCATTAATTTGATTTGCCAGTTTTTGATTAATACCAGATTGTGAATTCCACAATCTTGTAGAATTCTTTTGCCAATCGTTAACAAAGTTTACTGTCTGAACAGAAGAGTGCAATGCAACTCCTGCCACAGCGGCCGTAGCTGTGACTGCACTTAATCCGATAACACTGCAATTAAAGTAAAAACGAATCTTTTGGATCTATTTAAAATGCCTTTTAATACTTCAGTCAAAATATGGACAGATGGCGAGGCCTCCCACGGTCGGTGCATGGACACGGGGATCCACACGCCTTCTCTTGCTCTCACTAGCAGAATACAGTGCTGCCAATTAAAAGTCGAATCAATGCAAGTAAACAGTCTGCAATTTTCACAGGTTATAGTTTGGGAGTCTGGTTTAATAACTATATTTCCTACAACTAGCATATAAGGGGGCTTTACACAACTTTGTGAAGGAACCGTTAGACTGGAATTTAGGTTGATAGTGTAACACGGCTTATGATCTCTTGTTTTTATAGCTTGATTTCTAGACCAAATTCTAATATGGTAATGAGGCCACATTAAGCCTCCATAATTCTGGATGTTCAGGACCAGAAACAGGACTTATTATTTTTGGTCTTGGAGTAGAGATTTCTTTTTCTCCTCATTCTCAAGGGTAGAAAGACTATAATTTTTCGTGCTTATGTTTGTCTAGACTTTCTGTTATGTCGCTATCAACATCTGGACTCACTTGTGCACTGGGACATGATTGAGTTTGTCCTGTGCAATTGTGGTAGAATTGACCTCGAGGTGCCCTATCTATAACAGTTCCAAATTCATCGTTTTGTAATATCACTGCTCTATTGGCCACACATTCTTCCAAAACTAAAACTTCTGTGTCTTTTGATCCTTTGGGAATTTCCTTGGGGCAAGGTTTCCCTTTAGGCCTAAATTTTAATGATCTTTGATAAGAAAAGTCCTGTAAATAATTTACCTGTGGCCTGAGTGACATTCCACTTACCATGTGATAAGTAAATCTACTGGTGGTACTGAAAGTAGGTACGTTTACCAACCAATTTTGGATTGCAGGCATTAAACATCCTGGTGTTCTCCCTAGGCAAATAGGAGGATAACAATACCCAGTGGAAATATTTATCATCATTCCTTCTTCCTCAGGTTTGGCAGGGCAATAATCATCTGTGGGGCCAGGTAGCCACACGCTATTATTAACATATAATTCAATAGGATTATCCATCCATGTGACTCCTGAATTAAGGGCAGGAAAGGCACATAGGCCCAGTAGGTATAATTAGCTGCAGCTACTCCTGCAGGCATGGGGAGACACCACCGTTGATACAATCATCAAAGCTGCAAGCAGCATACTCTCTGGAGTTTGTGTCTCCTTTGTGTTCTCTAGACATTTTGTAGCTAACTGCGTCAGCTTCTTTAATTGTGCCCAAGTCAGCAGCTTTGTCTTCTTGGTGGATGGCAACTTCATCTATTCTTCTGACATCACCATTCTGTTCATCTTGTGAGTCGATGGTGCTCGATTGCTGTGTTTCCATCTCCGTGGAGGCGCTTTTCTTTGCATCTCCGATGGGTTCATTGTAGAACTTCAAATGTCTAGTGGGTATCCAAACAGGAAGCTGATTTTCTCCTGGTGAAACACAAGAAAAACCTCTCCCCCATGTTACCACCTTCCCTATTTCCCACGTCTAATTTTTGTTGTCTTTCCACCAAATCAGTTTTCCTTCATGTGGGCTGTTCTTTTTATCAGTAAGATGTTGTTCTGCAGAAGTAGTAGTCTGATATCTATAAATGTTTAAAACATTTAAAGTATAGAGTGCTAGATTAAGTTGCATCTGAGGAACGGTACACTCCTTACTGTCTCCCCCTTCTTTTTGTTTAACTAATTGAGTTTTGAGTGTTCTATTAGTTGTTTCAACTATGGCCTGTCCTTGGGAATTATAGGGAATTCCTGTTGTATGTGTAATTTTCCACTGATATAAGATTTTTTGGATTTTGGAAAGCTTTACTACAGTATCCTGGTCCATTGTCAGTTTTAATTTTTTCTGGAACTCCCATTACAGCAAAACGAGATAATAACTGTTTTTTTTTAACATGGGAAGTACTTTCTCCTCTCTGGCAGGTTGCCCATATGAAATGTGAATAAGTGTCAACTGTTACATGGACACATGATAATCTTCCAAATGAAGGTACATGCGTGACACCCATTTGCCATAACGCATTGGGACACAGACCTCTGGGATTAACTCCTACCTCTTGAGTGGGCAGGTGTAGGATTTGACACTGGGTGCAATGTTGTACAATATTTTTTGCCTGTTTCCATGTGACATCAAATTTGTTTTTTAATCCTGCTGCATTTACATGAGTCAAAGCATGAAGTTCTTGTGCTTTTATGAATGCAGATGATACCAGTAAGTCAGCTTGTTCATTTGCTTTAGTTAAAGGCCCTGGTAAATTAGTGTGTGCTCGAATATGAGTAATATAAAATGGGAAATTTCTTTTTCTTACAGTTTGTTGTAATAAATTGAACAGCTAGTTTAACTGATCATCCATGCTATATTTAATTAGAGCTGTCTCAACATCCCTTGTAGCCTGTACTACATATGCAGAATCTGATACAATATTAATAGGTTGATCAAAATCTTATAGCACTATAATGACTGCAGCCAACTCTGCTCTTTGAGCCGATTGATATTGAATTTTGATTACTTGCTCTTTTGGCCCTGTGTAAGCCGCTTTCCCATTGCTGGAACCATCAGTAAACACTGTCAGAGCATTTTTTAAAGATTCATGTCTGGTAATTTTAGGTAAACTCCAAGTAGTCAATTTTAAAAACTGGAAGATTTTTGGTTTTGGGTAATGATTATCAATAATTCCCATAAAATCAGCAAGACCAATCTGCCATGCACCCGAATTAATAAAGGCTTGTCTAACTTGTTCCTTGGTTAAAGGAACAACTATTTTGTCTGGGTCGTTTCCACAGAATTTTATTATTTGTAATCTTGCCTGACCAATTAATGTAGCTATTTGATCCGAGTACAACGTAAAAGTCTTCATTGTACTGTGAGGAAGGAATGACCAATCCACAAGATCAGTATTTTGAACAATGATGCCTGTTGGAGAATGTGCAGGAGCAAAAATCAAAAGTTGGAGTGGGGCTAAGGGATCTGAAGGGGTGGCCTGCCCCTCCACTCCTGTGGGTGTTTCTCATCAGGTGGGATGAGAAGCTAAGAAAAGAAATAAGACACAGAGACAAAGTATAGAGAAAGAAAAGTGGGCCCAGGGGACCGGCGCTCAGCATATGGAGGACCCGTGCCGCCGGTACTGGTCTCTGAGTTCCCTCAGTATTTATTGATCACTATCTCTACCATCTCGGAGAAGGGGATGTGGCGGGACTATAGGGTAATGGTGGGGAGAGGGTCAGCAGGAAAAAATGTGAACAAAGATCTCTGTGTCATAAATAAGTTTAAGGAAAAGTGCTGTGCCTTGATGTGCACATAGGCCAGATTTATGTTTGACTTTACACAAACATCTTGGTGCATTAAGGAACAGTATTGCCGCCAGCATTTCTAACCTCCAGCCATAAGGCGGTTTTCTCTATCTCAGTAACTGGAACGTACGATTGGGTTTTACACCGAGACATTCCATTCCCAGGGAGGAGCAGGAGACAGATGCCTTCCTCTTATCTCAACTGCAAAGAGGACTTCCTCTTTTACTAATCCTCCTCAGCACAGACCCTTTATGGGTGTCTTGGGGACGGTCAGGTCTTTCCCTTCCCACAAGGCCATATCTCAGGCTATCACATGGGGAGAAACCTTGGACAATACCTGGCTTTCCTAGGCAGAGGTGCCTGCAGTGTATTGTGTCCATGGGTACTTGAGGTTAGAGAATGATGATGACTTTTAACAAGCATGCTGCCTTCAAGCACTTTTTTAACAAAGCACATCCTGCACAGCTCTAAATCCATTAAACCTTGAGTCAACACAGCATATGTCTCTGCAAGCACAGGGTTGGGGCTAGGGTTATAGATTAACAGCATCTCAAGGCAGAAGAATTTCTCTTAGTATGGAACAAAATGGAGTCTCTTATGTCTACTTCTTTTTACATAGATACAGTCACAGTCTGATCTCTCTTTTCCCCACAGGGATCTATTCTATTTATTTGCGCTGACTGAATTTTTTCTTCCACTTATTTAATTTCTTTTGTTGCCTCTGGGGTTAGTATTCTTTTACTATTTAAGTCTAGGTCTCCTCTTAAGATGGAGAACAAATATGACATGGCATAAGTAGGAATGCCTAGAGTTGGCCGAATCCAGTTAGTACCTGCTAGCAATTTTTGAAAGTCATTTAATGTTTTTAATGTGTCTTTTCTTATTTCTATTTTTTGTGGCTTAATTTTTCTATTTTCTATCTGCATACCTAAATAATGAAAAGGAGTAGAGGTCTAAATCTTATCAGATGCTATTGCCAGTCCTGCGTTGGCAACCTCTGCTTGCAGAAATGTGTAACAGTCAATTAATTTGTCTCTCGTTTCTGCAGCACATAAAATATCATCAACATAATGAATGATATAACAGTCTGAAAACTTATCTCTAACTGGTTGAAGAGCTTGATCTAGGAAAGTCTGACAAATTGTTGGACTATTAAGCATTCCCTGAGGTAACACTTTCCACTGAAACCTGGTGGCTGGTTCTTTATTATTTATAGCTGGTATAGTAAAGGCAAATTTTTCAAAATCCTGCTCCTCCAGAGGAATGGTAAAAAAGCAATCCTTCAGATCAATTATAATTAAAGGCCAGTCTTTTGGGATCATGGCCGGAGAGGGCAACCCGGGTTGGAGATGCCCCTTGGGTTGAATTACGGCATTTACGGCCCTTAAGTCAGTTAACATACGCCATCTGCCGGATGTTTTCTGAATTACAAACACAGGAGAATTCCAAGGCGAGAATGAGAGAATGAAGGCTCAATATGTCCTCTTTCGAATTGCTCCTTTGCTAATAAATGTAAAGCCTCCAGTTTTTGTTTTCGTAGTGGCCACTGATTTACCCATACCGGTTTTTCTGTTTTCCAAGTTAATGGAATGCGTTTAGGAGGCTCTACAGTGGTAGCCCCTAAAAAGGATACCCTATTCCTTTTCTTTCTCGATTTTTCTCACTCTGAATTGGGACTTTAATGCCATTTTCATTTTTTCCTAGTCCCTTTCCTGGTATATATCCATTTTAGTCATGATTTTTTGACTTGTGGGGCTGTATAATGGAGCCGGCATAGTGATTTCTGCACCCCATTGTTGTAATAAATGACCCCACGGATTAACAGGAAATGAAGTAATCATTGGCTGAACAGTACTTTCTTGATTATTCGGCCCTGAACAATGCAAAATCATAGTAATTTGATACACTTCTGAGGCAGTGCCTATGCTGACAAGTCCTGTAACAGCCTTTTGTTTAGGCCAATTTTTTGGCCACTGATTTAAAGCAATGATAGAGACATCTGCTCCAGTGTCTACTAACCCTTCAAACTGTTTTTTTTGAATAATGGCCTTACACACAGGTCTGCTCTCTGAGACTTGACTTGCCCAATATGCAGCCTTTCCTGCCAGATCAGTGCTTCCAAACCCTCCTGTTCTTTTATCTCACTGTTTCCAACTTTAATATAAGGCAGGAGTAATAATTTAACAATCCTGTCTCCTGGATTGCCACTCCAAGGAATTGAGGAGCTAATAGCCAATTGAATTTCACCTTCATAGTTTGACTCAACCACACCAGTATGAATTTGAACTCCCTTTAGATTTAGACTGGATCTTCCTAAGATTAGTCCTACAGTCCCCTCAGGCAGTGGGCCATATACCCCTGTGGAGATTTTTTGTGGGGGCTCCCCTGGAAGCAGAGAGACTGCTTGCATAGTACATAAATCTACTGCTGCATTGCCACTTGTGGCGGGGGACAATTGCTGTATTGTGGTAACTGGCTCATTCGCTGAGGCATTTGTGACAGTGGGGGTTGTCTGTGAAAACCCTGAGGAAAAAAGGGCTGAATTGGGAATGCCTCAGTTTGTTGTGGGGCCTGAGGCTGGCCCCTCTTCTCATTTCCCCACAATGGTTGCCCACTTTTATCAAATTTAGAAGGACATGGATTATCCCAATGTTTTCCTTTTTTACATCTTGGACATAAGTCAGGTGGCTCTATCTGTTGTTGTAGTAGCTTGAATATTTTGTTTGAGGCTGGGCAATTTTTTTAGATGAACAATTTGTCCACAATTATAACATTTTCCCCCAAATGTTCTAACTTATCGTCCTAAAGCAACTCCCGTTGTTGCTTGAGTCATAAGCATAACTTTATGCATAGCTCCTCCAATTCCATCACAGGCTTTTACATACTATGAGATTACATCTGATCCTGCTGGGACCTTTCCTTTTAATGGCTTAATGGCTGATTGACACTCAGGATTGGCGTTTTCCTATGCCATCAACTCCACTATGACCTTACAGGCATTCTCATCGGTGATTGACTTGGAGCCTTGCCGCAAAATCAGGCTAGGTCTCTTTAGAGCCTTGTTTTATTGTATTGAATGAGGGGAAGGCGGTTCCTGGGTCTTGGATTTTTTTCCCAGGCTCTAAGGCATATAGCTCTAACTTGCTTAATGGCCTCATTTTGCATTATTGCTTGTTGATTGGTAGTGCTCCAATTTTGACCTGTTCCTAATAGTTGATCTGCATCTATGTTAACTGGAGGATTGGCAGCCCTATTTTTTTGGATCTGTTCTTGTGCCCCATCAATTCACCAAGTCTTAAATTGTAAAAATTGAGAGGGTGAGAGTGATGATTTGGCCAAAATCTCCCAATCATAAGGAATGAGTCTCTGTCCATGAGCAATGGAATCTAATAATATTTTCATATAAGGGGAGCTGGGTCCATACTGTTTTACTCCCTCTTTCATATCTTTTAGCATTTTTATAGAAAAGGACTCATATCTGGCCTCAGCTAGGGGAGGCACTCCCTCTTGGGCCCCTTCTCCAGGTGGTATCAGTTCTAATGTTACTGGGAATTGTCACGCCTCAGTATCTCCTTGTTTTCTTGCCTTATCAATAATTTTATGTAATGCACTATGCTGTCCACTAGGTAGTGCTGTAGGATTAAGTCTCACAGTGGACGGCTGAGGATCTAGAGCCCTGCCCTGTGGTGCTGGAAACATTCCTGGGTGTCCATACTGATTTTCTGGGGGCGGCCGATACTGAAGTTCGGCTGGCGGCCAGTATTGATAGGCTACTGGCAGTTGGGTCTTATTTTCTACCTGCTGATATTGTGGATACTGTATCTGGATTGGCATTGCCATGGCAGAGACTTTATCTTTTTCTATTTGATATTCTTCTGGGGTTTGTACTTGTCTAACCTGCATTTGAGGTTGCAATGTTACAGGCATCTGAACTGCTGGAAGAGGAGTTGGCCATTGTGGTTTAGACTCTGACGGCCCCGCTAATTTTGGACCCTTTTCTTCTAATTTTAATGTTTCAGGATATATTACTTTCTGTAATTGATTATAGTCTACATTTTGCATTGACCGAGTCATTACCGGCTCTGCTACATATTTACAATGTGAACTTTCCGTTCCTTTCTGAGATTCTATCCCAGCCTCTTCTTCACAATAGATTACACAGCTTTCAGGGGCATCAGAAACTGAAACGCTATCTTCTCCTGTTTGAAACAGTTCTAAAGCTACTTTAATAATGACCCAATCATTCCATACTGTAAGTGGGATGATTTTACCCTCCCTAATTGTTTGTTTTAATTCTTTGCCAATTTTTTCCCAATCTTTTAGATCTAAGGTTCCCTGTTCTAGAAACCATGGGCAGAATTGTTCTATTGTTTGAAATAGCATGATTAGATTTTTTGTAGAGACTCTAACTCCCCCTCTTTTTAAAAGAATTTTAATAGAGCTGAGATAAGAGGCATATTTACTTTCAGTTTGTCCCATTGTTACCCTAGGTTCTTCCGAGCGCACAAGCTTACAGCAAGGCTGACTGTAGACGTACTCGGGAATCTCTCATCGACTTGTCCTCAATGACTACGCTCTAGTGTACCTTCACCCTAGAGAAAAGCACCCACGTTGGGCACCAGATTAAGGGGTGGCCTGCCCCTCCACACCTGTGGGCGTTTCTCGTCAGGGGGGACAAGAGACTGAGAAAAGAAATAAGAGACAGAGACAAAGTATAGAGCAAGAAAAGTGGGCCCAGGGGACCGGCGCTCAGCATAGGGAGGACCCGCGCAGGTGCTGGTCTCTGAGTTCCCTCAGTATTTATTGATCATTATCTCTACCATCTCAGAGAGGAGGGCAGGCACTGGTCTCTGAGTTCCCTCAGTATTTATTGATCATTATCTCTACCATCTCAGAGAGGAGGATGTGGCACGACGATAGGGTAATAGTGGGGAGAGAGTCAGCAGGAAAACATGTGAACAAAGGTCTCTGTGTCATAAATAAGTTTAAGAAAATGTGCTGTGCTTTGATATGCAGGTACACAAACACCTCAGTGCATTAAAGAGCAATATTGCCGCTAGCATGTCTCACCTCCAGCCTTAAGGCTGTTTTCTCCTATCTCAGTAAATAGAACATACAATCGGGTTTTACACCGAGACATTCTATTCCCCAGGGACAAGCAGGAGACAGAAGCCTTCCTCTTATCACAACTGCAAAGAGGCCTCCCTCTTTTACTAATCCTCCTCAGCACAGACCCTTTGTGGGTGTCGGGGCTCGGGAAGGTCAGGTCTTTCCCTTCCCAGGAGGCCGTATCTCAGGCTATCACACTGGGGAGAAACCTTGGACAATACCTGACTTTCAGTGTATTGTGTCCCTGGATACTTGAGATTAGAGAATGGTGATGTCTTTTAACAAGCATACTGCCTTCAAGCACTTTTTTAACAAAGCACATCCTGCATAGCCCTAATATATATATATATACATATAAACCCAGTCTTTGTCCTGGTGTAGGTAGTGGTATCTTTTACCACACTACAGGAAACGAATGCTCTCCTGTTTGTTGTTAGGTTTTATTTTTGCTTTGTGGGCATTGGATGGGGCCAGAACGGGGGGAGGAGCCTGGGTTTAAACGTGATTAATTTAAGATGCCTACAAATTTAAGATTCGGTCTTGAGAATGTATTTGGCAAGCACAGTCTAACAACTCTGAGACTGCAACTCTGCAGGAATCCCTGACTGGGATTCTTATTAATTATGTAGCCACAGAGGAGAGGAACAGTAGGTAGAGTGAGAATTGAAAGGGTTAATTGTGATTTGAAGATTGGGAGCTCATTCGTGGTATTCATGGAAAACCTTAGGGTAAGCTACAGTAATCTTGGCTCTGTATTCATTCTGGACAGCATAATGTTCTTGGAACCTATTTAGAAATCCGAGGAAATATTAGAAATTCAGGTGAGGTTATTGCTATCTGCATTTTGCCCTCCGCAGCCCTTACAAGACTCTTCACGTTCAGAGACATCCCATGAAGTGGTTTTGAACCTGAAAGGATCCCACTTGTCTGGCAAGGTCTCTTGGTTGGTCCAAAAGGCTCATCAGACTGCTAGAATGTAAGAATAGAAAATAGAGAAAGGACAGGTCTCACCAAGGGAGACAACTAAGGTGGTGTCACACCCACAGGTGTACAGGTATCTATGTGTAGGGTGGGGAGATGGAGCAGGTTTTAACTTGGCTTGTAGTGTAGAGCACAACTAGCATGATGTCTAGTGTCCCTGGTAAATGATTACTTTCCATTGTGACTAGAGCAAACTGTATTCAAAGTAGACTCGTATATTCCTCATATGGAAGACTTTTTTCCCTGTCTGCCTCCAGCTGTATCTCCAAAATTATTTAATAATTTTTTTGTGGCAAGTTCCAGTCTTTGAATAGCATTATTGAAACATCTATTCAATGGGAAGTTGTGGGATTAACTCATAAATTACAGAATTTTCTGAGAAACCCAATATTTTACTCAAAAGACAGAATATAACCATGCTTAATATACAGTATTCAGAAAACTCTAAAACATATGTAGCATGTGTCTAACCCATCTGTGTCATAAGAGAAAATAGAAGCCCATTGGGTGCTGTTTTGGAAGGAGTCACATAGAAAGCATGTTAGAATATAATTTGAGTGTGTTGAAATATCATTGTACACACCAAGCATGATGTTCTTTGATATCATAAAAATCCTTTTACATGGTCCTGGCTTTTGTTTTCGTTTGTTTTGTTTTGTTTTTCAGATAGAGCCTCACTCTGTCACCCAGGCTGGAGTGGCATGATCTTGGCTCACTGAAACCTCCTTCTCTTGGGTTCAAGTGATTCTCCTGACTCAGCCTCCTGAGTAGCTGGGACTACAGGTGTGCACCCCCATGCCCAGCTAATTTTTGTATTTTCAGTAGAGACAGGGTTTCAGCATGTTGGCCAGGCTAGTCTCAAACTCCTGACCTCAAGTTATCTGCCTGCCTAGGCCTCCCAAAGTGCTGGAATTACAGGCGTGAGTCACCATGCCAGGCCAACATGGTCCTGTTTTACAGATATAAAAAGAATAATGAAATATGCTCCAAAATTTACCCTATCTCACCAACTTTTAAATGGCATTAGATTACATACCCAGATTATAAGACTGCAAATCATGGGTCCTTTTCTCATAACATTATACTATACTCACACATACTCATACACAATTTAACGGTTTTCCTTAATTTCAAGTGTTGTGTTAGATATCGAAGACAGCATTCAATTAGACAGAAAATAAATATAATACTATAGGTCATTTTTTTTTACAAGTGTTACAGAAGCATTTTAGTCAAGGCCCATTGTAGGTATTGCAAAGGCTATTTGTTTAAGGATGTTTCAATTTTTCATTTAGCATCTTTGATAAAAAATTCCACTATATATCATAGATTAATTGCCAGAAGTTAAGTTAAGTAGCTTCTATCATTTCTGCAATTTGGCATGAAAAAGGACCACAAGAAGCAGAGCAATCATGAAGGGACCAAATCTAAGGAACATGATGGCTTTTCAATTAAGACATATGGTTGTCCTGTGCCAGAGTTGCTCTCACTTCTTTTACACAGTGGAGAGTGTAAGGACAAATTTGTTACTTGCTTTAACAATCTTTTTTTTCCAAGAATCTCTTATAATAAAGTAATATTTACCAATATTGAAGGAAAAAATAAAACACCTTCTAAAATATTTGAAAACGATTATCTTTAAGTAATGAACTGGGAAAGAAGAGAAGGCAATATGGTTCTTCAAGTTCACTCTTCCCGAAATCACTGGTCATGGTGATGAGAGTTGGGGTGGAAAAACCTGAGGCAGGAACTATGGTTTATCATAAGAAATTAAATTTGTTTATATTCTTCATGATAATTCACTCAATGTTTACTTTCTTATTAGGGCTTGTTTAGGAAAATATTTCAGAACCTGTCTCCTACTTATTTACCAATCAGAGAAAATAAATGTGGTGATATTTCCAAATGCTCCTATATACATACACACATTCATATAGATAATATGTATTATAGTATATATATAAATTATGTACACATGCAAATACACACATAACCACCCGTCATGAGGTGTCATTCATCCATACATTTTCCATGGATTATCTAATTTAATTCTAACAAGTTATGAGTAAATACTGAGCTCAAGATTGAAATCAGATTTTATCTTACTTTAGAGACTCTAACATTTTATAATTATATAATTGATAAAAAAGTCACTTCTTAAAGTTGATAGTTATTTCTGTTGTATATGTTAGCTAAGAAAAATAGCAAGATAATACAATTTCTTTAGCATGGCAAATTATGTACATTTAAAACCATAGTCATTATCTTACTGAAAATAATAATTTGGGACTAATAGACAGAATATAGAGTGAGCTCAAATAACTTAATGGGGGAAAAAATCAAATAATCCGATTGAAAAATGGGCAAAAATCTGAGTAGACAATTCTCAAAAGAAGACATACAAATGGCCACGAGGTATATTAAAAATGTTCTTCAGATGTTGGAGTGCTCTTAAAAAATGAAAAAATGCTCAACATCATTAATCATCAGAGAAATGCAAATCAAAACTATAATGAGATATCATCTCACCCCAATTAAAATGGCTTTTATCCAAAAGACTGGCAATATCGAATGATGGTGAAGATGTGGAGAAAGGGGAAATCCTTGTACACTGTTGATGGGAATGTAAATTAGTACAACCACTATGGAGAACACTATGAAGATTCTTTGAAAAACTAAAAACAGAACTACCACATGATCTGGCAATCTCACTGCTAGGTATATATCCAAAAGAAAGGAAATCAGCATATCAAAAAGATATCTGTACTTCCATGTTTATTGCAGCACTATTTACAATAGTACTTCCACGTTTATTGCAGCACTATTTACAACCTAAGTGTCCATCAATGGATAAATGGAAAAAGAAAATGTGGTACATATGCATAGTGAAATATTATTCAGCTATAAAAAAGAATGAAATCCTGTCATTTGCAATAACATGGATGGAACTGGAGTACATTATGTTAAGTGAAATAAGCCAGGCACAGAAGGACAAATTTCGAACATTCTCACTCATAGGTGGGAGCTAAAAATTAAAACAATTGAACTCATGGAGATAGAGAGAAGAATGATGATTAGCAGAAGCTGGGAAGGGTAGTAGGGAGGGGGTTCTAAAGTAGGGATGGTTAAATGGGTGCAAAAATATAGTTTGATAACACAATAAGGTGACTGTAGTCAACAATAATTTATTGTATATTTTTAAATAATTAAAAGAGTGGAATTGGAATGTTCCTAACACAAATGATAAATGTTCGAGGTGATGAATACCCAAATTACCCCAAAATGATTATCATATATTGTATGCCTGTATCAAAATAACACATATACCTCATATATCCACCTATTATATACCCATAAAAATTAAAAATTAAAAAAGAAATTTAAAAAAAGAATAATTTGTCCACCCAAAGTCAGGACAAACAGCAATAATAAAGGAAAAAAAGCAGAATCAATATAGAAAAAAATTACAATTTTTTTGTTAAAAAAGTGCAAAATTACATTTATGTTCTGATAATATAATTTTCTATATCAAGAAAGAAATAGATGTAACAAAAAACCCATATTAAAAAGTTCATACAAAGGCTAAGTAGGAAATAAATGTATACCAATGTATTAGTTATCTGTTGCTACATAATAAATTACCCTGTCTTTTGTGAGCCAGTCTCTGAAGTTATACAACTCATTTGCCTCATTCTAATCAATCACTCATAAGAACAGTATTACACATTAAAACAACACTGACTATGAAGCAAGATTGGCCATCAGCTGATAATAAAGCTGAGTAATGAATAGATGGGAATTCATTATAATATCTTTTTGCTTTTTTTTTTGGAGACAGTCTTGATCTCTCGCCCAGGCTGAAGTGCAGTGGCACCATCTCGGGTCACTGCAACCTCCGCCTCCCGGGTTCAAGCGATTCTCCTTCCTCAAATCCCCTAGTAGCTGAGACCACAGGCACGCGCTTCCATGCCTGGCTAATTTTTGTATTTTAGGTAGAGATGGGGTTTCACCATGTTGGCCAGGCTTGTCTCGAACTCCTGACCTCAAGTGGTCTGCTCGCCTCGGCCTCCCAATGTGCTAGGAATACAGTCGTGAGCCACTGCACCCAGCCTTTTTGCTCCTTTATATGTTAAAATAGTCTCCGATAAAGAGGAAAAGAAAGGAAAAACTACACTGATTGCTTCACAAGAAGAAACGGCCAATCCAAATAGGCCTATATCAATTAGAGAAATTGAATCTATAATCAATAACCCTCTAAAACAGAAAGGATTAGGATCAGGTAGGTTCATTGGTGAACTCTAACAAATATTTTAGGAAGAAACTTTACCAACTCTTTCATTATTTAGTGAAAATAGAAGCAGAGACAATAATTTCCAACTCATTCTATGAAGCCAGCATTATATCCTAATACTGAAACCAGACAAAGACATTACAAAAGAAAGCTACAATGCAATATCTCTCATGAACATAGAAGCAAAAATCCTCAACAAAATATTAGCAAACTGAAAGCATAAAGTATAAAAGGAGGTCGGTTGGGGCGTCAGGGGGCTTAGGGGAACTCTGTACTTCCTCTGTTTTGCTGTGAACCTTAAACTGCTCTTTTAAAAAAAAGATTAGTATTAAAAAGTAAATTAACAAATATCAGGCTCATTTTCTGTGTTGTGTAATATTCCAATTTAATAAACTAAGGCAGCCCAGCTGTTTTTATCATCTACTGAAGAGCCAGATTTTCTTCTCAAATTGTTCAGTAATAAGAAGATCCTTCCCTCATGGGAGCACCCCGCAACATGAAGTTTCCATGTCAGTGGTCATGTAGTTTTCCATAGTCTCTGCATCCTCACCATTTTTTTGTTTTGTTTCGTTTTTGAGCCCCGGTCTCACTCTGTGGCCCAGGTGGGAATGCAGTGGCACGATCATGGCTCACTGCTCCTCCACCTCCCGGGCATCGTCCCACCTCAGCCTCTTTGGTAGCTGGGACCACAGGCATGTATCACCACTCCCAGCTAATTACTATTATTATTATTATTATTATTATTATTATTATTATTTTGTAGAGATGAGGCGGAGTCTCACTTTGTTACCCAGGCTGGTCTTGAACTCCTGGGCTCAAGCGATTCTTCTGCTTTATCCTCCTAGTGCTAGAATTACAGGCATGAGCCACCACACCTGGCCTCACCGCCATTTTAAAAGACAATATTGAAACAGGTTTCTATGTTTCAAGGAAGCTGCTGTGAAAGCAGAGGGAGCAAAAGACATTAAAATATCTCAGTTATCTCCCAAGTAGCCAGAGCTGAGATTTGGACCTGGATTATGACCCTGTTTTATGGCAGCATTTTTGACAGTCTAGAAGCAGAGTCCGTAGGAGTAGCCACACAGTACTGGATCTCTCACATTTTTTATGAGGAGATGCAGCTTTGTGGACTGGCCAATCCTAATCGTTGTTTTTTTTTTTTTTTTTTTTTTGAGATGGAGTCTTGCTCCGTCTCCCAGGCTGCAGTGCAGTGGCACGATCTCGGCTCACTGCAAGCTCCGCCTCCCGAGTTCACGCCATTCTCCTGCCTCAGCCTCCCGTGTAGCTGGGACTACAGGCGCCCGCCACCACGCCGGCTAATGTTTTGTATTTTTAATAGAGATGGTGTTTCACCGTGTTAGCCAGGATGGTCTCGATTTCCTGACCTCGTGATCCGCCCGCCTCGGCCTCCCAAAATGCTGGGAGCACCGCAAAATACAGGCGTGAGCCACCGCGCTCGGCCCCTAATCGTTCTTACTAGCACACAATGGGAAACAGTTTCCTTTTGCCTTTTCCTCTAACGTCAATAGGCAGCAGGCAGAGGCTGCGGATGTAATGGCACACCTTCCATGCTTCCATGTCACTGTCCTGAGTCCATGAAGGTTTCATTCCCTTTTTTTTTTTTTTTTTTTTTTTGCGTCTTTATTTTTTTAGAGCAGTTTTAGGTTCACAGAAAAACTGAGTGGAAGGTACTGAAATTTCCTATATATCCCTGCCCTCACACAGGCAGAGCCTCTTCCACCAACAGCATCCTGCACCAAAGTGGTACATTTGTTATAACTGATAAGCCTATATAGACACACCATTATCACCCAAAGTCCATAGTTCACTGGAGGGTTCTCTCTTGGTGTTGGGTAATTTATGGGTTTTGACAAATGTGTGATGACATATATCCACCACTATAGTATTATACAGAGCATTTTCACTGCCCTAAAAATCCCGTGCTCTGCCTATTCACCTTTACCCCTAACCCCTGGAAACCACTACTGTTTTTACTGTCTCCATAGCTTTACCTTTTCCAGAATATCATATAGTTGGAATCATAGTACATTGGCTTTTCAGATTGGCTTATTTAACTTAGTAATATGCATTTAAGTTTCCTCCATGTTAAGTTTCCTCCATGTTATGTTTCCTCCATGTCTTTTAATGGTGTGACAATTCATTTCTTTTTAGCACTGAATAATGTCCCATTGCCTGAATATACCACAGTTTGTTTATGCATTCACCTACTGAAGACGTCTCCGTTGTTTCCAAGTTTTGGCAATTATAAATAAAGCTGCTATAAACATGCATGTGCAGGGTTTTTGCATAGATATGCTTTCAACTCCTCTGGATAGGTACCAAACAGTGTGACTGCTGGGTCGTATGATAAGAGTATGATTAGTTTTGTGAGAAACTGCCAAATTGTCTTCCAAAGCAGTTGTATCATTTTGCATTCCCACCAGCAATGAATGAGAGTTCCTGTTGCTCCACATCCTCATCAGCGTTTGGTGTTGCCAGGGTTTTGAATTTTTGCCATTCTAAAAAGTGTGTAGTGGTATCATTGTTGTTTTAATTTGCATTTTCCTGATGATATATGATGTGGAAACTTTTTATATGCTTATTTGCCATCTGTACATCTTCTTTGGTGAGTAATCTGTTCAAATGTTTTGCCTACTTTTTAATCAGGTTGTTTGTACTTTTATTGTTATGCATTGAGTTCTTTGTATATTTTGGGTACCAGTCCTTTATCAGACATGTGTTTTGCAAATATTTTCTCTGTCTGTGGCTTGTCTTCTCATTCTCTTTGAGAGTGCGTTTCGCAGATCCGATTTTTAGATTTTTAATGAAGTATAAGTTATCAATTACTTCTTCCATGGATCATGTCTTTGATGTTGTCATTTTCGGTTTGAAGAGTCGCTGTTCTTTACTGTACAACATCTGAAGCAAGAGACAAAAACCTTTGTGCCCGCGGCTGCTGCAGGGGGGTCTGAGGGCAGAGAAGCGCTTTCAAAGGTTGGGGGCGTTGCGGCTGCCGCCGCCGGAGCGCCTGGCCAGGGCCTATCCCGGGTCCCGGGAAAGGCTGTTGCGTGCAGCTTCATTCTTCCGCGCAGCAGCCTTGCGGAGACTCAGAACGAGGTGCGGGGAAAGAGCTGACGGGTGGATCAAGAAAAGAGGGAAACAAGCAAACGCACCTTCTTAAACTAGAATTCTTGGTGAAGCCAGAGTTCCCAGATAAAGCTTCGGTGTCAGGTGAGCTAGATGGTATGTGTGGCCCGAGCCATTGCATGTGGGGAGAAAGGTCAGGCAGGATTTTCACGTTTTCATCTATTTGGACAGTTCCTTCTTCGAGCGGGGTCGAGAGCGAGAGGAGCGACAGCTCCCAAGGTACATTTCATCATTCAACGTACTCAGATGCAGGGAATTTGGGTTGCATTTTCCATGAGCCTTCGGCTAGCAGAAAATCTGTCAAAAGATCTTGAACAATCCCTTAATTCTTTCCGCCTGGGATTCAATTGCGCCAAGAGGACTAATTGTGCTAAAGCTATAAAAGTGTGCTTTGCTCTCAGTAACGACACAAGCTGGATGTTGTTAGTGTGTCCCGGAAGGAGGTTACTCAGGTGTAATCTGGGTTAGGCTTTAGGTGGAATTCATCCTCAGAGTTGGTCACTCCCTGGTCGAGCACGAGGTAATATAAAATGCTTCGCGTTTTTAACATGACAGGAATTCTCCGTTACAACCGACTTGTGCCAGGGGATGTAGCTCAGTGGTAGAGCGCATGCTTCGCATGTATGAGGCCCCGGGTTCGATCCCCGGCATCTCCAAGGCGATCACGTAGATTTTGTTTAATTCAGCCTCTGGAACAGAATATAAGAAAAACAAAGAAAAAACTATTTTAGTCCTTTCTCATTTTTGCCATTATCATTTCCTTTAAATCGATCAATTTCCTGTCTTTATGTTTGTTTCTCTTCTATTTGGTTGACTAGCCACACTCCATATTCCTGTTTCCTGGAAACTTCCAAGGTGTTTTATTATGTGGTGAGTAATACAAAGTCAGAGGGACAATTCAGAAATGTACTGTTCCTATGAATGCATCCAGGAAGAGGGAATAGAGCTGAATATCCAAGAATGTTTTAAGATCTACTAAATGAGGCCCTAATCCATTCCCAGTCTCCAGTGAAAAACTATCAGTAAAAATAAAATGTCTCCGTATCATAGTTTTTTTTTTGCGGGGTGGGGAAAGTGGAATAGGATGGAAAAGAGGAAAGTAGCATGCTTTTTTTAGTTTTAGTATTCAGGTGGGAGTTGCTTTCAACTTAAGGTCCACTCTATCACCTTAAGATAATGTAGATCTTGTCCTACAGTTACTAACCTGGTAACCATTTTCTCACTGCACCTTTTCAAGGTTTTTGTGTGGGAAAGCTGGTCATAGAACATTTGGGACATTTGGGAAAGTAGTAAAGGTTAGAAATAGCCTGTAGAAATGGAAGGCAGAGTTGGTTAGAAACTCACAACAGGTGGAACGCGGTGGCTCACGTCTGTAATCCCAGCTACTCGGGAGGCTGGGGAAGAAGAATCACTTGAACCCGGTAGGCAGAGGTTGAAGTGAGCCAAGATGGCGCCACGGCACTCCATCCTGGGCAAAAAAGAAAATCATAACAGATTTCCTGACAGCACTGAGAACCCAACTGAGGTTGCATTCTGGGCAACTGTAAGTAAATGAATTTTTAGGTTTATGTTATTTCTGCATTGCACTTATGTTCATGCTTTGATTCATTTGAGTGCTTTGGAATATTGATAATGAATTTGTTCTGTTGCTTCAGTTCACATTTAAAGATACACCAAAAATGCCAATGAGTATTTCTCTGCCATTGTTAAGAGGAAATAATTAAACATGATAAAAAAGAGAGGATCACAATAATAGTGAAATATTACAAGAAACATTATAAGAGGAAATAATGAAACATTATAAAAGCAAGGATCACAATAATAAGAAAACATTACAAAAAAATTAGCCAGGCATGGTGGCAGGCACCTGTAGTCCCAGCTAGTTGGGAGGCTGAGGCAGGAGAATCACTTGAACCTGGGAGGTGGAGGATTACAATCAGACTTGAATTTTACAAAGTTAATTCCATAAATAATGTGGAAAATGGATTGGGAATGGTGGTGAAATAAGATGAAAATAAGACTAGTTCAGATATTACTGGAAGAGTCCAGAAGAATTTTGGTGGGGACTTTCACTGAGAAGTAAATGTCAGAACATGAAGACCTGTCCTATGACCATTCCTTAGGAAACAGAGTAAGAGTAGCCAAATGCTGGAACTTTCCCAGGGGCCTGAACTGTAGACTTTTCCCAAGAGATTGATATCCAGCAAGATCTACCTCAAGGATGAAGCTATCTGTCTCAATCTCTTAATTTCTCAATTAACCTCATTTCCCACTCAGTTTTCTACTTCCAATGGGATCTTTTGGACTGTGGGGAATGTTTAATTTACTTGGAAAACATTTGATTTGCTAAACTTACTGTCTCATATTCCTGCTATCCCAGTTACCACTCTGGATATATGTCCCTCTAATTCTCCACCTATACCTTCATCTCCATACCCCTGTGTTCTTCTGTTTCAATAATGTAGACTTGCAATTTGTCTCTCTGCATATTTCAACTCCACTCTTTGTATCTCACATTTCCATGTTAACAACCACAATCCTTAACTACTTATCCAAATGTTCCTGCATTAACTTAAACCTAGATCTCCCTAATGCATTGCTATTTAAATTAGAAACTACACATTCTCCAATCTCAGGATCAGGAAATAGGTTAGTACCTTCTGAGGCCACATTCCAATTTCCAAATCATTGCATTTCATTTTATTTTATTATTTTTTGAGACTGAGTCTCACTCTGTTGCCAGGCTAGAGTGCAACCTCTGGCTCACTGCAACCTCCACCTCCCAGGTTCAAGCAATTCTCCTGCCTCAGCCTCCCAAGTAGCTGGGACTGCAGGTGCCTGCCACCATGCCCAGCTAATTTTTTTGTATTTTTAGTACAGAATGGGGTTTCACCATATTGGCAAGGCTGGTCTCAACCTCCTGACTTTGTGATCCGTCTGCCTCGACCTCCCAAAGTGCTGGGATTACAGGCGTGAGCCACCGTGCCCAGGCTTCTATCTGCATTTTAAAAACCCTATTCTGGGTTGGGCACAGTGGCTCATGCCTAGCACTTTGAAAGGCCGAGGCAGGCAGATCACTTGAGCCCAGGAGTTTCAGACTTGCCTGGGCAACAACATGGCGAAACCCTGTCCCTATAAAAAACATACAAAAATTAGCCAGATGTGGTGGCATGCGCCTATAATCCCAGCTACTTGGAAGGCCCAAAAGGGAAGATGGCCTGAGCCTGAGGAGGTCAAGACTGCAATGAGCTGTGATTACACCACTGCACTCCAGCCTAGGCAACAGAGTGAGACTCTGTCTCAAAACAAAAGCAAAAACAAAAACAAAAAAATCCTATTCTGGCCACGTGCAGTGGTTCATGCCTGTAATCCCAACACTTTGGGAGGCCAAGGCAGGAGGATTGCTTGGAGTCAGGAGTTCAAGACTAGCCTGGGCAATATAGGTAGACCTCATTTCTAAAAAAAAAATTAGAACAACCACTCTCCCCTAAGCAAAACCCTGTTCCTTGGAGGCTTTGCTTTATGAAACACAATCTGGGCCAGGTGCGCTGGCTCACACTTTTAATCCCAGCACTTTGGGAGGACGAGGTGGGCGGATCACCCTGAGGTCGGGAGTTCAAGACCAGCCTCACCAACATGGAGAAATCCTATCTCTACTGAAAATACAAAATTAGCTGGGCATGGCGGTGCATGCCTGTAATCCCAGCTACTCTGGAGGCTGAGGCAGGAGAATGGCTTGAATCCGGGAGGCGGAGGTTGGGGTGAGCCAAGATCGCACCATTGCACTCCAGCCTGGGGAACAAAAGCGAACTCCATCCAAAAAACCCCAAAAAACAAAAAAACACAATCTCACATTTCTCAGCAAGAAAACTCTTCCTAATTTAATGAAGACCTGGTGCCTCTTTTCTTCCACTCACCCTTGGTGACTTCAGGGGCCATGTGGACAGATCATCCAGCACCCCAGCTTCTCATTCATTTGATCTCTCTTTTCCCAGGAATCTTTATTTCCACTCTATTTAGTCACTAGCACAAATGGCCATGCTCTGGACTTTGTCATGTATCAGTATTATGCCAAAAGAATAAATCCATCAGTATTATGCCAAAATAATGACTCCAAAATAATATAATCCAGTATAGAGTAGTTTATAAGAACACAGACTCTGGAATTAGAATACTCATGTTTAAATCTCAGCTTTTCCGCTACTGTGAGACATAAGGCAGATCATTTAATTTATTTAAACTTAGGTTTTATCATCTGTAAAATGGGGAGAAAATGATGCCAACTCGCAGGACTTTGTGAATTTTAAATAAAATAATACATTTAATAGTTTCTACTTATTAATAACTGACTATGGTAAGAACTCAATGAAAATTAAATATATAAGAATCAATTGGCTGGGTGTGGTGGCTCACACCTGTAATCCCAGCACTTTGGGAGGCCGAGGCGGGTGGATCACCTGAGGTCAGGAGTTCAAGACCAGCCTGACCAACATGGAGAAACCCCATCTCTACTAAAAATACAAAATTAGCCAGGCATGGTGGTGCATGCCTGTAATCCCAGCTACTTGGGAGGCTGAGGCAGGAGAATCGCTTGAACCTGGGAGGCAGAGGTTGCATTGAGCCGAGATCGCACCATTGCACTCCAGCCTAGGCAACAAGAGCGAAACTCCACCTCAAAAAAAAAAAAAAAAAAAAAGGCCGGGTGCAGTGGCTAACACCTGTAATCCCAGCACTTTGGGAGGCCAAGGCTGGTGGATCACCTGAAGTCAGAAGTTCTAGACCAGCCTGGCCAACATGGTGAAACCCTGTCTCTACTAAAAATACAAAATTAGCCAGTCGTGGTGGCAGGCACCTGTAATCCCAGCTACTCAGGGAGGCCCAGGCAGAAGAATCACTTGAACCCAGGAGGCGGAGGTTGCAATGAGCTGAGATCGCGCCATTGAACTCCAGCCTGGGGGAGAAGAGCGAGACTTCATCTCAAAACAAACAAACAAACAAAAACAAAAACAGAAAAAGAATAAATTTAGTTAAAACTCATAGGAGGACTTGTGACAATATCTTAGAACAATATACATGCTCAACAAATGTTAGCTGCTATTATTATTAATATTATTACTATCTGCATTATTTCCCTGTAACTGCCACAAATATAATGACTTAAAACTGCCACAAATATAATGACTTAAAACAACACAAATTTACTATCTTACATTTCTGGAGTTCAAAAGTCTGAAATGGGTTTCACTGGGCTAATATAAGGGTGTCAACAGGGCTATGTTTCTTGTGGAGACTCTAGGGAATAATCAGTTCCTTTGTCTTTTCTAGCTTTAGCGTTTGCCTGGATTGCTTGGATTGTGGCTCCTTCCTCCATCTTCAAAGACAGCAGTGTAACATCTTCAAATCTCTGACTCTGACCTTCATGCCTCCCTCTTTCACTCATAAGGACCATTGTGATTACATTGTGCTTATCCAAATAATCCAGAATAAATGCTCCATCTCAAGGCCCTTAAATTAATCAAACTGCAACGTCCCCTTTGTCATGTAAGGTATCATGTTCACAAGTTTAGGAATTAGGATATGGTCATCTTTGTGGAGGGTGGCAGGGCATTAGTCTGCCTACCGTAGTGTCCCTAATCTGCTTTCTTTTCTGGCAACCTCATCCAGTTACTTCCTCAACTTCTGTTTATCTACTGAAATGCAACTTCTATTTCCTTAACATTTTTTTCTCTCCATGGATCTTTCTGTTCCTACCTTTTCTTTCTTCCATTTCCAGCTTAGATTCCTTGTTCTTTCCCTTCAGCCACATTTCAGCAGTGTCCTCACACTCCTTTGTTTCATAGTGAACATCCTCCCTCAGAGTTCCAATTGTAGATTATTCCATATGGATCTTATTCACTCCACACAGACTGTTTGGTGCTCCTAGAGAATATCACACCACGGTGAAGATTAGTGCCACTCTAAATAAGGAGTAGGCCTTCCAGTCCAGGATGCCTGTACCCACAACCTCCCCTGCCTTCCCACCCACCACAAGGCCTGGAATGCTCATGCTGCTGTTACTCGTACCCCACCTACTTGAAATAAAAGCAAAGAGGCCAGGTGGCTGCTGCACACTCTTCTAGGGGTGGGCTCAAGGGGCAGTTCTGTACTCACCATCTCCTCCTGCATAAGGATTCAACTTGGTATCATCTTCAAAGAGGAGAGAAAGAGCAAGATTAGTGAAATAATTACGGCCTTTGTTACCTTGGGTCCAGACAGGACTTTTGGGAAGTTCAGTCCAACCCTTCACTTTAGAGGCCAGGAAACTTAAGTACAGAGAAGAGGGGTGACTTACTTGTTCCCTTCAATGCTATCCCACTCACTTGCATTTCCCTAATAGGATTCATAGTAGCTACTTCAAGAAGGCTTGACTTCCTCAAGATATCTAATCCTACTTTCTGTACCTTCAGCTGATGACTTTGCCTCCTACTTCAAATTTAAAAATGCCGTCAAATGAAAACCATCTTAACTTCCTTCATTAACTTATAAATGTACCTATATTTGTATGCATCCTTTTTTTTCATTTCTGTCTGCTAAAATGGAATAAATATCCCTTGTATCAGTGCTACACAAGCTTTAATGTTTATATAGCATCACCTGTGAATTTTTTTAAGACGAAAATTCCATATGTCTGGGGTAACCCCTGAGATTCTACATTTATTATTTTTATTTATTTGTTTATTTTGAGACAGAGTCTTGCTCTGTCACCCAGGCTGGAGTGCAGTGGCACGATCTTGGCTCACTGCAACCTCTGCTCCCCAGATTCAAGCGATTCTCCTGCCGCACCCTCTCCAGTAGGTGGGATTACAGGCGCGTGCCACCATGCCCAACTAATTTTTGTATTTTTAGTAGAAACAGGGTTTCAGCATTTGGCCACGCTGGTCTTGAATTCCTGACCTCGTGATCCACCCGTCTCAGCCTCCCAAAGTGCTGGGATTACAGGTGTGAGCCACCGCATCCGGCCGAGATTCTACATTTATAACTAGCTCTCAACTGATGCTGATGCTGCTGGTCTCTATGCTATACTTTTATTGGGGAGAGCTTAAAGTGTCCACAGCTAGTTCTTCAAAGGTCCTCAGGCCATCTTGTCCTGCATTCACAGGGAATTTGTGCTGTTAATTATTCCTGTTGTCTCTGTCTTCACCCTGTCCTCTGCTGGTTTCTTTTTATTACTATTTAAAATGGTTCAAGTCTCTTCATATTAAAAATCTCCCCTAGCTCCACGTTCTTCTGCAGCCAGCACAATTTCTCTTTCCTTCCAATTCCAGCCACATTTCTTGAAATGGATATTTTTACTCTGTGTCTCCATTCCTCATCTTACTCTCATTTCTCAATCTTCTGAATATAAACTTGATTCTTAGAATTGCAGTGAAATGACTCTTACAAGAGTCACCAATGATTCCCATGTCTCTAAATCTAATGAACTTATTAGCCTTCACTTTACTAAACTCATTTTATCATTTGACACAAATGATTCTTGCTTTGAAACAGCCTTGTCTTTCCATTACAATATATTGCATTGATTTCACGTAAGTTATTTGTAAAATTTCTGTTGTTGTTGTTAAATGTGAGTGTTTTTTAGAGTTCAAATGTAGGCATACTTTCTTCATGCTCTACACATTCTTCCTAAGCATTCTTATATATTACACTTGCTCTACATATCCTCTGTATGCTGCTATTTCTTAAATATATATCTTTAGTCTCTACCACCCTCATTAAATGTTAAGTCCATATAGCCTACAGCATGTCGCCACTGTATTATTCCACAGGCACCTTGCTGCCTTCCTCCCACACATATCTAATTAACCACCAAAGACGCTCAACGCTACCCTCTACTATCTCTCAAAACCATACACTACTTTCCCACTCATTTAATCTAGTTTGCATCTCCAGAAATTCTTCTAACTTATTGTACATATTCATAAGTCAATTTCCCTTCTGTCCTTGTGATGGCCTTTTCCGGTAAGGACCTCAATCCTGGTTAAAACTAATGATGCAGGCCTGGAGCGGTGGCTCACACCTGTAATCCCAGCACTTTGGGAGGCCGAGGCGGGCGGATCACTGGGTCAGGAGATCGAGACCATCCTGGCTAACACGGTGAAACCCCGTCTCCACTAAAAATACAAAAAATTAGCAGGGCGTGGTGGCACAAGCCTGTAATCCCGGCTACTCGGGAGGCTGAGGCAGGAGAATCGCTTGAATCCGGGAGGCGGAGGTTGCAGTGAGCCGAGATTTCTCCACTCCAGTCTGGGCGACAGAGCGAGACTCCGTCTCAAAAAACAAAAACAACAAGAAAAAAACAAAAAACGAATGATGCGCCTTGTCCATATGAGGCCTCTGCAGATCTCATAGTCTTCAGTTAATACAGGTTAAGAGTTTAGCAACTAAGTTGAGAGGAGTGCTTATTTACCAAGATAAGAAAGAGTGAAGGGAAGAAATTTGGAGGTAAAGGAAAAACAAGGTTTTAGTTTTGAACATGTTGAGTTAGAGATGCTGATTAGATATCCATGCGGAGATGTCAAGCAGGCATGAGATCTGTGGAGGCCAAAGGGACAGCTTTTATTTTCTGAGAAACAATGTATACGCTGGGAAAATTCAATCTTCCCAGTGTTTATTCTCAATCAGGTTCATTTAAGCAAATGAGGGATTCAAACTTGCTTAGTTCCAATTGGTTGATACAGCTGAGCCCTGATTGGACAAGGCAGTTGAGCCCCGGTTGGGTGACTTTTAAGCCCAAAACTACAAGTCTTGTTGATTGGATGTTTCTAGGTGGTCGACTGGGGATTTCTTTTTATTTTATTTTATTTTTTTGAAAGGGAGTCTCGCTCTGTCTCCCAGGCTGGAGTGCAGTGGCGCAATCTCGGCTCACTGCAAGCTCCGCTTCCCAGGTTCACGCCATTCTCCTGCCTCAGCCTCCCAAGTAGCTGGGACTACAGGCGCCCGCCACCGCGCCCGGCTAATTTTTTTGTATTTTTAGTAGAGACGGGGTTTCACCTTGTTAGCCAGGATGGTCTCGATCTCCTGATTTCTTGCTAGAGTTTATCTTGGCCCTGGTTACAAGAACTACTCTGGTCTAGGGTTGCAAAGCAGATGTTTGTCATGGGTCATGTTTTCTGAGAACCCAGAGTACATGACTGTTCCCTCACCTGGGCCATGGCCTCTGGACCCTGTTAAATTTTGAGCGGTCTCCATTAGCCACAGGGAGTGCATTTTGTCAGCAGGTGTTCTTTAGATTGAGGCCATTTCACAGCTGGCTGTTATCTTTTCTCTGCTGTCCAACAGAACACCATATCTATTTTGTGTCAAAAGTGTGTCTGGAATCCACCCACACCTCTCTTCCACTTTAAACTGCCTAAGCCAAAAACATTCACTCAATAAATGTTGACTAAGCACTACCTAGTTGCCAGTACTCTTCTAGAAACTGTAGATACAATCGTGAACAAAGATAGACAAATTCCCTCCACTCAGTGAGCTTACATTCTGGAAGACGTCACACTCTCTTGCCAAGATTACCACAGTAGCCTCCTAACCAGTCCCCTGGCATTTCCATTCTTCCTAAAATTCATGCTCCACATGGTTGCCAGAATTATCTTTGAAAAATATATCTTACCGCCGGGCACGGTGGCTCATGCCTGAAATCCCAGCACTTTGGGAGGCCGAGGGGGCAGATCACTTGAGACCCAGGAGTTTGAGACCAGCTGGCCAATATAGTGAGACCCAGTCTCTACTAAAAATACAAAAATTAGACTGGGTGTGGTGGCTCACGCCTGTAATCCCAGCACTTTGGGAGGCCAAGGCGGGTGGATCACCTGAGGTCAGGAGTTTGAGCCTGGCCAACATGGTGAAACCCCGTCTCTACTAAAGATATAAAAAATTTCCTGGACGTGGTCGTGGACACCTGTAATCCCAGCTACTCGGGAGGCTGATGCAGGAGAATTGCTTGAACCTGGGAGGAGGAGGCTGCAGTGAGCTGAGATTCCGCCATTGCACTCCAGGCTGGGCAACAAGAACGAAACTCAGTCTCAAAAAAAAAAAAAAAAAAAAAAATTAGCCAGGCATGGTGGCGCGGGCCTACTCGGGAGGCTGAGGCAGGAGAATCACTTGAACCTGGGAGGCGGAGGTTGCAGTGAGCTGAGATCTGAACTCCAGCCTGGGTGACAGAGAGACTCTGTCTCGAAATTAATAATAATAATAAATGTAAATATATATATTACATTGTATCATTTCCTACCTCAAATTCTGCTTCAGCTAGCATATGTTTTGCTTCCATTAACGGAAAACCTGACCATCAGTCGTTTAAATGAGAATGGTTTATTGGTCCCACATAACAAGAGGTCAGAAGGAAGGGTTGATGAAGCACCTTAACAACGTCATCAAGGACCCAGACTTCTCGAATCTTTCTGTTAGAGGAACCCCTGCTTACTAGGCCTCTGGTTTAATAAAACATGACCAGAATGAAATAGCGAGGCACTTAAAAGTTACATATAAGGTTAATACTCATGGTCTGAAAATAGTCACATTCTAATCTGACCACCAATTGTAATTGCAGAATATTTATGGGTCATACAGAACACCTCCCACCAAGCCTGCAGAATGTCGAGATGTCCTAAAAGTACAGCCCACTTTACTGAAAGATAACGTTAATGAGCAGGCTTAATGAGTTGAAGGATTAATGGTCATTGATAGAAACAATAGCCCCTACCTTTAGTAAGCACATCTACATATTACAAGTTTAATTATAGCTCCTCATAGTTTTTTGTCTGCTTTTTTTTTTTTTGAGAAGGAGTCTCACTTTGTCGCCCAGGCTGGAGTGCAGTGGCATGATCTCTGCTCACTGCAACCTCCGCCTCCCAAGTTGAAGCAATTCTCCTGTCTCAGCCTCCTGAGTAGCTGGGATACAGGCGCAGACCACCACACCTGGCTAATTTTTGTATTTTTAGTAGAGATGGGGTTTTGCCATATTGGTCAGGCTGGTCTTGAACTCCTGACCTCAGGTGATCTGCCCGCCTCGGCCTCCCAAAGCGTTAGGATTACAGGCGTGAGGCACCACGCCCGGCCCCTCAGAGTTTCTTATAAGTAAAGAAACTAACAAAGGATAGTACGTTCCTCCTCCTGCTTTCTGACACCCTACTTGGTAATGGAGTAGCTCCAAGACTCATCTTGAAGTCGTTCCTGGGTGAGATCCAAGAACCCTTTCTTGGGATCTGGATCAGGCCCTTCTTTTTTCCAGCGACATTTTCATTCTGTCATCCTTAAGTGTCAAGAGTGTCTCTTTCATGATCACAGTAGCTCCAAACACTGTGTTTTGTCTTCAAAGTAGTGTTTCTGAAGCAAGAAAGTAAAGGCAAAAGCAAAGAACATTCTTCCTTAGCACATTTGTCTTCTAACAAGAGAAATACTTGTCCCAGAAACCTCTCAGGAAGGCTGTACTTACATTGCGTCAGCCACAACAGTGTCTCATACTCATTTCTAAATCAATTGCTATAAACAAGAAATAGATGATAATAATTGAATAAGCGTTTCTCAGGACAGTTCTACTTGGACATTTTTAGAGGGGTTGATTTTCACAGAGACTAGTGGCTGCTACAGACATCTAATGGAAAGGGGTAAGAGTATCTTACAAATAAACACAGCAATTCCTCATAACAAAAATGGTTGTACATTCTGCAAGACTTTTATATGGTTTCTGGAAAATTCATGCAGGTAAGAAAAAAAACAACTAACCCGTTTATAGTTTCTGAACCTTTGTTTTATGTATAAACACAAGTTATTTATTTCTGAACAATTTTTTAATTTTTTTTTGAGACCGAGTCTCACTCTGTTGCCCAGGCTGGAGTGCAATGGCAAGATCTCGGCTCACTGCAACCTCCGCCTCCCGCGTTCAAGCGATTCTTCTGCCTCAGCCCCCCGAGTAGCCAGGACTACAGGTGTGCGCCACCATGCCTGGCTAATTTTTTTGTATTTTTAGTAGAGACGGGGTTTCACCATATTGGCCAGGCTGGTCTCGAACTCCTGACATCAGGTGATCCACCTGCCTCGGCTTCCCAAAGTGCTGGGCTTACAGACGTGAGCCACCGCGCCCGGCCACACTTTTCACATACAGCAAATAATCCAGGAATGTAACTACTTTGTAAATTGTGGAAATGTTTCATAGTACTTTGTTTGGAACTTATTAAAAATTGTTAACCTGCTGGGCGCGGTGGCTCACGCCTGTAATTCCAGCACTTTGGGAGGCTGAGGCGGGCGCATCACGAGGTCAGGAGTTCGAGACCAGCCTGGACAACATCGTGAAACCCCGTCTCTACAAAAATTCGCCGGGTATGATGGCACCCAGCTACTCGGGAGGCTGAGGCAGGAGAATCACTTGAACCCGGGAGGCGGAGGTTGCAGTAAGCCAAGACCATGCCATTGCACTCCAGCTGGGGTGAGACAGTGAAACTCCATCTCAAAAAAAAAAAAAATTGTTTACCATATTAACAAATCAGTTTGGCAAGGCAAGCATGGCTCTTGGCTTTAAACATCCAACACTACATACCTGTGCCTTCATTACTGTTTCATTCAAACTAATTCTTTTGAAAGGTACAAGAACTTGACTGTATAATGTTTTCTAAAATAGTCATTTATTGGTTTTGCTGAGAGTATTAAAAAGATTGTAATTCCCTACCACTTCCATAAGGAAATATATGTTGTCTTATTACCCATTTTGAATTACTATCTTTTTATTTCTCATATGTATACCAGTTAAGGAGTCTTACAAATTTGAAAGAAAAATTGTATCTGTAGCTAGTTTACATTAACTATCACTTTTATTTCAGGATATTAATTGATGTGCTGCAAAAAACTTGTTGTAAAGAGAGAGTATTGGTTCAGTTAAGGTTAAGAACCATGCCCTAATTACATTATGATTCATCCCCTGTGATGAGGCACATCACCCTCTGAAGACAATTAAAATTTTACAAGGAAGAAGGACTGAATGTTAGGTAAACAACCAAAGTAGCACCCTCCATTTCACTACCTTTAGCATAAAATTCCAACTCTTATTTGCCTTTACAAAGTTCTACAGTGTCTAGCCTCTAGAATCATTTATCAAACTTCAATCACACTTTCCTTTTTTATAATTTTTGAACCAACTAAGTTAATTTCTACCAGAGAGCTTGTTACCTTATCTCTTCTTTCTCCATGGAATGTTCCATTTCCTTATCTTTATATGATTGACTCCTTATTGTTCAGATATTTTTTCAATCTACTCCTAGTGGCGTCCTTCTCTCCCTTGCCCTTCCAGTTCAGGGGAACATTCTTTTCAGTAGCTAAGACGGTTTTCCAGACATGATGGCACAATATGAACCTATTGATACATATGTGACATGATGTGATATATATTTTTCAAAATAATTCTGGCATCAAAGTCTTGGTGGCAGCTTTTACGACAAGACAAGAATGCCTATACCATGGAATGAATACACCTCAAAATATATCCACCAGAAATTCCCTTCTTGATTCTTGAAACAACTCACATCATCAGTATTCTCAGTGCACTCTAAGGTCCTGCTTTTTGCTCTCTGAGATAGGGAATTCTGGTTATCCCATACAATTATTTCAAGTGATTGTGGTAAAGGGAGGCCTGCCTTCCTCTCTTACCAAAGAATAGTCAACTATCTATTAAAAAGAAAGAATGATTTAAACTTATATTTCCCAAATCAGTGCAGTGAATGGATTCCTTTTTAAGAAATTGTTAAGGTCTTGCTTTTAGGATTTGTTAGGGAACATCATGCCGATAGTTAACAAATGTTGTGGTCTTGAGTCTGGAGGCAGCCTGGAGGTAGAATTCAGTCCTCTTGTTTTCCCTTTTCTTTCAAGTCAGCTGATTGGGTAAGGCCCATCCACACAATAGAGGGTAATCTGCTATACTCAAAGTCTACTTTCTTTTTTGAAACAAAGTCTCTCTCTGTTGCCCAGGCTGGAACAGATGCAATCTCAGCTAGCTGCAACCTCCGCCTCCCGGGTTCAAGCGATTTTTATGCCTCAGCCTCCTGAGTAGCTGGAATTACAGGCATGTGCCACCACGCCTAGCTAATTTTTGTATTTTTAGTAGAGACAGGTTTCACCAGGTTGGCCAGGCAGGTCTTATTCTCAGGTGATACTCCTGCTTCTGCCTCCCAAAGTGGTGGGATTACAGGCCTGAGCCATAGTGCCCAACCTAGGCAAAGTCTACTGATTTAAATCTTAATCACATCTAACACCTTCACAGAAACTTCTAGACTGATGTTTGACCAAGCAACTCTGACCAAGCAACTCTGAAACTTTGACCAAGAGTTTGACCAAGCAACTCTGCATTCTAACCTAGTCTAGTTGATACATAAAATTAACCATAACACCTGTGTGGTGGCCTGGAGATACCTCTGAAGGCAGTAAGCTGAGGCATTCGTTGTGCTCATCTTGTTTCGCATTTCTCAGAGATCACTGTCCTTCATTGCCTAATGTTCATTGTTTCACATTTTGCCATTTTAGAAATTTTTGGTTGATTCAGGTGGAATAGTAACTCTGGTTCCTGTCACTCTATCCTGGCCAGAGGTTTTCACTTCCCACACTTATCAGATTTAAAGTTCAAAGTGAATCATGTTGGAAGAAACAAGAAGACACACTATGATTCCAAAAAAATCTTGTTTCCAAGCAGAGGTGTTAATGGTTGTCTGAGTCTTTTGTTAGATTTGTTCCTTACCTTCCAGGTGTGTACTGGGGTCTAGAGTAGTGCATGATTAATTATGTGAATGTCAGATCTGGAAAAGATATTTAGTACTATTACTTCCATTTTCCACTCAGCAGTGAGAAAACTTTTCTGAAAGTGTTGTGATTATTACATGTTTTTCCCTCTTTTAATCCTCTAATATGTTGCATGAGATTAATGAATTTTATAATATTCATTGACACATGTCCATTCCTTTAACAAACTCCACCTTTTAGTCACTTCCGGCTGCTATAACAAAATACCATAAACTGGGTGGCTTAAATGACAAGCATTTATTTCTGGAGGCTGTAAGTGCAAGCATTTAGTTCTGGAGGCTCTGGACAAGCATTTAGTTCTGAAGGCTCTGGACAAGCATTTAGTTCTGGCGGCTCTGGAAAAGCATTTAGTTCTGGATGCTGTAAGTGCAAGGTAGGGTGAGAATTGCTGGTGTCATCTTGCCAAGCTACCTTTTAGAGCCTCCTCCCCACCTTGCTCCTTCTCCCAACTCCAACCGTTCTGAACACTCCCAAGCACAGCCCTTCCCTCATTTCTACTTGGCATTCCTATCCATCCTTCCAGATTCGGTCACAGGTGACTGTAACCGAGGACTTCTGCACTCTCTACGCAGGTATAAAGCCTTCTCTGTTCCCTTGGTGAGACAGGAGTCTGAACCATCTCTACATTTTCTGTAGAGAGAACCATTCCCTCTACAGAAAATAATGCGCCACAGAAGCAGAGATTTAGCCTCGATCTTAGAAGTAACACGTCTCCAACTTCATTCTGGGCTCTTCATTTCAAAGAATCAGAGTAGGATCTGAGGATTCCTACTCTCTGGATTTTATTTGTATTCTCTGGATAAAATGCGGATCAGGGGGCCGCGGGAGGCAATCCAACATCTTTAGCCTTTAACCGTCCCAGTTGCTAACGGAGTGGAACGAGTTTATTTTTATAACAGAAATTCCTTCACTACCTCCTTGTTTTCTAAGAAAAGGCGTGTAGCGGTTTCTGGAGTTTGGGAATAGGACGCAGAGATGGGGTAAGGAATTGGAGGCAGTTCAGTAGTTTCCCTAAGTAAAGACAGTAGTTGGTAAAACATTTGCTATCTTTTCTGGAAGGATCTTTCCTGTGTCCTGAAAATCTTTTTTACAAATGAGAAAAGCATTCAGAAAAGGAAGGTCTGGGAGGATGTTTCTTAACTGAAATTTCCTCCTCTAGTCTGTTCTTAATCCTTACCAAATGTCTGCAAGATGCTGGTTAATCAAAATTTCTTGGTGATAGAGGGCTACAAAAAGGGGAAATGAAAATTTTAACGTTCGTTCATGAAAGAATAAATAAATGTTTAAAAAAAAAAAAAAAACTGAGGTAAATTTCTATATTCTTTCATAAAAGCAGTTTAAAGACGAATGTTTTTCGAGGTGGGGATGTAGCTCAGTGGTAGAGCGCATGCTTAGCATGCATGAGGTCCCGGGTTCGATCCCCAGCATCTCCAGTGTTTTTGTATTTATGCTCCGGAACCGTCTTTCTTTTACAGATACAGTCACAGCCTATTTCTGTAGAATCGGAAAATTAATCATATTGCCCCCACTCCCGTATTTATATCTTGCTTTGGTTACGCCTGTAGCTCTTTCATTTTTAAAATTTCATTCCTGCCTGGCCAACACGGTGAAACCCCGTCTCTACTAAAAATACATAAATTAGCCAGGCGTGGTGGCAGGCGCCTGTAATCCCAGCTACTTGGGAGGCTGAGGCAGAAGAATCGCTTGAATCTGCGAGGCGGAGGTTGCAGTGAGCCGAGATCGCGCCATTGCACTCCAGCCTAGGGGACAAGAGAGAGACTTCGCCTCGAAAAAAAAAAAGAAAAAGAAAAAAAAATTTATTCCTCTCCATTCTCAGCCGCATTTACATATGATGAGTGACTTTGGACCCTGTTCCATTAGGGCGGTGCTGGAAGGAACATTTACCAATAAAAGGACAATTATCAATAAAAATCCTAAATGGATGTTTTGTGAACGAATTCATCTTTTCACTGAGTTTTGCTGCTGGGTTTGTGGTGGGGGATCCAACGGTAGGCTGAGGTCCGGTCTCAGGTTTCACCTTTTGGGGCTTAGTGGGAAAAATATGGATTTCTCCTCAAGCTCGCAGGAAAGAAAATGTACTCTTCCCAGGCCGGAGGCTACGAAGGCATTGGGTAAATTTAGCATCTCCAAACGTGGCAGTTCTCTCAGAAATCGTACACAAAGAGGTGAAATAGTAGCATTTTGACACTGACGTTTTTCCTTCAGTGACTGCATTTTGCCAGTGAGTTCATAGCGTTCCCATGATTGTGTGGATTTGATCCCTTCTATATTGATCTCTTTTGAAATCTCTAAATTTGCTGCACTGATTCTAAAACTGCTCACTTCAATTATGCTTCTCAAACAAAAAAACAAAAACACTTCTCTTTTTAAAGCTGGTGCTTTTATACCATGCACGTGTGTGAGGACTTTCTTTGGCTAGCCCTTTTGTGTATTTCGCAGAATACACAAAAATCTCCTTTTGGGATGCCGCGTCTCTTGTATCTTGGTGCTTTAGTCTCAACTTCCAACTTGGGACAATGCAGAGATGCGGTTAGGAATCGGGGGGCAGTTCAGTAGTTTCCCTAAGTAAAAACAGTCGTTGGCAAAACATTTTCTATCTTTTCTGGAAGGATCTTTCCTTTGTCCTGAAAATCTTTTTACAAATGAGAAAAGCATTCAGAAATGGAGGGTCTTGGAGAATGTTTCTTAACTGAAATTTCCGTCCCCACTCTGCTCCTAATGTCTGCCCCCAGTGGCCCTCAGTGCCACTCTTTCCCCCATCAGTTCCCTAAATTTATTTCATATAAGAGACCTGGAGAAGTTACACATTTCATTGATTTAATACTTCAGCTACCCACAGGTTAAAGCTATGCATGCTTTATATCCCCTCCAAGAAAAAAAAATAGATTCTTTTATTTTGGTCACAGAAAGCCTGAGTCTTCCATTTATTCCTTCAGCAAATAATTTAAGTGACAGATTTATAGTTATTTATTTATTTATTTGAATTTTCAGTGCGTAACATGTAACTGTCTTCCCCTTCCCATCTACCATCTTTCTCTTAGGTCCTTTATATTGTCGCAGGGTAGGGCGGTACCCAAAGTCTGCCTTTCATCCCAGTTGACCACAGGTTATAACTTACTTCGTATTTTAGAGATTCTTGCCAAACACTGCCAGATTTCCTCCCTTGAATGTTTAAACTTTCCCAGGTTTGCCCAATACAGACAAGAAAGAAGAGAGAATCACTGTTAAATTTCTGTCTACCCACCATGATGTATTTTATTTCAAATTACTGAGGTTATTGATCACAGCCTAAGAATAAACCGTGTGAAGATTTTCCTACATTATGTTGTAGGTCTGCTGTATCTCATTTCTCTTTAACATGAAAATAATAAATTATATTCCTCACTAAATAACCTTGATTCACATCTAATTTTCTCTAGCACAAGACTGTAGCAACCACTAAATGGAGGCTCAGAGCAGTTTCATTCTGGTAACAAAAAGGAGTCTTTTTAGCTTTTCAATGCTAAGGAATAGGACCAGCAAATAAAAGATTTTTCTCCAGGTTTCAGCTGTCCGCTTATTTTTATGTTTTCAGAAAATTGCCCCTTTTCTTTCTTCCTTTTGCTTCTCTTAATATTCTTTCGGCAGAAAAGCTACAGAAAATTAGGTCTGGTTTTACCAATTAAAATAGCGATCTTTTGAAATATTGTTTAAAATTTTTTAAATTTTCCTATCAGGAACCCAGAGTTATACGATCAATTAAAACAAGCCTTTCCTTAGTAAGACAGTCCCAAGTTATCAATTTCCCTTTTCCATGAGATAAGTTTATTTCAATTGTCTTCCCTTGCTTTAAGATGAGGTCAGAGCCATCTCAGACCACTGGCAAATAACCTCAAATTTTATGGGGGAACAGAGTTTAAGGGTCTATTTCTTCTATCCCAGAAGGCCCTGAATTCTTAAGGGATCGGCTTTTTTCCCCAATACCTAGCTTTGCAAAGCAGGGATCTCAAGGAGTGGCAATTCTGATTTCTTAGTCCTGGGACAATTTTGGAAAGACAAAACATAAAATAGAAGCTTCTCTCTACTTGGCAGAACTGTACCTGGTGAGATTAAGTTACATCACCTCCACCGGCCCTTGACTTTTAAAATGTCTGCGAACTGCTCATATGTCTATGACTAAAGGGCCAGTGGATACCGAGATACTGCTTTGACTCTTATTTTCCCTAAGAGCTAAGAGCGTCTCCACCGTGGGAAAGCCTCTGGAGTCTCCCAGCCTCCTGCAGGAGACTCAGTTCTGTATCTCTGCCCCAAAATAGGCCCCAGGCCATGAGTTCTGGCTCTGGAAGCACTAAGGTAGAGCTGCCATCTTTGACTAAGGCTTCTGTCTGTGCCTCTGGGTTAAATGGTTTTACTTCATGCACTTACTATGCTGGACTTGAATTACTGGTGGGTTTTTGTTTGGTTGTGTTTGGTGGTTTTTTTTTTTTTTTTTTTTGGAGATTTCTTCCTCTCTTTATTTCCCTTATGATATGGCTATGTATTTATTTTGTAGTCATTTTATATTTATAATGTCATTTTACATTTATATTGTTGTCATTTAAAATCATATTGGATCTATTGTTGTTGTTCAAGTGGGTAAATTTTTCTCAGAGATATCTCCAATAATAGATATTCATAAGATAAAAATCTTCTTTTTTTTTTTTTTTGTGATGGAATCTTGCTCTGTAGCCCAGGCTGGAGTGCAGTGGCACGATCTCAGCTCACTGCAAGCTCCGCCTCCCGGGTTCACGCCATTCTCCTGCCTCAACCTCCCGAGTAGCTGGGAGTACAGGCACACCACCACGCCCGGCTAATTTTTTGTATTTTTAGTAGAGACAGGGTTTCACCGTATTAGCCAGGATGGTCTCAATCTCCTGACCTTGTGATCCGCCAGCTTCGGCCTCCCAAAGTGCTAGGATTACAGGCGTGAGCCCCGCGCCCGGCCAAAGATAAAAATCTTTATACAGTCGTGTGTCAATAAGGGGCAAATGTTCTGAGAAATGCATTGTTGGATGATTTCGTCATTGTGCGAACGTCACAGAGTGTACTTATGCAAACCTAGATGATATAGCTGACTATACACCTAGGCTGTATGGTATAGCCTATTGCTCCTAGGCTACAAAGCTGTACAGAATGTTGCTGAACTGAATACCGTCGGCAATTGCAATACAGTGGTATTTGTGTATCCGAACATACGAAAGGTACAGTAAAAATGTGGTATAAAAGATAAAAATGGGGCCAGGAACAGTGGGACACGACAGTAATCCCAGCACTTTGGGAGGCTAAGGCGGGTTGATCGCTCGAGCCCAGGAGTTGTAGACCAACCTGGGCAACATGGTGAAACCGCATCTCTACAAAATACAAAAATTAGCTGGGTGTGGTGGCACACGCCTGTGGTCACAGCTACTCAAGAGGCTGAGATGGGAAGATCAAGTGAGCCCAAAGGTCGAGGCTGCAGTGAGCTGAGACTGCGCCATTGCACTCCATTAAAATGGTACACTTGTACTGGGCACTTGCCATGAATGTGTCTTGCAGGACTGGTAGTAGTTGTTCTTGGTGAGTCAGTGAGTGAGTGGTGAGTCAATGTGAAGACCTAGGACATTACTGTACACTACTGTAGATTTTATAAATGCTATACACTTAGGCTACACGAAACTTATAAAGTATTTATTTCTTCAATAATAAATTAACCTTAACTTATTGTAACTTTTTTACTTTATAAACTTAATTTTTAAAAACTTTTTGACTCTTTTGTAATAACACTTAGCTTAAAACACAAACACCTGGCTTGGCATGGTGGTTTATGCCTGTAATCCCAGCACTTTGGGAGGCTGAGGCATGCTGATCACTGGAGGTCAAGAGTTTGAGACCAGCCTGGCTAACATGGTGAAACCCTGTCTCTACTAAAAATTTTAAAAAATACAAAAGTTAGCCAGATGTGGTGGCGGGCGCCTGTAATCCCAGCTACTCGGGAGGCTGAGGCAGGAGAATCGCTTGAACACGGGAGGCGGAGGTTGCAGTGAGCCAAGATCTCGCCACTGCGCTCCAGCCTGGGTGACAGAGCAAGACTCCGTCTCAAAAAACAAAAACAAACAGACAAAAAATCCAAAAGACCACAAACACCTGTAAAGCTGTACAAAAAACATTTTTTCTTTATATCTATATTCCATTAGCTTTTTTCTATTGAAAAGCTTTTTTTTTTTTTTTAACTTTTAAAACTTTTTTTTTTAAAAAATGAAGACACAAACACACACATTAGGTTAGGCCTAGACAGGGTCAGGATTATCAATATCACCATCTTCCACCTCCAAATCTTGTTCCACTGCAAGTTCTTCAGAGGCAATACCAAGTAGGAAGCTGTCATCTCCTATGATAACAATGCCTTCAAGAATCCCTTGTGAGGGCCTGCCTGAGGCTGTTTCACAGTTAACTATTTTGTAATAAGTAGAAAGAGTACACTGTAAAATAACAATAAAAAGTATAGTATAGTAAATACAAAACCAGTAACATAGTCATTTATTATCATTATCAAGTATTATGTACTGTACATAATTGTATGTACTATATTTTTACACAACTGGCAGAGCAGTAGGTTTGTTTAAACCAGCATCACCATAAACATGTGAATAATGCACTGGGCTATGTTACCACAGCTACAATGTCATTAGGTGATCAGAATTTTTCAACTCTATTATAATCAGTCTTATGGGACCACTGTCATCTATGTGGCTCATTGTCGACTACAATGTCCTTATGTGGCATGTAACTGTGTTTCTACCTTTAAATGTCAAGTACTTCATCTTTCCTTCAGTTATATCTGGTTGTTCATCAAGATTTTTAATGCATGTTTATAGTTCAAATAACTATTTCACTTGAGTAGTAATCCAAAGTGTGATGATCTAATATTCATATTCCTAGGCTACTTGACATAATGCAATTTCTTCTCAAAAGCCAATCCATTTGATATAGGACTAGCAATTCTACTGTGCTTAACTGTTAGTAAGTACTTTTACTTTCTCTTGCCTCATTGTGGTGAAATCCACACTCAAACATAGCCTTTTCAGGCTGGAAAAGGACCACACTGGGGTACTGTGCTGAGTTGCTAATGTCAAAGCTACCATTAGAGAAGTTTGAAAGGACTTTCTGGTAACCCAGTGTCACAAATGCTGTATTAAAATCACTGGTGAATGTAGATGGTGTACACATGGTATACCAACCTTATTCACTAGACACTGAATGGCACTTCAATCTCATGACGAAGTTTTATTAGGGCAAAATGCCCAACACTTTAGCATAGATACCTGCCAATTGCCTGCTTTCCACTGACTGACAGTCTTATTCCTCTAGCTGATTTGGTGTTCCCAACTTGCATTTCTCTAGCTTCTCCTTAAGCCCACCCATTCTGTAGGGCCCCTTCTATAGCCACCACCTGTGCCTCTCACTTCTGTGTCCTCCCTCAAAATACCTTCTCCAGTGCACCCACTCCATCCCTTATTCCTAAATTACTTTCCCACCTTAATCTCAGATCACATTCATCTCCATCTTCTGTTCTCCAGATGCTCTTACTTTCCCCCACCTCAACTCATTCACTACACTCACTATAGTAACTCACTACCCTCAGGATCCAGCCAGCTTTGTTCTCCTAGCTCACAGTCTTTGCTTTTACCACCTCCTACGATGGCCTCTTCCTCTACCATCCCTATTCTATCCTTCGGTTTCCATCCTTTCTAATTCCTATTCTTAGCTTAACTTTTTTTCCCAGATTCAAGCTCTCTTCTTCCCACACACCTGTGAGATACTCCCTTTCTGAGTGGTCCTTGCTTATCCCCACCTCTGGTTGTTCTCAGAAACTATGGACTGGGATAGCTAAGCTGACACATACTTTTCCTTGTGCCTTTTATTTTCTTCTATCTTTGAACTCAAATTTTTGTTCAGCTTTTTAATTAGGCATATGAACCTGTCATACTTACTTCACCTCACCTCTTATTTACTAGTTTTCTTTTTAAATAAGTTCATTTTAATAAAGTTTGGGGAAAATCTTAGGACACAACTTAGTCATTTCTCAGAGGATGCTGCTTACTGCAATAGTTTCCTCGGGCTGCTATAACAAAATAACACAAACTAGGCAGCTCAAACAACAGAACTTTATAATCTCACAGTTCTAGAGGCAAGAAGTCCAAGATCGAGGTGTCAGCGGGGTTTGTTCTTTCTGAGGGTTGTGAGGGAGAATCTGTTTCAGGCCTCTCCTCTAGTTTCTGGTGGTTTTCTGACAATCTTTGAAATTCCTTGTGGATGCATCACCAAATCTCTGCCTTCATGTTCACATGGTATTCTCCCTGCATGTGTGTGTATGTTCAAATTTCCATCCCCCTACTTTTTTTTTTGAGATGAAGTCTCGCTCTTGTCCCCAGGCTGGAGTGCAATGGCGTGATCTTGGCTCACTGCAACCTCCGCCTCCCAGGTTCAAGTGATTCTCCTGCCTCAGCATCCCGAGTAGATGGGATTACAGGCCCCTGCCACCACGCCCGGCTAATTTTTGTATTTTTAGTGGAGATGGGGTTTCACCATATTGGCCAGGCTGGTCTTGAACTCCTGACCTCAGGTGATCCACCCACCTCCGCCTCCCAAAGTCCTGGGATTACAGGCGTGAGCCACCACCGCACCCAGACAAATTTCCCGTTTTTATTAGAACACCAGTTATATTGAATCAGGGGTTCACTTTACTCCGTATGACTTCAAGTTAACTAATTACCTCTTTGATTACCTTATTTCCAAATAAGATCACATTCTGAGGTACTGAGGGTAGGATTTAAACATGAATTTTCAGGGGACTAACAGCTACTAACTAGTAGTATAGTAAATCACCCTATTCTCAACAAAGAAAGCATAACTGAGGGTAATATGAAGTCACTGCAGTTGTGACAAATCCCCACGCTCCAGTATTGATATTCATATCCCTCAGTCAGCTGTCTTGGATTCTGATGTTAGTTGAGCACTTTTGCATCAAATTGGCTGGAGATCTCATGTGAATTATTTAGCCTTTCAATTCACTCACATATTTTTTTTTTTCTTTTTGAGTGCAACTCTATTTGGAGGAGGATCCCACTGGGCTAGTGATATGGTTTGGCTGTGTCCTCACCCAAATTTCATCTTGAATTATAGCTCCCATAATTCCCACATGTTGCGGGAGGGACCCAGTGGGAGATAATAGAATCATAAGGGCTGTTTCCCCCATACTGTTCTCGTGGTAGTAAGTCTCACGAGGTCCAATAATTTTTTTTTTTTTTTTTTTTTTTGAGACGGAGTCTCACTCTGTCGCCCAGGCTGGAGTGCAGTGGTGTGATCTCGACTCACTGCATCCTCCACCTCTCGGGTTCAAGAAATTCTCCTGCCTTAGCCTCCTGAGTAGCTGGGATTACAGGCGCCCACCACCATGCCCGGCTAATTTTTGTATTTTTAGTAAAGACGGGGTTTCACCATGTTGGACAGGCTGGTCTCCAGCTCCTGACCTCAGGTGATCTGCCTGCCTCAGCCTCCCAAAGTGCTAGGATTATAGGCATGAGCCACTGCGCCCAGCCATATTCTTTATTTTGTTTAAATATCTTGGATTAACTTGAACGTATTCTAGGTGTGTTCAAGTACTAATTGTGACATTAGGGGGGAAAAATCTATTAGGACTTTTTCCAGCAAAAGTCAAAAAGAAATTTTAAAATTAGTTGAACTGGGCAATGTCAGAAATATACCTAAAACAAAGTATTATGCTTTGAACTTGATTACTGGGACCTGCTAGGCACTCAACTATCACATTGTACTTCTTTTATTGTGATACTGTTTCTTGTTTGATTTTTATCATCTGGCTACCTTGTGCCTAGTTGTGTCTACAGAAGTTATTTCAATGCCTGACACATAGTAGGTATTCAATACATCGTTCTTGTTGGAAAAAACTTGAACAATATTTCCCTGGACATGATGCCATCCCAGTTATATTTTAGTAACTGAAGTTAGTACAATCCTGATCATAAACAATTCAGCTGATTCAAATTCAGAAAGGCTATGATTCCTGGTCCTTATGATTTTGGGGGATGTTGCTTCCCAAACTCAGTAAATATACAGTAACTCTTAATACAGTAACTGTTAGTACAGGTCTAATCATAACAGTTTGTTAATCTATATTAAATTAAAACGTGACTATCTTGGTTAACAGGAAAATAAGTTTATATTCACTACAAAAACATTCTGAATGGGATACGAAATGGCAATGCTCCAAATTTTGGCTCAAGAGAGGAATTAAGAAAGACTTTAGGATTCAAGGGCATTATCCGGCCCAGAGCCCCTTACAGCCTTTGCCAGGTTAAATAGGGAATTTTGTAGTCCTCCCTGTTGTCTTTTTAACATGGCGGGGAAGCTGGGTAATGTGCAGAGACGCTTGCTTTATTTGGTGAACTCACTCCCTCACTTTGGCACCAGCCTCAGTACTAAGCAAAGGCAGAAAACTAGGATACAATCGTTAACAGTTTCAGAATGGATCTTAATTTGGGGATTTTTCAATCAATTAATGTTTGTTTAGCTTCTACAAGGTGCGGATCCATAAGGAAGATATTAGGAAACATCTAATTGAAGCTTGAAGAACCAAAATGAGGAAGGCAGAATTAGGAAAGACCCTGTCCGGTGACGCCTCCCCTTCTGGTTTCCATCTGTGCCCCCTCTCAGGAGCCGCGGGAACACAAGCCTCGAGCAGGCAAAGTCTCTTTGGATTTGAAATACAAAACCGTTAAGTGAGCTCCGACCAGGTCGCCTCCCAGCTGTCGCCTGCTTTCTCTAAAGCAGTGATCTGGCAGCTGTTTGGAGAGTCTGAACGCGTTAACAGTTTTTGTTTTTCAGCGCATCCGTGTGCTATCTTCTAATTGGCCAGAAAAGCCATTAATGTGATGAAAATTCTGAATGATCTGTTTTGCTAGAAAAGCTTTTCACTCCACTTTTAGAATCCAACCACTTGATGATTCGAAATCACCGCAATGCCATGGAATGTAAAAACTGCTCTCGCCACGTCTAGAGACCGATGCCTCTTCCTCCGCTGGGAACACGGTTCATCTCCACTCTCCGATTTCACGGTTTTATTTGCCCTCTGGGACGCGCTGACATTGTTCTAAGCACATTTTCTAAGTGATTGTGTGAGTGTGGGTGTGTTTTGTTGGACTTGAAGGGAGTCTAATTTCTAGAAGTTCCTTTCAGGAGTCTGCCTTTACTGCAAAGTTGATGTATTCGAAAACACAGTAACTCTTAATGGCAACAGAATTTGTCACCTAATTAAGTGCAATTCGGTCATAAAAGAAGCCACAGAATCTGCACGGCTGGCTCTGTGGCTTAGTTGGCTAAAGCGCCTGTCTCGTAAACAGGAGATCCTGGGTTCGAATCCCAGCGGGGCCTTAGGGTGTGCGTGTTTTTTTTTCTTTCCCCCTTTAATAAGGGCCGTCTGTTTTTGTAAATTTATCACAATTTTTAGTCTATAATCCTTAATCACAATATCAAGTCCACTGCATAGAGCTTTAATCTCTCCAATCTCTCTTCATTACACCTGCATCCTCAAAGACTATTAGTTTCTGATGATCTCCCAGACAGTTATATTGGAATTTCACCAAACTCAGGGGTTCAAGTTCAATCACGGATAAAAAATCTCTAAAATAAAATTGTAAAACTTTTAATTCAAAACATTAAAAATATATTCTTCTGGTTTCTCAAACTCCATGTTAACCTTGCTTAAAGTCCACATGGATGAAAAATGGTTGCAATTTATGGAACATTTACTAAGTTGCACTTTGTGTATTTTCTCACATGCTTTTAATTCCTAGAATATTCACTGAAGTAAACATTATTATGCCAATTTTACAGATTAAAAATGAAGTATCAGAAGGAAATAAACTTGCCCAAATCTTACAGCTGATAATCAAGCTAATATTTAAATCCAATATTTCTCAGTTACTTAAGTCAAAGTTATTTAAGTCAAAGTCTTAAGTAACAAATAATATTATTTATAAAAACAAACAGTATCCAGTGTGATTTAGAATAATGGTTCTTAAAATTTTATGGCACATGAACTCATTACATTATCTAAAAAAAACTTTTGTCTATAAACACACAGACACACACACACACAGACTTACGGACAAATTTTGCATATTCTTTTGAGATTTTCTCTGACCTCCTTAAGTTCTTGGGTGTCCATGTGCCACTGAAAAAAATCCATGACTTTCATAAATCAATAAACAGTAAATCGCAAATGAATGTTCAGAAAAAATAAGCTGTTTTAGGGACAGGGGTCATATTTTATTTCTTGACATTGATTTTTATAGTACTATCACTCCCTTCCCTTGGTTGATTTAAAGTGGGTTATTAGAAGCAGATTTCCCAACAGGAGTGTTATGACTCTGAGCCAGCATGCCAGTTTCAAAAAGTTATATTTCTGGATGTGAGATCACTGAAGTGAATTCTGAAAAGAATTCTATGTGGTCCATAAACACCTCTTAAAGCTAACTTCAAGCAGTGGAAGATATGCCTTCATCTGTTTTATGTGATAATTACGGAACTCTAGTCATCCCCTCATTCATTCCCAAAATTATTAATTCTATGCCTACTCACACCAAGGTGTGGAAAGGTAAACTGAACAGGCCTGGTCTCTATCCCAAAGGAGATAAGAGCTTAGTTGGGGGTGGGTGAATGGATAGAAGTTATTTATATAATGACAAACATAACATTGTGGCTATGATAAGTGCTGCAAAAAAAGAATGACTGTGATTTAGAACACACCGATGGGATTTGGTTTCATCAGGGAGATAAGAAGAGAGTCTTCAGTTGCAAAGAAAGAGGACAGCATAGGAAAGGGAGACAGAGCATAGGAAAACCCAGGCAGAGGAAGTTGGACAAAGTGCATTGGACTGGAAAAAAGCTGGTATGAGTACAGTGGGAAGGCCATGGGCAAGCAGCCTGAGAGATGGGATGCAGAAGGATAGGACCAAACTGTGTCAGAATTTTAGAGGCCATGCCAAGGAGTTTTAATTTTATATTAAGAGCAACCAAAATCCATGTGTAATTGAACATAAACACATTTCAAAAATTATGAGTGAAGAAAAAAATATAAGGTTTCAGATGTATTCTCCTATTTATTGTGTTCTTTTCAGAAAATAAATTTAAAATTAACTAGAAAAGCAGATAACCAGTAACATAATCAGAAGTGGAGAAAGTATAAATGTAAGAAATACTTAAAAGGAATTGGCATCAAGTTTTAGGGGGAAAACCCCCCAATTGAGAAAAAGCCTATATCTGCAACCTCAGGGGAGTTATTGCTCACAAATGACTCCTTTTCCAAATGTTTTAAGAGTAAAACTTCATCAGACAAGTACATCAATGCCTTTGTTTAATTTTTGATTAATAAGAAATAATCCTATCCTCTTTCTCTTTACTTAATGGTGATGAATTCACTAAGGTTTCAATGAGAATTTAGTTGTGCTTACTGGGAGTTCTCTCGAAAGTTTAGCTTTCTATTCTGTTTCTTATATAAAGTTCCGAGCTGCCAGAATAAGAGAGGCTGGAGTCAAGTCCTCTAAGGTCTTTTCATCCCCAAGGTGAATTATCTAAGGAGCCTTAAAAGAGCTTTGCAGTCCCCTCACACTCAGCAAAGAGCTGAGTCAGTCTCTGTGCAAACTTAGCAAACAACTTCTAAGTTTATGTACTGGACCACAGATTGAAAAGTGAAGTGGCTCTCAACTCAATCCAAAGATGCTTTCCTCCCTCTAGTGAGAGCAATGCTCATTCAATGGATCAAGTCACACCAGAGAAAAATCTGTTCACATATAAATGCAGAGAAAAGGCTGGCAATAAAGTGACTGACTGTGCACAGGAGTGAAAGGAGCATGGAGTTGTCAGTGACAAAGTCTGTATGCATGTCCTGGATCCTTCACTACCAAATGTGGACCTTTGGTAAGCAACTTGACTAGCCTAAGGTCTATCTCATTCTTTTCTTTTTATTTTAATTTTTACTTTTAAAATAATTTCATTTTTACAGAAAAGTTGCATCCTTCACTCAATCTTCCCAAATATGGACCTTCTCTCATATGTATATCTCTTATGTATATATATATGTATACATATATATTTTATACATATGAGATATACTTTTAATCTCTTATACATATGAGATATGCCTTTATCTCATATACGTGTGAGATATACTGTTATCTCACATCTCATATGTATATATGTATACATATATATTTTATACATATGAAATATACATATGAGCTAAAAGTTCCTATATACATGTATACACACAGACACACACACACGCACACATACTAAACCATTTGCCATTTAAGAATAAGTTGCCAGGCATGGTGGCTCATGCCTGTAATCCCAGCACTTTGGGAGGCCAAGGTGGGTGGATCACGAGGTCAGAAGTTTGAGACCAGCCTGGTCAATATGGAGGAACCCCATCTCTACTAAAAATACAAAAATTAGTCGGGCGTGGTGGCGCGTGCCTGTAGTCCCAGCTACTCAGGAGGCTGAAGCAGAAGAATCGCTTGAACCCGGGAGGCAGAGTTTGCAGTGAGCCAAGATAGCGCCACTGCACTCCAGCCTGGGCGACAGAGTGACACTCTGTCTCAAAAAAATAATAATAATAAATAAAAATAAAGAAGAATAAGTTGTAGATATAATGATCCTTTACCCCTAAATACTTCAATGTATGTTTCCTAACAGGAAAACACCCTCTTACATAACCACAGTACAATGATCAAAATCAGAAATTAACATTGATACAATGCTATTGTCCAATATATGGGCCTTATTCAGACTGTGCTAATTGTCCCTAAAATGTCCTTTTTAGCAAAAGAAAATCTTTGAGCATATGTTGAATTGTCATGTTCTGTAGCCTTTCTTTTTCTTTTATAACATTGGTATTTTTAAAATAGTACAGGACAGTTATTTTATAAAGTATTCCTCTATTTGGGTTAGTCTGCTATTTCCTCATGATTGGATTTAGTTTATGTATTTTGGGTAGGAATACCAGAGAGCTGACATTGTGCCCTTTTCAGTGCATTTTACCAGGAGATATTTAATGGCAGTTGTCCCATTACCAGTGGTATTAATTTTGGTCACCTGGTTATGACAGTGTTTGCCAGGTTTCTCCACTGTCATTAATAAGTATCCTGACTTTGAGACTATGTAAATATCCTGTTATCATTCAACTTTTATCAACTTAATTTAGCACCCATTGATGATCCTGGCCTGAATCAGTTAGAAGTATGATGGTTGCCAAATGATGATCTTGTAAATCCATCATTTATTTTACATTTACAAGTTATCTTTCTGCTATAGGAAAAAAATGTTTCCTTCCCCTCCCAGCCACCGGGCCCGGCCCAGTAATGTACTTTCTATTCAACAGTTGACTTTAAATATCATCACTTGTGGCCGGGCGCGGTGTTTCACGCCTGTAATCCCAGCATTTTGGGAGGCCGAGGCGGGTGGATCACGAGGTCAGGAGATCGAGACCATCCTGGCTAACACGGTGAAACCCTGTCTCTACTAAAAATACAAAAAATTAGCCGGGCGTGGTGTAGTGCCAGCTACTCAGGAGGCTGAGGCAGGAGAATGGCATGAACCCGGGAGGCGGAGCTTGCGGTGAGCCGAGATTGCGCCACTGCACTCCAGCCTGGGTGACGGAGCTAGACTCCATCTCAAAAAAAAAAAAAAAAAAATATATATATATATATGGTATATATTATATCATATATATATCATATATAGGTATATATTATATCATATATATCATATATATCTGATATATATATATGATCACTTGTAAAATAGAAGGAATGAGAAATAAAATACTTGGTTTTCGCCTGGAAACCTAGAAGCACTGTGAAAAGATGAAAGAGATGTTGAAAAAACAAAGGGCAGAGGTGGAAACAAACAAATCCTTTTTCTGCCTAACCTCCTTTCTTACCCCTCCCACTTTCCAGAAAAGGCTCCAGGGCCTGAGAGACCTTGGCAATAACAGTGAGCGGAAGATTTGCTCAGCAGCACATACGTTGAACAAGAATCAGCGCTAAAACCTTAATACCTATTGGAGATGCCGGGGATCGAACCCGGGACCTCATACATGCAAAGCATGCGCTCTACCACTGAGCTACATCCCCACACATAGACCCTTGTTGTTCCAAAAAAAGTTTTTAAAAATATACTGTATTCGATCAATTTTTTTTCCCCCCAAAATTAGTTTTAAATAGTTTGTTGTGCAAGAATTGTGTGAATTTTGCAGGTCATGAATGTGAGAAAGAAGATTTAAATCAATGTCACTAAGTCCTTTAGAGTAATTGGAAACTCACCAGGCCCAACACAGAACAAGGGGTTGCAAAACTGGCTTTTATCTGAGCAGGACTATGTATATAAATCATTCAGATCCAGTCAATTGAAATGGCCAGAATAAAGAAAAGTAGAACCATAGATGGTTACAGCAAACCACTGGGAAATTTCCTGATGTATTATACAAAGTCTAACTGTAATCAGAAGCCAGTTCAGTGGGTAAAGTACTGGGATAGATTGATCTTGTAAGGCATACCCAGTCTTAGGTTTTGGGCTTGGAATTATCCACAAACCAACCCTCCGCCTCGTCTAAGAAGAAAAATCCCACTCAGTAGATTGGGTGAGTAAATCTGTATCTTGTTGAATAAAAAGCGTAAGAGAAATGTGAATATTCAAATATAAATCTGGGTTACAAAATGTGAGAAACAGAATTCAGTGTCAGGCAGTAGATCTCAAAATGTGGTCCTCAGAACAACAGCATCAGCATCACCTAGGATCTTACTAAAAATACAAATTCTCTAGGACTACTCCAGACCTATGAGTCAGGGACTGTGGAAGTAGGGCTCAATAATCTGTGTTTTAGTAAGCCCTGAGGGTGATTCTGGTACACGCTTATGTTTGAGAACCGCTGATGTAAGGTATTGATGAATACAACATTGCTGTTTCATTTTTTTTTTTTTTTTTTTGAGGTGACGTTTTTGCTCTTACTGCCCAGGCTGTAGTGCAATGGCACGATCTTGGCTCTCTGCAACCTCCGCCTCCAGGGTTTAAGCAATTCTCCTGTCTCAGCCTCCCGAGTAGCTAGGATTACAGGCGACTGCCACCATGCCCGGCTAATTTTTGTATATTTAGTAGAGATGGGGTTTCACCATGTGGACCAGGCTGGTCTTGAACCTCTGACCTCAGGTGATCCACTCACCTCGGCCTCCCAAAGTGCTGGGATTACAGGCGTGAGCCACCGCGCCCGGCCTGCTGTTTCATTTTCTAACAATAACACAGTACTAAGGTGTTTCTAGCATTTAAAAATAAAATAATTTGACATATTAGACCTGAATTTTTATGAGTGTGTATTAAAATATTTAAACGTGTGAGGGAAATAAAAGTGATTTTTAATATATTGTGAAAATAGTATGTGAATTTTTAAAAATTACTTGTGTATTAGACAAACAGTAGCAGATATTTCTGTTTATATTTGAAAGCCTTTGAGCATTAAAGAATCTATCCACCATATTAAGAGAAGAGGAGGAGTCAGGAGAGAGAAAATTTGTTTCTGGACCTCAGTTATTTTCCCAATTTTGGTTGTTTTGAAGCAGCAACGTTTGTCTCAGTGCACATGCAATTTGGGCTTTAGAGAGGATGTCCACCAGCTGGCTTCCTAGAGAGTTTAAACTTTTGTTTCTTTAATGTGCTGTCCATGGCTGAGTTTATGCAGTAGTACATGGGTTTAGCAACCACAAAATATTTTACTAAGAAACTGTTTAAAAAATAAACAGTTTGGCCCTGCTCTTCTCCATAGAGCAAGGATAACATCGTAAAAGAATCCTATTTTTATTTTAATTATGCAATGCAAGGTGTCCTTGATAGAAGTCTTGAGATATGGTTTGATCTGTGTCCCAGCCCAAATCTCACGTCTAATTGGAGCAGGGTCCTGGGTGGGAGGTGATTGGATCATGGGTGCAGTTTCCACCTTCCTGTTCTCCTGATAGTGATATTAGATCTGGGGATCTGATCGTTTAAATGTGTGTGGCACCTCCCCCACCCCTCTGACCTGGTCCGTCCGGTAAGATATGCTTGCTTCCCCTTCACCTGCTGCTATGATTATAAGTTTCCTGAGGCTTCCCAGTCATGCTTCCTGTTAAGCGTGTTGAACTGTGAATCAATTTAAACCTCTTTTCGGGCGCGGTGGCTCATGCCTGTAATCCCAGCACTTTGGGAGGCCGAGGCGGGTGGATCACGAGGTCAGGAGATCGAGACCATCCTGGCTAACACAGTGAAACACCGTCTCTACTAAAAATACAAAAAAATTTAGCCGGGCGTGGTGGCAGGCGCCTGTAGTCCCAGCTACGCGGGAGGCTGAGGCAGGAGAACGGCGTGAACCCGGGAGGCGGAGCTTGCAGTGAGCCGAGATCGCGCCACTGCACTCCAGCCTGGGCAACAGAGCCAGACTACGTCTCAAGAAAAAAACAACAACAAAAAACCTCTTTTCTTCATAAATTACCCAGTCTCAGGTAGTTCTTTGTTCCAGTATGTGAACAGACTAATTAATCTTCGCTCTTGTGTTACAAGGGACACCTCATTTGAGATCAGTCTGCTGGCACTGCAATGAAGTGCTTTGTATCAGCAAACTGTACACTATTTACCTTTTTTTCTGTTCACAGCTGAGCCACATGTACATAATCTATATTCTGTTTTCATAGTTTTGTACTTTTACAGCCTATTTTTGAAGATTAACACATTTGCAAAATGACTGACACGATCTTTGCCTAACCCAATCAGTGTTACAGAAAGCTTGCTATAACTAGAACTGTAAATCTTTTTTTTTTTTTTTTTTTTTTTTTGAGACGGAGTCTTGCTGTGTCACCTAGGCTGGAGTGCAGTGGCACGATCTCGGCTCACTGAAATCTCCACCTCCCGGGTTCAAGCAATTCTCCTGTCTCAGCCTCCTGAGTAGCCGGGATTACGGGCACCCACCACCGCGCCTGGCTAATTTTTGTATTTTTAGTAGAGAGGAGGTTTCACCACGTTGGCCAGGCTTATCTCGAACTCCTGACCTCAAGTGATCCCCTGCCTTGGCCTCCCAAAGTGCTGCGATTACAGGCGTGAGCCACCGCACCCAGCCTAGAACTGTAAATCTTAAAAAAAAGGTATGTGATAATAGAAGCCTGAAATTAAAACCTGCATTTAAAAAAATCACCAAATCTATTTGAAAACAAGTCAATTTGTGTTGAGAGGTGACAGCGTGCTGGCAGTCCTCACAGCCCTTGCTCGCTCTCGGCGCCTCCTCTGCCGGGGCTCCCACTTTGGCGGCACTTAAGGAGCTCTTCAGCCCGCCGCTGCACTGTGGGAGCCCCTTTCTGGGCTAGCCAAGGCCGGAGCCGGCTCCCTCAGCTTGCCGGGAGATGTGGAGTGAGATGCGCGGACATGAACCGGGGCTGCGCGCGGTGCTTGCGGGCCAGGGTGAGTTCCGGGTGGGCGTGGGCTCGGCGGACCCCGCGATCAAAGCGGCCGGCCGACCCCACCGGCCCCGGGCAGTGAGGGGCTTAGCACCCGGGCCAGCAGCTGCTGTGCTCAATTTCTCACCGGGCCTTAGCTGTCTTCCCGCAGGGCAGGGCTCAGGACCTGCAGCCCGCCATGCCTGAGCCTCCCCCTACCCCCGTGGGCTCCTGTGCGGCCCCAGCCTCCCAGACTAGAGCCGCCCCCTGCTCCACAGCAGCCAGTCCTATCGACCACCCAAGGGCTGAGGAGTGCGGGCGCAGGGCGCGGGACTGGCAGGCAGCTCCACCTGCATCCCTGGTGCGGGATTCACTGGGTGAAGCCAGCTGGGCTCCTCAGTCTTGTGCGGTCGTGGAGAACCTTTATGTCTAGCTCAGGGATTGTAAATCCACCAATCGGCACTCTGTATCGAGCTCAAGCTTTGTAAACACACCAATCAGCACCCTGTGTCTAGCTCAGGGTTTGTGAATGCACCAATCGACACTCTGTATCTAGCTACTCTGGTGGGGCCTTGGAGAACCTTTATGTCTAGCTCAGGGATTGTAAATACACCAATCGGCAGTCTGTATCCAGCTCAAGGTTTGTAAACACACCAATCAGCACCCTGTGTCTAGCTCAGGGTTTGTGAATACAGCAATCGTCACTGTATCTAGCTACTCTGGTGGGGCCCTGGAAAACCTTTGTATGGACACTCTGTATCTAGTTAACCTGGTGGGGATGTGGAGAACCTTTGTGTCTAGCTCAGGGATTGTAAACGCACCAATCAGTGCCTTGTCAAAACAGACCACTCGGCTCTACCAATCAGCAGGACGTGGGTGGGGGCCGGATAAGAGAATAAAAGCAGGCTGCCCGAGCCAGCAGCGGCAACCTACTGGGGTCTCCTCCCACAGTGTTGAAGCTTTGTTTTTGTTGCTGTTTGCAATAAATTTTGTCATGGCTGACTCTTTGGTCTATACTGCGTTTATACATTGTAACACTCACCGGGAAGATCTGTAGTCTCACTTCTGAAGCCAGCGAAGCCACGAGCCCACCGAGAGGAACGAACAACTCCAGAAGCGTCGCCTTAGCAGTTGTAACACTTGTCTGGAGAGTCTGCAGTTTCATTTCTGAAGCCAGCGAGATGATGAGCCCACTGGAAGGAGGGAACAACTCCAGACGCCCTGCCTTAAGAGCTGTAAAACTCACCGCGAAGGTTTACGGCTTCACTCCTCGGCCAGGGAGACCACGAATCCATCAGAAGGAAGAAACTCCGAACACACCTAAACATCAGCAGGAACAAACTCTGGACATGCTGCCTTTAAGAACTGTAATTTCGTGAGGGTCCGCGGCTCTGTTCTTGAAGTCAGTGAAACCAAGAACCCGCCAATTCCGGACCCAGTGTTATGCTGAAATTTTCAGGGGCTGTCAGATTTATTCTTTTAACCACATTTCTGAATATATACAAATATCACTATTTCCCCATAGCCCTTTAGCCCTTTGTACTTCAAAATATTTTGTTTAATGTTTTTTCTTTTTTTTTTTTTTTTTTTTTTTGGAGATAGAGTTCTGTTCTGTAACTCAGGTGGGAGTGCAGTGGCCGGACTTCAGCTCACTGCAACCTGCACCTTCCGGTTTCAAGTGATTCTTCTGTCTCAGCCTCCGGAGTAGCTGGGATTTTAGGCACGTGCCACCACACCGGGCTGCTTTTTGTATTAAAGGAGACGAGGTTTCATGTTGGCCAGGCTAGTATGGAACTCCTGAGTTAAGGCAATCCACCTGCCTTGGGCTCCCAAAGTGCTAGGACTACAGGTGTGAGCCACTGTGTCCATCCATGTTTTATTTTTTTCTTTGAAACAACAGTACATATAATAGAGATACAATTAATTGGGATTAAAAAAGGAAAATAAGACAGTAAAAACAGTCTGGATTTCCAGTTTAGGGTTTTGCGTGTAAGTAGCTTGGATGTTGCCACTTTGCTTTAACAACTGAGAAGCTGAAGGAAGTGAAAAATCTAACTTTTTAGATTCATAAAAGAAGATAGGTCACAGAGGAAACTGGTGCCCACCCCCCCCCAAATTGGAGAGACAGACAGATAGACATTGAAAATCACAGCACACGAGCAGAAATATCTGTGGGAACCATTGCATAGATAAGAAAACCTGAATTCTAATCAATGAACTGCTGGAGGCTAGGTGTGGACAAGTCTGAGAGTTAAAAACTCCAGGGGGACCCAGTCACAGCAAGGCCCCATGCTTTTGTGTATTTTACTTACAGGAACTTGACCAGATTCTTGCAGTAAATATTAGAGAAAAATCCCCTTGTGCTTCCACATGGGGAGAGGAAAAGGGACTATTTTGAATAGCACCTGTTTGTCTTAATAAATTCTGCCCTCAGGAGAAACTAATCAGAGCCTAACCTGCTGTGGTTTTATCAGCTCTTGGGGGAGGAAAATACCCAACCCAGACAGCTTTAACCTTCCATGTCATGGAAGGGAAATATTTAACTCCAGCCCACTCTAGCCATCCTGTCCATCTAAGGGAAGAGAAAAACATCTAAGCAACACTTGTATGATTCACAGTGCAGAGGTGCAGGCTTACTAAAAGACAGGCCTAATTGCAAGAATGCAGAAATCCTTCTGTCCCCCTGCATCTTGCCCTCACATTACTGAAGATCTATTTGCAGCAATTCCTTTAACCCAGTGCATCATGTTGAGCTATCAAGAAAAAAGCTACAAGGCAAACTAAAAGGCAAAAAAAAAAAAAAAACAGCTTGAAGATGGAAAGCAAGCATCAGAAACAGACATGGGCAGGGATTTTGGGATTACCAGATGGGGAATTCAAAACAACTATGATTAATATGCTAAGGACTCTAATGGATAAATTAGACAGCATGCAAGAACAGATGGGCAATGTAAGCAAAGAGATGGAAATTCTAAGAAACAACCACGAAGAAATGCTAGAGATAAAATACTGTAACAGAAATGAAGAATGCTGTTGATGGGCTTATTAGTAGACTTCACATGGCTGAAGAAAGAAGCTTTGAACTTAAGGATATATCAGTAGAAATTTCCAAAACCGAAAAGCAAAGAGAAGAAAGACTGAAAAGAAACAAACCCAGAACAAGTAGCAACTAAGCCTGTGAAAAGATGCTCCACATCATATCCCATCAGATAAGTGCAAATTAAAACGAGACAACACACACACCTATTAGAATGACCAAACTCCGGAACCCTTACAACACCAAATACTGTTGAGGATGTCAAAAAATAGGAACTCTAATTCATTGTTGATGGAAATACAAAATGGTATGATGTCTTTGGAAGACTTTAGCAGTTTCTTACAAAACTAAACATACATTTATCATACAAGCCAGCAATTATACTCCTTAGTATCTATCCAGAGAAGTTGAAAACATATGTACACATAAAAACTTACACATATATTTCTATAGCAGCTTCATTCATAATTGCCCAAACTTGGAAACAACCAAGATTTCCTTCTGTAGGTGAATAAACAAACTGTGGCACATCCAGACCATGGAATATCATTCAGTGCTAAAAAAAAGAAATGAGTTATCAAGCCATGAATAGACATGGAGGAAACATGTACCATATTATTAGGTGAAAGAAGCCAATCTGAAAAAGTTACATACTGTATGATTCCAACTATATGGTATTCTGGAAAAGGCAAAGCTGTGGAGATAGTAAAAGATCAGAAGTTGCCAAGGGTTAGAGGGAGAGGGAGGGACTGATTAATTGGTGGAGCACAAAGGATTTTTAGCTCAGCGAAAATACTCTGTATACTATAATGGTGGAAGTATGTCATTATATATTTATCCAAACCCATAAAATGTGCAACACCAAGCGTAAACCCTATTGTAAACTGTGGACTTTGAGTAATACTGATGTGTCAATTTAGGTCATCAATTTTAACAAATGCACCGCTTTAACTAAACACGCAGGGCTAAGCAGTAGACAGGGATTGACATCCCTAGAACCTGCATTGGCCTGTTGGTTACCAGCGTGTCCCGCAGCCCAGGCCGGGGGATGGACGCCCGAGTCAGGTCACCCAGATCTCTCCGCCACCCGTTGCGGTCTGTTAAGGAACCACTTGCGGCAGCGGGGAGCGGCAGGTGGTGGGTGGAAAGGAGTTAGTCTGGGATGCAGAGAAGCGCAGCAAGAGAAATAAGCAAAGAGCCAAAGGTTTTATCCTCCAGTTAGGCTCTCTTTGCTTATTTCTAGAGATTTATATTTATTTATTTTGGGGCCTCTTTTACTTGATTCAAAAGCTTTCATCTTAGCTTTTGCCTTTTTTTTTTCACATTGGTTTTCTATTCTCCCTTTCCCTCCACAACACGGCTGCGGACAGAGGGGTACAGCAAGGGGCAGGGCACCCACCGCTACTCTCTGGTATTTTTGGGGAGATTTCGAGTGTTCTAGGGGACCCAGGAACATCCACACTGACGACCGAGCAAGGCTTGTTCCAATGACAGAGAGAGGAGGTCCTCCACAGGGAGGTGAACCGGCAAGGACAAGGAGTCCGCGACAAGGAGGAAGGGGCGGTATGGAAGGCGGGGAATAGTATCCCTGTCCGCCACACTTAGGCGGGCAAGAAAGAAAACCGGGATGACAGGCAGGGCGAGGCAAAGGTTGGAGATGTGACGCGGCCGCAAACGCTAGGAGCTCCCTGGAGAAGTCAATGGACCACCCCAAGCTGAATCCTAAGAAGGCAGAGACGAGGCTTGGTCTGCGAGGAATGTTAGTCCGCTGAAACTGCGATCTGCGGGTTAAAATTAACCGCCCGAGAGCGGGGAGAAAGGGCCATGTTTTTATTGCTGAAGGGTAAAAGGACATATGTCCAAGGCCGAGCTGATAAACGGTTCCGGAAAATACTTAACGGTCCCCTCCCGCTAGCGCAGTGAGCATCCTACCGGGGAGACGCGGTGCTGGAGCTCGCATGTCATTGCTTAACGGTGGTGGTCGCCCTTACCCATCCTTACCCATTCTGTCTCTAGCAGGATTATCAAAAAAATCACTCCAGCCTCGCGTCTATATCAGCGTCACTGGGAGGCCAGAGCTGTTCCCTCCAGCGGCGAGCTGGATCTCATTTTTCTGTAGGTCTCTGCTAAGCGTAAATTCAGTAAAAACCAGCTAATGCATTTTAGGCCCGCAAGCTCCTGCCTAAGACCTGAGGTCCGCAAAGCCCCAGCGTTAGCCGGGCAGATCACTACTGGGTGTTCATTTCGTGCAACGAAGCTCCACCCACCGGCGCAGAGAACTTTGGCCTGAATCCGAGAAGCACAACCCATGTTGGTTCTCATGCGTAACTCTCGGCCTTTATTTATTTGGTCAAGTCTTTCAAAATTCCTGGAGTCGTCAATTTTTGATCAAGAAAGTGGTATACTTTCTGCTTAATGCCATAGTTATATATGCTTATCTTTGCCAGAGCACTTGTCATACGCTATTGGAATGATCTGTTTATGTAATTTTGAATCCTCCCTCCTCCACCTTCACACTTCATTGCAAGTCTCTGTACTGTGAAATATATCCTGAACAGAGGGCACCTGTAATTTATTTCTCACTGCTCTGTGAGTGGCTGCTGTACTCCACCTCTATACTAAGGGTGTGGGAAGCCTGATGAAAGAAAAATAGCCTCTGCCCTCCAGAAGCTACCTTACTAGAGAAGGGAACAAACTTAACATAAATCTACTCTTATAAGGTGTTTGTGGTAAATGAAATTTAGGGAAAGTACAAGGAAGTTATGTATGGCATTGATAACAATTTGTTGAACCGACTTGATTTTCTATGAATATAAATTGAAAAAGCCGACGGAATTGGGTAGTGCTACTCTATATTGTTAAGGGCTATATGAGTAAATAAAAGGAAAAGAAGGTTTTAGTGCATAGGTGGATGTAGTTTAGTGGTAGAACGCGCGCTTTGCATGTATGAGGTCCCGGTTTCGATCCCTGGCGTTTCCACTTTAGCATACTGGTTGGTTACTCCTCTTTGTTTAGGCTTGGGTAGAACTTCCTGACGTCTTCAAATACTTGGAAATAGGTCGGTGGCTTTAAAGGTCAGATGTATTTAACACGGCACACTTTCATAGTGCCAAACTTTCTCCAACTATCAAAATCCTGTAACTGCTAACTGCTTTAGAACACCTTTAAATCTTACCACTCATTAACAAAATTGGGTTTACATTGTTATGACTGAAGGTACATGATTTGTAACCAGAAATACAGTTATTTGGAGCACAGTTGAAGATGATTCTACCCTCTCTCAGCCACGAGGATCATCTTAAGAGTTAGTTTTGAGGCGGAAGGGTTGGGCAGGGGCCTCCTCGTGGCTGGGGCTCCAGCGCAAACCAGCTGCCTCACCAGCTCTGGAGCTCGCGCCGCTTGGCCTCAACCCACTCACGCGGTCCCTCCCATTGGCTTGCCTGGCTTTATCTCACCTGACGCGCCATGCCTCGCCTACCCGGGCTCTGTCCTCAACTCTGCCACCACCGCTGCGTGGCCCTGCTCGCCCTGCAGCCCGACCCCTGCCTTGCCCATTCTGAGCCTCCGCGCCAGCCCATGTATGCCATGGAAATATGGCTGTTGGAATTCTGGTGTTTTACGACCTTCTTAACACCGTCTGCGTATGTGCTAAGCAGTCTGAGCCAGTTCAGAAAGGAGTAAATGGAAGAAGATGTTGAGCGCCTGTTAACGTCCAAAAAACTTTAAGAAAAAAAAAAAAACCACAAAACAAAACTGTCTTCATAAACTGTAATACCACATTACAACCATTGTGGTATTCAGTTTCATAACCATCTTTATGATAAAAATTTTGGACTTTTTTAGTATTGTGCATTATAGAGATGTATAGTCAAAAATGTTTTGCTTAAGTATTAAATATAACTGAAACACTTTAAAAAATTAGCTTTGAGCTTTATATCAGGAACTGTCTGAACTATTTGCCTTAAGATACCTTTTCTGCCGTTGTTACCCTGGTCTTTTCACCAATATGCTATCTTTTTTTGGTGGGGGGGGCTGTCATATATACAATCTATAATATCTGTTTATATAGCATATATTGTATTGTAAGCCATCTTTTCAGTTGCTTGTTGAATGAGACCTGGTCTGGTTCAATTGAATTTAAGGTCATTTGAATGAACTAAAGGGTAACTTTTTCTTCTCAAAAATAAGACGTGAATTATTGATACAACCTTGAAGAAACAGCTATGCAAATTGTGTTTACGAAAATTTTTTGGACTCAAGATTGGGGAGAGAACAGAGATGGTTGCAAGGATATAAGTGCTAGAGCTTACAATTTGCATGCCTAGGGTTCCCAGTTCGATCCTTGGTATCTCCAATTTGTCTTCCCCACAAGGAGCAAAATGAAGCAAGACCTATTCTGTTTGTTCATAGGTTATTTCATTCCTCTTTCGAGGTCACTGCTAGTGTTTGCTTTTCATCTTTGTTCCCACTTCCTGGTAGTTATTCTGCAAGAAACTATATAAAGACACCATTTTTGTGGCAATTTTGGTCAATAATCAGAATAGTCAGTAATACCTACAGTGGGGATGTGGTTCCGTGGTAAAGATTGGAGGACCCACATTTGTTCCGCAGAACTTCCTCTTCCCACCTGTCTTTTTAAAGAGTGAGACATTGCATGTATTCTGTAAACAAAACAAGGCTTTTGTCTTTCTCCCCTTAACAATTTTGAAAATAGATTAAAACACCAGAAGTTGAGGCAGTTAAATACAGACATAAATGTTTATTTAGTTTTTTATTGATGTATCATTCCATGTGCTGGCTGGCTTAGTAGATTAGATGCTGATACTGAGTGGATTTTTGATCTTTGCAAGGACCTTTTTTTGGTGTGGTGAATTTATTTATTTATTTATTTATTTACTTATTTATTGAGAAGAAGTCTCGCTCTGTCTTCATGCTGGAGTGCAGTGGCACGATCTTGGCTCACTGCAACCTCTGCCTCCTGGGTTCTAGCGATTCTCCTGACTCAGCCTCCTGAGTAGCTAGGACTACAGGCGCAGGCCACCACTCCTGGCTAATTTTTTGTACTTTTAGTAGAGATGGGGTTTCACCGTGTTAGCCAGGATGGTCTCAATCTCCTGACCTCGTGATCTGCCCGCCTTGGCCTCCCAAAGTGCTGGAATTATAGGCATGAGCCACCGCGCCCAGCCTTGTGTGGTGAATTTAATTGATTCTTTTGCAAAGCTCCCAACATCTCCTTATGTCCTGTCTAATATCACTTGATGAATGTTTTCTCCCTTTTGGTTCCAGCAAAGAAATTTCTTTATTTTCAGTTATTGTCCTATTATTTCTTTCTTTCTTTTTTTAGACAGAGTCTCACTCTGTCACCCAGGCTGGAGTGCAATGGCGCTATCTTGGCTCACTGCAACCTCCGCCTCCTGGGTTCAAGCAATTCTCCTGCCTCAGCCTCCCAACTAGCTGAGATTACAGGTGCCCGCCACCACGCCCAGCTAATTTTTTTGTATTTTTAGTTGAGACAGGGTTTTACCATATTGGCCAGGGTGGTCTCAAATGACTGACCCCAGGTGATCCACCCACCTCGGCCTCCCAAAGTGCTGGGATTATAGGCGTGAGCCACCGTGCCCAGCCTGTCCTATTATTTTATTTTCAATATAGCACACTTGCTCTGGTGTACCGGCTGATGACCTAAGGGATGAGAACTTGTCAAATTACTGGTATCACACTGACGCTGTATGTCTGTGAGTTCTTGTGTTCTATGACATGTAAACATGGAACATTTCCAAGTAATTTAAATGTAAAGCAACTAAGTCACTACCACCTTTCTTTATCTTAGTTTTAAATAGGAGTGCATGCAGATGGTGAAATAAAGCCACATTGTTTTCAATGCTAGGACCTCTGGCTCCATCAACTTCTTGGTGGTGGAGGGAGCAGGATAGGGGAGAATAGTGCATGGGTATGTATCCCACTCAGCCATTTGTCTTCCAGTAACACTATGATTGTTGCCACTATGTCATTTACTCTAGTTTCTCCTCTTCCTGGTTTCCCATTATAGCCAACTGCTTTTAAAATATATGTACCATGGAACACACATAAGCTGAAGTAGAATGGATTCTCATGATAGATTAGAACAGGACTTTAATGGTTCTGAAGGAAACAAAAAGTTTCTCATGAGAAAGGTAACTGAATATATATATTAGTCTGTTCTCATGCTGCTAAGAAAGACATACCCAAGACTGGGTAATTTATAAAGGAAAGAGGTTTAATGGACTCACAGTTCCACATGGCTGGAGAGGCCTCACAATTATGGCAGAAGGCAAAGGAGAAGCAAAGGCATATCTTACATGGTGGCAGGTAAGAGGGCGTGTGCAGGGGAACTGCCTTTTATAAAAACATCAGATCTCATGAGACTTATTCACTATCACGAGAACAGCAGGGGATAAATGTGCCCCCATGATTCAATTACCTCTCACCAGGTGCCTGCCATGACACATGAGGATTATTACAAGTCAAGGTGAGATTTGGGTGGTGACACAGAGCCGAATCATATCAATATGTAAACTAGCTTTCCATATTCACTCCACTCTGGTTGCCCTATCAGTAGGCAAAGGAGTTATTACATTGCTTTTTGTCATTTTTGTTTTTTAAATTTTAGAGATGTGGCCTTGCTATGTTGCCCAGGCTGGCCTTCCACTTCTTGGGCTCAAGTGATCCTCATGCCTCAGCCTCCTGAATAGCTGGGACTACAGGCATGGGTTGCCATTGTATGCCCAGCTATTATTGTGTTGTTGTGATTAATGGTTTTGTTCTGTTTCTTCATAATAACTTCTAATAATGACCCAGTTTTGTTTTCATTTTTATTTTACTTTTTACTTTTGAGACAGAGTCTCACTCTTTCACCCAGGCTGGAGTGCAGTTGCATGATCTTAGCTCGCCACAACCTCCACCTTACAGGTTCAAGCGATTCTCCTGCCTCAGCCTCACTAGTAGCTGGTATTACAGATGCATGTCGCCACACCCAGCTAATTTTTGTATTTTTAGTAGAGATGGGGCTTCACCTTGTTGGCCAGGCTGATCTTGAACTCCTGATCTCAAGTGATCCACACACCTCGGCCTCCCAAAGTGCTGGGATTACAGGTGTGAGCCACAGTGCCTGGCCAACCCAGTTTTAATAAGAAATAGTAAGAAACAATTTTAAAAGAAATAAATTTAATAAGGAATAGTAATAAAAATTCTTTCTTCCCTATTATGCACACAGTAAATTACCTGCTATCATCATTATCATTTTTGTCATCATCATAGTTTTCATTATCATTATTATCCATTGGCATGCCACACGCTAACAAGCACAGTCCCTAAAGTCAAAAAAAGGGAGAGATAAATTTAATTAAATCAAAATTAAAAATGTATTTTAAAAAATTTAATTTTAGCCTTTAGTTTTTGTTGTTGTTGTTTTGTTTGTTTGTTTGTTTTTGAGACGGAGTCTCTCACTCTGTCTCCCAGGCTGGAGTGCAGTGGCGCAATCTCAGCTCACTGCAAGCTTCGCCTCCTGGGTTCACGCCATTCTCCTGCCTCAGCCTCCCGAGTAACTGGGACTACAGGCGCCCGCCACCGTGCCCGGCTAATTTTTTGTATTTTTAGTAGAGACGGGGTTTCACCGTGTTAGCCAGGATGGTCTCGATCTCCTGACCTTGTGATCCACCTGCCTCGGCCTCCCAAAGTGCTGGGATTACAGGCAAGAGCCACCACGGCTGGCCAAGCCTTTAGTTTGAAAGAAATTGGAGATTGTTAAAGATTTCAAATACCTTAGAGACAAAGAATACCTTAGAACAAAATTAACACATTGATGAATCTGATAATTTTATGGGTCAACTTTACTGGGCCACAGGATGCCCAGACATGTGATTAAACATCATTTCTGGGTATGTCTGTGAGGGTGTTTCCAGAAGACAGTAGCATTTGAATTGCTGGACTGAGTAAAGCCGATGGCTTTCCTCAATGTGGGTGGACATAATCCAATCCATTGAGGGTCTGAATAGAACAGAAGGAGGGGAAGGTTGGATTCACCTTCTCTCTGCTTGACAGGTTGTGCAGGAACACTCACACTCTGCCCTTGATGCTCCTGGTTCTCAGGCCCTTAGATTTGATAAGAATCTATGCCACCCACCCTCCAGCTCTTAGGCCTTCCAAATACAACACTAGCTTTTTTGGGTCTCCAGCTTGCAGATGGTAGATCATGGAACCTCTCAGCCTCCAGAATTGCGTAAAGCAAAACCTTATAATAAGTCTCTTTATATATATAGTAAATATGCATAATATTTATTATAGTAACATAATAAGTATTATTATATTAGGATATGTTATAATATATACTAATTACAATTATACTACAATGTTATAAAATTTACATATAATAAATTATATGTATAATAATATATATCTATATAATCTGTTACTCTGGAGAACTCGGACTAACACAACGACAGATTTAGAGAAGTTATTTGCAATATTTAAAACAAGCAATGAAATAATTCTTAGAATATGCAAAGAACAATTGCAAAGCAATAACAAATCTAGCAACTCTTGACATTAGATTTCTTTTAAAAAAAAATTTATTGGCCTGGTGTGGTAGCTCACGCCTGTAATCCCAGCACTTTGGGAGGCCAAGACAGGTGGATCACAAGGTCAGGAGTTCGAGAACAGCCTGGCCAAGATGGTGAAACCCCATTTCTACTAAAAGTACAAAAATTAGCCGGGCGCAGTGGCAGGCGCCTGTAATCCCAGCTACTCAGGAGGCTGAAACAGGAGAATCACTCGAACCCAGGAGGCAGAGATTGCACTGAGCTGAGACTGCGCCACTGCGCTCCAGTCTGGGCAACAGAATGATACTCTGTCTCAAAAACAAAAAAACAAAAAACAACAACAACAAAAAAACAGATTTATTGAGGTATAACTGATATACAAAGAACTGCACACAATGTGTACAATATGATGAATTCGGGCACAAGGAAATACCCATGATCCATCACCACAATCAAGGTAATAGACATATCCACCAACCAAAGTTTCCTTATGTCTCTTTGGGTTTTTTTGGTTTTGTTTCGTCTTTATTTTTTGTATGTGGTACAAACATTTAAAGTGAGAGCTGTCATCTTAACAAATTTTGAAGCGTACAATACCTTATTGTTAACTGTAGGTGCTATGTTGTACAGCAGATCTCTAGAACTTATTCATGTAGCATAACTGAAATATATCCATTGAGCAACAATTCCCCATCTTCTTCAGCCTCCCAGCCCCTGGCAACCACTATTGCATTCTCTGTTTCTGAGTTTAACTGTTACAGACACCTCATGTAAGTGGAATCATGCAGTATTTGTGCTGTGACTGGCTTATTTCAGTTCCCATAATGTCCTCCAGGTTCATCAATATTGTTGCAAATGGCAGGATTTTCTTCTTTTCTAAGCCTAATAATTTTCCGTTGGATATATATGCCACACTTTGTTTTTTCATTCATCTGTCAATGGATACAGGTTGTTTCCATATCTTGGCTATTGTGAATAATGCTACAATGAACATGGAAGTGCATATATCTCCTTGAGATTCTGATTTCAATTTTTTTGCAAATATACCCAAAAGTGGGATTGCAGGATCACATGGCAGTCTTTTTTTATTTTATTTTATTATTATTATACTTTAAGTTTTAGGGTACATGTGCACAATGTGCATGTTAGTTACGTATGTATACATGTGCCATGCTGGTGTGCTGCACCCATTAACTTGTCATTTAGCATTAGGTATATCTCTTAATGCTATCCCTCCCCCCTCCCCCCACCCCACAACAGGCCCCAGAGTGTGATGTTCTCCTTCCTATGTCCATGTGTTCTCATTGTTCAATTCCCACCTATGAGTGAGAACATGCGGTGTTTGGTTTTTTGTTCTTGCGATAGTTTACTGAGAATGATGATTTCCAATTTCATCCATGTCCCTACAAAGGACATGAACTCATCATTTTTTATGGCTGCATAGTATTCCATGGTGTATATGTGCCACATTTTCTTAATCCAGTCTATCATTGTTGGACATTTGGGTTGGTTCCAAGTCTTTGCTATTGTGAATAGTGCCGCAATAAACATACGTGTGCATGTGTCTTTATAGCAGCATGATTTATAGTCCTTTGGGTATATACCCAGTAATGGGATGGCTGGGTCAAATGGTATTTCTAGTTTTAGATCCCTGAGGAATTGCCACACTGACTTCCACAATGGTTGAACTAGTTTACAGTCCCACCAACAGTGTAAAAGTGTTCCTATTTCTCCACATCCTCTCCAGCACCTGTTGTTTCCTGACTTTTTAATGATTGCCATTCTAACTGGTGTGAGATGGTATCTCATTGTGGTTTTGATTTGCATTTCTCTGACGGCCAGTGATGGTGAGCATTTTTTCATGTGTTTTTTGGCTGCATAAAGGTCTTCTTTTGAGAAGTGTCTGTTCATGTCCTTCACCCATTTTTGGTGGGGTTGTTTTTTTTTTCTTGTAAATTTCTTTGAGTTCATTGTAGATTCTGGATATTAGCCCTTTGTCAGATGAGTAGGTTGCAAAAATTTTCTCCCATTTTGTAGGTTGCCTGTTCACTCTGATGGTAGTTTCTTTTGCTGTGCAGAAGCTCTTTAGTTTAATTAGATCCCATTTGTCAATTTTGGCTTTTGTTGCCATTGCTTTTGGTGTTTTAGACATGAAGTCCTTGCCCATGCCTATGTCCTGAATGGTAATGCCTAGGTTTTCTTCTAGGGTTTTTATGGTTTTAGGTCTAACATTTAAGTCTTTAATCCATCTTGAATTAATTTTTGTATAAGGTGTAAGGAAGGGATCCAGTTTCAGCTTTCTACATATGGCTAGCCAGTTTTCCCAGCACCATTTATTAAATAGGGAATCCTTTCCCCATTGCTTGTTTTTCTCAGGTTTGTCAAAGATCAGATAGTTGTAGTTATGCGGCGTTATTTCTGAGGGCTCTGTTCTGTTCCATTGATCTATATCTCTGTTTTGGTACCAGTACCATGCTGTTTTGGTTACTGTAGCCTTATAGTATAGTTTGAAGTCAGGTAGCGTGATGCCTCCAGCTTTGTTCTTTTGGCTTACGATTGACTTGGCGATGCAGGCTCTTTTTTGGTTCCATATGAACTTTAAAGTAGTTTTTTCCAATTCTGTGAAGAAAGTCATTGGTAGCTTGATGGGGATGGCATTGAATCTATCAATTACCTTGGGCAGTATGGCCCTTTTCATGATATTGATTCTTCCTACCCATGAGCATGGAATGTTCTTCCATTTCTTTGTATCCTCTTTCATTTCATTGAGCAGTGGTTTGTAGTTCTACTTGAAGAGGTCCTTCACATCCCTTGTAAGTTGGATTCCTAGGTATTTGATTCTCTTTGAAGCAATTGTGAATGGGAGTTCACTCATGATTTGGCTCTCTGTTTGTCTGTTATTGGTGTATAAGAATGCTTGTGATTTTTGTACATTGATTTTGTATCCTGAGACTTTGCTGAAGTTGCTTATCAGCTTAAGGAGATTTTGGGCTGAGACAATGGGGTTTTCTAGATATACAATCATGTCATCTGCAAACAGGGACAATTTGACTTCCCCTTTTCCTAATTGAATACCCTTTATTTCCTTCTCCTGCTTAATTGCCCTGGCCAGAACTTCCAACACTATGTTGAATAGGAGTGGTGAGAGAGGGCATCCCTGTCTTGTGCCAGTTTTCAAAGGGAATGCTTCCAGTTTTTGCCCATTCAGTATGATACTGGCTGTGGGTTTGTCATAGATAGCTCTCATTATTTTGAGATACGTCCCATCAATACCTAATTTATTGGGAGTTTTTAGCATGAAGGTTGTTGAATTTCGTCAAAGGCCTTTTCTGCATCTATTGAGATAATCATGTGGTTTTTGTCTTTGGTTCTGTTTATATGCTGGATTACATTTATTGATTTGCGTATATTGAACCAGCCTTGCATCCCAGGGATGAAGCCCACTTGATCATGGTGGATAAGCTTTTTGATGTGCTGCTGGATTCGGTTTGCCAGTATTCTATTGAGGATTTTTGCATCAATGTTCATCAAGGATATTGGTCTAAAATTCTCTTTTTTGGTTGTGTCTCTGCCAGGCTTTGGTATCAGGATGATGCTGGCCTCATAAAATGAGTTAGGGAGGATTCCCTCTTTTTCTATTGATTGGAATAGTTTCAGAAGGAATGGTACCAGTTCCTCCTTGTACCTCTGGTAAAATTCAGCTGTGAATCCATCTGGTCCTGGACTCTTTTTGGTTGGTAAGCTATTGATTATTGCCACAATTTCAGCTCCTGTTATTGGTCTATTCAGAGATTCAACTTCTTCCTGGTTTAGTCTTGGGAGGGTGTATGTGTCGAGGAATTTATCCATTTCTTCTAGGTTTTCTAGTTTATTTGCATAGAGGTGTTTGTAGTATTCTCTGATGGTAGTTTGTATTTCTGTGGGATCGGTGGTGATATCCCCTTTATCATTTTTTATTGCATCTATTTGATTCTTCTCTCTTTTCTTCTTTATTAGTCTTGCTAGCAGTCTATCAATTTTGTTGATCCTTTCAAAAAACCAGCTCCTGGATTTATTAATTTTTTGAAGGGTTTTTTGTATCTCTATTTCCTTCAGTTCTGCTCTGATTTTAGTTATTTCTTGCCTTCTGCTAGCTTTTGAATGTGTTTGCTCTTGCTTTTCTAGTTCTTTTAATTGTGATGTTAGGGTGTCAATTTTGGATCTTTCCTGCTTTCTCTTGTGGGCATTTAGTGCTATAAATTTCCCTCTACACACTGCTTTGAATGTGTCCCAGAGATTCTGGTATGTTGTGTCTTTGTTCTTGTTGGTTTTAAAGAACATCTTTATTTCTGCGTTCATTTCGTTATGTACCCAGTAGTCATTCAGGAGCAGGTTGTTCAGTTTCCATGTAGTTGAGCGGTTTTGAGTGAGTTTCTTAATCCTGAGTTCTACTTTGATTGCACTGTGGTCTGAGAGACAGTTTGTTATAATTTCTGATATTTTACAATTGCTGACGAGAGCTTTACTTCCAACTATGCAGTCAATTTTGGAATAGGTGTGGTGTGGTGCTGGAAAAAATGTATATTCTGTTGATTCGGGGTGGAGAGTTCTGTAGATGTCTATTAGGTCCGCTTGGTGCAGAGCTGAGTTCAATTACTGGGTATCCTTGTTAACTTTCTGTCTCATTGATCTGTCTAATGTTGACAGGGGGGTGTTAAAGTCTCCCATTATTATTGTGTGGGAGTCTAAGTCTCTTTGTAGGTCACTCAGGACTTGCTTTATGAATCTGGGTGCTCCTGTATTGGGTGCATATATATTTAGGATAGTTAGCTCTTCTTGTTGAATTGATCCCTTTACCATTATGTAATGGCCTTCTTTGTCTCTTTTGATCTTTGTTGGTTTAAAGTCTGTTTTATCAGAGACTAGGATTGCAACCCCTGCCTTTTTTTGTTTTCCACTTGCTTGGTAGATCTTCCTCCATCCTTTTATTTTGAGCCTATGTGTGTCTCTGCACGTGAGATGGGTTTCCTGAATACAGCACACTGATGGGTCTTGATTCTTTATCCAATTTGCCAGTCTGTGTCTTTTAATTGGAGAATTTAGTCCATTTACATTTAAAGTTAATATTGTTATATGTGAATTTGATCCTGTCATTATGATGTTAGCTGGTTATTTTGCTCATTAGTTGATGCCGTTTCTTCCTAGCCTCGATGGTCTTTACAATTTGGCATGATTTTGCAGTGGCTGGTACTGGTTGTTCCTTTCCATGTTTAGTGCTTCCTACAGGAGCTCTTTTAGGGCAGGCCTGGTGGTGACAAAATCTCTCAGCATTTGCTTGTCTGTAAAGTATTTTATTTCTCCTTCACTTATGAAGCTTAATTTGGCTGGATATGAAATTCTGGGTTGAAACTTCTTTTCTTTAAGAATGTTGAATATTGGCCCCCACTCTCTTCTGGCTTGTAGAGTTTCTGCCGAGAGATCCACTGTTAGTCTGATGGGCTTCCCTTTGTGGGTAACCTGACCTTTCTCTCTGGCTGCCCTTAACATTTTTTCCTTCATTTCAACTTTGGTGAATCTGACAATTATGTGTCTTGGAGTTGCTCTTCTCGTGGAGTATCTTTGTGGCGTTCTGAATCTGTGTATTTCCTGAATCTGAATGTTGGCCTGCCTTGCTAGATTGGGGAAGTTCTCCTGGATAATATCCTGAAGAGTGTTTTCCAACTTGGTTCCATTCTCCCAGTCACTTTCAGGTGCACCAATCAGACGTAGATTTGGTCTTTTCACATAGTCCCATATTTCTTGGAGGCTTTGTTTGTTTCTTTTTATTCTTTTTTCTCTAAACTTCCCTTCTCCCTTCATTTCATTCATTTCATCTTCCATCACTGATACCCTTTCTTCCAGTTGATCGCATCAGCTCCTGAGGCTTCTGCATTCTTCACGTAGTTCTCGAGCCTTGGCTTTCAGCTCCATCAGCTCCTTTAAGCACTTCTCTGTATTGGTTATTCTAGTTATACATTCTTCTAAATTTTTTTCAAAGTTTTCAACTTCTTTGCCTTTGGTTTGAATTTCCTCCTGTAGCTCGGAGTAGTTTGATCGTCTGAAGCCTTCTTCTCTCAACTCGTCAAAGTCATTCTCCGTCCAGCTTTGTTCCATTGCTGGTGAGGAACTGCGTTCCTTTGGAGGAGGAGAGGCGCTCTGCTTTTTAGAGTTTCCAGTTTTTCTGCTCTGTTTTTTCCCCATCTTTGTGGTTTTATCTACTTTTGGTCTTTGATGATGGTGATGTACAGATGGGTTTTTGGTGTGGATGTCCTTTCTGTTTGTTAGTTTTCCTTCTAACAGACAGGACCCTCAGCTGCAGGTCTGTTGGAGTTTGCTAAAGGTCCACTCTAGACCCTGTTTGCCTGGGTACCAGCAGCGGTGGCTGCAGAACAGCGGATTTTCATGAACCGCGAATGCTGCTGTCTGATCGTTCCTCTGGAAGTTTTGTCTCAGAGGAGTACCCGGCCGTGTGAGGTGTCAGTCTGCCCCTACTGGGGGGTGCCTCCCAGTTAGGCTGCTCGGGGGTCAGGGGTCAGGGACCCACTTGAGGAGGCAGTCTGCCTGTTCTCAGATCTCCAGCTGCGTGCTGGGAGAACCACTGCTCTCTTCAAAGCTGTCAGACAGGGACATTTAAGTCGGCAGAGGTTACTGCTGTCTTTTTGTTTGTCTGTGTCCTGCCCCCAGAGGTGGAGCCTACAGAGGCAGGCAGGCCTCCTTGAGCTGTGGTGGGCTCCACCCAGTGGGAGCTTCCCGGCTGCTTTGTTTACCTAAGCAAGCCTGGGCAATGGCGGGCGCCCCTCCCCCAGCCTCGCTGCCACCTTGCAGTTTGATCTCAGACTGCTGTGCTAGCAATCAGCGAGACTCCGTGGGCGTAGGACCCTCCGAGCCAGGTGCGGGATATAGTCTCCTGGTGTGCCGTTTTTTAAGCCCGTCGGAAAAGCGCAGTATTGGGGTGGTAGTGACCCGATTTTCCAGGTGCCGTCTGTCACCCCTTTCTTTGACTAGGAAAGGGAACTCCCTGACCCCTTGCACTTCCCCAGTGAGGCAATGCCTCGCCCTGCTTCGGCTTGCACACGGTGCGCTGCACCCACTGTCCTGCGCCCACTGTCTGGCACTCCCTAGTGAGATGAACCCGGTACCTCAGATTGAAATGCAGAAATCACCCGTCTTCTGCGTCGCTCACGCTGGGAGCTGTAGACCGGAGCTGTTCCTATTTGGCCATCCGGTAGTCTTATTTTTAATTTTTGGAAGAACCTTCATATTGTTTTCCATTGCTGCTTCACTATTTTACATTCCCACTAACAAGTGTACAGGGGTTTCAATTTCTCCACATCCTTGCCAACACTTGTTATCTTTGTTGTTTTTTATAATAGCCATCTCTACAAGTATGAAGTGACATGTCTTTGTAGTTTTGCATTTTCCTGATAATTAATGATGTTGAGCATCTTTTTATATACTTGTTGGTTATTTGTATGTCTTTTTTGGAGGAATATGTGTTCCAGTTTTTTGCCCATTGTTTAATTAGGTTATTTGGTTTTTGTTTGTACTCCTTTTTTTGCTATTGTGTTTTATGAGTCCTTTATATATTTTGGAAATTAGCTCCTTTACAGGTATATGATGTGCAAATATTCCCTCCCATTCTGTAGGTAACCTTTTTATTCATTTGTTTTTGCTATGAAATTGTTGAGACTTCTAACTTTTGCTTGTTTCAGTAGTGTAAAATGAAGTTTTATTGTTATTTATTGTTGATTACTAACGAATACTGCATCTTCACATCCTCATTAGCCTCTTGTATCTTTTCTTTTTGTAAATGCCTGTTTATGTCCTTATTTGACTTTCTATTTGTTTGTTTTTGGTTTGCACTTCTGGGTAAAGTGCAGAATAATACACAGCCATCCTTAGAGAAATCGGCTAGTATTTAGGCAATCATGTTAACACATTCTCTATGACCAAATGTAATAGACACAGATGCTCTGCCCAAATCTACCTGCAAGGAAGGACTAGTTGTTGCTTCAGCTATTACAAGTGCATTCAGCAGACGATCCACAACTGTCAGGACTTTCAGGGATTGTTTCAGCTGCAGAGCTGCCTGCCCAAGATCACATCCTTTTTGAGGCTGTTCATATCAAATGAGTGAAGGGGCAAGAATATATATATATATATTTGGAGACGGAGTTTCACTCTTGTTGCCCAGGCTGAAATGCAATGGTGCGATCTTGGCTCACCGCAACCTCTGCCTCCTGGGTTCAAGCAATTCTCTTGCCTCAGCTTCCCAAGTAGCTGGGATTACAGGCATGCACCACCACGCCTGGCTAATTTTGTAGACACAGGGTTTCTCCATGTTGGTCAGGCTGGTCTCGAACTCCCCACCTCAGGTGATGTGCCCTCCTCGGCCTCCCAAAGTGCTGGGATTACAGGCGTGAGCCACTGCACCCAGCCGAAGGGGCAAGAGTATTAAGGGCCCAAAGTGGAGCAGATGGACCACTTAGCCTCAGACCTCCCCATAGTGTTAGCTGAGGCTGTCAGGCATGCATCCTACCTTGCATGCATCCTAGCTTGACTTCTTCTCAATCTTGAGTCTACTCTCTGCCTTCCACAGATGTGGATCTCAAAGAAACTGCGTAATAAACATCCTGCACATTAAACTCTATCTCGCTGGGCACAGTGGCTCATGCCTATTGGGAGGCTGAGACGGGCAGATCACTTGAGGTCAGGAGTTCGAGACCAGCCTGGCCAACATGGTGAAACTCCGTCTCTACCAAAAAAAATACAAAAAAAAAAAAAAATTAGCTGGGCATGGTGGGGTGAGCCTGTAATCCTACCTACTCAGGAGGCTAAGGCACGAGAATCGCTTGAATCTGGGAGGTAGAGGTTGTAGTAAGCAGGGATCGCGCCATTGCACTCCAGCCTGGGTGACAGAGTGAGACCTTGTCTCAAAAATAACAAAACAAAACAGAACAAAACAAAACAACTCTATCTCAAGGTCTACTTCACAGATAATCTAACCTGTGACACCAAGCCACTATGCTCCTGTGTATATGTGGAAAATTGTAAGAAAATTCTTACACATACATGTACAGGGACATGAGGAAATATTTTTATTGCATCATTTATTATCAGATATTTATATATTACATTTTTATTTATATACATATTTATATATTAGCATATATCATCTATATATATTATTATAAACTCTGTCCTTCTGGGTTTTTATGGAGGCTTCATTACATAGGCATGACTGGTTAAATCATTGGTCATTGGTGATCAACTCAGCCTTTAATGCCTCTCTTCTCCCTGGAGGTTTGGGGTTGGAGCTGAAAGTTCTATCCCTCTGATCACATGGTTGGTTTCCCTGACAACCAGTTCCTGAGGCTATCCAGGAGCCCACCAAGAGTCTCCTCATTAGAAAAAAAGGTCTTAGGAGCTCTGTGTCAGGAACTGGGGCAAAGATCAAACATTAGAACAAAAGATTTTCCTACTGCCCACCTAAGGGTTTCAGAAGTTCTATGTCAGTAACCAGGGGCACAGACATATTGTGTGTGTGTGTGTATATATGTATACACACACACACACGAACATAATACACATACACATATTATATATATATATATACACACACACATATCTATAAAATATATATTTCTTTTCTTTTTTTTTTTTTGAGAGAGGGTCTCTGTCACCCAGCCTGGAGTGCAGTGGTATGACTGTAACTCACTGCAGCCTTGATCTCCCAGGCTGAAGCGATGTCCCACTGCAGCCCCCCAAATAGCTGGGACTACAGGTGCGCACAGCCAGCCACGGCTAATTTTTAAAGAAATTATTTTTGGTAGAGACGGAGTTGCCTAGGCTGGTCTCTGAACTCCTAGGCTCAAGCAATTCTCCCGCCTCGGCCTCCCAAAGTGCTGGGATTACAGGCGTAAGCCACTGTGCTGGTCTGTATTTCTTATTTCAAATTATCATAGTGGTAGACCTACACGTGAACTACTCTGCATCCACTATGTGGCAGGCCAGGTTTCACCAACTCAGGCCTGTATCACAACTGTTTCAGTACTGACTGACTGGTTAAGTTAAATATTAAAAGCTAAGACAAGCCAGTGCCCTTATACAAAGGCTGGAATGTAACAAAAGCCCCTCAGAGTTTTGCCTAGGACTTTCGTGGGCCTTATAGCATGACAAAATAACGAAGGAGTTCTTAACAGGACGCATTTAGGATTAAACAAGTTTTATTGGGAGTCTGAAGAAACTCACCAGGCCTCCACAAACAAGTTTACTGGAGGTCTGAAGGAACTCCCCAAACCTTGATTTAGCAGGGGACAAGCTAAGGGTAATCACCCCAGCACCTAGACTCATTTAGATTAAGTAATCTTACTGAGGCTCCAGAGGAAAGTCTTCAAGACTGAGACCTTAGTTATAGATTGAAAGAAGTTAATCACTTATGTCTTTAGATGAATGCACACTTACACATAGACATATAGCTTAAAAGGTATATAAGCTCTGGAAAACTTTGACATTTTGAGTTGGTCTGGCAATAATTTCCAGGCCTTCTTCCTGTAAGCAGTTACAGGAATAAAAACTCTCTTCCTCCCCAGTTCATCTGCATCTCGTTATTGAGCATAGAGAAACAGCAGCCAGACCCTTAGTTTGGCCAGAAACAATTAGAAACAATGAAGAAAATATACATGTAGTAACATACAAAACATCATGTTTAAAGAGTAAGAAATAATACTGAACTCTATAAATCACATTATTTACATATATAAAAATATATGCACAAAAGCAACACAAGTTACAATAAGACATACAAATAAAAAGGCACATTAAATACATTCAAATTATGGGAGAAATCTGAGACAAGAAAGGGAAAATTAGATTTTTTAAAAGGAACAAATAGGCGGAGCGCCCGTGGCTCATGCCTGTAATCCCAACACTTTGGGAGGCCCAGGTGGGAGGCTCTTGGAGACCAGTCTGGGCAACATGGGGAAACCCCATTTCTACAACAAATACAAAAAAATTAGCCGGGCATGGTGGTGCACGTCTATAGTCCCAGCTATTCAGAAGGCTGAGGTGGGAGAATCACCTGCGCCTAAGAGGTCGGGCACCAGTGAGCCGAGATAAATAAATAAATAAATAGATAGGCCAGGCGCTGTGGCTCACACCTGTAATCCCAGCACTTTGGGAGGCTGAGGCGGGCAGATCACTTTAGGTCAGGAGTTCGAAGCCAGCCTGGCCAACATGGTGAAACCCCGTCTCTACTAAAAATATAAAAAATTAGCTGGGTGTGATGGTGTGCGCCTGTAATCCCAGCTACTCAGGAAGCAGAAGCAAAAGAATCGCTTGAACCCGGGAGGCGGAGGTTGCAGTGAGCCAAGATCATGCCAGTGCATGCCACTGCATGCCTGGGTGCCACTGCATGCCTGGGTGACAGAGACACCATCTCAAATAAATAAATAAATAAACAAACAAAATAAATAAGAGAGGAGCCTTCTACAAACTGCTGTGGAAGAGAAGGGAAGACCATGATTACCTTAAATCTACCTGAAATAAAAATAGAATAAAATGAGGCAGAGTAGAAAGGGGGCTTGGCTGCAGGCTACCCCCACTAGGGCATTCCTTCATGCATCTCCACTGATCACAAAACCTACCCCACTGCCTCACTGACGCCATAATGTTAGAACTATGCATTTAAAAGAATTCCAGGAACTGACCTTAGGAGACAACCAAGGTTGCCGAGTGTCCCACTTTGGGAAGGAATGTTGAACAATCAATCGATTTACAGTCTCTTGCCTCCGGCCAGACGACAGGGTGGCTCATTAACTCAAGATAACCAGAGTAACTAAGTATGCCGCCCTGCACGCCCTACCCCGACGTCAGTTCCCGCGCTTTGCCTCTTAAGAAAGCTTTGCCTCTTAAGAAAGACTCGGGCTCTGGAGCTCCAGCAGAGCCGGGGCCTCGGCTCCAACCCGTCGGGCCCCGACTTGAAGCAGCGGGGAACCTCTCCTCACACCTCGGTGACCGGGTGGCCGCCGGGACACAGAGGCTTTGGGTGGCGGCGTGTTTGCGGGTCGGGAAGAACCGCGCAGAGGCCACTAGGGCGCAGGGCCCGGGAAGGCGGAGCTAGGGACTGGCTCGGCCTCCTTTTTAGGCCACTGCGCCGCGCAGATCCGGTCCTCGGGCGACCGCTCTGTCCCAGTTGGGCGAGACTACCTGGTCCTGATAACAGTGGATAACGGCTTTAACGGCCAGAAGGTCAGCGCAGTCCCGGATGAGGACGAGTAGAACGGTAACGGCCATGGGGCGGTTGGCCTTCCTTCTACCAGACCTTGATGTGGGAAGAGAGAAATGGAGTAACAAGCCACATTTGGCGCTTTGGAGATGCCCACCACGCTTTGGGAAGATGTACCAGCGTTTATAGAAGGCCCGAGTGTATAAGGTGAGAAAGCTACTCTCAGCTTCCCCGAAAACTTTTACAAGAAAACATTTGCCACATCTAGCCCCTCCAGATGTAAAGAAGCTGCCGATGTATGATAGACTAAGAATATCACACATCTTGTAAATTCCCATTTGTTTAAAAAAATCGTAGAAAATAAACATCTTCTGGAGATGACTTTTTGAAATGGAGATGTTGCATCACCTCTGGAGCAGACACATACACGTTTGTTCAGTGGGTTAGACTAGGACATGGAGAAGATCTGAGAAGGACGAGAAGAAGGTCCTATGCCAGACTGGTCATATTTAGAAGACGTTTACATATTATAATCGTTGTCTTCCGTGTGCATTTTATTCCTCACTACTGTATATGTAGTTGACAACTCCAAGTACTTTTTGAAATGTCTAGTCTTCTTTTTTTTTTTTTGAGATGGAGTCTCTCTCTGTTGCCTAGGCTGGAGTGCAGTGGCGCGATCATGGCTCACTTCCCACGTACAAGTGATTCTCCTGCCTCAGTCTCCCAAGTAGCTGAGATTACAGGCGCGCACCACCATGCCCTACTAATTTTTGTATTTTTAGTAGAAACGAGTTTCACCATGTTGGCGAGGCTGGTTTTGAACTCCTGACCTCAAATGATCCGCCCACCTCGGCCTCTCAAAGTGCTGGGATTACAGGCCTGAGCCACTGCTCCCGGAAATGTCTAGTCTTTCTAGATGGTCTGAAGTGTCTAATACGTGTTAAATTTAGAGATAGTAAAATATTACATTTTGTAAATATCTTTTGGTTAAAATTCATATGAAATGTTTTGAGAGGGGAATGGCCAACCACCAGTTCAGTAACAAACATTGTGTTTATGCACTGGTTCAGGGCAGGAGGAGAAGGAGGCTGTGCAGAGAGCTCTATGCCACCAGTGTGCTTACGGTGAGGCAAGATTAACTATTGTCTCTCATGTCTGTGCACTTTGTTTTCCTTATCTGTGTATACAGTGTTTATAGAGGAAAACAAGTCCTAATTTACATCTAGACTTTCTAGACATTAAAGAGGTTTCCAGTATATGACAAAAGTAGAGTTAGTAAACTAATATATCTTGAACATATTGTTTTAAAATTCCTTGGGAAAATTGTCTTCTGAAAATCTGAGCATTACTGGCCACTGGGTTGACTGAGATGGGAAGGGTTCTAGGCTGGAATATTTTTATTTGGAAGATTCTTTCAGATTTTAACTATTGTTACATGTGTACAGTTTATTCAAGACTGCTTTGCAGGACCAGCACGATGGCTCACACCTGTAATCCCAGCACTTTGGGAGGCTGAGGTGGGTGGATTGCTTGAGGCCAGGAGTTCAAGACCAGCCTGGCCAACATGGTGAAACCCCATCTCTACTAAAAATACAAAAATTAGCTGGGTGTGGTGATGCATGCCTGTAATCCCAGCTACTTGGGAGGCTGAGACAGGAGAATCACTTGAACCAGGGAGGCGGAGGTTGCAGTGAGCCAAGATCACACCACTGCACTCCAGCCTGGGTGATGGAGCAAGACCCTGCCTCCAAAAAAAAGAAAAGAAAAAAGAAAACTGCTCTGTATATAGTGGACAACAAATATACTCCTTACCTGAAACATCTAGCCTATCTAGATGTTTAGAAGTGCCCAGCATATGTTAAATGTACAGGTAACATTTAACCTCTAATGTAAGAGTAAAATAATCACTTAAAAATATCTTTTTGCTAAAATTCATAAGAAATAGTGTCTTTTGAAAGTGGAATTGTTGCCAGGCGCGGTGGCTCACGCCTGTAATCCCAGCACTTTGGGAGGCCGAGGCGGGTGGATCACCTGAGGTCAGGAGTTTGAAACCAGCCATGGTCAACATGGTGAAACTCTGTCTCTACTAAAAATACAAAATCAGCTGGGCGTGGTGGTACATGCCTGTATTCCCAGCTTCTTGGGAGGCTGAAGCAGGAGAATCGCTTGAACCTGGGAGGCAGAGGTTGCAGTGAGCCAAGATCACGCCATTGCGCTCCATCCTGGGCAACAAGAGCGAAACTCCATCTAAAAAAAAAAAAAAGAAAAGAAAAGAAAGTGGAATTGTTAAACCGCCCCTGTGAGTGGTATAGTAGTGTCTATACTTGTTTAATGGTTTAGTGGAAGTGGGAGGGAAGATATTGCAAAAGGTAATATGCTAGTGTGCTTATACTTGGACTTTTTAGACACCATTTTTCTGTATGTTTTGTGGATTTTGTTTTGCTGTGTATAAAGTTTATAATAAACAAATGAGTCATAATTTTGCAACATCTAGTCCCTTAGATGTTAGAGGTTGCCAGTGTATGACAAAGTACTCAGTAAAATTAGCTCATTTTGTACACTTTGTGTTGAAATTCATAGGAAAGCTTGTCTTCTGTAAATGACTTTTGGATACTAATTTGTTCAACCATCTCTAAGCATTACATGTGCCTGTACATGTCCACTGAATTGAAGGCAGAGAGAAGGAAGTGAGGAGGGAATGGTTCAAGACTAAAATGATCATATTTGGAAGATACCTCAGATTATAACCATTGTTACATGTATGCAATTTTATTTAACAGTGCTGTATACATGGTGGAAAAGTTATATGAAATATCTAGTCTTTTCAGCTATTTAGAAGTGCTTGATGTATTTAAAAGCAGAAGTAGTTGAATAACACTTTGTAAATAGCTTTTAAAGACTGATGGGAAATACTGTATTTGGAAGTGGAATTGTTAAACCACCTCTCTGAACAGTGTGCTCTCTACTTGTTCGTTGAGTTGAGGGAGGTAGGAGGAAAGAAACTGCAAAAGGTGTTTTGCTAGTGTGTACTAGAAAATTTCAGCTTATCCATTGCCTTATATGTTATGTGCTTTTCATTTAACTTTGCTATACTGCGCATATTGTGTATATACTGGACAAATGAGTTGTTGAGTGTATATTTTATAATATACAGTCTCTATATATTAAATTTTATAATATCTAGTCAATTTTGTAACATCTAGTCTCTAGATATTAAAGAGATTGCCAGTGTATGACAAAAGTAGTGTTAATAAACTAACCCATTTTGTACACTTTGTGTTAAAATTCATTTAAAGACTGTCTCCTGAAAAGGACTTTTGGAAGTGAAATGATAACATCAGCTAAGTGACACAAGTGCCTATATCCACTGAGTTTGTGGTGGAGAGGAGTGGGAAGAAATTAAGGATTCTAGAATAGAATGTTTCAATTTAGAAGACACTTTCAGATATAACCACTGTTACATGTGTGTGGTTTATTCAACACTACTATGTATATAGTGGACAAACTTAAGTCCTTAATTGAAACATCTAGGCTTTCTAAATGTTTAGAAATGCACAAAATGCATTGTAGATACCGTTTTGATTCGTATGAAATATTGTCTTTTGAAAACTGATCAAACTAATTCCCTGAGCAGTACACATTATTATATTTGTGCTGGTTCAGGGAGGAAGGAGAAGAAAGTGCAAAGGGTTTTATACCAGTGTGTTTATGGTCTTTTACTATGCTGTGTATATAGTGTATATAAATGCACAAACGAGTCCTAATTTACAACATCTAGTCTTTCCAGATGTTAAGGAGGTTGCTAGTGTATGACAAAAGTAGAGTTAGTAAACTGATACATTGAGTACACCTTATGTTAAAATTCACAGAGTGTTCTTAAAAACACAGAAGTGATCAGGGCCCAGTGGCTCACGCCTGTAATCCCAGCACTTTGGGAGGCTGAGGCAGGCAGATCACGAGCTCAGGAAATCGAGACCATCCTGGCTAACACGATGAAACCCCGCCTCTACTAAAAATAAAAAAAAATTAGCCGGGCACATGGTGGCACACGCCTGTAGTCCCAGCTACTCAGGATGCTACTCAGGAGAATCGCTTGAAGCTGGGAGGCAGAGGTTGCAGTGAGCTGAGATCGCGCCACTGCACTCCAGCCTGGGAAACAGAGTGAGACTCCATCTCAAAAAAAAAAACAACAAAAAAACAAGAAAAACCCCACAGAAGTGAAATTGTTAAAATCTCTAACTGGATGCTTATTCCTCTTCTGGATGCTCATACCTGTCCACAGGGTTAATTTAGAGGTGAGAAGGGAAACGATTCTAGGCCGTAATGTTCCTATTTAGAAGACACTTTTAAATTATAGCCTGTGTTATGTATATGCACCATTTATTCACTGCTACTGTATATACAGTGGAAAACAACTCCTATTTGAAACATCTTGTCTTTCTAGATGTGTAAAAGCACACAACATAGGTTAAAAGTAGATACTAAAGTAACACCTTTCACCAAAATTGTCTAGGAGTGGTTGTATTTGGGAATGGAATTGTTAAACTTGAGGTTTTGGAGAGTACACTGACTTTTCACTGGGTAGTGGCAAGTTGTGGGGAAGAAGTATGTAGAGGGAAGAGTTCTGTGCAGGTGAGTTAGATTAGTTCAGATGGTCTAACCATTGTTCTATATGTGCATTTTAGTTAATATTGTTGTATATTAAAATGCAAGTCCTTTTGCTCAAAGTGTGTTGGAAGTAGAGGTAGTAAAACAATCCATTTATATCCTTTTGTTAGTTTTTAGGAAGGCCTGTCTTCCAGGAGTGACCTTTGTTAATCCACCTCTTGGAGCTGGACATAGCCACCTGGACGGTGGAAGAGGGAAAAGAGGAAAGTTGAAGGGAAGGGCTCTTTGCTAGTATCTCCATTATCTAGAACATGGTTTTAGATGATAACCATAGGTCTATATGAGCACTTTACTTTTCAGTAAACATCTTTAGAAAAGATGTATCTTGGACATGGAATTGTGAAACCACCACTGGGTAGTGTATACCAGGACTTGTTCATCAGGTTAGCAGTAGAGAGGCAGAAGGAAGTATAAAGGGAGAGATGAATGCAGATGTGTCCATATTTCCATTTTGACGATAGCCATTGGTGTATGTGCATCTCTTTTGGCTGTACTATAGGAATACATGAAGTAATTAAAAGGAAACATATCTTCTTGCTAATATTTTAATGGTATAGATCTGTTAATGAATTCTCTTAGAAATATTATACTTAGTGTATTCAGTTGCTTTATGTTTTATTTTAAATTGAGCACTAAGGGAATGCAGTATTTTAATCAGAACTCTGCTAATGCTTTTATCTAGAGGCATGTCTCCATTTTTGCCTTCTATAAAATTTTTGTCCCAAAAAAAGCAAGATTACATTGTTTTTCTAACAGACTGAGTTGGTGCTGTATATTCTTGGTTATCAGAATACTCATATAGCTTTGCAATTCTGAATTGGTAAATATTTATGATGTGTAAAAAAGCATAATATATACTATATACTGTAGAATCTCAATCCCATATAACTGGATGTTATGTCTACACACACAGGACCTAGAAGGACACATCAAAGTATAAACTACTTGTGATTGTGGATGACTTTGTTCTTTGTTTCTTGTGTTTTACTTTTTTCTCCTTCCTTCCTTCCTTCCCTCCATCTCTCTCTCTTTCTTTCTTTTTTCAGAGTTTTGCTCTTATTGCCCAGGCTGGAGTGCAGTGGTGCGATCTCGGCTCACTGCAACCTCCACCTCCCAGGTTCAAGCAATTCTCCTGCCTCAGCCTCCTGAGTAGCTGGGATTACAGGCACACGCCACCACACCCAGCTAATTTGTTGTATTTTTAGTAGAGACGGAGTTTCATCATGTTGGCCAGGCTGGTCTCGAACTCCTGACCTCAGGTGATCCACCCACCTCTGCCTCCCAAAGTGCAGGGATTACAGGCGTGAGCCACCATGCTTGGCCTCTTGTGTTTTTTAATTTACTATAATGCACATATTACCTGTTTAAAAAAATTAAGGTTATTTTAAAAACCTGGGGGGAAAAAAGCCTTACTGGCTTTAAGCCATTCTTGTACCTCAGCCTCCTGAGTAGTTGGGATTACAGGCGCCTGCCACCATGCCCGGCTAATTTTTGTATTTTTAGTAAAGACGGCGTTGCACCCTGTTGCTAGGCTGGTCTCGAACTCCCAAACTCAAGTGATCAGCCCACCTCACCTCCCAAAGCACTGGGATTCCAGGCATGTGCCAACGTGCCTGGACTCCATGCCATTTATTTCTTGAAGGTCAGTTTGTCCAGGAGAATTTTCCACATTCTGGATTTAGCTGATTGCATCATTATAATGTTATTAAACACATTGCTGTATCTCCAATATTTACTCTAAACAAATGGTTTTTATCTATTTGATTATAGAAATTTAATTTTCAACACAAGTATTTATTGTGGTCCTGGGTATGTTCTACTTTACTTTATTATGGGTTACATGATATGTGGTTGTCTCACATTTGATGATATAAAATTTAGCTTTGGTTTTAGGTGACATCAGCCTAATCCAACCATTCTAGAGTCCTTCATCCAATTTCACCTCATGGTTATAGCAGCCATTGCCAATTGTGACCTGGATGTGTTATAGCAATACCAGTTGCAAAATGTTGTAGTTTTATAATCTCTCCTGCATTCATTAGCTGTTATTTCCTGAGAAGAAAAATCTTTCCCTCATCAACTATATGTTTATCCTGAAATACATTCCATACAGGAGAGATAGGATAAATGCTTGATTCTTTTCCTTCATGTGTTAGCTTTCAAAATAAAACTGATATTCAAAAACCTCCAAAGGTTGAATATGGAAAAGCTATTTTGTGTGTGTGTATGAGTGTATATGTTTATGTTAACTTTGCAACCAGCTTCTTTACCAAATTCTCTATAGTAAGTTTTTCATTTGAGGGGTGGCTTCCAGATATATAATCCTACCAAGATACATAGATAGCTTTATCCCATTCTATCCAATAGTTAATCCTTTAATTACTTTTTCATGTCTAAATGCTTCAGCTAATACCTCCATTACAATGTTAAGTAGTAGTGAAGATAATGAATATCCTTGTCTTGTCATGAAAAACAATTTAAATGTATTTGATCCCAAAATACCATAAATAGACTTAAATGGGAATACATACCATGAACAGCGCCCTCCCCCCAACCCCCGCTTTTTTTTCAGACAGTGTTTCGCTCTGTTTTCCGAGGCTGGAGTGCAGTGGCACAATCACAGCTCACTGCAGTCTTAACCTCCTGGGCTCAAGCGATTCTCCTGCCTCAGCCTCCCAAGTAGCTAGCTGGGAATACAGGCATGCACCACCATGCCCTGCTAATTTAAAAGAGACATCATCTCTCTATGTTGCCCAGGCTGGTCTAGAACTCCTGGGCTCAAGCAATTCTCCTGCCTCAGCTTTTCAAATTTCTGGGATTACAGGTGTAAGCCACCATGCCCAGCCTCATAAACATCTATTAACATTATATATTATACAGAATAATTTATCAGAATAAAACATAATTTCTAGAAATCAGTAAGTTAAAAAGGGAAAAACTGGTTTCTTTCCTCTCATATTATGTATTTAATCAATATTTCATACTAGCTCTGGCGTAGGCAAATCACCTTTGATTTGGATTGATTAACATGTGTAGGTGTCGTGGGATACTTTTTTGTGTTGGGGCAGTGGAGGTGGTCATCTAGTTAAATGTGTTTGTAAAATGAGTTCAACATGTGTTGGGGACCAGCCTCAACACCACCCGTAGGGTACCCAAAGTCCGGTGGCGACAAAGGATTGAGAAGAGACAAGAGTAATGGTGGGGAGCCAGGGGGCCAGTTGCAAAATGGAGGCTGCAAAAGGCTCAGACCTCTGGTCTCCACACTATTTATAGAATACAATAACTTAGATCTAAGAAGCAGATGTTCAGGGCGAAACAGTGAAAAGGTGGCAGTGCGTCATAGCCGTTATCTATAGCAATAGCGGTTTAAATGAATCTCCTTTGTGCTCAAATAGCATATCTTTAACTTATGGGAGAGTAGCTAGTGGGAGCGGGCTTAACTTGGAGTCTGTCCACATTCCAGTATTTCAAAGGAGTGTCTTTCTCCTTGAACGCAGTGTTTACAGATAAGAGAGCGGGTCTCGCTCTGAGCATGGGAACATGATGGCAATTAGGAGGCTTTCCTCCTCAGAGGACTCTTGTGGCTTTCCACAACATATTGTCTCATATTTTTATGGCCAGTTTATGCAGGCACCCCACAAGCCCTTTTCCCAAAAACATGTCATTTATTTTTACTGAAATTTTCTTGAACAAGAGATATTTGGATGCCTGGTCTCTCACACTCCCACTAAGCTATTTCAGCAAAAGGACAGTAGTTCTGGTTTCATTTAACCAGCCAATCCATTCTGTCTCATTCGGGTTAGACTTGGGAGGCACCCCATGCTATGACAGACAGCATTTTATTGTCCTTCATGTACCTATCACCGCACAATACTAACGGGGCCCACTGCTTCCATATCTGGTGATTCAAGAAAAGGTAAGGTATAGGGTGGTTGGAAGCTCAGAAGAAAGACATCAATAAGATATGTTTCTGCTATTCCACCTCCATGCTGTTCTTTGCTCTAAGAACTCTTCAGAATTCAAAAAAGAAAAGAAAAAAAAAACAGTGAATAAAACAAAGGGTCTTTTATTATTTTTATATTTTTTCTGTTTTTCAGTAATACCATAGCATGAAATCCAAAGAAACCAGGCTGATTAATTTGCGAAAATGCTTTTACAAAGGGTTCATGACCTTCCTGGTGTGGCAATGCTATCGATACAGATACTTAACACTGCAAAGGCTGTACAGACAAGCAGAAAATTGAATGAATGAGACTAGGTTTATTTAACGGGAGGGAGAAAGGAAAGTGGAAAGGCGGTCCATTGAGAGGAGAAAGTGCGCACTCCCAAAACTGGTGGAGGTGCCGGGGATTGAACCCGGGACCTCGTACATGCTAAGCACGCGCTCTACCACTGAGCTACACCCCCAACCACAGACAGGTTGCTTTGCATTTCTTTCATGATTTATAATCAGTATTTCTCAAAGATTCGGTAAATTGCAATGAAATCATGAATGCAAACTCCGCAATTTGTGAAACAGCTAGGCTGGGTCCTGCACAAGCAGCGTCCAAAGAAAGCAACACAGTGAAATTACAAAGGAAGGAGCCTGAAAGCAGACAATCTGTTGTCTCTCGCTTTTTCCAGCTTCATTTCCTGCTGTTTTCAACCATAAGGCCCCAGGAGGCCAAAGCCAGTAGCGCAGCCAGGGTACCAGCTGAGACCTACGTGTTTGAAGGGAAACTGTAGGGGGGCGTCAAAGGGGATCCTCGCCTACCGAGTTCCAGTCCCCGGGCCCAGCACCGCCTTTCTTGGAACAAAGACCCTCAAATCACTTCCGTTTCCAAAAGCCCAAAACGTCCACTGAACACTTAGTGGTGATGGCAGGGAACGTTCTTGTGAGCTCAAGATGTCATGAATCAATCACAAGGACAAACTGGAAATCTGGGCCCGGGTGAGAGGCATCACGTAGGCACCCAGATCCGCACGTCTAGAGTAGTTTACCTCCGACAAAACTCTGAGGGTCCCCTGCTAAGCCAAACTGGTGGGGGTTGGGGTGGGGTAGTAGCGTTATCTGAAAAAAAGATGAATTAGGTAAGGCAGGGCTGGCATCTGTTGCTTGGCGACCAATCTGTAGGAAACCATGGAGCAATGAAAAATTATTGGTTTCTCGAATGGTGAGGGGAGGTGGGGGAAGCTTCTCATATTTTAAAGAGCTGGCCCAGCCCAACCCAAATTCACAACTATTGACTTCTGAGGCACCTCCGTTGAAATCTCTCCCTCTCTCTTTCTCAAACAATTTATAACTCACTAAAAAGTTGAAAAAATAAAAATAATACAAAAATACCCTTCTATCCTTTACTCAGATTTAGATATTATTAATATTTTACCCCATTTGCCTTATGAGTTGCTTCTTCTCTCTCCTGTACGTTGCATACATCACGTCCATTTCCTTTACTTAAGTACTTTTCTATATACCCACAGTACTATTAGGAACTTTTGTAAATTTAACATTGATACAATAGCTGTATTTAATCTACAGTCTGCATTTCAAGTTGACCAATTGACCTGATGTTTTCCTCTCATATAGGATCTAGTCTAGGGTCAGGCGTTGCATTTAGTTGTCCTGTCTTTTTTAGTCTTCTTTAATGAAAAATATTTGCATAGTCTTTATTTTTTTTGACATTGATATGTCATTTAAAAAATAGTGTTATTTTCATTTCTTTCTTTCTTTCTTTTTCTGAGACAGAGTCTCGCCCTGTTGCCCAGCTGGAGTGCAATGGCGCGATCTCGGCTCACTGCAACCTCCGCCTCCCGGGTTCAAATGATTCTCTTGCCTCAGCCTCCTGAGTAGCTGGGATTACAGGTGCCTGCCACTATGCCTGGCTAATTTTTTTTTTTTTTTTTTTGTATTTTTTAGTAGAGGCGGGGTTTCACCATGTTGGCCAGGCTGTTCTCGAACTCCTGACCTCGTGATCCGCCCGCCTCAGCCTCCCAAAGTGCTGGGATTACAGGCATGAGCCACTGCTCCCGGCCTCATTTCATTTTTAAAAATAGAATGTCTTTCACTGACTGATACTTTCGCATGACTAGGCTCAGGATATACGTTCTCCATTGGAATACTAAATAGATAATCTTGCGTGCTTATATATTTTTCAGTCATTGGTCTGTACTTTTTTGTTCTTGCTTTAAAAAAATCTTCCCAACAAAGTCTCTGGATAGTACACTTTTTGTGACATTTCTGGTCTCACAAAGGATTAAGGAATTCTTTAGAGGTCACTCAAAACAAAAATAAATGAATATTTTCTGGGCGCTAAAGTGACTTAGAAACACCTGGAGCCCAGGTCAGGGTAGTGAGTAGTCAAAGCCATAGCTGTGAGAACTCTGCCTAAAGTTCCTGGGAGTTGGAACAGTTGGGAGCAAGAACTGCTGGAAGCCAACTTGGACCAACAGAGGAGTGGGTTTAACCTGAAGTCAGATACCAATCGAAAAACAACTGTGAGGATGAATATTTAATATCAGAAAAGCAGAGAGTTGGAGGAGCTGAGCCTGACACTCTTGTTATGGGCCAAAACCTATAGTGAGACCAAGTGGTTCAGGGTCAAATTTGTCACCTAGCTCCTGGCAGAAGTAGAAATATATCCTCTCTGAAAGAAAACTTCCCCGAGTTAGGCCTGCAGAACTCTCTTATGTTAAGATCACACAATAAGGTTAATAATAAAGATTACTACAAACCTAAGAAGGTAAATTACTATGCTTGAGACTCAACAGATACAAAAAGTCATACTGAAACCTAAAGAACTGTAGATGTTAAATTTTAAGGTACAAAATGTATAATAGCTATGTCTGACATATATCAATAAATTAAGGATATGATTACAAATGAAGTATGCAAAAGAGTGAGTAAAATTATGTAAAAATTTAGATTCAAGAAATAAATATGTAATAGTTAAATTTTTTTTTTTTTTTTTGAGACAGAGTCTCGCTCGGTCAGCCACGCTGGAGTGCAGTGGCATGATCTCGACTCGCTGCAACCTCTGCGTCCCGGGCTCAAGCAATTCTCCTGCCTCAGCCTCCCGAATAGCTGGGATTACAGGGGTGTGCCACCACGCCCAGCTAATTTTTGTATTTTTAATAGAGACGGGTTTCACCTTGTTGGCCAGGCTGGTCTTGAACTCCTGACCTTAGGTAATCCACCCGCCTCAGCCTCCCAAAGTACTGAGATTATAGGCGTGAGCCACAGTGCCTGGCCAAAAAAAAATTCCTAATTTTTTTGCATATTAGCTACAGCTGGGGAAGGAATTACTAAGCTGAAAGATAAAGCCAAAACCTTAACCCAGAATACAACAAAAATAGTTAAGAACATGGAACATGTGAAGCAAGCTGAGATAGATAAACACAACTGCGAATTCTTTGCATCTCCTCCCATCAGAAGGTGGGGCCAAATCTTTTTCCCCTAACCCTGGAATGTGGGCTGCCTTTGTGATCTGCTTTGACCATTGGAACACAGTGGCAGTGATGCTGTGCTACTTCTAAGTGCAGGTCTCAAGAAAGCTTGCAGCTTCAGTTCTCAACATCTTGGAACACTATCACTGTATAAGAAATCTGGGCAGTCCTGTTGGGGAGATCACATGAAGGAAAACTGATGAACTCCAGAAAATAGCCCTTGCCAAGTATCAGACATCCAGGCATTAAGGGCATCCAGGAGCAGCGAGTCCCAGCTGACCTGCCAACTCACATTGAATTTGTAAATCCAGCTGATTTTACAAGGAGATGAGATGATACATTTCAGCTGAGTTCTATGTTGTTTTAAGCCACCGAGTTTGGAGTACTTTATTACACAGCCACAGAATACTGATTTAAAAAATAATAATAATAGAAATGGAAGATTATGTGAAAATTCTGAAGTATATACGATTAGAGTTCAGGAATAAAAGAAGAGAAAAAAATGTAAGTGAGGTAATATTTAGATATAATATACCTGGAAAATTTCCCAAATTGGAGAGAAAATTTTCCCTTAGAGAGTCAGAAAGCAAATGTGTCACAAGCACGTTAAAGAGAAACAACTATAACTACACACCTCATACTGAAACTGTGTTATAACAAACATAAGAGGATGTCTCAAATCAGCCAGAGAGAATGTATAGATTTCTGCAAAGAAAGAACAATTAGAATGTTAACAAGCATCTTCATGATAAAATCCAGGAAACAATAAGATATATTTTGGAAGTGTTGAAATAAAACAATTGCCAATCTAGACTTGTGTACCCATCAAAGTAAACTTTAAGAATGAGAAAGTGTTTAAAATTTTATTTAAAAATTTATTTTGGGCGGGCACGGTGGCTCACGCCTGTAATCCCAGCACTTTGGGAGGTTGAGGCGGGCAGATCACGAGGTCAGGAGACCACCCTGGCTAACACGGTGAAACCCCGTCTCTACTAAAAATACAAAAAAAATTTAGCTGGACGTGGTGGGGGCACCTGTAGTCCCAGCTACTCGGGAGGCTGAGGCAGGAGAATGGCTTGAATCCGGGAGGCGGAGTTTGCAGTGAGCCGAGATCGCGCCACTGCACTCCAGCCTGGGCGACAGAGTGAGACTCCCTCTCAAAAAAAAAAAAAAAAAAAAAAAAATTTTTTTTTGGTGGCTATAAATGGGTAAATCCCAAAGTAGCAGCAATACAGAGTATTTAACAATATTTTAATATTTTCTTTTACTCAACAGTCCACCTTTGTGATTTGCTTTCCATAAATACACTAGATTAAAGCAACAATACTCCAAGTTCAATCTGAGTTTATTGAATACTTTATTTCCATTCAGAGTTTAGTAATTACATTATTCTGTCACCAACAATAATCAAATGGCCTACCTAAGTAGCAAAAATCATAAAGCTATTATAAGCCAAGTCAATGGAATTTATAAAGTTAATATAAAACAGTAACTAGACTAATACACATATGAATTGGGCCCTACTAGAAACATGCCAAAATCATAAGCTTTATTTAAAGAATGAGGTATTGGGGCAGAGAAGAAAGAGAGGTCATTATCATCAAAAATTATTAGGAAGATTTAGGCAAAAAGAGGCTGGGCACTGTGGCTCACGCCTGTAATCCCAGCACTTTGGGAGGCTGAGGCGGGCAAATCACCTGAACTCAGGAGTTTGAGACCAGCCTGGCCAACCTAGTGAAACCCTGTCTCTACTAAAAACACAAAACTAGGTGGGTGTAGTGGTGAGCACCTGTAGTCCCAGTTACTCAGGAGGCTAAGGCAGGAGAATCACTTGACCCGGGAGGCCAAGGTTTCAGTGAGCTGAGATCATGCCACTGCACTCCAGCCTGGGTGACAGAGCAAGATTCCGTGTCAAAAACAAAACAAAACATCACTATTTAAGTGTCATGAATTATCATCATCATATGTAAGAAAAGATAACCCATCAGAAAAAATAAATAAAAATAAAATAAATTAAAAAATAAACCAAAGGACCTATACAGATCAAACTTTCAGTGAGTCTTTCTTTCTTCTTCACAGGCATTATCTGCACTATCAGCATAGCCATAGTTCCCATAGCTGCCAGAAGGTACTCCTTCACTCAGGCCTGCATGCTTCATTATGTCAGAAGAGAGAGGGAAATGGAGGGCATAGAGGGGTGGGTGGGTAGGAAAGAGCTAGGGGTTACCCAGATCATGTCTTCAGCACCAGGGTCCCACAGAACAACAACTTTCCCTCCCTCAAACACCTCAACATCGGTGGAGCCTTAAGAGTGAGAATTCTGCCTGGGCGCAGTGATCCATGCCTGCAATTCCATCACTTTGGGAGGCCGAGGTGGGCGGAAGTTCAGGAGTTCAAGACCAGCCTGACCAACATGGCAAAACCCCATCTCTACTAAAAATACACACACAAACATTAGCCAGGTGTGGTGGTGCATGCCTGTAGTCCCAGCAACTTGGGAGACTGAGGTGAGAGGATCATTTGAGCCTGAGAGGCGGAGGCTGCAGTGAACTGAGATCACACCACTGCAGTTCAGCCTCAGCGACAGAGCAAGACCCTGTCCCCCTTCTCCCCTCAAAACAAGAGTGAGAGTAATTTTGAATATCATTGACAAAAACAGGTAGTTGACAGCTAACGCTTGCATCGAAAAAAGCTCTTCTAGTTTTGTTTATTAAAGCTTTCAAACTTACATAAAGTTAGAGAGAATGGTGTAATGACTTTCCATGCACATATCAACCAGGTTCAACAAAAATTAGCATTTACCATTCTTATTTCATTCATCTCTCCTTTTCTCCACTGAAGTATTTTAAGCTACTTCTAAGCATTATGTAATTTGATGTTTAAATACTTCAGTATATGTCTAAGAGAAAAGAACATTTTAAAAAATGGGCACATGTGGCCGGGCGCCGTGGCTCATGCCTGTAATCCCAGCACATTGGGAGGCTGAGGTGGGCGGATCAGGAGGTCAGGAGATCGAGACCATCCTGGCTAACACGGTGAAACCCCATGTCTACTAAAAATACGAAAAGAAATTAGCTGGGCGTGGTGGCGGGCGCCTGTAGTCCCAGCTACTCCGGAGGCTGAGGCAGGAGAATGGCGTGAACCCTGGGAGATGGAGCTTGCGGTGAGCCGAGATCGCGCCACTGCACTCCAGCCTGGACGACAGAGTGAGACTCTGTCTCAAAAAAAAAAAAAAAAAAAAGGCACATGTTGTCAGGACCTCCTGAGGCTGTGTCACAGAAAACAAAAAGAACGAACAAACAAAACCATAATTTTAATAACTTTATCACTTCTAAAATATTTAACTAAAATTCTTAATATTATCTAATACCTAGTCCGTGTTCAATTTTCCCAGTTATGCAAAAAATTTTTTATGGGTGAGTTGTTCGATTTATGATCCAAAGTAAGTTCATATATTATTTCTGGGTGATAAATTTCTTAAAACTCTGTTTACTTTTTTACATTTTACTTTTTTGAGACAGAGTCTCACTTTGTCACCCAGGCTGGAGTACAGTGGTGCAATCTCAGCTCACTGCAATCTCCTGGGCTCAAACAGGCCTCTCACCTCAGCCTCCCAAGTAGCTGCGACTACAGTCACGCACCACCATGCCCGCCTAATTTTTGTATTTTTAGTAGTGATGGGGGTTTGCCATGTTGGCCAGGCTGGTCTCGAACTCCTGGCCTCAAGTAGTCCGCCTGCCTTAGCCTCCCAAAGTTCTAGGATTACAGGCATGAGCCACCACTCCCCACCTGCTGTTTTGACTTTTAATTCCCTAGTGACGTATGATGTTGAGAATCTATAAATAAGCTTAGCCGCCACCTTCTTTAGTGAAGTGTCCAGATCTTTTGCCTACATTTTAACTGGGTCGTTTGTTTTCTTGTTAAATTTTTGAGAGTTCTTTGTACATCTTCTTTTCATTCCCTTAACGGTGTATTTCACAGAGAAGTTTTTAATTTTAATAAAATCCAACTTATTTTTTTTTCCAGATGTTTTGCTTTTGGTGTTGTTTTTATAAACTAATTGCCAAAGCCAACGCTACCTAGATTTTCTCCTATGTTATTTGCTAGAAATTCTATAGTTTTGTGTTTTACATTTAGGTGTATAATCAATTTTGGGTTAATTTTTATGAAAGTGCTAAGGTCAGTGTCTAAAGTCTTTTTTTTTTTAACATATGGATCTCCAATTGTTTTATTAAAATTTGTTAAAAAATCATGCTTTTCTCCACTGAACTGCCTTTGCTCTCTTGTCAAAGGTAAGTTTACTATGGGTCTATTTTGTAATTCTCACTTCTTCCCATTGATTTATTTTTCTATTATTTTGACAACTGTATTAGTCTATTTTCACACTGCTGTTAAAGACACACCCAAGACTGGGCAATTTACAAAAGAAAGAGGTTTACTGGACTTACAGTTCCATGTAGCTGGGGAGGCCTCACAATCATGGCAGAAGGTGAAAGACATGTCTCACATGGTGGCAGACAAGAGAAGAGTTTGTGCAGGGAAACTCCCCTTTTTAAAACCATCATATCTCATGAGACTTATTCACTATCATGAGAACAGCATGGAGAAGATCTGCCCCATGATTCAATTACCTCCCACAAGCTCCCTTTCAAAACACATGGAAATTCAAGACGAGATTTGAGCGGGGACACACCCAAACCATATCACACCACCACCACACTGTCCTGATTACTATAACTTTGACATTGGGTAATGTTAGTTTTTCAGCATAGTTCTTTTGCATGTTGTTGGCTATTCTGAATCTTTTGCCTTTCCATATAAATTTCGAGTTCGTTTGTTTTTTCTACAACTAAGTATCTCACTGGGGTTTTCATTAGGATTGTGTTGAATCTATAGACCAAATGGAAAGAACTGATGTCTTGACAATATTGAGTTTTTCTATCCATGAACATGGAATATCTCTCCATTTATTTGGATTCTCTTTGATTGCTTCAGTCAGAGTTTTGTAGCTTTCCTCACATAGATCTTGTACATAACTGGTTAGATTTATATCTCAGTATCCTTTTTCTTTTTTGTTTTCTCTTCTGTTTCTTTCTTCTTTTCTTTTTTTGGTGCTAATATAAATAGTGTTGCTTTCTTAATTTCAAATTCCAAATGAGTATTGCTAGTATGTAGAAAAGGAATTGACTTTTATGTAGTAACCTTGTGTCTTGCAACCTTGCTATAATTACTTTTTTTCTTTTTTCTTTTTTTTTTTTTTTTTTTGAGACATAGTCTCACTCTGTCACCCAGGCTGGAGTGCAGTGGTGTGATCTCAGCTCACTGCAACTTCCACTTCCTGAGTTCAAGCGATTTTCGTGCCTCAGTCTCATGAGTAGCTGGGATTACAAGTGCGCACCGCCGCACTCAGCTAATTTTATTTTATTTTATTTTATTTTATTTTATTTTATTTTATTTTATTTTTAGTAGAAACAGGGTTTCACAATGTTGGCCAGGCTGGTCTCGAACTCCTGACCTCAAGTGATACACCCACCTCGGACCGGAAAATCATAACAACTGTCCTCATTCAAATAAATAACTACAATTGTTTGAATCATTAAATAAACAAATCTTTAGTCCTCTAACCCAGGTCAGTTTTCCATGCTGGGTAGTTGTATGGTGAGGATGGATATATGAAATTTGGTAAAGGAACATGATGGGGAGAGAAGACAGTCCCTTCTGCCTAAAGAGAAGTAAAGATTTCAAAGGAAGGACAAACAATACAAAACAAAACAAAAACAAAAACACCCCAGCATTTGGGCAAGAAATAATCTCTCCAATATTTTCCACCAAATATAGAAAAGCCGAGAAGCTCTAGTGAGTAGATGGGTTCCTTGGTGCTGGGTTTATTTGAAATTGCCAAAGTCCGCTTCTTCCTGGATAGATAAAAATTATGGGATGGAGTTGGTTAAGTGGCCCGCCCAGGTCACACGGTGAGTGGGACAGAACCCCGACCCAAGCTAGCTGGCTCCTGCTCTAGGAAGGATTGCCCCACCCGACCCTGTAAGTGTTGGTGGCAGCCAGGCTAAATCATCTTACGCAGTAACATTCCAAACTACTCTAGAACGAAAATGCTCACATCGGGGAGTCTTTCTACCTTTTTTCCAACCCCGTTTTGACCCATTGCTGCATATCTCAGCAATGCAATAATTCCAAACCCCAGATAAAGAACTAGAGAGAAATGAAAGCGTCTCTTTGCTGTCCGGCATATTTCAGAAGCAAAAATGTATAAGGAATCACAGAGCCGGTTTATTGTTCGTTGTAGTTTGTTTGCTAATTTCTGGCACCTCCCAGAAAACAGGAATCTCTGGAGATGTTCTCATCAGGAGAAGGAATAATCCGGTCCCTCCAAAGGGAGAACACAGAGGAGCTAGCTGGAGCCAGGTCAGCAAACCAGGGTTCAAATCCTATGTCCATGCATTCCAGTGTTCAGCAAGGATCTACGTATTTAATACCTAGGCGTACTGTTTTTATCTGTTCGTTTGATATGTGCCAAGTAACTGAACCACTCTAGGTGTCATTTATCACTTTTGTGGTTGCTGCGAAATGTACCTAAAAATACCCGATTCTGGGTGTGGTTGTAAGGACTGAATCAGGATTAAGCCAGAAAAAGAGCGATTAAAAATATATTATTACAGGACTAACTGTGCGGAGGAAGAAAATGACTTTGCCACGCTTAGCATGTGACGAGGTGGCCGAGTGGTTAAGGCGATGGACTGCTAATCCATTGTGCTCTGCACGCGTGGGTTCGAATCCCATCCTCGTCGTTTCTGGAGGTTTTTATTTAACCCTCTGAAAGGATGGGTCTGAGTGCTGCCTAGTTAGCGTTTATCTTTGGTAGATTAATTTGCCAAGAAACCAAGTAAATTACTAAATGTATCTTAACTGGCCTCTGCTAATTTTCAGTTCTGAGTACAAGATTCTCTCAAATCTCAGGGACAATTCTTCCTCAGCAACATTGATCATACTTGTAAGTTAAATTAGCCAGTTGAAACATTTGGGTAGTGTTTACTTTTCCCTCCAGATGGTAACCTTCTTAAGGGCAAGAAATATATGTGTTCTCCATTGAGTTTCCAGCTCTTCTGAAGGAGCAACTGAATAATTAATTGAGGGCTATAGAAAAATATTGTCAATAAACTTAAAGTAAATGATAAAAATCATCCACATAAATATGTACAACAAGTTATTGATACTATATTTTGCAGGTATTTTCAGCCTAATTTTAACCTTACTGAAATTTTTACTCTTTGCTAACTTTAAACTGCCCTCCCCCAACAAAATACTTAACCATTATTGTCTGCTGGTCTCTAGCTTTGAGGAGGATTTGTCTCTGCTTAGAGATGTGACAAAGCTGAAAAATATACTCCATACGACATTCCCAGTTATGTCTAAAGATGCCTCCATAAGCAAGACAGAGAGGAATGTCCATATTGAATAGTTTCTACTTGTGATTTCCATCGTGGGCCTTGGGAGAAAAAAATATATATTTTTTATTTTATTTATTTTATTTAAGTTTTTGAATAGGCACTGCATTCACATGATTCCAAAATTATAAAGCTATATAAAATCTTGCACCCATCCATAATTATTCCCCAACCACCTAATTACATTCTTTACTGATAACCACTGTTGTTAATTCTTTCCAGGATTACACTAAGCACATATGAATATATATTACATAACATATATATTTCTATTTTTATCTCAAAAAAAGCACAAATGACAACATACTATGAATATCATTCCTTATCCTGCCCCATTTCCCTAACCAATATATCCTGGAGAGCTTTCTGTATCATCACAAAAAGTGAAAGCTTATTCTTTTTTAAGGATGCATTGTATCCCAATGCATACTTTACCATATATTATTTAACCAGTTCTCTGTTGGACAATTTGGGTTTTCTGTATCTTTTGCTATTATAAACTATGCTGCACAAATAACTTTATATATACATACATAAAATTTTGAATGTGTATATCTGTAATACTGCAATATAAATTTTTAAAAGTGAGTTTGCTGTGTCTTAGGATATACTCATTTAAAATATTTATAGATATTGCCAAATGGCCCTCCAAAAGGATTTTATTAGTTTACACTCTTAACCAGTAATGACTAAAATTCTTGTTCCTCTCACCCTCCTCTGGACTGTTACATCAGAATGACCCAAAGTGTGTGTTATGAATGAAGAATTCTGGGCCTCGATCATGATCTATTGCATTATAACCTCAGTGGCGGGGCAGTGGGGGATGGGATGTTCTTGAATCTGTGATTTAATAAAGTATTCAGATGTTTCCTATGTTGGTCTTAAGGCTTGTACATGGCTGAAGTATCTACATGTTATATCCATTCATCTAGAATTTTCTTTTTCTTTCTTTTTTTTTTTTGAGACGGAGTTTCGCTCTTGTTGCCCAGGCTGGAGTGCAATTGTGTGATCTCAGCTCACTGCAGCCTCCACCTCCTGGGTTCATGCGATCCTCCTGCCTCAGCCTCCCGAGTAGTGGGGACTACAGGCACGTGCCACCAAGCCCAGCTAATTTTTGTATTTTTAGTAGAGACGGGGTCTCGCCATGTTGGCCTGGCTGGTCTGAATTCCTGACCTCAGGTGATCTGCCCGTTTCGGCCTCCCAAAGTGCTGGGATTACAGGCGTGAGCCACTGCACCTGGCCTAGAATTTTCTTTATTTCTGTAAATGTTTGCCTCAGGAAAGCTGCTTTCTTCTTCCTCCTCGTCCTCTTCTTCTTCTTCTTTTTTTTTTTTTTTTTTTTTTTTTTTTGAGACTGGGTTTTGCTCTAACACCGAGGCTGAAGTGCAGTGGCTGATCCTCCACCTCCCAGACTCAAGCAATCCTCCCAACTCAGCCTCCTTAGTGGCTGGGACTGCTTTTTTTTTTTTTTTTTTTTTTTTTTTTGGTAGTGACGGGGTTTCACCATGTTGCCCAATCTGGTCTCGAACTCCTAGGTTTGACCTGACCCTCTCAGCCTCTCAAAATGCTGGGATTGCAGGCGTGGGATTACCGCTTCTGGCCAGTTTCTATCTTCGATGTTCCCAGGTACACATTTCATAACTTGGACAGGTTTTCTTTTTTAATTTAATTTCACTTTTTAAATTATTGTCGATAGCCACCCTACTGTGCAATAGATCTCAAAACATTCCTCTTGTCTATCTGAAACTTTGTACTACTTTGACTAACAACTCTATTCCTTCCCCAACTCCCACCCCATCCTGTAACATCTGGTAACCATTATTCTAATCTCTCTATTTCTACGAGTTCAACTTTTTTTTTAGATTCCATATATAAGTGAGATCATGAAGTATTTTTCTTTTTGGGTCTGGCTATTTCTCTTAGCATAATGTCCTCCAGGTTCATCCTCATTGTGAAAAATGACAGAATTTCTTTCTTTTTAAAGTCTGAATAGTATTTCATTGTATATATAGCACATTTTCTTTCTCTTTGGAGTTTTGCTCTTGTCACCCAGGCTGGAGTGCAATGGCACCATCTCAGCTCACTGCAACGTCCACCTCCCAGGTTCAAGCGATTCTTCTGCCTCAGCCTCCCAAATAGCTGGGATTACAAGCATGTGCCATCATGCCCAGTTAATTTTTGCATTTTTAGTAGAAACGGGGTTTCACCCATTGGCCAGGCTGGTCTCAAACTACTGATCTCAGGTGATCCACCCGCCTCGGCCTCCCAAAATGCTGGGATTACAGGCTTGAGCCACTGTTCCTGGCCTAGCACATTTTCTTTATATATCCATCTGATGATGGACACTTAGGTTGATTCCATGTCTTGGCTATTAACTGCAATGAACATGAGAGTACAGACATTTCTTTGATATATTGATTTCAATTCCTTAGGATATATTCCTAGACGTGGGACTGCTGGATCATAAGGTAATTTTATTTTTAGTTTTTGAAATATCTATATACTATTTTCCATAATGGTTGTACTACTTTACATTTTCACCAACAATGTACAAAAGCTGTCTGTTCTCCATGGCCTTGTCAACGCTTGTTACCATCTTTCATCTTTTTGATAAAACCCGGCTTTTATAAAAAAGATTTTGTCAAAAAGGTGAAAGATTGTTACGGGTGTGGTGGGTCACGTCTGTAATCCCAGCACCTTGGGAGGCCGAGGTGGAAGGATCGCTTGAGCCCAGGAGTTCGAACCCAAGTGTTTGAGAGCAGCCTGGCTAACATAAGGAGACCACCATCTCTACAAAATAAATAAAGATCAGCGGGGAATGGTGGCGCATGCCTGCGGTCTCAGCTAATTGGGAAGCCGAGGCAAGGGGATCACTTGAGCCCAGGAGGTTGAGGCTGAGTGAGCCGTAATCTTGCCACTTCACTCCAGCCTGGGCGACAGAGCCAGGCTCGGTCTCAAAACAAAAAGCAAAACAAAGCCAAAAAAAGAAGTTTTTGTTTTTTTTGAGACGAAGTCTCGTTCTTGTCCCCTAGGCTGGAGTGCAATGGCGAGATCTCGGCTCACTGCAATCTCCGCCTCCCGGTTTCAAGCGATTTTCCTGCCTCAGCCTCCTGAGTAGCTGGGATTAGAGGTGCGTACCACCATGCCCGGCTAATTTTTGTATTTTTAATAGAGACGGGGTTTCACCATGGTGGCCAGGCTGGTCTTGAACTCCTGACCTCAGGTGATCCGCCCGCCTCAGCCTCCCGAAGTGCTGGGATTAGAGGCGTGAGCCACCGCGCCCAGCAAAAAAAAAAAAACTCATTCTAATGGTTGTGAAGTGATACTGTGGCTTTAATTTTCATTTCCTCCATGCTTAGTGATGCTGAGCATCTTTTTTTTATATGTATTGCCATTTGTATATCTTCTTTTGAGAAATGTCTGTTCAGGTCCTTTGCCTATTTTGTAATCAGGTTGATTGTTTTCTTGCTATTTAGTTGTTTGAATTCCTTATATATTGTGCATATTAACCCTTTATTAGATATAAGGTTTGCAAATGTTTTCCCATTCTGTGGTTTGCCTCTTCACTTTGTTTCCTTTGCAGTGCAGAAACTTGTTAGTTTGATGCAATCCCATCTGTCTGCTTTAGCTTCTGTTGCTTGTGCTTTGGAGTCAAAAAAAAAAAAAAAAATCATTGCCCAGACAATGTCATGGAGCTTTTCCCTTATTTATTAATTTTTTCAGTATATAGGTTTATAGCTTCCAGTCTTGTATTTTAATCCATTTTGAGTTGATTTTTATATATGGTGTAAGATAGAAGTCTAATTTTATTCTTCTTCATGTGGATAACCAGTTTTCCCATCACCATTTATTAAAGAAGCTGTCCTTTTGTGTGTTCTTGGCACCTTTGTCAAAAATCAATCGACAATAAATACATGGGTTTATTTCTGGGCTTTCTATTCTCTTTCAAAGGTCAGTATGTCTGTTTCTATGCCAGTACCATGCCTTATTACAATCACTTTATAATAGATATAAATAGTGAATGTGATGCTTCCAGCTTTGTTCATTTTGCTCAAGATTTTTTTGTCTATTTGAGGTCTTTTGTGGTTCCATACAAATTTAAGAATTGTTTTTTCTATTCATGTAAAATATGACATTGGAGTTTTGACAAGGATTGCATTGAATCTGTAGATAGCTTTGGGTAGTGTAGACATTTTAACGATATTAATTCTTTCATGAACATGGAATATTTTCCATTTATTTGTGTTTTTGTCATTTTATCAGAGTTTTATAGTTTTCAGTGTACAGGTCTTTCATCTCTTTTGTTAAATTTATACCCAAGTATTTTATTTTGTTTTTGTTGCTATTGTAAATGGGATTGTTTTCTTAATTTCCTTTTCAGATAGTACATCATTATATAGAAATGCTACTGATTGTTTAATGTTGATTTTGTATCCTGCAACTTTACTGAATTTATCAGTTCTAACTTTTCTGTAACATCTTTAGGATTTCTATTTGCTGATCATGTCATCAGCAAATGGAGTTAATTTCAATTCCTTTCCTATTAGGATGACTTTTATGTCTTTCTCTTATCTAATTGCTCTGGCTCTATAAAACTAATCTTTTGAGAGTTTTTATGATGAAAGGGTGTTGAATTTTGTCAAATACTTTTTCCGTATCTATGGATATAATCACATGGTTTTTATCCTTCATTTTTGTTAATGTGGTGTAACACATTTTTTGATATGGACAGATTTTAAAGTCTGTTTTAATTTCCTCAGGAAATCAGCTACCATTAATTTGCTTGGTCCTCTATTCTGAACACATCTTCTCTCGGCAGCTGATCATATTCTCAATCCTTAGCTGGATATCTTCTTTGGAAAAGAAGTTTTCCCAGGATATGCCTATACATCTTTGATGAAACTGTCAAAGAAAAAATGTACCAGATGGAGTTAAATAGGCAAGGAAGACTTTATTCCAGACAATTGCAATAGGGGAGAGAAATTAAATAAACTCAGATCCAAATACATCAGGGACAGCTGGGGATCTATAGCTAATAGTAAGGGTAAGACAACCATTTGATAGAAAGTGACTACGAGGAACTTGATTAGATATCAAGGGTGGAAAAAGAGAAACTTGATAGGATTTTGAGGTGAGGAATTCTTACTGAATTGGCTTAGCAAGATTCTTGCTAAAACTAGGCTCAACTGGATTATTTGCTGAAATTGGGCTGGACAAGCCAAGGATGGGACCTAGTTGAGAGGAGGGCTCAGAGGAACCTAACTAAAGTTTGTTCAAGGGTGGAGTTTTTATAAATACCCACGGGAATTTCCTCAGCTTCCTAAAGGAATTGGTAGACCCACAGAACATGTAAGGCATCAGGGGGAGCATCTACATATGCTCCCAGCCTCTCCCAGTGTTGGTGGCTGCTTCCGCCTCCTCATAGCAGCTGCTCCTTGGCCTTCTGTTCAGTTCTGGGTCACGTTGTGCAGGCACCATCTCCAATCAGGTCTTGTCCATTACCTTAATTTAGAGGCTTGGGATAAAGTCTGAGTTACTGGTTTGAGCTAGGATAAGTGGATGCTTGATGATGGATGTGATCATAATGATTACTTACAGTAACACAGGCAGGCTATGGTGTTGGTCGGAAGGATGGCTGGACTTATAAGCATCCCAAACAGGCAGAAGAGGCTGTTAGGCCATTAGGAAAAGGGAGAACACTTTGGGTGAGATCTCATCACGCTAACATCAACAAAGTGGAAAGAAGGTGGGGCCACACTAGCTAAGGCAACACCACAAGAAAATGTTATTTCCCTCTGCAATTAGCACCATTACAGACCATATGAAGTACAATCAAGCACACATAACGGGAGCCAAAATAATGCTTTCATGAATTTTGTAAACTTAGTTACAGAGTCTCTGTGTAACCAATGGTAATTCAAAATATGAGCTAATGAATTATTAATGGTTTAATGGACTTGGTGAAAGTAGGATTCGATTTGGTTTTTTGGTATGTATGCGAAAATCAAAATGTCAAAGTAAGAAATCTGAAAATAAATAATTGGATTTAAAGGTTGTCTCTTACATCATAGAAGAGATTAATTTGTACGAAACACAAATACTTGTTTCTAATTTAGTTCTTGTCCTCTCTGTCCTCTAGGGCACACCTTTCCCTCACCTTGACACCTCACATTTCCCACCTCATTCTAACAGCTAAATTAGTGTCTATAAGGAATTTTCCAGACCTTCCGGGTTTCATCAACTCTATCTCCAATTCAATCCTCGTCTACACACACAGTTCAGGGGAGGCAAGATAGCGGCTACATTTTCTGTTCTTGACCTTCAGCTCCAAGGGACTGTTTCCCGGATGCTTCGGACCGAGTGTTTGGTAGTGTCTGGGGAGGACTCGGTCAGGGAGCCCCCTCCTTTCACCCTGGTACTAGGAGCTGAAGAGGCGAGATGCCAGGCGAACGGCTGAAGGCAGAGGTCTTTTTACCCCCATCTCCCTTGTCTCCCACACAAGTTGTAGGGCCCCTCCACCGTGTCTGGTCCTGAATTGGGAATGCCAGCTCCCAGCGCGGCGAGGCCCAGGTCCGGTCCTAGGTGAGTTTTTCTCTCCGGCTGGAAGACTCGACGCCGTGGATACCAGGGACCCGAGCCCTCCGGGGCTGCTGGCTTTGGAGGGATTTCCAGACGTTGCAGTCGGGGTGAGCGGAGAGACTAAGAAGTACAGGGGACTAGAGAAAGCAGATGAGGGTGAATTGTCTCATCAAGATGGGGGATAGGGAAAAGGGGCGAGAAGTAACCCGGGGCGCAAGGTCCACAGCGAAAAAAAAAAAAAAAACAAACAAAAAAACAAACAAAAGAAACACGCCCGAGACCAAGGCTCAGCCACTTTACACGCAGGACTTGGTTGTGGCAGCGAGGAGGGCTTCGAACCTAGGAAATTTTGAGGAAGCGTTTGTCTCCATCACAGGAATTGGGTTTCCACGTTGCTGCTGGAGCTTTTCGTAAGTCGATAAGAGCAGCATCTTTCTCTTTGTCTCCAAACCCGTGAATTTGATACGCTTTGAAAGCGTTCTTCTAGGCGAAAGAGCTTGGTACTTTCATGCTTGGATAGAAGGGGAGAGTTCAATACCGTGCACGCGACCACAAAGTTGTTTTCGACGAGAATTCGATGGGAAGCGGAGGAACGAATTTTTCCCACATTCAGAGGCCAAGCCAGGAACTGTAAAACGTTCACCTTTGAAAGGTCCCACCGAGATTCGAACTCGGATTGCTGGATTCAAAGTCCAGAGTGCTAACCATTACACCATGGGACCAACCACAAGGGTACAGTAGGTATGTATAGTCGTGGTTAAATACCTCCTTGATAATAAACTTTCTAGTTCCGATCCGAAAGAGTTAGGTCAGGCTTCAGTGAGACTCACGCTGACAGGAAAGCTGACGCTTTGCTGCTGAAGAAGGAGTAACTGTCAAAATAAAATTCAGGGAGATCTCTTCACTCTTTCCTGCGCTTTTGTTGGGAGCATAAATTAGCTTCCAGAAATCAACCGGGGCAGATTTGTGAGGTCTGAAACTTAACAATTTAGAAAGTCCTCTTTAAGAAAAAGAACAGCTGTTATCAACATAAAATTATGGGTACTCTAAGGCCTGTATGATGTATCTGAGGATAAGCTGGAGTAGGGAGAGGAAGCTGTCTTAACTAATTTTCACTATACTAGCATACTTTTGCAAATCTTACAAAATATGTTTCATACAGAGCAACCTCTTCCCAAGGCCTTGGAAAGCACAGCGCAAGGAAAGGATCTTAACACACTTTAGCGAGACTCACGATAAACATCCCTCTGGGGTGCAGATCTTTTAGCAATATCTATCAAAATAGTCTCTTCTACAGCCACTAAAAAGAATGGGATAGACATGTAACACATGTTGGCTTGGCAGTTTCTGGGGGAGGATTTAAGTTTAAAACAAACCAAAAAAGCCCAGTAACTTGGTGAATTGTAGTCTAGTATGATTTAAGTTTTGCAAATTATAATGAGTTATAATTGTGACTCAGTTATATTTGTACATAATAATATTGTACTCAATTTTGTATGTACATTTTAAAAATAGGTTGGAGGTACATACAACAAACTCGGCATCAATTTTTCTGAGGAATGGAACTGAGGATGAAGAAACTTCACTTCTTGCCACGTTGACTTTTTAAATATTTGACTTTTTTTATAAGTGTCTATCACTGTTGTAGTAATTAACAAATGCAAATCTACAAAACAACAAACAAAACAGTAAGGCTCGTCAGTAAAGGACTTAGAAGTCATGCTTACTCCATGTTAACTGCCTACTGTGCTCAGCATGGCAGAGATCACTGCCTTGCAGAATGAGAAAAAGGTAGTAGAATCCCTGATTGCAAAGGATAGTTAGCGGGGGAAACAAAAGATAAGTTCAGCACGTTAAAAGTGACTGGGAAAATGATCTTTTCAGGGTTGGATGACACAGGCACACAGACAAAAATTTTATACAGAATTTTACTCAAGACCATTCACGGACTCTAAGCGTAAGATTTCTTTTTTATTTAGAGATTTCTAAAAGAGATGTTCTGATTATTCAAAGACTCTCTACTCAGAAATGCCAAAATGTGAGAAATCAACATGAGGACCACAGCAGAAGGAAACAGAGAATGGAGAAGGGAACCAGGCAGCAATTCAACAAATATTCCTTGGGCATCTCTGCGCTACCAGAGGTATGGAGGAACCCAGTGACTGCTTGAAAAGAATGTTCTGGTTACTCCACTCCAGTGATTCGCTAGGCGCTGATCAGCCGTCCAGATTTTGTTAGATTTCTGGGACCAGTTTCCCACAGTTGTTTAGTCACGGCTCTGTGCTCCGTGACTAAACAACTGAGGCTCATTCTCGGTGGTCTTGGTTTTCTAATCCGTAAAATGGAAACAATGGACTAACTCTTACATTTCTTTTTAAGTCTGATTTAGGGTGAAAGGGAAAGGTGAAAGTGGCCCGAAATTAACGAGGAAAGGCGGGGGACGATCCTACAGATTCGCTGACGTGGTAGTCCTTAGGGATGCTCCTCTCCATTTTGTTTCAGGTCGCTGCGGTGAGCACCACGGGTCTGAGTGCCAGCGATGGTTTATCACGGTGACAGGAAAACACAGACCAGCAGCATCTACTCCAGCACTACTCACACTGTGGAACTCTTTTCACCGTGATGCCAGATAACTAGGTAATTCCGGAGTTAATTCTCCGTCGTTTCCAGAGTACTTGCCTCCCCAGAATTACTGGTACCGTAGGTGTTTGCACAACCAGTGAGAAGACGGCACCACCTGGAATCCTAGAGCGGACCGGAAGTGAGCGTGGCTCACCGGGCCCGGCCGGAACCTACGGGCACAGCTGCGGGTGTGTCTGCGGAACCTCCACCTGAGCTGTAGAGTGTTTCCCTCGACCCACTAGTCTGGGTTCCACAGGGTCTGAGCTCCTCAGAGGTGGGAGCTGCGGCCGAGGGAAGGGTGCATGTGCGCGGCGACAATCGGGCCTCTTCCCCAGGCAGCTTGTGAGCCCCTCTCCCTCTCCGCCCTCGCCCAGGCTGCTCCGATCTTCGTTTCCTTGCCTAGGCTCATACACCCAGGCTTTATTTAGGGCCAAAGTATCCGTCATAACCTCGGTTTTCTGTCTCGCAAGTATCTTGCCGCTCAATTTGTGACCCTGAAGCTTTAGTGAGTCGCTCTGTGCTCACTATTTCTGGTCTTTTCAGAGGATGGCTTCACTTTCAATGGAATTGCCCGAGTAACTGCCCTGTGTTGTCACGTAAACAAGTCCTTTTAAACTGAGTCTGTAGTTGTCCTGTGTTGAGTGTTTTCTTATATCAAAAACTTTCCTGACCAAGAACAAAAAAGGAGCTCAAGTAAAATCACCCATTTGACTAGACCCCAACTGGAGAGAACCTTTGCCTGAGCTGTCTAAGCTCGGGATGGAAGCAGTCTCTAGGGTCTTCCCAGCCTTGGCTGGCCAGGCTCCAGAAGAACAAGGGGAGATTATCAAAGTAAAGGTTAAAGAAGAAGACCACACTTGGGATCAGGAATCAGCCCTACGTAGGAATTTGTCTTATACCAGGGAACTCTCTCGTCAGCGCTTCAGGCAGTTCTGCTATCAGGAGACACCTGGGCCCAGGGAGGCTCTGAGTCAACTGCGGGAACTTTGCCGTCAGTGGCTGAACCCAGAGATACATACCAAGGAGCAGATCCTGGAATTGTTGGTGCTGGAGCAGTTCCTGACCATCCTGCCTGAGGAGCTCCAGTCTTGGGTGCGGGAGCATAATCCTGAGAGTGGAGAAGAGGTGGTGACTTTGCTGGAAGATTTGGAGAGGGAGCTTGATGAACCTAGACAGCAGGTGAGAAATTGGAGGTGCCATCTTCTGTGGAGAATTTGGGTGCATGGATCCAGAATGGAGTAATGGGAGTAATTTCGCGCTGGTGGTTGGAAACCCTGGTTTGGGGCATTATTTCTTATTTGATCACTGGTGTAGATGAATAGATGCGTGCATATGAGATAACAGTTTTTGTGTATGATACAAATAATTAAATGATTTAACCAAATGGAAAAGCTTGATCTATTTTTTACCAGTAGAAAATATATTTTATGTAGTGACTATGAGATTAAAGAAATATACAATAGTAAATTTTTTTAAAAAAATTACTGTCTTTTGAAGCTATCTAGGCTCTGTTACTAATTAGCTGTGTAACCTTGGGCATATTACACCTTCTCTGGGACATTAATGTCTTCATCTGTACAATGAAAATACTAATTGCATGATTTCCTTGGTTCTTTTCAGTATCTAGAGTTGGTATGTAAAATGTTTTGAGCTCAAAATTATTTTTAGAAGAATTTTAAAAGCTTTTTGCCATTACAGTGGAGTTGTTTCTAAAGGAGTATATTTGCCTTCTTTGACAGTAATTTTAGAACATTGTGGATATTGCCAGACATTCTTATATTTTTTAGTGATACTATTCATACATTTATCTGAACTCTTTCAGAATGTGAACCCTTTATGTATACAGTCTGATCTGTTAAAAACGCATGTTTCTGGAATGCAAAATCTTTTAAAATGAGGTCAGTATGCCAGAAATGAGTCAGTATAATGCTGAAATTGTGTAAGCTCATGTATGAGTTTTCCCAGCAAGTTGATGTTTGGGGCCACCAGGTGGGAGTAGCTGAATTCAGAGTATCTGATGTAGCTGAGCACAGCAAGTCCTGAATACATACAGTACTGTACATAATTCCCATTTGCCCCCACATCCTTCCTCTGGCTGTCTTGGAAGCACTTATTTACATTGTTCCCTCCCATCTTTGTGTATTTTTTGCTAAAGTTTTTTGTATTCCAGAAAAGGAGCAAGCAGAGGGTTTTGCAAGTGCCATAGAAGTGTGCTTGTGATAAAATTTCTGCTAGTGAGTATAAAAGAAGAAAAGCTTTAACAATTGAAGACAAGTTTGAAACTATACAGTGTTTTGAAAGAAAAGAAACTGTGAGATTGGTCATGCAACTGGCATAAAGGAGTAAATGTATGTACAATTAGAGACAATGATGGGAAAAATAAAATTATCTAGCTGGAACAACTGCCAGTGTTATGAAATCTGTTGGAACAAGGAATAAGGAAATGGAGGAAATGGAGCATTTGTTAAGTGTGTGGATTGAATACCAAACAAGGAAGCAATCCAATGCAGTCTTTCTCAGAGTTAAAGAAAATACCTTCACAATGTATGGAGACATTAAGAAAAAAAGATGGAAGTCCCGCAGAAGTGCCTTCATTTAGTGGAAGTAGTGGCTGGTTTAGTATCTTCAAGAACTACTGTACTTTCCACAGTGTTAAACTGTCTGTGCAGACGAGGCTGTAAGTGCAGATGAAGAAGCTGCAAAGACATTTTCCCCTCATTAAGAAATTAGATTGATAAGGAAGGCCATCCCCTGGCTCAGATTTTTACTTTTTATGAAACCAGTCTCTATTGGAAGCAGATGCCCTCAAGGGGATATGTGGAGAATTTGGATGCATTGATCCAGAATGGAGTAAGCAGGACTGGAAGTACTCTAGAAACACACTGTGGGGTTTAAGGCTACAAAGGATCAACTGATGGTGATGCTGGGTGCAAATGCCAGTGGAATTTTAAAGCTAAAGCCTGTGATTATCATTCTGCCAATCTATAAGCTTTAAAATGAATTGTAAAGACTAGCCTTGGTGCCTACTACAGGTCTAGCAAGAGAGACTAGATGACAGGGCAGATATTTTCTGATCTTTCGGGTGATTTTTTTGTAGATTAAAAAAAATAAAACATTGCAAGAGAAAAAAATTGTCTTTTAAAATTCTTATAATTCTCAGTGATACACCAAGCCACCCTCCAGTAGTCACTGAGCTTTCCTCAAATATCACAGTTCTCATTTTACCTCCCAATACAACTTCTTTACTGCAGCCCCTTAATCATGGTGTGATTGCAATCTTTAAAGCTTATTATTTAAAGCAAACATTCAAGATATTGGTTGCCTATACAGGGGGTGACAGTGCCCTAACATTTTTTGAATTCTGTAAATGATTCAACATTAAACTTATTATTGATATTATTGTAGAGGCCTGGAATGATTTCACAAAAGCCTGTTTGCACGGGGTGTGATATACAATTCTCCCTGATTTAATTTATGATTCCAAAGCCTTTGAGCCTTCAGAAGATCTCCCCAAAACCAACCCAAGCTGTATCGCTCTTGCAAAGGGGGTTGGATTTGAAGAAGTTGCTAGTGAGGATAATGCGGAGCTGCTGCAATCTGACACACAGGATCTTTCTACAGAAGAGCTGCAAGTTAGTTGCTGAGGCACAAATGGAAGGTGTGGAGGAAGAAGAACATGCAGTTCCACAAGCTACAAGCTGCCTCCCAAGAGCTTTTCACTTCTCAGTTATCTTCTGCTTCAAGTATGATAGAGAAGCAGTTGGAGTAGATAAAAGATAATGACTACAATGCAGAACGCAGCATGATTTCACTTCATGACATAAAGCCCTAATTGGACCCATATAAACAGCTTCTTTATGAAAGAAGGAAAGTGTTAAAACAGCAAACACTGGGTATCTTTTTATAAGCCAGTGTCAAATAAATAAAAACAAGATGATAAACGGGAACCCACATCATGTTTCTTGTAGTATCACTATATCCAAGGGTGGAAGAATATAACATCAAATGTTCAAGCGTCTTCACTTGGATTTTTGATGATTATATCTTTCCACCTTTGAATTGTTGTTGTTGTTGTTTGTTTGTTTGTTTTGAGACAGAGTCTCGCTCTGTCCCCTGGGCTGCAGTGTAGTGGCACGATCTCGGCTCACTGCAAGCTCTGCCTCCGGGGTTCAGTCATTCTCCTGCCTCAGCCTCCCGAGTAGCTGGGACTACAGGCGCCCGCCACCACGCCCGGCTAATTTTTAGTAGATACGAGGTTTCACCGTGTTAACCAGGATGGTCTCAGTCTCCTGACCTCGTGATCCGCCCACCTCGGCCTCCCAAAGTGTTGGGAATACAGGCGTGAGCCACCGTGCCCGACCCACCTTTGAATTTTTGATGATTATATCCTTCCACCCTTGCCCCCCCTTTCCTCACACTTGTTTCTAACAAGATAACATCACCTTTCTAAGGTAAAATCCTATACTTAAAGTAAGATTTATTAATGTCTTATATTTTTACTAGAGTTTTTATAGTGTTTTTTATTTTATTTTATTTTTATTTTTATTTTTTGAGACGGAGTCTCACTCTGTCCCCAGGCAGGAGTGCAGTGGCAGGATCTTGGCTCACTGCAACCTCTGCCTCCCTGGTACAAGCGATTCTCCTGCCTCAGCCTCCTAAGTAGCTGGGATTTACAGGCAAGCGCCACCACGCCCAGCTAATTTTTGTATTTTTAGTAGAGACGTGGCTTCACCATGTTGGCCAGGATGGTCTCGATCTCTTGATCTCATGATCCGCCCGCGTCAGCCTCCCAAAGTGCTGGGAGTACAGGCGTGAGCCACCGTGCGCCAGCCGGGAGTTGTTATAGTTTTAATAATGCTCTAGTGACAAAGTTGTGTAGGTGTTAAAATAGTCCACCCTTTAACCGTATTTTCCCCATAAATCCTGTCACTTTTCTGCAGTTTTGCAGAAAGCATGTTTTTTTAATACATTCATATGTTATGTTGCAGCACAAATGCCTATATAAGCAGTTTCTCACGTCTAGTCAGCACACCCTTTTCTCTTTGCTTTAAATAACAAATACTGTAGTTTTTTTCCCCCTTAAGATATGCCTGTTACTTTAGAATAGGGGTATCCAATCTTTTGGCTTCCCTGGGCCATATTGGAAGAATAATTGTCTTGGGCCACACTAAAATACACTAACACTAACGATTGCTGATGAGCTTAAAAAAAATCACAAAACAATCTTACAATGTTTTAAGAAAGTTTACAAGATTGTGTTGGGCCACATTCAGAACTGTCCTGGGCTGCAAGTGGCCTGCAGGCTGCAGGGTGGATAAGCTTGCTTTAAAATTTCCCCTTCTAGCTTTGTTGAAAAATGTAGCTTCTGGTAGGACTTGGTGTTTGGTCAGTTCCTTGGGTATTGTTCAGGTTATACGCTGATCATGTTTGATAGTTTTTTTAATGTGGTCAGAGTTATAAATATCTCTTAGTGTTGTTGAATATCAAGTTTGTATAAATGTTTCTCATTTTTCTTGTTTTTGTGTGATTTCCCCCACAGGGGAAATACCACTGGCAGACACTTTTAGCTGCCAACCCAGTGTCTATTCTACCCTTCTTTCCTCCCGACAAAATGTTGGTTTTGTTCATACTGGCAATATATCTAATTAAATTCTTTTCCAGGCTTCCTTGTTCTAGAGTTAACTATGCAACAGAATTCTGGCCAGGGAGAAATAAGCATATTTCGGGGAGGAGGTTCCTGGGGAAGCTTTTATTTTCCTGATAGGATAGGGGAGATTACTTTAGTTTCACCTTTTCTCACTTCCAGTCTTGAACACTAATATGATATCTGGCCATCTTCTGACCATTAAGTGATGGTAAGCATGAGGCCAAATGCTAGTGTTAAAAGTGACAGAGCAGAAATATGAAGACAGCTAGGGTCCCTGAAAAACTGTTAGATAAATGAGTTGGTGCCAGCAACTACCTTCTTCTAGGCTTCTTGTTATGTAACAAAAATAAACCCCTATTTGTTTGTGCCACTGTAAGTTAGATGTTCGAATTTATTGGAAATATGTGCATTTCTAATGAACACAGCAATATTTACTCTACCATATTACAACCAAAAGTTTCTTTCCAGCATTTTTATTTATTTATTTGAGATGGAATCTCACTCTGTCACCCAGGCTGGAGGGCAGTGGCACGATCTTGGCTCACTGCAACCTCCACCTCCCAGGCTCAAGCAATCTGCCTTCCTCAGCCTCCTGAGTAGCTGGGACCACAGATATGTGCTACCATGCCTGGCTAATTTTTTGTATTTTGGGCAGTGATGAGGTTTCACTATGTTGCCCAGGCTGGTCTCGAATTCCTGAGCTCAAGCAATCCTCCCACCTCGGCCTCCCAAAGTGCTGAGATTACAGATGTCAGCTACTGCACTCAGCTTCTTTCCAGCGTTAAAAAAAATCAAACCCAGGAATTGAATACTGAAAGACTAATGACTGTCATGACCAGTTTGAAGTAACTTCAGTTTTGTAATTTATTACCACTACCCAAGGTACTCTTCAAACTTCTGTGGTAGAGGCAGAAGTGGAGTTCCTCCCGGTTCTAAGACCAGGCCCACCCATTTTGGTCTAGTCCAGCTGGTGGAAAAGTAGAGGAATCAAGAGACTAGATTTGTGTTTGTGCTTGGGGGGGTGGGGGGGTGGGGGAGAGTCAGTGAATAATTCAGCACAATGAACCATATCCATATTTTGTTTCTTAGTTGCTCCAAAAGCTGGGATTGTGTATACTAACATTACAGAATTGATACATTGTTTAATTATAAACAGCAGGTGGCCCTCTTTCACAGATTCTGTTTCTGGCAGTTATGCAAAGATTTAGACAAATTGAAATGCATGCTATTATATTATACAAAGCAATTTACATAAGATACCTTATTAAGCTCAGAGAAGGGAAAAACATACCAAAGGGAACTGGCTTAACCATTTTATGAATTTTGAGAAAATGATTTTTTGAAATGTGCTTTGCACAGTTTAAGAATTTTTTTTTTTTTTTGAGACGGAGTCTCGCTCTGTCGTGCAGTGGCATGATCTCAACTCACTGCAACCTCTGCCTCCTGAGTTCAAATGATCCTCCTGCCTCAGCCTCCTGAGTAGCTGGGACTACAGGCGTGCACCACCTCGTCTGGCTAATTTTTGTGTTTTTAGTAGAGATGGGGTTTCATCATGTTGGCTAAGTTGGTCCCGAACTCGTTACCTCAGGTGATGCATCCACCTTGGCCTCCTTTTATTAGTCCCAAAATGCTGGGATTACAGGCATGAGCCACCATGCCCGGCAAGAATAAATTTATTATGTGGTATCCAAGTTGGAGGAAAGGAGCATGACACAGAATCTTAAATCCCAACATGATATTCTAATAATATGTAGGCTTTCATCTCCTCCTATGTCACTGGATATTCCCTTTTAGAATATTCTGGTTTATGTGCAATTTTGGGATTCACTATCCATGGACATTTTCCAACTCGATGTAGCGTAAGTGTAACCATTAATAACTCTGTAATCCTTTAACAATTTGTACATTTTCTTAGGCCTGGTGAATCTGCATTATTAATAGTAGAGACAGGGTTTCTCCATGTTGGCCAGGCTGCTCTCGAACTCCTGACCTCAGGTGATCCACCTGCCTCGACCTCCCAAAGTGCTGGGATTACAGGCATGAGCCACTGCACCCAGCCCAATATTTACTTTTAATTAACCACACTGGAACTCATTTACAATTTTTTTCAGTCATCACGGTTTAGGAGATATTTCTTTAACGTGCTTTCATTGTTATTCCCAGAAACAGAAACCAAAGGGATGCGTTTTAACTCCTGTCCTATAGAGACATCAGTTTCTGTTGTATGGCTCTGGCTTTATTAGTCCCAGCATTTTTCATTTCTCTTCATGTTTTATCTTGTACTTAAGAATTCAGTAAAGACTGATTTTCTTCTTACATTCTATTTTAGTGGAAGAATACAAGTTTAGCTATGACAAACTACAATTATTTGTATTGTTTACCAAATGCACCTACTTGTCCACAGGTCTCACAGGGCACATATGGGCAGGAAGTTTCTATGGAAGAAATGATCCCTCTGGATTCTGCAAAGGAGTCTTTAGGCACCCAGCTTCAGTCTATGGAAGATAGAATGGAATGTGAATCTCCAGAGCCACACCCACTTCAAGATAATGGTGAGAATAATTTAGTTCTAAGAAAGAAGGTGAGACTTGGGAGAATGAAGGGTCTAGTATTGAAAGTTATCAAACCTCATTCCATTTCAGCTTCTATTGAATGTATTAATAGTTGAAGGAAAAGCCAATCAGTATAGTGTAATGTTATTAAGGGAGTTGAATTAAAACAGTCAGATAATAATGTCAAAAATACTTGAACACAAGATTTTTCATGGATACTTTGTAATGAAGTTAGTAAGTACCTGTGGATAAATCAGATACCTCTGTATGTAAATACTGAGCACTTGTCAGTGTAGTCATGGGTCCCATTGCTGTAGCCTCTGACCACAATTTTTGTCACATAATGACTGTGTATACATTGGAAATACTATTTGGAAATTCTACCTTAGAATATGGAATTTCTGAAGTCTATGTTTATTAGTGTTCTAAGGTCTGTTATTGGTATAATGTATAGTAGAGGTGGAGTCTGGCCTGGTTCTGGAACAGCTATCTTTTCCATTTAAAAAGGATTAGGTAAAATGGATACAATGTTTTTCTCCTCTTATAGCCCTAACAATTTTCTTAGACATTAATATTGATTCTACAAACTTCTGGGGCTCATATTTTCCTGGTTCTCTTGACATTGCCCTGTATTTCTTCTTCTAATTCATTCTTATTTATTTTCCTTCTCTGCTTCTAGTTCTATAGCATGGCACAAAATGGATCAGTATGGAAAGAAATGCTATCCATAGGATGGTCTTTTTCAGTCACATTTTGAGATAGCACTTACCATTATTGTTATTTTATTATAAAGTTAACAATTTTCTATTGAACACTAGATGTAGTAACGTGTTAGATAATGTGAAAGATACTAGAGAAATAAGTGATCTCTGTTTCTTTAGAAACTTACAGTCTTGTTGCATCTACCTATAAAACAGTTAAAGAAAAAACTGCGATAGTGCTAACTTGTGTTATAAATAGATAATGATTTTCAGGAAAGGAAAACTCACTGTGAGTTTAAATTTAATGATCAAAGAAGCCTTACTGGAACAATTGAGAGTTAAATGAGGCCAAACCACACAGTAACATATCATTAATTTTAACCTAGTTTTAGAAAATATAAACATTTTAGATGATTTAAATTTAGTAGTTCATTACTGCTACAGAACCAAACGGGTTCACTTGCCTGGCACAGGAAAGCCAAACATCCACATCAACAGGAGAAAAGAGGGCATTTATTTGCAGAGTGTCAAGCAAGGAGAATTGGTCCCCTCAAAATTAAGACCCAGTTTCCCCAATGGTTTGCAAGTAAAGTTTTTTTAAAAGAAGGGAGTCAGAGGTTACAAGCAAAGTCATAAATCAATACGTGGACACTGTACATTATTTTGACCTAAAAAGGTAGGATGGACATCTCAGAGAAGGGGCTTACAGGTCATAGGTAGATTCAAAGATTTTTTGATTTGCAATTGGTTAAGGAGGCAAAGCTTTGTCTGAAAATTTGGGATCAGCAGAAAAAAAGGTTAGCTCTGGCTTGCGGGTGTGACTTCTTCCAGGCCCCACAGGAAGAACTTTAGAACAAAGCAGCGGTTGGAGTTCAGTCCTCAGTTCCCCATTATCTGAGGTCTTCAGACCAGTGGATCCATTTGGTGGAGGTATGGGTTTCTGAAAAACAACTTAGGGATATATGTTAAGATGCTATCTTTAGTTAATATAGGGAACATCTCATGACTAACTTTTTTGGATGTTGTTTTAAGGTATTACCTTCTTGTTTATCAAGTTGCTCATTTACTTCTTAAAGATAGTTAGATGCCTGGAATTTCCCTTGAAGGAACTCAAGATTTTCTGTTATTACCATGCTTGGGGTTAGGGGTGGCTGACAGGCCCCTAAGAGGGGTCCCTGCTCTGTCTCACTATTTGGTATGCAAATTGATAGTATAAATGATGTTGACTTGAGTGAAAGTATTTTTCCAAGCAACTATAAAACTATCTAGAGATGTTATGCTAATTCCAAATTATTATTTTTTACTTTTTCCAAAATAGTTTTTTTCCTTAACACTTAGCCAAATTTGAAGTATTCTTAGTGTTTCTGTTATTATGAGTATTCTAGAAATTTCTTTTAATAAGCTTTATTAAGTCAGAAATTTTTCACTGATTTTGACTCATCCAGTACTCTTATTAAAATTAGTAATGAAGCTATTTGTATTGAGTTTGTAGTTAATAGCCCTAAAAGGGAGCTGATATGAATATATTAGGTTGGAACTTACTCCTCAAATGTTGATGTAATAGCTAACCTGACTGAATAAAAGAGAAAATGTGTAGTGTGGAGATTTTTTTAAAAATCTATTATTGTCTTGCTGAGGTTCCTCCAAAAAAAAAAAGTCTGAGACCGGGTGTGGTGGCTCACGCCTGTAATCCCAGCATTTTAGGAGGCCAAGGCAGGTGGATCATGAGGTCAGGAGATCGAGACCATCCTGGCTAACACAGTGAAACCCCGTCTCTACTAAAAATACAAAAAAAAAAAAAAAGTCTTTGCATAGTAAACAAACAAGTAAATGTTAATTTGCATCCTATTTTACATAAAACAGTGCTTCAATCCTGAAAACTGCTCTGGAAATTCATGTCCTGGCTTTCTGCTCTTTATTGTTTGAAACTTTTTGTTATTGGCTGGAGTTTCATTTACGCTCTTCATTCCACCAAAGTTGGATTCCTTAATCAAAATGGTATCCCCCTGGCCTGGTGCAGTAACTCACGCCTGTAATCCTAGCACTTTGGGAGGCTGAGGCTGGCAGGCAGATTGCTTGAGACCAGGAGTTCAAGACCAGTCTGGCCAACATGGTGAAACCCCATCTCTACTAAAAATAAAAACATTAGTCAAGTGTCATGGTGCGCACCTGTAGTCCCAGCTACTCGGGAGGCTGAGATAGGAGAATTGCTTGAATCTAGGAGGCAGAAGTTGCAGTGAGCTGAGATTGTGCCACTGCACTCTAGCCTGGGCAACAGAGTGAGACTCTGTCTCAAAAAAGAAAGAAAATGGTATCCCCTTTTGTGTGTCCATATTCCCTACTTCTACCTCAAGCACTACTGGCTCCTTTGGCAATATATGTCTTTTAAATTATATTCCTGAATATTCTAATTGATTTTTTTCCTTTGTTTTTAGGGTCATTTTTGTGGTTTTCCATGATGTCTCAAAGCATGGGTGGTGATAACCTCAGTAGCTTAGATACTAATGAAGCAGAAATTGAACCAGAAAACATGAGAGAAAAGTTCTTCAGAAGCTTAGCAAGGTTACTGGAAAACAAAAGTAATAATACTAAGATATTTTCTAAAGCAAAGTACTGTCAGTTGATAAAGGAAGTGAAAGAAGCTAAAGCTAAGGCGAAAAAGGAATCAGTTGACTACCGTCGCTTGGCTAGATTTGATGTTATCCTTGTACAAGGAAATGAGAAGCTAATTGAGGCTGTAAATGGGGAAACAGATAAAATACGGTATTACTTACACAGTGAGGACTTATTTGACATTCTGCATAATACACATCTCAGCATTGGACATGGTGGACGTACTCGCATGGAGAAAGAGTTACAAGCGAAATACAAGAACATCACAAAAGAAGTTATAATGCTGTATCTGACCCTCTGTAAACCATGCCAACAGAAAAATTCAAAACTCAAGAAGGTTCTAACATCAAAATCAATTAAGGAAGTTAGTTCAAGATGCCAAGTAGATCTTATAGACATGCAGTTGAATCCTGATGGGGAGTACAGATTTATTTTGCATTATCAAGATCTCTGTACAAAGTTAACTTTTTTACGGTCATTAAAGTCTAAAAGGCCTACGGAAGTTGCACATGCTCTTTTAGATATATTTACAATTATTGGAGCACCCAGTGTCCTACAATCTGACAATGGGAGGGAATTTTCAAGCCAGGTTGTCAGTGAACTCAGTAATATTTGGCCAGAATTGAAAATTGTCCATGGGAAGTCTCAGACCTGCCAAAGCCAGAGTTCTGCAGAACAAACTGAGGATATCCGAAAGAGGATTTTCTCCTGGATGCAAACTAACAACTCATCACACTGGACTGAATTTTTGTGGTTCATTCAGATGTCCCAAAATCAGCCCTATCACAGAAGCATGCAACAGACTCCATGTGAAAGTGCATTTAGCTCTGAAGCTAAACTGGGCTTGTCCCATTCTCAGCTAACTGAAGAACTTGTTGCCAGCTTGCATACAGAAAATGAATTAGATCAGGCTGACAAAGAGTTAGAAAATACTTTAAGAGCCCAGTATGAAGAAAACATTGAGACTGGAACAGACAGTAGTGATATTGAAGAGAATCTTTCTGTCACTCCTAAGGTGGCTGAAAAAAGCCCTCCTGAGAGCAGACTAAGATTTTTATCCTGTGTAGTTTGTGAAAAAGAATGCACAGGTGTTAATAGTTGTATATCATGTGATGGAAATATCCATGCAATTTGTGGAGTGCCCTCTCAACATGGGACTGAGGGCTGTGGTCGGCAAATAACTTGTAGCCTTTGCTATGAAACCAGCACAATGAAAAGGAAACATGATGAGATTCAAAGAAGTTTGCCTGTTAAACCTTCCAAAATGCTAAAGCCATCAGGGACACCATTTTCACCAGACAAAGTAGGAGATTGGGTAAGATTGAATATCTGCCGTAGATGAAAGCAGGGGAAGAATCTCATTACAGTGTACTGTGAATAAGTGTTGTGTGACAAGGTATATGAAAGCACATTTTTATTACCTTGGATATATTTCCCCCAAAGAAGGCCTAATTACTTTTAATGCTTCTTCTCAAATCAAGTGAAGAAGTATTTGTAGGGGTAGGGGATGATAAATTTGCTTGGAAGATATGGGTTTGTGTTGGGAAAGACTTCAGTTTGGGAATTTAAATGGAGAGCATGAAATAGAACCAAAAAAATTTAAAATCAATAGGCTTTATGAAGTAGGGTTAATGTTTTGAAATATGGAGGTTACTTATGACTTAAACTAGTGGTACGCAACATGTGATCAGTAGAGCAGTACTGGTATAAAAACTCCAGTCCATAAGGAAATAAATATAAAAATTAAGCGTAAATATTTAGAAACCTTTATAACAATTGACATTACTGCAACATCCAAGCACATGATTAATGGACTCATCTTACTGAATAGAATATAGACCAATTTAGGTATTGTTAAACTCTCAAGGTGAGTCACATGTGGTGGCAGTTACACACTAGTCAAACACAATAGGTCCCCATTACAACCTGTGATACTTTATGTTTCGTTTATCAGCCATAACCCAAAGATGTATAAAACTCTGAGAAAATATAGGCATTTATTTATTTTTATAACTTAACTTTAAAATAATTTTTTATTTTAATCAAATCTAGTTTTTAACTTGTGGTATAACACTGTTAGCTGAAGGAGGAAAGTAAAATTCATATTATTTACTTTTATTCCTAATTTCAGATGGCGAAACAAGCTTCACTGGACTTTTTTGTCAAGAAAAGACATGCCTTTTCTGAACACAGTAGTAGTAATAAAAGAAATGTTAACAATAGAAGTTATCCTGAAGAAGGGAAAACCAAAAGAGTTCATGCTAGTTTCACTCGGAAATATGATCCTTCATATATTGAGTTTGGTTTTGTAGCTGTAATTGATGGTGAAGTACTAAAACCACAGTGTATTATTTGTGGAGATGTACTGGCTAATGAAGCAATGAAACCATCAAAACTTAAGCGACATTTATATTCAAAACATAAAGAAATAAGTTCACAACCAAAAGAATTCTTTGAAAGAAAGAGTAGTGAATTGAAAAGCCAACCAAAGCAGGTGTTCAACGTTTCTCATATAAACATTAGTGCTTTGCGGGCTTCATATAAAGTAGCACTTCCGGTTGCCAAGTCTAAAACACCATACACAATTGCTGAGACACTAGTGAAAGACTGCATCAAAGAAGTTTGCTTGGAAATGTTGGGTGAATCTGCAGCAAAGAAGGTAGCTCAGGTACCACTTTCCAATGACACCATAGCTCGACGTATTCAGGAACTGGCTAATGATATGGAAGATCAACTCATAGAACAAATAAAACTAGCAAAGTATTTTTCATTGCAACTTGATGAATGCAGAGATATTGCTAACATGATAATTCTTTTAGTCTATGTGAGGTTTGAACATGATGATGATATAAAGGAAGAGTTCTTTTTTTCAGCCTCTTTGCCTACAAACACAACTAGCTCAGAACTGTATGAAGCTGTAAAGAATTATATTGTTAACAAATGTGGTTTGGAATTTAAATTTTGTGTAGGAGTATGTTCTGATGGTGCAGCTTCAATGACAGGAAAACATTCTGAAGTGGTAACCCAGATTAAGGAACTTGCGCCAGAATGTAAAACAACACATTGCTTCATTCATCGAGAAAGTCTTGCCATGAAAAAAATATCAGCTGAACTAAATAGTGTACTTAATGATATAGTAAAAATTGTGAATTATATAAAATCTAATTCATTGAATTCAAGATTATTCTCTTTATTATGTGATAATATGGAAGCTGATCATAAGCAACTGTTACTGCATGCTGAGATACGGTGGTTATCACGGGGAAAAGTTCTGTCAAGAATGTTTGAAATACGAAATGAACTCTTAGTGTTTCTGCAAGGCAAGAAACCCATGTGGTCCCAACTTTTTAAAGATGTGAATTGGACAGCCAGACTTGCTTATTTGTCTGATATCTTCAGTATTTTTAATGATCTTAATGCTTCTATGCAAGGGAAGAATGCAACTTATTTTTCAATGGCAGATAAAGTTGAAGGACAAAAACAGAAGTTAGAAGCTTGGAAAAACAGAATTTCTACAGATTGTTATGACATGTTTCATAATTTAACAACAATTATCAATGAAGTAGGTAATGATCTTGATATTGCACATCTGCGAAAAGTTATCAGTGAACATCTTACAAATTTGTTAGAATGTTTTGAATTTTATTTTCCATCAAAAGAAGATCCACGCATAGGAAATTTGTGGATCCAAAATCCATTTCTTTCATCAAAAGATAACTTAAATTTAACTGTAACTCTACAGGATAAGTTGTTGAAGCTGGCTACCGACGAAGGATTGAAAATCAGTTTTGAAAATACAGCATCACTTCCTTCATTTTGGATAAAAGCTAAAAATGACTATCCTGAGCTTGCTGAGATTGCTTTAAAATTGCTGCTTCTTTTCCCCTCAACATACCTCTGTGAGACCGGATTCTCTACTTTAAGTGTTATTAAAACAAAACATAGAAACAGTTTAAATATACATTATCCCCTGAGGGTAGCATTGTCATCAATCCAACCTAGATTAGACAAATTAACAAGCAAGAAGCAAGCTCACTTATCACATTAAAAGCTTTAAATATTGATATGTAAGGTATTGGTTCAAAGTATGCATATAAGCATTGAGTGTGAGGAATTTGCTATTTCACTTTAAACTTTCTGTCTAGTTACAGTTATGGAAGTATGAGAAGTTATGAGTGAAACAGCAATTTTCTATATAAATTGCCTATATGTATATTTTCAATTAAGAATGTGTACAGTTTTTATAATTCTATTTTTCCTCATATTTGTCGTATTTATTAAAATATAATTTTAAATCTGTTGATTCTAATATTAAAACATTTGATCTTATATTTTGTGTCTTCTTCTTGTATTTCATTAGCATGTTAAGATTGTAGGACAACTTCAGGATGGGAGATGGTTTCTTTGAAATAGACAAGGTCAGTGAAAGGAAGTGAATTCAAAGGGGTAGGCTTAGAATTCAAATGCAGGGGACAGGTCAGTAGGGTATGAAGTTTGTTAAACTGATCCAGAGTGGTTAGGTTGGAAGTTGATGTTGTTTGTTTTGTAGGTGCATGTTTAGACAAAGATGGAAGGGAACACTTATTTTGTAATGGTGTTATGGCCTTGGATTCATATTGATAAATTTATTTACTTATTTATTTTTGAGGCAGGGTCTTGCTCTGTTGCCCAGGCTGGAGTGCATTGGTGCAATCTCTGCTCACTGCAACCTGTACCTCCTGGGTTCAAGTGATTCTCTTGCCTCAGTCTTCCGAGTAACTGAGATTACAGGCACCCACCACCATGCCTGGCTAATTTTTGTATTTATAGTAGAGATGGGGTTTCACCATGTTGGCCAGGCTCATCTTGAACTCCTGACATCAGATGACCCTCCCACCTCGGCCTCTCAAAGTGCTGGGATTACAGGCGTGACCTGCTGCGCCCGGCCGATAAATTCTGATTTCATAAGGATGGGCGATTGGGCCATACTGACAAGTTTATGTTAGGTGGTTTCTAGATTTTGCTAGAACTGATTGCCTTTAAGGTGCTCTGGGACAAAGTCAGAAATTATTGGCACCTCAATTAGATTTAACAACCTCTATTTTGTTTGGAGATGATTCAGAAAAATGCCACAAATATCTGCTCTTGTGTCTGTGAACTCATTTAGAATAATCGAAAGCAAATTAGTCCGATAAAACAGGTTCTTTAGCATCAAAACATGACAGAATCCATGAAGAAAATATCTTTTCCTAGACAGGGTAGCAATTTACAGTAAGTGCTTCGTTTCAAATAAATGTGATATTCAAAGTTAAGGAAAGGAAGGCTATTTAGTGATTCAGAATGTTACTAATAATTTAACCTTTTGGTAATGGAAGTTTCAAGGATCCTCCAAACCTTTGAAAGTAGAGGAAAGGTTCATATTTAGTCCTGAAACCTTAATTGGATTATGTTTTATTGTGTGTTTGTTTTAATCTTACAGCTTTTCAAAAACAAAAAACCTTATCATGGTGGATAGATTTAGAAGACAGTGGTTTAATTTCTCCCACTGACAAATTATATGCCCTCTTTCTTATCTGACCATATTCTAGAACTAAGGGATTTTAAAATGTTTTACAGTTTGTTTTATTGATTGAATAAAGTATTGTGTTTCCCATTTTTAATTTCAAAAGGCAATGTGGTGATTTTATATTTATTTCTATAAAAACTTAAAGTAGTCTGGAAGAAATTAAGAGGGAATTAAGAGTACATATTAAAAGAGAACTAAATTCCCTTACTTTCTCTCTAAGAAATATAAAGTATTAGATGTTTGAGATTGGTACAAAGCCTTCACTTTCTCTCTAAGAAATATAAAGTATTGGATGTCTGAGATTGGTACAAAGCCTTCTCATATACTTGAACAACTATTTTTATTTTTTTCTGCAAATGATTCAGTGCCAGGAGGCTAACTTGCTTTACCTTTTTTTTAAGACATAGGAATATTTGTCTTTCCTCCCTTACCTCCCTGTTTTATTGTCTCACTGTAAATTTTTTTAGGGCAACAGCTTTATTGAGATTTTTATTGAGATCATGAAATCTTACTGCCTATTCTTAACGTGAATTTGATGACTAGTGATTCTGTAGATAACCTGATTTTCTCTTCCTATTTTCTGCTTGTTTTGCAGCAAGTTCACATGTCTATAAACGTGGTATATGAATACAATGCAAAGGTATCTTTATTTGTGTATACTTACAACTACTGTATGCAGTACTGTTTATTTCCATCTATCATGTATATATGTGCTGGTTTTAAAAAATTGTATTTATGTATAACAGGAGGTTGTGTTGGGCTTTTCCTATTACTCAAAGAACAGCAACTAGGGAGGAGTCAAAGATGGGTCAAGGGAACGCTAAGTACTTCACTTTTTAAAGAAATCTGACAATGACTAGAATCAGAAAACCCCACCACCCACTGCCTCCATGCACACACCCAGACCTAACTTGAAGGATGATTAAGAAGTCGTAGAACTAGCTCCCAAAATTGTGCTTTCTGCCAAAGGAATCACTGGTAGTGATTGAAGATGCCTTCAGGAAGGAAAGACTTGTATTTTATTTCCAGATTGGGTGTTAATTTAGGCAGCAAACTTGTTCATCTGCTTTCTGCCTACTTTATCAGGAAAATAAAAGGGAAGGTGGGGTGGGGAGGGGAGGCGATTAGACTTGCAGTAGTTCAGTCTGTAGTCTCACAATTTGGGGTGGCAAAGATACGCAAGTTTCCTGTGGGTCAGGTGACACCAAGGAATGTAATTAATTCTGACCTCTCGGCTAGTGTCACATTCAGGAAAACTGTCCTTCAGCCTGGAGAACTCTCCAACAAAGCCTGTGGGCATTTATAGCTATGGACAGATGAAGGAGGTAAAAGCCATTATCTATCTATTTATATATTTGTGGGTAAGGCCCCCACAAATATCTTGGAGAATTCTCACATGGTCCCCATGAAAGAATGAGAAAGCTTGAATTCTGGGGCTTAGAGGGCAAATTACAAATTTACCCTTGGTACCCGTATGTGTGCGCGCGTGCACATATTTTGAAGTCTTTGGTCTAGCCCTGGTTTGAGGAAGCAGGATACAAGAGGGAATTGCAGCTAAGGGGCCTGATGGCCTTTGCAACCTTATACCCAGATTCCTCTATATTACCCCAGCCACCTGGATGAAAGACCACTTCTCCTTCAGCTCTGCTGGTGAGAAACTTGAGAAAGAACCAAAGTGAGGGGAAACCCAGGGTGGGGCTTTTATGGCAGAGAAAGGAGGGTAGAGATTACTTGAGTGATCTCAGTGGTGCAGTCAAACTCTGGGCTTTTGGAGTTTGGCTGTTCTGGTTTGGCTGGCTGCTTAGATATTTCAAAGACAAAAGAATCTTGAGTCAGGTTCTAAAAGGATCCCTGTTAGAAAGTGTCCCTTCTCTGATATATGGCTGTGTACTTTCTGCAGTGAATCTCTCCTGAATAACTCCCAGAATGTCTTTGCCAGTGTTCACCAAGATAGAAAGATTGTGAAAGTTTCAAACATTATACAATTAGAAATTATTATGATAAAGAATAAGACATTTATTTACTGGTTCAAAGAACATACTGTGTGCTTTGTATTCTGACATATGTGTGTTAAATTGAATTTATGATCAATTTGTTATGATTGAGAGAGTAATAGGAGTTATAGTTGTTTTAATAATCAAACCTTCGGCTCATTAAAATTATATAAAGGTGAAAAGCCTGAGGTTGTTATGGATTGCATGACTTCTTTTTTTTTCTTTTTTTTTTTTTTGAGATGGAATCTCACTCTGTTGCCCAGGCTGGAGTGCAATGGCATGTTCTCGGCTCACTGCAACCTCCATCTCCCGGGTTCAAGTGATTCTCTTGCCTCAGCCTCTAGAGTAGCTGGGACTACAGGCATGCGCCACCAAACAGGCTAATTTTTGTATTTTTAGTAAAGACAGGGCTTCACCATGTTGGCCAGGTTGGTCTCGAACTCCTGACCTGGTGATCTGCCCGCCTCAGCCTCCCAAAGTGTTGGGGTTACAGGCGTGAGCCACCATGCCCGGCTGGATTGCATGACTTTTAAGAGTTTATGCTGAAATAATGATGTGCTTTATTTTAGGATTTAAATGCAAATGAATTTGTGGCTGAAATCTCTTTGGGAGAGCAAATTTTTCAAATTGCCATTTTCTTCTTCCACTTGAAAGCAGAAAAACCTTCTTTCAGTTGATTTGAGGAACCAAAACTGAACTCAGAGTGACAGGAGCACAAAGAAATGCAAGATGATGTAGGTTGGAAAAAGATGGCCAGAACAGAAGCTGGTTCATAAAGATGAACCAAGTTGAGGAGTTTAGCCATAATCTTGGGGGCACTGGGAAGTCAATAAAAGATTGATAAGTAGAAGATGACTTGAGTTACATTTTAGCAAAGCTTTTCCAGGTACAATGTAAAAAATAGATTGGAATGCTGAAGGACAGCAGGACACTAGGAAGAATTTTGTAATGGAATAGATTTATGATAATGGTGTGAACTGAATAAATGGGAGTAGGGATTCAAGAAAGTGGATGTAAGGGAGGAGACCACCCCTCATATTGTCCTATGCCCAATTTCTGCCTCCAAAGAAAGAAGTAAAAACTAAAAGGCAGAAATGAAATCCACAAGCAGACAGCCCAGTGCCACGCCCTGGGCCTGGTAGTTAAAGATCAACCCCTGACCTAATCGGTTATGCTATCTATAGATTACAGAAATTGCATAGAAAAGCACTGTGAAAATCCCTGTGCTGTTCTGTTCTGTTCTAATTACCGGTGCAGGCAGCCCCCAGTCACGTACCCTCTGCTTGCTCAATCGATCATGACCCTCTCACACGCACCCCCTTAGAGCTGTGAGCCCTTGAAAGGGACAGGAATTCCTCACTCCGGGAGCTTGGTGGTTGGAGATGTGAGTCTTGCTGAAGCTCCCAGCCGAATAAAGCCTTTCCTTCTACAACTCGGTGTCTGAGGGGTTTTGTCTGCAGCTTGTCCTGCTACAGACATATCTGAAAGGCTCCATATTATAAAGGTGCCAGTTAGCAATTGTATTGAAAATACCAGTAGAGGCCAAGTGAAGTAGCTCACACCTGTAATCCCAGCACTTTGAGAGGCTGAGGCAGGAGGATCACTTGTGCCCAGGAGTTTGAGACTAGAGTGAGATATGATTGTGTCACTGTACTCCAGCTTGGGCTACAGAGCAAGATCCTGTCTATCCCTCAAATTTTTTAAATTAAAAATATTTTAAAGATAAAATAAATATGTAGTAGGATGGGTCGCAGACAAAACCTCTCAGACACCGGATTTAGGAAGTAAGAGGCTTTATTCGGCCGGAAGCATCAGCAGACTTGCGTCTCAAGAACAGAACTCCCTGAAGAAAAAGTTCCTGGCCTTTTTAAGGGCTTACAACTTTAAGGGGTCCACGTGAAAGGGTCATGATTGATTATGCAAGCGTGGGCTACCTGACTGAGGGCTATATGCATCAGTGGTGAGGGCTAGCAGAACAGAACAGAAAGTTTCACAATGCTTCTCCATACAATGTCTGGAATCGACCAGAGCTTAACCGCACATGCGGTTAGGGTGGGGGTTAATCTTTTACATTCAGGCCTGGTCAGTGGCGTCAGTCAGTCTGGCCACTGACCCTACTTCTGTTATTTTTCAGCTTTTACTTCCTCCTTTGCAACTCTACCACAGGAGGCAGAGGGAAAATCCAAGGAAAATGCTCTCTTTCCTCAAATACACCAATAGAGGTTTCATACTATGCTACAACTGTGTCTAGAATAAGAGCAAAAGTCAATACTTGCTTAGAGACATTTAAAAACAAAAACAGGAGAAAATTTGCATTATCAGATAACAAAACTTATTATAAAGCTATAGTGCTTAAGACATGATATTAAGACAGCAATTGATAAACCATTAGAACAGAATAGGGAATCCAGAAACAATCTTGTGGGTATAAGGAAACTTGGTATATAACAGAAGTTTGCTCCTCAGTGAGGAAGAGAAAAAATTGATGGTCCATTTAGAAGAAAATGAAATTGGATCCCTGCATTCTAAATATTTTAGACTTAAATGTGAAAGTCAAAGCTATAAAACTTTTTGAAGAGAAAGTGGGAGAATGCGTTTTTGAACCTGAAGAAGGAAATAGTTTCTTATGATGCAAAAACACAAACTATAAAAAAGAAATCTAGCTGTATTAAAATGATTAACTTCTGCCTACCATAAGACACCATCAAATGTGAAACCATTAATCAAAACTGGAGTGTATATCTGCAACACATATGCTTGACAAAGGATTATTATTGAGAATATAAAGAATTACTATAAATCAATGAGAAAAAACAAGCAACTAAATAGAAAAATTAGCAAAATAGGCACTTCAAAAAAGAAAAAGTCTGTATGCCCAACAGACATATAAAAATATATTTGAAACCAGGTTGGGTGTGGCGGCACATGCCTATAATCCCAGCACTTTGGGAAGCCGAGGAGGGTAGATCACCTGAGGTCAGGAGTTTGAGACCAGCGTGGCCAACATGACGAAACCCCATCTCTACTAAAAATACAAAAATTAGCCATGCGTGGTGGCACACGCCTGTAGTCCCAGCTGAGGCTGAGGCAGGAGAATCGCTTGAACCCAGGAGGTGGAGGTTGCAGTGATCCTGGGCAACAGAGTAAGACTCTATCTCAAAAAATAAAAAGATATTCAAAATAATTTGTAATCATAGAAATACATATTTAAATTACAATTACACTCACCAGACTGACCCAAATTAAAGTATCAAGTGTTGGCAAGAATGTGAATCAAACTCAAGCTCTTATACTCTGAATTTTATGTACATGTTGGTACAAGCATTTTAGGAAACAATATGACATTATCTGGTAAAGTTGAAGATGTGCATGCCCTACAATCTTTCAAATCCACTCTTATTTACATGCATTGTGAGGAGCCATGTCTTTGAGTGTTTATAACATCAATATATAACCCATATTGGGAACAACCCAAATGTTTATTCACAAGACAGTTGTAATATATTTATTCAACAACTAAAATTTGTACTATATTCAACAACTAGAATACAGTAGCAAAAATGAATGCTTACTGAGAATCTTGGGGGGTAATGAAGTGGACTATATCTTGATTAAGTAGTGGGTATATATATATGTAAATGCATATATGTTAAAAATCATCAAAGTATATAAAATGGGTGCATTTATTCTGTGTAAATTATACCTCAATAAAGTCAACTTTAAAAATAAATGACCTACATTTACATGCATCAACATGGATTAAATTTAACAATACAATATTGAGAAAGAAAACCAAGTTGCAGAAGAATCACAAATATTGTACCATTTATATTAAAAAACTTTATAAAAATTTTATATATGTGAAGAAACTAAACAGCATAAATTAGAGATGCTACGTGGTAAAACTATAAAGCAAGAGAAAGCCCACAAAATACAAAGAGAGAATTTTGGATAGGGATTATCTCTCTTGGGTGACAGAAGAAGGGAGGGATTGTGATTTTGGCAGAGCCACTAAGGTCATATTGTTTCTTAACATGAGTGGGGGGAACAAGGATGTTCAGCTTATTATTTTTTGTAAATGGCTTATAAATATGTTATAAATATTATTTTATATGTTTTTGAAGTTTAAAATATAAAAGAATTAGTTAAATATAAATCTGACAAAATTATGCTGAAAGCAGAATAGAAAGAATAAAAAATAATGAAAGAAGTAAAGTTATCAAGGAGAAACCAAAGTGTTCCAATATCTGCTCCTAAGGAGAGAACAGGGAGAAGTAATTGTCAAGATAAAGGATAAGAATATTCTAGAATTGATCAAAGTAGTTTAAACCATGAACACATATTTTATGTCACAAGATAAAGTGGTCTGAACATTATTTCAATGGCCGAGAAATGTATGTCAGCAGGGACAGAGTGTTTTTGTCCTGTTTTCTCTTCCTTCCTCCATCTGTTGGCCTTTGCCCTCAGGTTCATCATTGGAGGTCACAAGTGGGCTTTGTCACCCGCAGTGTTAGCTACTCACAAAACAGTAATTAAGAATGGGAGTGTCATGAGGCAAAAGAGCTTTTTCTTGGAACTCTCTTCCATCAATTAGGAAAAGTCTTTTTTAAAAATCTCTAGCAGATTCCCCCTTCAGCTAAGTAGCCTTAATTGCCTCACATAATTTACCCTACACATGTTTACTTAAGGGGAATAAGATTGCCATGAAAAATACCTTAGAAAAATCATGATTCACCCCCTATGCCAGGGTACTTTACCATGCAGTAGGAACCCTGTTTCCAAGAAGAGTAGAAAATAGCTCTCGGGTTGGCAACCCTCAGTGTCTGTCAACATTGATAAATATGAGGGCAAACATTTTCTGGATACTTGCTGGAAAGAGTAAATTTTTACAGCCTTTCAGGAGGATGATTTAGAAATAAGTACAGAAAAGTTTAAAAACAGTTGGCCAACTATAATTGTTAGAATTATATAATATATATACAAATCTAATTATGAGATTAAAACATTAGGATAGTTTATATTAGTCTAAGACAGAGAAGGAAACCATCTAGACAGGCCAACTTTAGAGGAACTGCTTACTCAAGTAGTGTTTCTTTCATATATTTAAATACTAAGCAATCCTAATAATAAAGATTTAGATGCATTTTCTTCCATGAGAAGCTGGTCAAAATATTGTGTTGACTGGGACAAAGAGATTATAAAACAGTTTACATAGAACAATCTTAATTTGGAAATTGTATTCTATGTGTATTAAGAATATCTGAAAAGTTATTTCCCAAAAATGACAACAGTGCAAATCAAGACTGAGATAGTAGTTTGCAAAATCATTAAGTGATGGATGGGTCTAATGAATATACATTTATAGGCTTAAAATACTCTAATTCAGCCAAGTGCTGTGGCTCACACCTGTAATCCCAGAACTTTGGGAGGCTAAGGCAGGCAGATCATGAGGTCAGGAAATCGAGACCATCCTGGTGAAACCTCGTCTCTACTAAAAATACAATATTTAGCTGGGTGTGGTGTTGTATGCCTGTAGTTCCAGCTACTTAGGAGGCTGAGGCAGGAGAATTGCTTGAACCTGGGAGGAGGAGGCTGCTGTGAGTCCAGATCACACCACTGCACTCCAGCCTGGGCAACAGGGCGAGACTCTGTCTCAAAAAAAAACAAAAAACAAAAAAAACTGTAATTCAACTTTGATTAAAATAAAATTTACTTTTAAAACTATAATTACAATGAGTTTAAAAATCTTGAAAGTGAAAGATGATTGTTGACTCAAGTGCTTTTGAAAAAACAGTCATTTATAAAAACACTCTTTGTTATAAAGAAAGGGGAGAAGTTAGGGAAATATTTATATCCTAATTGTCACAAAAGTATAGTGCATTTACCAGGTGAGGTTAAAGTCATACTTAAGTTTTATGTATATAGTCCTCATGAAATTTAATTTCTGGCTAACTTATTTGCTGAGATGAACAAGAAGTTTTTATGTAAAATTTAAAGATTTTAATATTAATTGCCTTCAGTATTTGTTAGTAAAATGTTTTATCACAGGAAACTGTTTGTTAAGGATACATGTTAAAGAATTTTGAGATTTTTCCTTAAAGTTATAAATTATGCTTTTTTCATGAATTTCCATGCTAATCCTGGTTAACTAACCTTCTACGAACTTACTGATAGTAGTATAATTAATTTTACTATATACAAAACCAAAAATTATCTTGTGGGTTAGGAAAAGTATACTGTCTAAACCCTTGACATAAATACTGATCTTTCATTTTTTAAAGGAGAAGAAAATTTTCTTTGTGTTGAAAGAGGATAAGCTGAAACAAGTGTCACAGAGATGAAAATCTACTTCACAAAGAAAATATCTGTAATTATATGTATAAGTGATCTCTTTTTAAAAGCTTCAAAATATCTGCTTTTTTAACATGGATACTTCCATCATACCAGCATAAGAATTTTGCCTCGTCCTTATGATGGCCTATATTTTACCTCAGTGCAGTTATAGTTGCTATTTCACTGATTTGGGATCAGAGAACAAGGGAGGAATTGATAGAAGACAGTAATCTTGGCCAGGAGCAGTGGCTCATTCCTGTAATCCCAGCACTTTGGGAGGCTGAGGCAGGTGGATCACAAGGTCAGGAGTTCAAGACCAGCCTGGCCAAGGTGGTGAAACCCTGTCTCTACTAAAAATACAAAAATTAGCCAGGCGTGTTTGGTGGGCGCCTATAATCCTAGCTACTCGGGAGGTTGAGGCAGAGGACTGGAATTGCTTGAACCCGGGAGGCAGAGGTTGCAGTGAGCTGAGGTCGCACCATTGCACTCCAGCCTGGGCGACATAGCAAGACAGCAAGACTCCATCTCAAAAAAAAAAAAAAAAAAAAAAAAAAAAAAGAAGAAGAAGGTAACCTTTTTCTGACTTGATGAGTTTGGAGCGTTTGCTGGGAAATTCAGGTCTCCAATCAGTCTACATCATGAGTTTGGAGCTAGGGTGAAAATTTTTGGTTAGCATGAAACTGAATAAAATAATCTAAGAGAGAATGTATGAAGTGATAGAAGAAATATTCTAGGACCAAACACTTGGTAACACCACATATAAGGTTCAGACAGAAAAAGAGGACTCAAAAAAAAAAAAAAAGATACAGAGAAGAAAATGGTAAGAAGTCAGAAGACAGCTGGGAAGTAATAATTTAATGGTAGCCACGAAATGAGAGACATGCATGTGAGTAATTGTCAACCATATAAAATCCTTGATAAGATAAAATCTTGGTAAGATGGGTCTAAAGGGAACTTGGACAGCCTCTTCAGCAATTCTCCTGCCCTTCTCCTGGGAACCCTTATTTTCTCCTACGTACCCCAGCCACATCCTCTTGGATACTTTGGCAAGTACCTTGATCTTACACAAATCCACCGACCTGACCAGAATTGATTGTTTCATGTTGCACAGCTGATATAAGCTAGGCTTGCGATGGACTTCCAAGGATTTTGGATGTGAGGGCAAATAAAAGGATCAGCATACATTCTGTCTCTTGGCTTAAGTCAAGATGTAAAGCTTGAGAGTTTCTTTTTCATGTTAAGACAGCGATTCTGTAGAGAGTACAGAATAGAGATAATTCAAGAGACAGAGTAAAGCCAACTTGCAGAAGGAAGTAGATATAATAGAAAGCCCTTGACATCACTAGAGTTCCAGGTTTCAATTGTCACCAAGAATCAGCTATATTCTTGTTCTTTCCAAAGTTCAATTATTTGAATTTTCCTTGGATTCTATCAATAGGACCTAGTAAATTCTCCTTTTTGCTTAAGCTAGTTTAGGATTTGTGCCATTTGATACCATAAGTTTTAATTAATACAGTTTATCAATTTGGTAAAAACAGAGGTCATTGATTACTCTGTTCAATTCAAAGTGGTTTCAGTGGAGTAGTAGAAATGAAAACATTACAGTGAATCGAATTATTAAGAAGTAAGAAAGAGGTAACAGCTAGTGTAGACAGATTTTAGCTTTGTTCATTTCCTTAATAAATATTTATTGAGGGCTTACTATATGACTTTACCAGGGATAAAGATGAATCAAAAGATGAGTATGATATAGTCTTCTATTCAAGAAACTCTCAGCCTTTTGAAGGAAGCTGATAAGAAGGTATTTTCAATGCAGTGTATAAGAGTATGGCTCAGAGAGGAAGGGGAGAGAGAGAGAATGACAGGAAGAGACTGGAGACAGAAATAGGGGTTACTGATGGATTTAGACTTCAAGGAGGCAAGTAAAAATAGAGTTAAAATCACAAGTGGACAGATTTACCTAGATGATGAAAAAGGACCTTCTTTTGAAAAAGGAAGTCTGAGTCTAAGATGGCATTTAAAAAAAAAAAGGAAAAAAGGAAAAGGAGGGAAGCAAGGATACTTGGAATCCACTGAGGATCACTTTAGAGACTATATTCTCTGCAAAAGTTGCTGTGGTAATTAATCCTACTTTTATGTCTTATGAAATGGCTGTTCCTCTTCCTAAATAAACTGTCCTCAATCCTGTGAGCACTTCTACCCAGGTAGCTTGCCTCGTTATGTGCAAAGGGAAGGAGAGAGCAGAAAACAAATACTTCCTAATATTCCAATACTGAAAACCAGGAATAACTTTTTCATATTCACATGACAGTATACTGTCACTAAGAGCAGAATCTCATACTTTCCTCTACACCATCTATCACATTAGTAGCAATACCATTCAGTAAGCACTCAACAAAAATTTAATCTAGTGATATCCTGTGGATTAAAAAAATTTAAGTAATACTGGTGGAATGAATGCCCCTTCTCAGAAATCCTTGTCTTTGCTGCCAACTTCCTATCCAGATGTTAGAGCTCAATTATCTGTGTGGAAATGGGTAGAGACCAAGGAATGGGGTGACGAGGGTCACAAATACACTGTTTCAATAGGATCATGATTCTCAAAGGGTGATCCCAGATCAGTAGCACTTGGAAATTTGTCACAGATACAAATTCTTGGGCCCCACCCCAGGACCTAATGAATCAGAAACTGCAATATTTGTTTTTAAAAGCCCTCCAGGTAATTCTGCAGCATACTGCCTTGTCTGTTCCGGCTGGTATAACAAAGTATCTTTGGGTAATTTATGAACAACAGGAATTTATTGCTCATATTCTGGAGGCTGGGAAGTCCAAGATCAAGAGGCCAGCAGATTTGGTGTGTGGTGAGAGCCTGTTCCTCACAGATGACACTTCCTATGTGTCCTCACGTGATGGAAGAAGCAAACAAGCTCCCTCAGGCCTCTTTTATAAGGGCACAAATCCCATTTATGAGAGTGGAGCAATCATGACCTAATCACTTCCCAAAAGCCCCATCTCATGATACCGCCACACTGGGCATTAGATTTCAATATATGAATTTTGTGGGAATGCCAACATTCAAACCATAGCACACATCAAAATGTGAGAACCACTGTTTTTGGGCAGTGATTCTTAACTGTAATGGGTGTATGAATCACCTGGGAGTTGTTGAAATGCACATTCTGATTCTTTTGGTCTGGATGGAATTCAATATTTTGCATTTCTAACGTTCTCAAATGGTGTCAACATTTATTTTCCGCAAACCATGCATTGAGTAGCAAGACATGAGGACCCGGAAGTGGGGAGGGCAGTTCAAAGCCAGGAGTAGTGACAAGGCTGCTGCTCAGCAGCAACTGAGGTACCTATTGGCTTTATGCAAAGTTGTCAAGCAAGGTCTCAGATGGGGATGCAGCTGGGTGTACATGGGACAGCTGCCAAAACAACCTTCTTTTTATTCCTCTTAGTTAACTGCAATTCCATTTTTTATCCTTTCTTCTACTCCTCATCCAAGACACATATCAACAATAGATTTTGTTGACTGAATTTCCACAGTGACTGCACTAGCCCAGTTTATCAATTTATAAAACTGATACTCATATTTTCCAAACTACAAGCTTAAAAGCCCCAAAATTGAGTATCTTTAAACACAGGGAGATGAAAAAAGGTAAAAAGAGGCTGGGCACAGTGGCTCATGCCTGTAACCAAGGCTCCACTCATTAACTAAAATGCCATGATTTCTTTTCAAACATTTTTCCCCTGGAGTATGTTGGTAAGAATTAATTACTTTGAGAACTGCCAGTGGAGAAATTTCCTAGAACTCAATTTTGATAAATGTCAGGTTGCTATTCAAGGACTTGTTTTTTCAATGACAAATTGTAGTGTTGGAAAAGAGCCCCAAATCCTCTGTTTCAAAAACGGATTTAGATTTATTTGAGCATCTCTGAGCTCACTGTGTTTGCATGGCTTTGCCCAGCTGCTGTACTTCTTGGGCCAACTATGGTTTAATAGTATTTTTTATTTATTTTATTTCATTTCTTCTTCTTTTTTTTTTTTCTGAGACGGAGTGTCGCTCTGTCGCCCAGGCTGGAGTGCAGTGGCGCGATCTCGGCTCACTGCAAGCTCCACCTCCTGGGTTCACACCATTCTCCTGCCTCAGCCTTCCGAGTAGCCGGGACTACAAACGCCCGCCACCAAGCGCGGCTAATTTTTTTTTTTTTTTTTTTTTTTTTTTTTTTTTTTTTAGTAGAGACGGGGTTTCACTGTGTTAGCCAGGATGGTCTTGATCTCCTGACCTCAGGTGATCCGCCTGCCTCGGCCTCATAAAGTGCTGGGATTACAGGCGTGAGCCACCGCGCCTGGACTTCATTTCATTTTTGAGATGGAGTCTCGCACTGTTGCCCTGGCTGGAGTGCAGTGGCGCGATCTCGGATCACTGCAACCTCCTCTTCCAGGATTAAAGTGATTCTCCTGCCTCAGCCTCCTGAGTAGCCGGGATTACAGGTGGGTGCCACCATGCCTGGCTAATTTTTTGTATATTTTAGTAGAGATGGGGTTTCACTATGTTGACCAGGCTGGTCTCAAACTCCTGACCTCGTGATCTGTCCGCTTCAGCCTCCCAAAGTGCTGGGATTACAGATGTGAGCCATCACCCCTAGCCAGCAGTATTTTAAAAATTGTCTTCTAAGATAGGCCATTGATAATATTCAGTCATATCCTGTACCTCATTTGGGTATCCAGGTGGCTGTTGTCCAACCAGATTTTAGCATTTTCCCCCAAATCTTCCATGTCATGCTCTAATCAGTTAATAAAAATAGGAACCACAATGCCACTCCCATTTGTATTGGCATCTGTGATTCTAGAGTATTATAAAAAGATCTGAGTCAAGAAGAGTCTTTGTAAAGAAAATCCTAACATCCTGTAGGATCTGGGCCTCTTCCTTTATTTCTCTGATTTCATCTTCTATCCTACACTCCTTTACTCCACCCCAACCTCAGTGTCCCTTTGGGGTTCCTTGGACACTGCAGGCTCAATTCTTGCTTCAGAGCATCCTCACTTTTCTTCCCTCTGCCTAGAATTCCCTTTTCTTAGATATCTTCATGGCTGGCTCCTCTATTTTTTTCAGTCTTTATTCAAAAAATCATCTAAATGAGGCTTTTCCTCATTTAGATAAAATTTCCTCATTTAGATAAAACCACACTAGATAAAATTTCAAACCTCTCAACATATCTTGTCCCTCTTTTCTGCCTTTTCTCTTTAGAATTTATTATTATTTAACATAATATATTTCATTTTTATCTGATTTATTTATTGTGTCTTCTCCACTAGAATATCAGCTCCACGAAGGCAGGAAATATATCATTCACTTCACCCTACTATTGTATCTTTAATGTCTAGAAAAATGTCCAGCACATAGTTGGTGCTCAATAACATTTACTACTGAATGAATATATTAAATGAAAAAGTAAGGTACAGAGAAGTGTAAATAGCACTCTACCATTTGTGTAAACGTGGGGAAAATAATATACAAGTTTGAATTTATATGCCAAAAATTGCCCTGTAAGGAGACACCTGAACCTGATACTAGTCAACTGAGGTCTTAAGAACCCAGGACTGGCAAGGGCATTGGGATGGGGGTGAGAGGAAGACATGTTACTGAATATTGTTTTACATTTAAAAAAATTGTAAACTATGTCATATTATCTATTCAAAACATTAAAGTTAAAAACAATAAGAAAGAAAATAATTTCCCTGGCCAGGTGTGGTGACTCATGCCTGTAATTCCAGCACTTTGGGAGGCTGAAGCAGGAAGACCACTTGAGCCCAGGAGTTCAAGAGCAGCCTAGGCAATACAGTGAGACTCTGTATCAACAAAAAATTTAAAAATTAGCCCAGCATGTGTAATCCCAGCACTTTGTGAGGCCGAGGCAGGTGGATTGCTTGAGGTCAGGAGTTTTCAAGACCAGCCTGACCAACATGGTGAAACCTCGTCTCTACTAAAAATGCAAAAATAAGCCCAGCACAGTGGCGGGTGCCTGTAATCCCAGCTACTCTGGAGGCTGAGGCAGGAGAATCGCTTGAACCCGGGAGGCGGAGATTGCAGTGAGCTGGTATCGTGCCACTACACTCTAGCCTGGATGACAGAGCGAGACTCCATCTCAAAGAAAAAAAAAAAAAAAGAAAAGAGAAAAAAAATAGCCCAGCATGATGGTGAGTGCCTGTGGTTCCACCTACTTAGAGGCTGTGGTAGAAGGAACGCCACTGCACTCCTGCCTGGGAGACAGAGTGAGACTCTGTCTCAAAAAAAAAAAAAGAAAAAAAAGAAAGAAAGTAATTTCCCTTTGGACTCAATATAGTACCCTTTGATATGTAAGAGAGGAAGAGATTGTAATAGATTATTTCCCTTTGAATTTTTTAAATGTATACGTAATAGATGCACCTGTTTTCAGGATACATGTGATAATTTCATGCCATTCATATAATTGGTAAAGATCAAATCAGTGTATCAATTAATTATTTTAGAAAATATGTTCCAGGAAACTTTTTAGTAATCTCATAGCAATAAGAGTGCCAGGAGCAGCACAAATGAAAAGATAAATCTAAGCAACCACATCACCTCACTTTCTATGTCTCAGGTAAGCCTCGGTTCCTGAGACATTGGCTGGAGGCTGTGGTGAGGACCTCTTTGACAGTCCTGTTTATTTACTCCCAGAGTGTGGGAGAACTAGGGTCATGCTTGCTCAGGAGGAAAAAAGAACAACACATTATCCTCATAGGGCAGGCCAGCTGATTCAGAGGTCGTTTTTACCAGCTCCTGTGTGTTTCATCTGAAAAGGGGGTGGCATATCAGCAAGACAACTCTCTTTCATGAGCTACTTTCTTTCATTTCACTCTAAAATTACTGATCACCTATTACACACAAAAAGAGGACTTCATCTCCATGGGCATCAAATAAAAGAGAAAATGATCCTATCCTTTGTAAAGTTAAGGAGCTGAACTAAGATAACTCAGATTCACACACTGTGGCTGTATTCTCAGAAGGAGGCTGAAAGATTCCTTCTACGGACTTGATTCTGATCCAAAGTCAGAACATTTTCCATCAAGCTGTATGGACCCACACTAATCACTTCAACTTTCTACTCTATTTCTTTTGCCCTCCCTTTCATTTTTCCTTTTCTCCCAGCTTCCTTCTCTGTTATCCACTACTTAATTTAATCAGTTAAGATCTAGTCAGAAGGCAGAAACCGCATGGCAATTTGAACAAGAAATGTTCAACTTAAAGAATTATTAACTAGTAGCAGGATACTGTCTAGTAAGAGTAGAGAACTCTCCAGAGCAGCCACTGCCTCTAGGCCTGAGGCAGAGCATCCAAGACAGGAACAAAGCGGAAAAAGCACTTCCCACTGCCACTGGCTGAAAAGTTCTCTGTGCCAGAGGCTGGAGCTGGCATGCAGGCAATCACCCATTATGAGAGTGTGGAATGAGCTCTCTGGGGAGCCGCCTGCTAGGGCTTGTGTAAGGTTCGTTGGAAAGTCGTCAGCCGGGAGTTTCACAAACTCGCTGGGGATGATCATCCTGGGTGTCCCACAGCCCCACCGCACACAGCAGTGTTATTGACCTGGTTTGTTCTGCCCACGCACAGAAAATCAATCACTGTGATAAGCAGTTTGTGCAAAAGAGAAAAGATTTATTCACAGGGCTGCCCAGGGAGAAGGCAGAAGAGCAGCTCTCAGATCCGTTTCCCGGAAGAGAAGTCTTAGGGATAATTACGAGTTAGGGAAGTGGGGTGGTCTAAGGTGTGGGGAAAAGTGATTGGCAGTTAGGGAAAATGAAGTAACAGGTTCGTTCTGCGCAAAAGTTCATGGTATTGCATTGGACATAATGTACAGAAAATGGCGCCGTTAGTATGATTTGAGGGTGGAGTTTTTGGCCACCTCTTGGGCACTTGCGTGGGTCCAGTTGAAAGGTCGGTAGTCTCAACCGGTTTAAACTGGACAGGAGTTGCCCCAGGTTCCTGAAAAACAACTGAAGCGACCGTTACCATGGTGACTTATAGACGTTATCTACAAGGTCGCCGGTGAGGGTTAAGTTCTAATGTTCAGCGGAGCAGCCCTCAGCTTCACAGGGGGAAAAAATCACAAAAAGACAGCGGCCAAAAGCAAGCAGGGCAGGCTAAGTTTGGCATACCCGCTCAGATTAACATCTTGGTTTCAGCAGGAACAAGCAGAAAAATCATGGGGTCCAGAGGCCCCTTCCTCTTGCAGTGTACTCCCCTAGCACAGCTTAAACATTACCATTTTGCCAAATAGAAATGTTTTCAGGGTCCACCTCCAGTATCATAGAGCAGGGCACGGAAGGGGCGATTTGGAGCTGGCAGCCAATACATTGATAACTGGGCACACTGTCTTTCCCTTTGTTCCTCTTTCCTCCCTTTTCTTTCTGTCTCATCCCTCTCGCCCTCACTTTGTTCTCCCTTTCCCTCCTTCTCTCTCTAGCTCCCCGCCTTCTCCTTCTTCTCTCCCTTGCACTCTGGCTCCAGTCATCGCTCTCACTGTCCCTCTGTGTCCTTTTCTTTCACTATCTCACCCTCTTTTCCTTTATCTCCCTCTCTCTTCGTTTTCCACTTTGATATCAAAACTTTGTGTTTCACCTTGACTCTCCTCCTCTTTTTTCTATATGAGCTTACTGAATTAAATGATAATCTATTGCGCTTCACCTTTTCAACCCTCCTCCCCTCCCCACAAACTCCTGGCAATCAAGAATCATTTAACTATCTCTGTAGTTTTGCCTTTTCAGAAGGTCAGTGGTCATATAATTGGAATCATAGTCCGTAACCTGTTCAGGCTGACTTTTTTTTTCACTTAGCAATATGCACTTAAGGTTTATCCATGCCTTTTCATGGTTTTATGGCACATTTTAAATTTCTGTATAAAATTCCAATGTATGAATGTACTACATCTTGTAAATATATTTGCCCATTGAAGGACATCTTATATGCTTCCAGTTTTTGAAGAATACTATGAATCTTATGAATAAAGCTACTATAAACATTCATGTATAGGCATTTTGTGTGGACAAGAGTTTTCAAATCAGATGGGCAAATACCTATCTAGGACTGTCCTTTTTTCCATTGAATTATATTTGCTCCTTTGTCAATGATCACGTGGCTATATTTGTGGGGGTCTATTTCTGGAGTCTCTATTCTATTGTTCTACGTGTCTATTCTTTTACCAATACCACACTGTCTTGATTACTGTAGTTTTACAGTAATTCTTGAAGTCTGGTAATGTGAGTCTTCTTACTTTTTTATTCTTCAATATTGTGCAGAATCTTTAAGAGCTAAAGAGAATGATTTACCAAACAAATCTTTGTTTCACTTATTTTCAATTTCACTTTTGAACATTGGAGTTTCTGTAAAGCTCCCAAAGATGAGACAGGAATCCACATAGGTGACTTCCTGGTGTTTACCCAACTCAGCAATAGGAGGTGTGGACAGCAGCGATGGGGAATTCAGCTCCGTGGGATAGGGCAGGGATCAGAGTGGGGAGGACAAGGGAAGCTGTCTCACTATTGTCCTATTCAAGTGGTACCTATGCATCAGGAAAAACATCTAGGACACCTTGTGCCTTAGAACTGCAACTGTTCTTCCTCTTCCTTCTCTTTGTCTTATCTCCTTGTGTCAGAAATTTTTTCTTTCTGCCCACTACCATTTCCTCAAACTGTGACAGCTTAACAAATATGACAAAGCTAGTTTATACAAGAGAAATTAATGCTCCTATACCAAAGTTCTTTAAAACATTTCAATTTGAAACCTCATCTCTTTTCTCATAAACCCAGATTCATCTTTATAACTTTGTTTGCTTATAATCAATATATTTATTGCTAGAGCGGGAAGGTGACTTATAAATCAGTTATTTTAATATCATCATTGCATAACTGATAAAACAGAGATAATGTTAACTGCTCAATGGTATCATCTCCTGTCATATTAAATGGAATATATCACTCAAAAGAATATGTGTTTGTGTGTGTGTGTGTGTGTATTACATAAGTAACACTTGCTTATTCTTCCCTAAATCCACAGCATGTCTCTCTAGGGCCACTCTTTTAAAGGCAACCATATTCAGCAGTTCCTTGGTTTTCTTTTCTGAGATTTTTAATTTATATATTAAAAAGTATCTGGGTATATATAAGCTCGTAAAAGATTCTGCTTATTGCTTAAGAAGATAAAAGTAGAAGGGCTCACACTACCTGACTTCAAAAATTATCATAAAGCTACAGGTAGAAAGTTAGGTCACTGATTTGACATCTTTCTTCTTTTTTGATACAGGCATTTACAGCTATAAATTTTCTTCCAAGCACTGCCTTATCTGCATCCTATAAGTTTTTGTATGTTGTGTCTTCCTTTTAATTCATCTCAAAATATTTTCTGGTTTCCTTTGGTATTTCTTATTTGACCCACTGGTTATACAAGAGTGTTGCTTAATTTCCACATATTTTTGTGTTTTGCACATTTTTTCCCTGCCATTGATTTATAATTCCATTACATTATGGTAAGAGAAAATGCATCGCATCATTTTTACCCTTTTAATTTTTTGAGGTTTGTTTTATGGCCTGGAATGTGGTCCTCATGGTGAATGTTTCATGTGTACTTGAGAGGAATATATCTTCTGTTCTAGGCAACTCAACAGGAGAATGTCTGTACCTGCCAAAACCAGTCTATAAGATTGGAAGAAGTTTTTCTTCCTTCAAATACACAGACACCAATGCAATGCCACACAGATCGTGAAGAATTAGTCAAACATGATTTCACTGAAGAAAACTATTAATACTTCAGTAACTGAACTGTAAGAAATAAAGATCTACATATTACCTGATAAAGAATTCAAAATAATCATCTGAAATAAGCTCAATAAGCTATAAAAGAATGTATATAGACAACTAAATAAAAATGAGGAAAACAATGCATGAACAAAAGGAGAAGTTTAATAACTAGAAACCATGAAAAGGAACCTAACAGAAATACTGCAGCTGAAGAATACAATGACAGAACAGAAAAATTAAATCAAGGATTTCAATAGCAAACTCAATCATGCAGAAGAAAGAATCAGTGAACTCAAAGACAGATTATTTGAAATTTGCCAACTAGAGGAATGTCTTAATCCATTTTGTGTTGCTATAACAGAATATCACAGACTGAGTATTTTATAAAGAAAAGAAATTTTTTTTCTTACAATTCTGGCAACTGGTAAATCCAAGATTGAGGGTGCCACATCTGGCATGGGCCATTGTGCTGCATTATCTCATGGCAGAAGGCAGAAGGGCAAAAGAGTATGCACGTGAATGACAGAGAGTCAAACTCACTTTTATAACAAATTTACTCTCACCATAATGAGCCCACTCTTGGAATAATGAGCCTACTCCTGTGATAATGACACTCATTCATTCATGAGAGCAGAACCCTCAAGACCTAATTGCCTTTTAAAGGTTCCATCTCTCAACAGTATTGCACTGGGAACTTAAGTTCCCAACATGTGAACTTTAGGGGACACACTCAAACCATAGCATTCCACCCCTGAATTTCAAAATTTATGTCCTTCTCACATGCAAAACACATTCACTCCATCCCAATAGCTCTAAGATCTTAACTCCTTCCAGCACCAACACAAAACTCCAAAGTATCATCTAAATAAGGTGTGGGTGAGACTCAAGGCATGATTCATCTTGAGGCAAATTTCCTACAGCTGTGGGCCTATGAAATCAAAACAAGTAATCTGCTTCCAAAATACAGTGGTGGCCCGGGTATAAGATAGATGTTCCCATTCCAAAAGGGAGAAATAGGCAAAAATAAAAGAATAACTAATGCCAAGTAAGCCTAAAACCCAACAGGAAGAGCACATTAAGTATTAAAGCTCCAGAATTCTTTTCCTTGACTCCATGTCCCTCCATCTGGGCACAATGGGGTGGTGGTTAGGTCCCAAGGCCTTGGGCTGCCCCACCCCTATGGTTTTGCTGGGTGCAGGCCATGTCACAGCTCTGACATGTTGGAGTCTCATGCTTGAAGCTCTCCCAGGCTGGAGTTACATGCTGGTTGCTCTACACCTCTAGGGTTTTGGAGGCAGTCCTGATCCCACAGCTCCACTAGGTTTGATCTAGTGGGAACTCTCTTTGGTGGCTCTAACCCTACAACAAGCTTCTGTCTGGGCCCCCAGGCTGTCCATTTGAAATCTAGGTGGAGGCCCCACATCTCTTGTACTATGCATGTCTGCAGAATCAGCAACATGTAGACATCACCGAGGTTTACCATTGTGCCCTCCAGAGCCATGGCTGGAGCATCCAAGGAGCTCTGTGCCAGAGTGTGGCAAGCAGCTTCCTGAAGCAGCCCTGGGCAGCAAATGCTGAAGTCTCCAGAGCACCTCTCTGGAAATTTTGCCCTCAAGGCCCTGCTCTGGGCCTACAATGGGAGGACAGACTCTTCCACATGTTGGGAAGATAGCACATCCCAACTTCATGGGAAGGAAAGCTCTTGTGCTCTGGACCCTTTCAGATCACACCCTGTTTATCTCTTTATCTGGCTGTTCGTTTGCATCCTTTATTATATCCTTAATAATCAACCTGTAAACATAAGTGTTTCCTTGAGTTCTGTGAGCTGCTCTAGCAAATTAATCAAACTCAAAGAGGGGGTCATGGGAACCCTAATTTGAAGCTGGTTGGTCAGGAGTTCTGGAGGCCCAGACTTGTGGCTTGTGTCTGAAGTGGGGGCAGTTTTGTGAAACTGAGCTCTCAACCTGTGGGATGTGAAACTATTTCCAGGTGGATAATGTCAGAATTGAACTGGGTTGGAGGATGCTGAGTTGGTTTCTGCTACAAAATTGATTGCTTGTTTGGTGTGTGGGGTACACCCCCCTACACAGAAACATTTGGTCACAAAAGACGTTGGTTGGTGTTGAGGCTGCTGGGTGAGAGAATAGAAAAAAACAACACTTTGAGTGTGTTTTTTTTCCACTGACAAATATGAAGGATTGTAATACACTTTCAATAATTATATGCCAACAAATTGGATAACTTAGAAGAAATGGATAATTCTTAGAAACATACATTCTGCCAAGACTGAACCATGAAAAAATAGAAAATTTGAACAAACCAATAACAAGTAAAGAGGTTGAAGCAGCAATCAAAACCTCCCAACACAGAAAATCCCAAGACCTTATGGCTGCACTGCTGAATCCTACCAAACATTTAAAGAACTGGTAACAATCCTTCTCAAACTCTTCCAAAAACTCAAGGAGGGGGAAATACTTCCAAACTGTTTCTATGAGGTCAGCATTGCCCTGATACCAAAGCCAGACAAGGACATTACAAGATAATTGCAGGCCAATATCCTTGATGAAAATAGATGCCAAAATCCTCAATAAAATAGTAGCAAACTGAATCCAACAGTACATTAAAAGGATCATGCGCCATGATCAAGTGGAATTTATCCCTGGAGTGCAAAGGTAGTTAAACATATACAAATCAATAAATGTGATATATCACATTAATGGAATAAAGGATAAAATAATATGATAATGTCAATAAATGTAGAAAAAGTATTTCACAAGATTCAACAACTTGCATGATAAAAACTCTCAGTAAGTTAGGTATAGAAGGAATGTACCTCACAATAACAAAGGCTATATAAGATAAGCCCAGAGCTAACAAACTCAATAGTGAAAACCTGATTTTCCTCTAACATCAGGAACAAGCTGAGGAGGCCCACTCTCACCATTTCTATTCAATATAGTACTGGAAGTCCTAGCCAAAACAATTGGGCAAGAAAAAAGAAATAAGATATCCAAATCTGAAAGGAAGAAGTTAAGTTTATCGGCAGATGACATGATCTTAGTATTTTTTTTTATTTCAATAGGTTTTTGGGGAACAGATGGTCTTTGGTTACATGGATAAGTTCTTTAGTGATGATTTCTGAGATTTTGGTGCATCCATAACTCAAGCAGTGTACACTGTACCCAATGTGTAGACTTTTATCCCTTACCCTCCCCCCACACCTCCTGAGTCCCCAAAGTCCATTATATCATTCTTATGCTTTTGCGTCTCCACTTAGCTCCCACTTATAAGTGACAACACATGATGTTTGGTTTTCCATTCCTGAGTTACTTCACTTAGAATAATGGTCTCCAACTTAATCCAGGTTGCTGCAAATGCCATTATTTCATTCCTTTTTATGGCTGAGTAGTATTCCATGGTGTATATTTAATACATAACACATTTTCTTTATCCACTTGTTGATTGATGGGCATTTGGGCTGGTTCCATATTTTTGCAATTGCAAATTGGGTGGCTATAAACATGTGTATGCAAGTGTCTTATTCATATAATGACTTACTTTCCTCTGGGTAGATACCCAGTAGTGGGATTACTGGATCAAATGATAGATCTACTTTTAGTTCTTTAAAGAATTTGCATACTGTTTTCCATATTGGCTGTACTAGTTTACATTCCCACCAGCAGTGCAAAAGTATTCCCTTTTCACCATATCCACGTCAACATATATTATTTTTTAATTTTTTTATTATGGCCATTCTTGTAGCAGTAAGGTGGTATCACATTGTGGTTTTGATTTGCATTTCCCTGATTACCAGTGATGCTGAGCATTTTTCACATTTGTTGGCCATTTGTATATCTTCTTTTGAAAATTGTCTATTCATGTCCTTAGCCCGCTTTTTGATGGGATTATTTGTTTCTTTCTTGCTGATTTGTTTGAGTTCCTCATAGATTCTGGATATTAGTCCTTTGTCGGATATATAGTTTGCAAAGATTTTCTCCCACTCTATGGGTTGTTGGTTTACTCTGCTGATTACTTATCTTGCTGTGCAGAAGCTTTTTAGTTTATTTTACTCTGCTGATTACTTATCTTGCTGTGCAGAAGCTTTTTAGTTTATTTATCTTTGTTTTTGTTGCATTTGCTTTTGGATTCTTGGTGATGAACTCTTTGCCTAAGCCAATGTCTAGGAGAGTTTCTCCGATGCTGTCTTGTAGCATTTTCATGGTTTCCAGTCTTAGAGTTAAGCTTTTGATTCATCTTGAGTTGATTTTTGTATACATGATCTTATATATAGAAAACCCTAAATACCCCACCAAAAAACTGTTAGAACAATTCAGTAAAGTTGCAGAGTACAAAATCAACATGCAAAAATCAGTTGCATTTCTATACGCCAACAATGAACACTATCCAAAAAGGAAATTAAGAATCCCATTTACAATAGCATCAACAAGAATAAATGCTTAGGAACAAATTTAACCAACTATTGACATTGATGAAATTAATTGGTGAAGACACAAATACATGAAAAGATATTTCATGTCCATGGATTGGAATAATTAATAATGTTAAAATGTCCACACTACCAAAAGTGATCCATAGATTAAATACACTTTCTTATAGGCTGACCTAAATGTGAGGCAGATAGATCAAAGAGAATAATGGGTTTTGAAAGCTGTCAGCAAACATTAAAAATCGATTTATTCTCTTTATTTTAATACCCAGTAAAACTTGTGCACATATATGCCAAAAAAAAAAAGCAAGTCCAAGAGTTTTCCTACAGGTACGGTTTATAATATCCCCAAACTGGAAACAACCCAAACATCCATCACCAGCAGAATGGGTAAACAAACATAAAAAATTGGTATATTCATATTGCGGAATATATACACAGCAGTGAGAAAGAACAATTGTTAAATGCAACAACATGGATGAATTTCACATATTCCTGCATAAAAGAAGCCAGGCATAAGAGAGTATTTATTATATAATCCTATTTATATGGAGTATGAAAATATGCAAAATTCAAAGATGATATTAGATGTCAAGAAAATGGTTATCCTTATGGAGAATGTGATTAAGAGGGGGCATGAGGGTGGCTTCTGGAGGGACTGATAATTTTCTATCTCTTGACACAGCTCAAGTGACAAAACTTAGTTCTGGGATCTTATTTGATGGAAACAGTGGCAATACATTGAAACAGAAGATCTGGGTGGGAGTTCAAAGATACATTCTCTTCATATACATTCAATGATCTATATATACTTGTATTTGGGCACTTTTCTGTATGTTTCTTATACTGCAATTAAAAATTTTCTTAAAAAATATGAAGTCACATTAAGAAAGACAGCATTACCATTATTTTAGAAACTCCATTTACCCCACTCTATAGTATATCTCTCTCATTCTCATGCTGATATAACCACTATAATAATGTTTGAAATAATCATTCTCTTGCTCTTATTTGTTAGCTTTACTAATTATATTTGTATCCATAAACAATAGATATTTTAGGATGCTTAGTTTGTAGTTTCTATAAATGAAATTATGCCATATTTTTGTGTTTTTTTAATTGAAATATCAAAATATCTCATTTCCTGTGACTTCTAGGTTTTTCTGCATTGCATGTCATTGCTTTCATAAATTGTTACAGCTATCAAGGGAAAATGTGTTAAGACTCTTAATAATATAATAATTTAATTTTAAATTTGTTAATTTTGCACACAAACAATCTGTTAAAGAAAAAACAGAAAGAAAAGATAGTTCTGTTTCTTCCTTTCTAAGAATTATAACTTTTTAACTTTCCTTTTGTCTGGGAAGGAATGGAAGTCGCAATTCCTGGTATACCACTTGTAGTCCCAATCTCAAGTAAAGTGTTTTAAACTTTTTACCTTTAAGAGTTGTTTTTTGTAGATTATTTTTATCTTTTAAAAATTAAGTAAAAGAAATTTCCTTCTATTTCTAGATTGTTAACAGTTGCATTGTGAGCAGACAGTGAAATTTATCCAATGTTTTTCTGCCTCTTTTGAGGTGAACTTATTTTTTTCCTTTAATTTCTTAATGTACTGAATCATAACACTGTTCTTCTCACGTTAAATTGACATCCTGCTTTTGGTATAAATCTGGATTTGTTATGATTTTTAAACATTGGTGGATTCAGCTTTTTTTTATTATTATTATTTCTGATTTTATGTTCGTTAATGAGATTGACCTGTGATTTTTCTTTCTCTCATTGTCTTTTTCTGGTTTGGTATTAGGATGAAGGTGAAAATGAGGTGAAAAGTCTTCCCTCTGTCACTACGTTTGGAAAAGTTTGTATCCAATTGAAATTATTCTCCCTGGATTGTTTTGAAGAACTTTCAGGTGAAAATATCTGGGTTTAGGACTTTCTCTGTAGGACAATTTTTGACTATTCAATTTATGTAACAGTTACTTGCTATTTCCTCTTGAATCGAATTTCATAACTGATAACTTTTGCAGAATTTACTGTTTTAATTTTCAAATTAATTGGGCAAAATTTTTTATACCATTGCACATACTGATCCATCTGCTGGATCATCTATTTGGCTTTTTTTTTTTTAAGAGAGAAGAGAGAGAGAAGTTTCGCTATGTTGCCCAGGATGGTCTCAAACTCCTGGCCTTAGGCAATCCCCCCCCGCCCCCCGCCAATTCCCCCCTCCAACTCCCCCCTCCAACTTCCCCCTCCAACTCTCCCCTCCACTCCCCCACCCCCCTACCGCGTCTTGGCCTCCCAAAGTGTTGGGATTACGGGCGTGAGCCACAACGTGCAGCCTCTTTCTGCACTTTTTTTCTTTTGAAACTAATTCTTTCTTATCTTTTAGGTCTCAAGAGTAAGTTTGGTTCCTAGGTGTTCACTGAACCCCTTCAGGCTGGGTTAAGAACAGATCCCTGCAAGCTGACACTTTGACCAGGTGGGTGAGAGAATCCGGGTGGTGCTTTCGTGGAGGGCAAGAGAAAGAGAGCGCAGCCTCCTCAGGATGCAGTTGCTGAATAGAAGAGCTTTTCAGTAAATATATGTTTCTCCAGCCCTTCTGGAATATGAAAAATCTGTGTAACAGACTTTGAGAGAGCCGGAAGCCAGGATGAAGAGGGAGGTCCCATAAAGACTCAAATCAGGCTCTCAAAGAGTTCCCAGTAATGGGGAATGAGACCACCAAATGCACCCCGTTGCTTTCACCACGCCTCCGGCACTCACAGGAGGGTGTCCACGCAGGCGTCGTTCGTTCCGGGGGCAGGCCTCGCGCGCGCCTTTCCTTCCTGTGTGTTTCCCACCGGCACATCACTAGTGGGAGGTCAGAATGCTGCCAGTCAAGGATGGCTGGGTCAAATGAAGAACTGAAATGAAAACAACCACTACGAAGTGGTTCGAACTGCAACTTTCCGGGCCTAAAGCCTGGCTCCTGCCCCCTCTACCACTCAGCGCCACCACCGAGTGGTTGCACAAGATGATACGCATTTTCTACATTATTCTCTAAGTGCCCGCTATACTCTTGGGCTTTTAACAAACGTCTCACTAGAGACTATTCAGCAGGGCCTAGTTTTGGTTACCAAGCGGAGCCAGGCCTAGGAAGATGCCTCTATTTAATGCTAATTGCAGCTGTTGCAGCTGAATTGGACGCCAAGCTGAGAAGGTCGCCTGAGGGGGTCTTTCTCGTTCACCTGGTGATTTTCATTTATTTCCAGAGGGTCTCAATGCTGAATGCAAACTGATCATGTGTAGTAGTGATTATAGAGAGACATTCAATGCTTTTCTTTTTCCCTTTCTTTACAACTTTTTGTCACCAGCTGAGAGAAGCAACGTGGTGCATGTGCAAAATTTGGTGTAACATTTGGTGTCAAGTTAAGGGTAGGAGTTTGGAGAAAATCCAAATACTCACTTTGCATTACCTTGTTATTGTGTGACACTGGCAAGTTATTTAGCTTTTGTATAATTTACACTATCTTTGAAATTAGGTTAACAACAGAAATCATGTCATATAAGTAGAACCATACAATATATATATAAAATCCAGGTTAATAGCCAATCTTACAACATTTCTCATATTTTTTGCAGTTGCTAAGCCATGGGACCACGTGGCCTAATGGATAAGGCGTCTGACTTCGGATCAGAAGATTGAGGGTTCGAATCCCTTCGTGGTTGATTCTCCCTTTTTCACTCTAAAACAAGACTGCACAACCTCCCACACCACAAAATTATAGCATCCAATTAATTTCCGAAAGTGAACGTGAATTCTCTGCAGTCCTTTCCCGTGGAAATGGGAAGTTGCATCACACACCTCTTTGGAGTTGCGAGTGATTCAGGTGGGGCCAGCACACCACCTTTCAGCTGTTTGTACTTTGGAGGAAACGCTTGGCCAGGCTGGCACACAGGTGCCTGGAGTCCGGGGTGGGATGGAGAAAGCGTGAGCCCTGGTCCGGGAGTATCCTCTTCCCGCCTGTTGAATGGGCTCAGGGAACTCAGTTGAATGCATCTTAAGGAGCTTTATTCACCTGGTCCCGCAGGGGGCGACCATCACGTTTCCACTGGTCCCCAGTAGGCGCTACAAGTTTGACTCGCAGACACACAAAAGAGTGTAACTTGAGAGCCTTGTCTTTTTGAGGTCAGTTTAAATATCGCCCCCTTTCTAAAATTTAGAGGAGCTGAAGAAACACACGCCTTAAAACCTGCTCATGATTCAGGTGGATGTGGTCGTTGACCGGAAGCTTCTTTCTCTACCGGAGCCCGCTCCTGGGTTCTCCCTCACGTCGCGGGGCGAATTAGACTGTCCGCAATATCTGAGGAACCAAGGTGTTAACAGAGACCTGAAAACAGGAGAAGAGGCGAGCCAGGAAAAGATCTTGAAGAAGAGGAAGCAGTTTCTCCAAAAGGCGAAAGAGAGCCTTTGTAATGCCCTTTATAATAAACCAGTGAAAGTCAAAACAATTGTCTGGTCAGGAAGATATAAAAAATAGAACAACAAAAAAAATTAAACCAGTAAACGTTAAAACAAAACAAAAGGGGAAAGAATCTGGCCAAATACATTTGAATACTTTTATGAAATGGAGAAATTATTAGGACGACATGACTATTAAGTACGATTCAAGAAGGAATAGCAATAATGAATAGTTAAACTACGAAATAAATTGAAAAAGTTGTCAAACATCTTCCTACTGAGAAAACCCCATGTCCCATCACTTACCCAGGGTTTACGAGGTCAGGAAACTGAGACCATCCCGGCCAATATGGTGAAACCCTTTCTCTACTAAAAATAGAAAAAATTAGCTAGCTGGACGTGGTGGCGGGCGCCTGTAATCTCAGCTACTGGGGAGGCTGAGGCAGGAGAATCGCTTGAACCCGGGAGGCGGAGGTTGCAGTGAGCCGAGATCGCACCACTACACTTCAGCCTGGCGACAGACTGAGACCCCTTCTCAAAACAAAAACAAACAAACAAGAAATCCAACAAGACACGATCTCCTCCATAGTATAGAAAAAAGAAAAAAGAGGGAAAAGACCCACAACTATACTTGCAGAATGGCTTCATGATATTTTTCCAGACAATGTACTCTAAACAGTTTTATTGAGGCATAATTCCCATGCAATAAACTGCACAAGTTTAAACTATGTGTAAGTTTTACACATATATGCAATCATATATGTATAACATGTGTAATCATGAAACGACCAGTACAATAAAGATAATGAACATAGACATCACCCCCAAAAGCTTCCTCCTGCCCTCTTGTAAGCCCTGTTCCCCTCTTACAACCAGATATGCTTTCCATCATTACATGTTCATAGTTTTCAGAATTTCATGTGAGTGGGATCATACAGTATGGACTCTTAAAAAAATTCTTTCATTCATTATCATTATTTTGAGGTTCAAGCAATTCTCTTGCCTCAGCCTCCTGAATAGCTGGGACTACAGGCACCCACCACCGTGCCCAGATAAGTTTGTATTTTTAGTAGAGACAGGGTTTCACCATGCTGGCCAGGCTCGCTTCGAACTCCTGACCTCGTGATCCACCCGCCTCAGCCTCCCAAAGTGCTGGGATTACAGGCGTGAGCTACTACGGCCAGCACTTTGCCAGAGACTTTTAAATGGTTGATTTGAAAAAAATAATTTTCACCAGTTTCACTTGGAAGCTGGTCTGCAGAGCTCTTTTCACTTCATGTTGAAAGTCAATCTCTGGAGGTACCTCTCATACATTACTCATCCCTGCATATATATTTCCCCTCCCTCATCCTTCCTACTTAATTTCATCATAATTCTAAATTCAGGGTTTATTGGTTATAAAAAATTATTCACAGCTGTGCTATATAGTACTATGATTATATTTCTTATGTGCCTTTTAGTTTTCTGCAAAGTTATTAACTGCCTTTTACTTTTTCTTTATCTTTTATGATCATGTAACCAATTCATTCTCAACTGATTTTCCTTGAATTTAAGCAACTCTCAATATAGTGAAATACCTCAAAGAACCTATCAATTTTAATATTTTCCTTAGTGGTCTCCTCTCTGGAGCCTTTGTATCCCTGCTTCAATCTGGACTGGTTGTTCTCTAGGCATGTTACACAGGTGTCTTCTTGGGGCTTTTCTTCCACCGACCTGGGATATACTTTGCCTTCTTCCTGTTTTGGACCCTTATGTTTTCCTTTTTTTAGTGTTGTATCATTTTGATGGAGAATAACCTCTAGGAATTTTCTGAGAGGGTGACTCTGTCTACAAATGGCTTTATAACATACTCAGTTTTGATTGATAGTTTGACTAATAAATTAGACAGGAAATTCTTTCTGTCATAATTTATGACATTGTTCAATTGTCATTTTCAACTCTTCCTTCTATCAAAGGAAACATTTCTAAATAAAATACACAGATGCTGCTTTCTGTTCAGATTTAGTTTAAAATCCAAAGCAAAAAAGAAAATTTTTTTTGCCTGATTCTGGTATCTTGCCTGGTGGGAAGCTACTCAGGAATTTCTGGAAAACAGAACTGTATACTCTGCTTCTAGCCACCATGATGACAAGTATGTGACACATAAGAATTGTCCGTTATGGAATTTTCTTGAAAAAAATATTAGGCAAACTGGAAACAAGCTACCAAGTATGACTGTCTGGCATCTCTAAACTACTACAATTATTTAAAAATAAATATTCAAATGTCTCTCAATATGGATATCAAACCCTTTTCTCCTTGTCACGGGTGACAAGGCAAATCAGCACACCTACCAAAAGAACAGCCAGCACTAGGAAAATGCAGCTAGAAAGGACTGTGGACTCTGCAGTTTAGTTTACAAAATCAGGCAAGGACTGTAGGACACCTCTATCCATTCATACCTCAACTCACTCTAGAGATCTGGAAGCTCTAGGTCTTTCAGAGCAGGAACTCTGAGCTTGGTGCAAGGACACAAGGAGTCAGAAGCTTACTCCAAGGATCAATTTGAACAACCCAGGATTCCAAACAATTCTGGAGTTTCCGTGTTGTGGCAAGAGGAGAGAAGACCCACTTCTTGGGGCAATGAGAAGATCCCCAAAAGTCATAAACTCCTAACTTACCCTAGGCTCTTACTTTGTGCTCAGAACTGTGCTTAGTGCTTATATCCATCATTTATATCTGTGTAACAAACCTTACTCAAATTTAGTGGCTTAAAACAACAATTGTTTCTTCTGTTTATAATTCTTCAGGTCAATGATTGGAGCTGTGTTTAGCTGGGCAATTCTTTTGTTGATTTTGTCTTGGGTCACTCATATGACTGTAGTCATCTGGCAGCTTGACTGAGATTGGATGGTCCAAGATGGTCCCACTAACATGTGTGGGGTGTCAGCTGGACTGCCTGGGATGGCTGAGATAGCTGAGACTCTTTCTCCATGTGGTCTTCCACCTAAGATGCTTGATGAGGTTTCCAGCATCTTGTACCAACTTGGTATGAAGGTTCTAAGAGGTGAGTGACAAGGTTTCTTGAGGCCTAATTTTAGAACTCCTACACCACCATTTCTACATCATTTCACAGAATTCTGTTGGTCAAAGCAAATCACAAAGTCAACTCACATACAACAGGGAGGGAAACAGACTTGGCCTCTTGATGAAAGCTGCTGCCAAATCACATTACAGACCTGGTGTGCTGGCTCACGCCTGTAATCGCAGCACTTTGGGAGGCTGAGGCAGGCGGACCACTTGAGCTCAGGAGTTCAAGAACAGCCTGGGCAATATGGCGAAACCCTGACTCTACTACTATAAAAATACAAACATTAGCCATGCATGGTGGCGCATGCTTGTAATCCCAGCTACTTGAGCAGCTGAGGCACAAGAATCGCTTGAACCCAGGAGGTGGAGGTTGCAATGAGCCAAGATTGCACCACTGCACTCCAGCCTGGGGGACAGAGCAAAACCCTGTCTTGAAAAAACAAAACAAAACAAACACACATACGCACACACATTACAGAGGGATATGCATACAGGGATGGGAGGAACTTGCAGCTGTTAATCAATTGTTAATTTATTATCAAACAACACGGTGAATAGCCCTCCTATTGATATGTTCATTGTACATCTTGTTTAAGTAAATTATCCACTATCACTTTTTTTTTTAAACAAGTGTTAATTCAAGTTGGTCTGTAGGTCTTGTTTTGAACCCACTTTTACCTGGTGGGCAGCTCAGGATGGGACCAGGGAGAATGTAAACATTTCAAAATGCAGCAGCAGCTAGAAAAGAACAGGTAGTGCTGAGCATTTGCACATGGGCAGTCATAAATCTGTGAAGAGGGAGAGCTGTATTGTGTCTCCAGGATGTCACAGATGTTTAAGATCCAGAGGGTGAGATTAGTGGCCCACATGTAGGCTTCCTGCTCAGCTCGGAGGCTGTAATGGTTTGGTTTATTTTTTGAGACTCAATACCTGTGTCTCTGTCATAACTGCAGACATCATAGGCTCATTAAGAATCCCAGAGGAATGAAGAAACTGAGGTAGGGAAAGCAGATTCAGAGACAAGAAAATTCCCACTAATACAGTGATTTTAAAAACCTAAGATCGTCCTTGTTTCACAGAGTTGAAAAGTCACACAGAAGTACTAGTTATGAATTTTTATATATGCCTGATCTATCTGGGCCTGAGACTGTGAAGGTCAGGTTTCTTTGTTTGAGACAGGGTCTCACTCTGTCACCCAGGAACCACAGGCACGCGCCACCACGCCTGGCTAAATTGCATTTTTTTGTAGAGACAAGGTTTCATCATGTTGCCCATGCCTGGTCTTGACCTCCGGGCTCAAGAGACCAGCTCTCCTCAGCCTCTCAAAGTGCTGTGATTATAGGTGTGAGTCACCACACCCGGTCAGTTTCTTATTGAAATGAATACTGTGAAGAGCTGTTTTAGCGACTGTCATACACTTGTTGCCGAGGTATTGGACAAAGGCAAGCATCAAAAAGGACCGTGTGACGACGTTTATCACCCATGACCTTAACCAGGGAATTTTAAGTCAAATCACGCGAGGGTTCTGAGTGCAGTCTAAATCTGAGTACATACATCGCTGAAAGAAATCTCAGGCGCAATAAGCTCTCCCTGTTTTTGAATTTCTACAGGTCGGAGAATAGTAAAACTGCTCCAGGTGAGGCTTGAACTCACAACCTCGGCATTGCTCACAGGTGCACTGTCTTATAAGTACCGCGCGCTAACCGATTGCGCCACTGGAGCCACAGAAATAATAAGGATTTGGAAAGGTATAAGAGAAGATGCTCTTACAGATTGACGATGAACTCTTTAAACATTGTTTTTTAAGGTATTAAATAATATGAACTTTAGGCACCTTCTAATACAGGACTTCCACGAATGGGATGAAAAGCAACAATCAAGAGAACCCTGGAATTAGCTGATCCGGAGCCCTTTTCCTTCCAACTCAGAGATGCCCTAGGGACTCAGGGTTGACGTCACCGGTACCTTGAATTTCTGCTCAGATTTTCCCACGGCTTCTCTAAAGTCAGACAATAATTTAAAAACATTTGAATGAAAGTCACATCGGTTCACCAAAAGCAGGAAGCTAAGATGGCTGCATGTAAAATAGACGTGTCAATCACTACATTCGGAGTGAAGTTTCCACCAAGAAGCGCGTATTCCGCCTGCACAAAACCAGCGAGAGCATTTTCCATTGTTTCGGAATCCCGCGGGCTTTTCATTTTCGCCATTCTACTTCCTGTCTCTCCACTCTGCGTTCGGCTACACTATTTGCTGCTTTACATGAAATGCCAACCTCCCACTCCCATCCAGACACTCGCTGATTTTAAATCTAATAATGTTAAAATACTTTGCTACTCGGAAACACTCAGAGAGCGAATATTTCCTTTACAAAAATCACTGTTTTCGACGTATAGATGCAACGCAGGCTAAGTAAATGCAGAAAAACAGTAATATAATTATTTAAAAATTTGCCAAAGTCTCATATCTTGAGAAATCCATTGTTTACATTTGTTATATTTCATGTCGGGCTTTTTCTATGAAGGTTTAACAGAGAAAGATTAAATATTTTTAAAATTTTTGTTAAAGTAATTGAACAACATAACAAAATGGCCCCTCTCACCAGCACATTCCTTTTTTGTTTTTTCAAACTGAATGTCCTTTGGCCTTCCTGTGATGTACAGTTATCTAGTGGGGTTCCCAGCACTGCATGGTAAACCACTTGAACCTGCCCACTTTTCTGAACTTTTGATCCCCTATTTCTACCACCTGCTGAAACAGTTCTGGTGTTTCTACCACATTGAGAGAGAGACATTTTTCTTTTTTTCCGAATAGGAGCCATCCGAACAGTGTGTTGGTTTCTTGACAGAGTGTAAAAATTCTGTATTCAGGGAGAGCGCTCCCATATCAGTGAAGTCTCCTTATCTAACTTTAGGTTGCACTCCCCTTCTTCACGAACTCTGAGAACCTAGTTTGACATGAGGCAGATTCTGAGTGGGAGCAGAGGCACATAATATTTGGCCAGACAGAGTCATCTGCATTGTTTTCAAGCAAGAAGGATATGCTAACCCTCAATAAGAAGGGATGGGCCACTTCTAAAAGTTTTGGGGGTCCTGGAAAATTTGGAGATTTGGATATTCTAATACATCAAACCAGATGTCTCCATGTTGAGATCTCAGCTCACTGCAGCAGCCTTGACTTCTGGGCCGAAGTGGTCCTCTTACCTCAGCCTCCCTAGCAGCTGGGATCATGGGTGTGTGTGCCTCTATGCCTGGTTCTGTTTCTTATTTTGCAGAGATGGGCTTTCCCTATGTTACCCAGGCTGATTTTGAACTCCTGGACCCAAGAGATCCTCCCGCCTCTGCCTCCAAAAGTGCTGGGATTACAGAAGTGAACCACCGTGACAGCTGGAAGCTAACTTCTTTTAGAGTTGTACATACTATTCCTATGATTAAGTCTTGAGCCTGAACTTTCGGTTTTGCTGCTGTTAAGTTGCAGATAGGAGAGGTCCTTTATACATCCCATGGAGAAACACTTTCACAGTTAGCCTTAATTTAATAATATATCATCCTCAGTCTTTAATTATCTCTCTCCAAAACATCAATTTCCTCTGGCAACGACCATCCAATTCTATTACGTTATAATTACCATTCCCCTCATGTTTCTCAAGCACCTAAAACTTCATGTCTGCTAGTGCATATTCTTCCACCAGTTTACCATGCCAGTTCAGGTTTGGCAAAAGTTTTGACAACTGCACTGCTACTTGTGCCAGTAGTTGTTTGTGCTCCACCCATCTTCTCATCATCAACCAGACGGTGAATAATTCAGCTTCAAAAATCTCCTCTTAGTATCTTCTTTCTCAGATCATATTTGGTACCAATAATTACTGGTTGGATTCTCTAGACAGTAGACTCTAAGATGGATATTTGCATTCAGAAAGTTTACTAGGGCATTAACTGACAATCAGTGTGGAGGGTTGGGGGGGGTGGCAAAGAAGAGGAGCAGAATTTGTCAGAGGGAAAAACTGGGGTGCAGTGCAAGCACAAAATGCCACCGGCCTACCCCTTGTGCATGTCTAGAGCTAGTATGGCCCTTCAAAGTTGTGCTAAGTTGAGCAGTCAGGGTTTGGCCTCTATGCCTCTCAGGGATGAGTAACTGGATACAGGCTGCCCTGGAAAGGGGAAAAACTTAGGCTGAGGCAATTCCTGAAGAGGAATGACAACTGAGAGGCATTAGGTGACAACCTTCCAAACATAAATCTTTCTGTCTGGGGGGCTCAGGTCATGTGGGCAATACATCATTTGTGACAGAGTAAGAAGGAGGAGGGAGATAAAATGAGTTCAAGCACCAGACAGGATTTTAAAACCACCATAGAGATTGTCGATGCTGCAGAAAACATTTTATTGGAGACAGTGGCAGGGCTCGTTCTGAAGGTGAGGAATCCAGGGTTGAGATGGGAAATCCCATCCTTCAAAAGATAAAGGGCATTCCTCTCCAGGTGCCATAACCTGAATGCACTAAAGATCAGACAATTAGGAAAACTTTTGTAGGGCCAGAGATAGGTTTTGGGTCCCACAAGCATGGAGATGCCCTCTCTTCTTTTGAAGCAATGTTCTTGCTCCCACAGGAGAATGGCTGGTAGGGGGAGGTGTCATGGATGAAAACTGAGCCAAAACAGTTGGAAACTGATGATACACGTTTGTCCTAGGAGACAAAAAATGTTATGAAGTGGAACCTAAATTGTGTGACTGTGACCCCATTGCTATTTCTACACCTCCAGGGTAGAGAGAGATGGAAGAGTCAGAATGTCTAGGAATGTTCTTCAGGATGTGATGGCCGACTGAACCATTGTCGTGGAAGGATGATTTCCCTCTGGTGGATATGAATGATTCAACCTGTAACAGAGGTCTGGGGATTTTAGGTTTCCATTTGTTTCAGTCTTCACCCACATACTCTTGAGAGGCAAAAGAGCAGTAGCCTTCCAAATATAAATCTAGTTTGTGGAGAGTGGGAATTCTGGCAGTATGTGGCGGTGATTTACTCAGGTGGAGCCCATGCAGGAAGAGAGTGTGGTGAGAAGATGGGTATTCCTTTTTTTTGGAGGGGTGGGGAGAGCAAGTCATTAGGTGAGAAGTAGGGTTGCTCCTGCCCTTAACTCCACCTTCCTATTTGGTTTTGAATTGCTTCAAGTACGCCAGGATGTCTGTCTTGACTGAGCTGACCGTAGCCCGGTGGGACCAGCGCATGACAGGGATTCCATCAGGCCCCACCAGGAACTTTTCAAAGTTCCAACGGATGTCATGGACCTTTACAGGGTCCCAGGATATAGATTTGAATGTGCCCAAAATCTCAGAGGGATGAGGACAGGAGTGCTAAACCAGAGAGATGGAAAAGAGAAACAATGTTATTTCTGCTCCTGGATGATCCAGGCTATTTTTACCCACAGGTAATCCACCCCCTCCTATACCTAGATATTTTAACTTCCTGATATTCCTAAAAAACTCCATAAATTCTTGAATCACCACTATGCCAACTACCAAGAATATTATAGATATTATAGCAAAATCTGCTCTCTTTCGGTTTCTCCCCATAGCCCCATAACAAAATTTTGCTGCCATGGATAAGACATGTTACCTTTTATGCTTTTGGTTTCCTTTTCTTCAAAGTAAATAGCTTGGATTGGAATGTGGTTTTCCAGGTCTTAGGGTTCCATGGGCCACTAATATTTCAATAATTGTCTTTTGGGACCAACACTGAATTACTAATATTTTGTCAAATAACAAAAATTTTTAAAACACCATCATTTTGTCACTTAATTTAAAAAGACCATTGGAAGAATAAACTGCGTGTGGGTCATAATTTGTGAATAAAGGGAAGTCCTATAAGTTAGACGAGTTGAGTTTATAAAAAACTTCCCACACTGTTCTTTTTTGTTTTTGTTTTTGAGACAGAGTCTCGCTGTGTCGCCCAGGCTGGGGTGCAGAGGCATGATACACTGTTCTATTGTCTTCAATTTATTGAGGATATATAAAGTCTTAACATGGACTGGTCTTGGTTCACAGTCCAGCATTTAGGAACAATTCACTTTGGTAATCTTTAGGGTTGTTTCAGCTCTGGCATTCTCTATGTCTAAAAATCAGTGTTTCATAAAAGGTACCTACTACACTGTATCATACCTGTTGGTTTGTTACTTTTTTTGTTTTTGTTTTTTTGAGACAGTGTCTTGCTTGGTTGCCTAGTGTGGAATGCAGTGGCACAATCATAGCTCACTTCAGCCTCCAGCTCCGGAGCTCAAGCAATCCTCTGGCCTCAGCCTCCCGAGTAGTTGAGACTACAGGTACGTGCCACCACACCCAGCTAATTTTTTGATTTGTTTTGTAGAGACAGGGTCTCACTATGTTGCTCAGGCTAGTCTTGAACTCCTGGCCTCAAGCAATTCTCCTGTCCTGCCTCAGTCTTCCAAAGTGCTGGGATTATAGGCATGAACCACCACCCCAGCTACATAGCTAATGGTTTCTAACTCTCTCTCCATTATAAACTCATCAAGAGTACAGACTATGCCTTATTCATCTTTATATCCTTATTATTTAGATTGCTTTATAAGTAGCGGGCATTCATCAAGTGTACCTGGAATGAATTAATGAATGAATGTCAATGAGCAAAAGAGGGTGGTCCTAGTAAAAGTTGCCATTCCACACAACTTTCTTCACCACACAGAGTTAGAGCCCCATAGATACTCACAGATTAATCTCCAGATCAGCATGTGCAATGTGGAATGCTGATCTGGAGATTTTTCTCCACAAAGACCAATCCCACCTCTGGGCATGAGCCCTTGGATCCATTTCTGCCACACCAACTCTATGTTAGCAATATTAGAAAAGAGGAGGAGGCTTATGCCAGGAATTTACTCACCTTCAAGAAACTGAAGACTTTCTGTTCTTTTTCACCATTCACATCCCCTTTCTCAAAAAGCTGGAAACTAGGTACAAATCCTCCCCCTGGACGGACATACCTGCAACAAGCCATAATGTTCCCAGGAAGCTCCAGGATATGCAAGTAAAGATTATAATGGGACACTAGGATTTGAAGTCATGAGAAAGGGGAGAAAGAGGGAAGTATCGTTGTGGGTGGGGAGGAATATGGCCATGTTTTGACTTTGGGCTCTCTGACTCACTTTATTTCTCTCTATCCCATGACTTGTCTCTTTTCCTCCATCCCTTCTGTCCTCCATAGTCCATCCAAGTCTCAGCCAGGGATGGAGAGAGAGTCTGGAAACTGCCAGACGCTCATCACGGTAGGCCAAAGTTAAACTCTGCTTGTAATGCCCCTGAGCCTATTAATCCATACCTCCCCAGAAAGTTCCTGAGCTGGAAGGGCCTCTGGAGACTGAGGAAAGGTACACAGGCGCCTCCTATTGGATTTCAAGAAGACACGTACTTGAGCCCAGGAAGAATCTCTTTGTTATCTCCTGGTTCTTGCTTTCCAAATTGGTTGCAGGGAAAGCCCAACACAACTAGACCATAGGGCTTCAGCTCCTCCTGGAGTGCATTTAGTTCTGCAGTTAGAGGAGGAACAATTTTGGTCTAGGTAGAGGTTCTGCCTTGTGCAAGGATGATTCCCTGGGGTTACCCATTTTACAGAGAAGGAAACAGAGGCCCAGGGAGGGAAACAGCTCTGCATCAGAAGGGCTGTTAGTAGCATAGCTGAAGTTAGAGGCCGGATCTTCAGACGTGCGCTCAAAAGCCCTTTGTCATGGTGCAGTGTTTTCCATACCTGCAGCACATCAGAATCAGCTGAAGGCCCTTTCCTAAAAATAGGGATGCCCAGGTCCCATTTCAGAGAGTTTTCTGTTCCTCTGAAATGGGGCTTAGTCTTCTTTATTATTCAAAAGTTCAACAGGTGACTTTTCTTTTCTTTTCTTTTCTTTTCTTTTCTTTTCTTTTTTTTTTTTTTTTTTTTTTTGAGACAGATTCTCACTCTGTCGCCCAGGCTGGAGTGCAGTGGCGCGATCTCGGCTCACTGCAACCTCCGTCTCCCAGATCCAAGTGATTCTCCTGCCTTAGACTCCCGAGTAGCTGGGACTACAGGCACTTGCTACCATGCCCAGCTAATATTTCTGTATTTTTAGTAGAGACGGGGTTTCGCCATGTTAGCCAGGACTGAGCTTCTCTCCTCTGTGCAGCCTGGCTCACCCTGAGTGGAGTGGAAGTAAAACTGACAAAGGCAAAGACAAACAGAGAAATCTGAAATCAACAATCCTAACATTTTTCAACAGTCCTTAAGATGCTGAAGATGCATTCTTACTAAAAATCCTCAGTAATATGCTGAAAAACAAGCTTCAGCTGCCTTCGTCCACTACCAGGAAGTTTTCCAACTTGTCTGCTCAGACTTTTATAATCATCTTCTTTGTTAACCCTTTCTGAGCCAGATGCCTTTAGTCCCTTGACAAACACTAACCAGTCCCACTCAGATTCAGCTCAGCCAACTGGTACCTCCTCTAGGCCTTTTTAAAAAACAGAGATTGCCTTCCTGTTTTCACAGGGTTCCTCAGTACCCCTCCCTATGTCCTTCTGTTATCTGTTATTTGCAGGGTGGAAACTGAATAAATCGATTCTTAAAGTCCCTATAAACTGGGAAAATAAATTGTGGTCCAATAAATATTATTCAGTCTTAAGAAAGAATGAGGAAATGATCTGAACTCAAATGTATTTTATTAATTAAAAAATCAAGGCAGCAAATAGTATTTATTGTGTGTTATCAGCTGGGGAGGGGGGAGCAGAAACAAGAATATCTATGTATTCTGTAAACAAGATAATATTGGTCTACTGAAGGGAGGGGAAGAAGGTGGAAACCTTTGGTTCTAAAGTTTTTTTCTTTTGAACTTTGAGACTTGTGAATATAATGCTTATTCAAAACATAATTAAAAACAAAAAATGAAGGTCTTATTACTTCAAATATAAGAAGTACATTTGTCTCTGGTATAATCCATCCTGATTGTTATTCACTGATTTTTAAACCACATGCCCTAAAATATGAGAAAATTCTTCCCTGAATAATGTACAAAAAGGGAGGAAAAACTACATCCTAAAAAGGGGTTGAGGTTGGAGAGGGAGTATTTGCTTCTATTACAGCCTCATCCGCCAGCCCTCACTCTAATCAAATGCAGTTCCAGGTATAAAACTCCTTTTTCTTGTCATTGTAAGTTACCTGTAAAACCTTGCAAAAGTCTCAAAAACATGGGTCTTCTGTCCTGTATTTATCAAGAAGACTTCTGGAATCTTCTGAGAGGCTCCTAGTTCTCAAGTATATATTGATTCCCCTGGAAATCTCAGGAAAAAGCAGAGGCAGGGCATGGGGAGGGGGTTAGCACATTTTTTCTGTAAAGGGCCAGATAGGAAATATTTCAGACTTTGTGGGCCACATGGTTTCCATCATCACTACTCCTACAACTACTAACCTCTATTTTACAGCATGAAAGCAGCCATAGGTGATGTGTAAATGAACGGGGACGGCTGCATTCCAATAAAACTTTGTTAACAAAGCCAGGCTGACCAAATTTGGCCTGTCCACCCAAGCTTGCTGACTTCTGATATGGAGGATGAAGTCACTTGATTATGAGTATTTATTTTGGTACATAATTATAATTAAAATATAATTCCAAGTATAATTTAGAATATGATCAGCTGGAAAATTTAGTCCCAAAGAGAAGTAACTATGAATTCTCTTACCAGGATATTGCGCTGTCAGACCACAGTAGGTGGCCACGTTGACGAAGAGGATGTGCTTGCCCACATACTGCTTGAAGGAAACATATTCATTCTTATTAAGTGCGATGGCCTCATAGTCATAGATGGTGCCTTTCTCGTCTTTGTGGCAATCCATCTGGAAGATTTTTTTTAAGTGATAATACTGGTAACAATAATTCCTGGCATCTGTGTAATCTTTCAAAGAAGTCAAAGAATAGTTATGTTCTAACCAAGATCTAGAAAACAAATAAGAGTTGTCTAAAGTGTCAATGACAAGACTGAAACTTGGTTCTTGTAACTTGGAAATAAAAAATCAAGTCTCATAAGCCAGGCAGAGAAAGACAAGCATTGCATGTTCTCACTTATTTGTGGGATCTAAAAATCAAAACAATTGAACTCACGGAGATAGAGAGTAGAAGGATGGTTACCAGAGGCTGGGAAAGATACTAGGAGGGTGGAAGGGAGGTTGGGATGATTAATGAGAAAAAAAAAAGATAGTTAGAAAGAATAAATAAGACCTAGTATTTGATAGCACAACAGGGTGACTATAGTCAATAATAACTTAATTGTACATTTTAAAATAACTAAAAGCATATAATTGGATTGTTTGTAGCACAAAGGAGAAATCCTTGAGGGGATGGATACCCCATTTTCCATAATGTGATTATAACACATTGCATGTCTGTATCAAAACATCTCTTGTACCATATATATATATATATATATATATATATATATATATATATATATATATATATATATATATATATATACACACATATATATATATACACATATATATACACACTTACTATGTACACTCCCCCCTCCACACACACACATAAGAATCAAGTTTCCTATTATTTTGAAAGCTGTGAGATACCAGGAAATACACGGATAATGGAAAAGGATATTGATTCATAAGCTGGGATGGTAGGAGCTGGAAGTAAGTGGGGCCGAAGAGAAAAGCACACTTGCCTTACATGCTTCTGTAAAAAACAGGCTACTCCTTGGCTCTGGATTGAAGGCCTCCTGTCTGGACTCTCTGAGAAGGGAGGGTTTTAAATTGCTGAACTATTTTTAGGATATCTTAGTTGCTTATCTTTCCCCAGGTCTTCTGACCTCTTACTCCACTCATCAGCAGGTAGAGTAGAAAGAACACTGCCCTGGGAATCAGAAGCCAGCTCCATTGTTAAATTCCTTTGTGAACCTGGGCAATTCCCATCCCTGGCCTTCAGTTTCCCCATGAGTAAAATGAAGATATTTATCTAGATTCTTACTAGAACTCCAAGTGGGCTTCCATGTTTAACATTCTAGAATCTAATATTATCCCCACCTTGAATAAATTTCTCCTGTCACTCTCTTACTAACATGGTGGTCATGTAAGCCAATACTCTGAAATCCCAGCTTTTGGTAGCTCTCAAGAAAGGAGATGGAGAACCCTAAAGTCCATCTGCAAGTGAGTCCCTGAAATCTGTTGGGCAGCATCACCCAGCTCATCAGCCCATTGTGCTCTAGGTGTCTAATATCCACTTTCATATTCCATTCCACCTATCCCATTCCTTCTCAAATCTCATGAACATATTAATATTTGAGCAGACTTCCATGCAACATTTGTTAAGTTCCACTTAATATAAATTAGCCCTGCCTGAAATTCTCATTGCATGTTCTTTTATTAAATTCCTCTACAAGGCAGGTCTCATCTTACTCCTCCTCTGTCTCTACCCTTACAGTGTTCATGCAGTACCCCAAGTGTACCGATGCCACAGTGCTCACCAGCACATGCTGATCCCTTTTCTTATACTGGGGAAGCTGCCACAAATTGCTCATGGAATACAGAATATATATGACAGGAATATGAAAAGGAAGCTCTATGTCCAAACCATCCGGTGAGAAAAAGGTGGAAAGGAACTGGCTGGAGAAAAGAGAGAAGGGCATTATTTGATAAGGAATGTCCAGACAAACTAGGATTAAACTAGACTTCCTGGAAATGCAGTAGTCTAGTAAGGATTTTGGTTGAACATCATCTGCCCCCCATTCAGAGAAGGAGTAATGCAAAACAAAGCAAAACAAAACACAACTTTTTTCTAGTCCTGTTATCCCACTGATTTTATCACCAGCATACTAGGTTGTAGCTACTCACTTCTTACTCTTGAGGAAAAAGATATTTTTCTATGCAGGTTTTTACACCTTTCCCTAAATTTATACATATATACATGCACCAGCAAAATTGAGGGATCTATAAAGAGAATATTGTGTAAAAGTATCTGTTTCTATCTCCATGTTACCTAGTTTCAAGTTAAACATTTGCAAGAATTTGCCTTTTTTTTTTCTTTTGCTACTGCAATGACAATCACTCACAGTCATGTTGGGTACCAGTATGCAAAAGCTTAGAGAGACTCTCAATTTGAAGACTTCCTTTAGTCCAGTTTACTTCTGATATTGACTGCTGTTTCAAATTTATTGAAGTCCATATAACGTGTCTCAATTATCTCTAGACGCAGCTTTTATTAAGCAAATTCTGCAGCCCAGAGTCTCCACACTCAATTAAGCACCACAGGTAACATAAAAACCATATCAATTCTCAAAATAGAAGTTCACCCAGGATGTTATCTAGTTAATTTTAGAGGCGAGGGATGGGGAGATGTTATTAGAACTGCATTTTGTAGAATGTATTATATGCATAATAATTGTTATTCACCCACCCATAAGGTAGTTACTGTTACCCATAAATTTACAATGAGATAACAGAGGTTAATTTGTCCAAAGTCAAAAGTGGTAACCCATTATGTAAATGAAAGTTTGCCTTTACCTAACTTCATGATTATTTTCTGCCTCCAAGTTATCGCATTCATTATTATCCTTTCCTAAACTGCCCCTTCTGCTGCCAGACACATGTGTCTTATCAATAAGGTAACGAGCCATGAATTGGGCATAGAACTGAGGCCAGAATCCAAGATGCCTGACTCCAAATCCAGTTGTTTTAGGGCTCTGATTTTTTTTTTCATGTTTTATGTTTCTCTGATAACTCTCTGATTTTATCCATCCTTAAAACTTCCACATTCGTTTTTTCCTCCTCTTCAAGGGGTTGTTGCTGAGCTGTGTCTGAGACAAGTCCACTCAGCTTCTCCTCCAAACCCCAGTCCCCACCTACTCTAAAGCCCATCGCTGTCCCAGCCTCAGACCCAGCTCTGAAGCAGAGACTGATGTGGCCAGAGAGGTCTCCAGGGGACCTCCACCTGAAGAAGGTATGGAGACCCTTTCTTCCCTAGTCATATGGAGACCCTTTCTTCCCTAGTCATATTCAACGCAAGGAATACCCATCCATAGGAATGAAGAAGATTCAAGGAGAAAAAAAAGCAAGGTTTAGGGGAACTGGCAAAGAAGAAGAAAGCAGGAGTTGGAGTCTTACAAGAAGGAGTGGAGGGCAGGGTCTAGAAGTAGGACAGAAGAGTAACTACCATGCCCTCTCTGAAGCTCACTCACCTTCATCTTCTCCTGCTTGGGACTTGTTTGCACAAAGCAGGCTAGGAGAAGGGGAAGCAGATGGACGACCCTTAACTGTGTAGTCATGACTAGTGTTTGTAGATTGCTAGTCTGGGGGCCTGAGGTCTTTGCCCACCTCTGCAGTCTTTTGGTATCTTGGCAGGGACTTAGCCCAAGCCCCCACAGGCCAGTCACAGGGCTGCAAGGATTCCCGACGCATGAGGTCGGGGTGAGGATCACAGAACTCAAACCACATCCTGTCCCACACACACCCCCGTGAGCACTCAGCGCTTACCACTGCAATGAGGACCTGGGACTCATAAGTTCTGGGAAAATTATAAATGGGTGATAGCAAGCCCTCTGAGGTCCTTAAACACGGCTGTCTGTTTTTCCTCAATGTATGGAAGTGTCTAGATGCTGATGCAACCTCCCAGTAAAGTCACTGCAAAAGGGTTGGTCTAGACATTTCAAATGTTATTTCTAATATTATTTGAGCTTAAAAATAAATCAAAGAATGGGCCGGCCATCTAGGATCTCTCAAAAAGAGTTAGGAGGAAACTGGCTCGAGGAGGGGAAATAGTCACAATGTATGCGAAGGACAGCAAATTAATACAAATCCTTAGAAATGATTTCAAGTGCTTATATATCAGTAAGAAAAAACTACCAGACCAACAGAAAAAAATGGGCATGAGGCAGAAAATCAAATGGCATCTGTGGTAGGATACAGTGTTCTCTCTCACCAATAATCAAAGAAGTATAAATACGAAAAGACACATTCCACACTTATCAGATTGGCAAAAGTTAAAAGGAATGGTGATTCCCAGCCTGGGCTCCGTCTGGTATAGGAGTCTCTTACACGATGGGTGGGGGAATGGCGAATACTAATGTTGCCAACTTTCTGGACAATAATCTGACATTCTGAATGCAGTGCTTTAAAAAAGTAAATAACTTTTAAAAAATAATATATTTACAAAAATTGCAAGCATTCCTCTTTTTTTTCTATTTTTTTTAACTTTTATTTTAAGTTCAGGGGTACATGTGCAGGTGTGTTATATAGGTAAACTTGTGTCATAGGGGTTTGTTCTACAAATTATTTCATCACCCAGGTATTAAGCCTAGTGCCCAGTAGTTATTTTTCCTGATCCCCTCCCTCCTTCCACCCTCCACCCTCTAATAGGCCCCAGTGTGTGTTGTTCCCCTCTATGTGTCCAGGTGCTCTCATCATTTATCCTCCACTTATAAGTGAGAACATGTGGTATTTGGTTTTCTGTTCCTTCATTAGTTTGCTAAGGATAATGCCCTCTAGCTCCATCCATGTCCCTGCAAAGGACATGATCTTGTTTTTTTTTATGACTGCATAGTATTCCATGGTGCATATGTACCATATTTTATCTAGTCTATTATTGGTGGGCATTTAGGTTGATTCCATGTCTTTGCTATTGTGAATAGATAGTGGCAAGTACTACTCTTAATAGCCTGGAAGCCCAGAGCCCAAGAAGAATCATGGAAATGAGACACAAGTCCCTCTAAAAATAAAGTTGCTTTGCCTTTCAACTGGTATACAAGCCCCATTCATTCAGCAACAGTTTCCAATGACCTCTCAGTAGTCTTGGCTAAAATTTTAGACTATATGAATTGATGAATGCAGGCCTGGAGCCCCGGGAATTTCTGGGTTTCTCACATAAATAACATAGTTAATCACTGCTGACTTCACAGGAGATGGACCAAGACATTCTTCCCTTTTGTCTACCATACAGTTTTAATTTTTGGACCCCTAGCACTAATATTTAATTAATCATGCTCCTAAGTTCACAATCATTTGTCCTTGCAAGTCCCCTCTCTTGTTTTATTTATTATTTATATCCTTTGCTTCCCAAACTCCACTTTCCTTCCCCTCACTATCATAAGTGTATTTAATATGTTTAATATGCATATTATTTGTATTCTTGAACAATTTATATATTCCTCATTAGATTATTAGCTCTTTAAAATTAAAAAAAATTAGTTACTCATTTTTTCCCCCTATTTGGACCTGAGTTTCAAAGGGTTGAATTATACTCTTAAATTTATGGCATTTGTCGTCATTAGGCTGTGCAGGGATTCTCTCACATTAATTAAAAAAATTTTTTTGTCCCCAATCCACTGGCATTTTCCTACCTTTTAGAGAGAAGGAGTGGCAAAGGAACAGATATTACAGACTGGAAAGTGTTGGTGCGTTGGCTGTTTCTAATGCTTTGAAACTACAAGAAAGGAGTGAATTCAGGAACTTAATGGGCTCTAATGAGATAAAGAAATGCTGAAAAATCTGTGGATTAGTGAAAAGGCTCAGGGTTGTTTCCCTCACTGCTCTTCCCACACATCTCCCCTCCTCCCATAAGATTGGCACTGCCAGCCCAGCTTTGCTGAACTTTCATGTTTAGGAAATGATAAATTCTTCCTCTCCAGTTCTAAGTTTGTTTCCAACCAGCCCCCTCCACCAGCCCTGCCTCTTCCAGGTTCACACAAAATCCTGCCTCCACCTCCTTGTAACTGAAGTCTAAGTGAGGTTTAATTCTTGAAGTCTCACTGGGTTTAATTTTCCACCAGTCTCGGGGAGTCTGGGCATTCAAGAGCTCTCTTGGAAAACAGAAGCTTTTGGTTATCTCAGATTTCTGATCTCTTCTTAGAGCCCTTTAATCTAAGAGCCCTCTAATCTAAGGGGAGGAGCCCATGCAATGCCTCACCCTGCCACAAAACACCCCAAGCCCTTCAGGTTTCCTGCTTTGTGGTACCTCCTGGCCCCAGATGCTGACTCGCCTGCCCGTCTCCCCTCTATCACAGTTCAAAGAACTGTGGAGATCAAAATATCAAACCTCATTCCTTCCCAAGTTATGTGACTTTGGGCAAGCTGCTCTCTGTGCCTCTGGCCCTCATCTGTAAAACTGCTAGAATAATATGAACTTCATAGGGCTAATTTTAGGGGAAAAAAAGAGATTAGTTTAAACTTACCACTGGACCCAGCCCAAGAAAAACACCCAGAGTTAATTCAACAGATGAACAAACAGGTGCTCAAATAGAAAATCTGATTTACCCAAAGCCTGTGTTTAGAGATGGCTGCTCCTCCCTTGCTATTATAAATTCCTTACTTTCCTCACCACTTTATCTTTGCTTGTCACACAATAACTAACTTCTAGAGCAGAAGAGAAACTTTCATCATAAACTATGCCTCAATGGTCAGATCAAATGGCCTTCTCAAGCCCCTTGTTCCATTGTTTCAGTTTCCCTGGAGGCAAGATCTCTGTTCAGGGAGCTCATGCTCAGCAGGAGGCCACATGGAGGGACTTCTTGTCATCATCCCCTGATTGTCTCACATAGTAGCTGCCTCCCAGCCAGAGCCACATATCAAATCCCTGTTGCCTCTTTTCTGGAATGCTGAAATCATCTCCTACTTGTCTTCTCTCTTCCAGACTCTTCCTTTCTACAGTTTTTCCTTTACCCTATTGCCACTGGAAACTCTAAACACCTATCTGATATCTTTCCCCCTAAAAAGAGCCAGCGATGCTAACCAGTTTATTATAGCATCAAATCCAGAATCTCCAGCAAGGTATTCGAAGCTCTCCTGATGTGCTCTTAACCTCCTTCTAGTTTTCACTCCCAGTAGCTCCCTATGTGCATCTCTCAGACAGCTACAGTCTTTCCATTCTTCAAAACACACCTCCTTGGATTTAGATTTTTGACCTTGGAGGTCAATGGTGCTGAGAACATTGAGATCCCACCTCCCCTGGTCCAAATTATATACATTACGCAAATTATACATACATATAAGTAATTTGACAGGAGAAGGAATTCCCACTGAAAGACAGGAAATACAATTTTATCAAATTTTACCTATCAAGATTTTTTTTTTTTTTGAGACACAGTTTTGCTTTTGTTACCCAAGCTGAAGTGCAATGGCTTGATCTCGGCTCACTGCAACCTCTGCCTCCCGGGTTCAAGAGATTCTCCTGCCTCAGCCTCCTGAGTAGCTGGAATTACAGGTGTCCACCACCATGCCTGGCTAATTTTTTGTATTTTTAGTAGAGACAGGGTTTCACTATGTTGGCCAGGCTGGTCTCAAACTCCTGACTTCAGGTGATCCACTTGCCTCGGCCTCCCAGAGTGCTGGGATTATAGGTGTGAGCCACCACGCCCGGCCTACCTATCAAGATTTTAGGTGAAAATGTTTGTAGCCTGAGCCATAGATTAAGGCTGAAAAGCCAATCCAGGCCTAAATTAAGCTATAAGGTCTGTCACTTCCTGACTTTAAAAATCCTATAATTACAAGCAGTTCATGATCTTAAACGTGGTGGGACACCTGGGTGGGAAAAATCAATGTCTCAATTGCTGCCTAGTTTTCTCAACCAGACTCCAATTTTTCCTTGAGGTCGTATTCTTATGAGAATAAGTTTTCTGCCCAAGGTCACGTAGTTAGTGAGTGGCAGTTTACAAATTGAAATGAGGGCTTTCAGACTCCCTGTCCTAGTTTCTGGTAATGACTTAATCCTACCTGAAAGTCAACATCAAGTTTTTTGTTTTTAGTTCCTTTGATTAGAAAGGAAATAGGTTTGATTCTTTCTCAGGGACAGTACACCTCTTTATTCAGATTCAAACCATAGCCTCTGAAACCACCCAAGTCTAACTTAGAGAACTCTGTCCACCCTTTGGTTTTACTTGACTATTTTCCGTGAATTAGAAAATCTCCCTTGGCATCTGGCATCTCCATTCAGGCCTCCAGGATTTTTCTTACTCTAGTTTTGTAAGCATGAAGCATAGGATCTACTCCAAGTCTGCCATTTTAAGTTACTATTACTTAAGTTTATACAGAATTTATAGTTTACGAGCCTCTTTCACATCCATAATTTCATTTAGCCCTCACAATCAGCCAGTTACAGAGGTAGCATGGGCATCTTCAGCTCAAATTCGCAATGGAAAAGTAAGTTCAGAAAGGAAAGGCGACTTGGCCAAAGATTCACAATAGTGTAAATGTAGACCATAAACTTGAGTTTCAATTTCAAATCCGCTAGTTGCTTCACCCTCAAGGCTCAATTATTCATAATGTATGTGTTTGGAAATGGAAGCAAATTCTAGAGAGATCACTAAATGTCCTTTGGCATTTAATTTTCATTCTCACGTGTTCTTAACTTTCTGATCTTCCCCAAACATGATGAAGTTTGGGACTCACCTATGGTTGAAGCTGGCTCTGGCCCTAAACCTGAGCCTTCACTGAGGCAGCTGGCCCTGACACGCAGACTTCCTGAAGGGTCTCTTGTTTATGCCAAGCTTTCCTCCTCCAACATGCTCCAGGAAGAACTCTGCTTCTTGGAGGCTGGGGTGGGGAGGTGGTGAGAGAAATAATGTGCACTCCCCTAGATGGTGTTCCTATTACTCCTGCTTTAATGGATCCGGAAGGACGTTGGGGAGAGAGCACTGTGTCCTTGCCCACACACAGGAATTTGAGTGACCCACACCATTCCAAACCAGATGCCCTCACACCTGGAAATTCTGCAGTCTATGACTCAGATCCTTACTGCTCCCCAAGAAAGAATAAATATGCCTCACATCACCAGCACACACTGCAGACCATCACCAACAACTCAATAGAACTGTGGAACATGGAGAATGCCGCTCCTCTACAGGCCTGAATTTACCTATTTGCACAAAGCGGGAGTTGGATCAGAAAAATCACCAAATTCCCTTTTAAGGCAGACAGTTTATTTTCTCAGCTTTTCAGAGATTCTCATCATTGGCACTTATCTGACCAATTCTTACTCCTAGAAGACTGGGAAACACGAGTAACAATCAATACATTTTGAATTCAAACATTCGCCTTATAGGTCATGTTTTTCAGGCCACAACAATATACATAAGAAGCACATGCTCAGTAAAGTTTAGAGATTGTCTCATCCAAGTCACAAGGCCTAGGCAGATAATCTACAACTGTGTCCCCATAACAGTTGCAATCAGAATCTGATTTAGAACAAATTAAAGGCTGAGACAATTTGGCTTCTCCTTTCTCGCTCTGCAATCCCTCAGCCTGTGGCAACTTGTGAAAGGCATCAAAGCCAGTAATAAAACACCAGGTTTTGATATAGAAACACCCTGTAGACATCCCAGAAATATCCCAGGGACAAATGTTGGCTGTCTTCCTGGCTATGATCAGAAGGGGCAGACAATATTTACAGGTGAAGTGATATGTTGTTTGGAATTTAGTTCGGAATAATTCAGTGAGTATGGGTATGTGTGCAAGGGTGGGGGCTGTGGTAACAAGCTTTTTCAGATGTAGGTAAAATGAAATTAGCGGAGAGTTGTATTGATTATAGATGCAGTGGGTAACAGGTATGTGAGCTTAATTATACTCCTCTCTACTTTTTATATATGTTTGAAATTTTCCTTAATAAAAAAGTTGAATTAAAACCTAACAAGCTGGGAGCTTCAAGGTTGGGACCTTCTTTAACTGATGGATAGAAAAGGAATAGAGCAGATAAGAATATATATAAGAGATAAATGGAGCAGGAAGGAAAATGAAAAAAGAAAGAAGAAAAAGAAATAATGGGAACTTATATCAGCATTTATTGAGTTGTTACTGTGTATGCCAGGCATTTCCAGATATAAATTCTTACTTAATCTTTAAAAGTCACACTGTTATGTTCTTTCACAAAAAAAAAGAACTTGATACACTGAAAAATTAAATAACTTGCCCAAAATTGTGTAGCAAGAAACAACTTAAAGCCAGGATTGTTTAAATCCTGAATCCAAACTCTTTTTCTCGTACACAATGAGGAGAGAGAAAAGGAGAAAGTAATGAGAGGTGGCAAAGGGTAAAAAGTGTAGAAGAGAAAAAAAAAAAAAAAGAAAAAAGTGAGATTCAGTGAATTCAGAATCAGGGAAGCAGTTAAGAAGCCTTCCAAAGCTATCACTGGAATAGAAGGTAACTAGGGCTGGCATTACTCAAACCTTGACCCTTCTGAGGGATGATTAATCTTTCATTTTAGGCAAGTTAGCAGAAAATTCATTACCTGCCTTCTGCTGCACTTGCTACTGGGAAACAAGAAATTTTATAGTCTTCAAACAGTGGCAACAACCAGGAGGATCCATGATCTCCCAAATGTTTGTGCCTCCCCTCTGATGGCCCTGCACTGACTTCTTGTGTCTGTGTGTGTGTGTGTGTGTGTGTGTGTGTGTGTGCTCAAGCTAAATTATAACAGAACAGGAATAAGGAAGAGGTAATACAGAATTTGAGTAAAATGATAGAGTGTTACGCCTTGACAATGATAAAAAGCTACTCTCTTTAACACATCCTTTGCTTCTTTCTTCTCCAGTAAGAAAAATGCATTTTTTAAATTTAAAAGAAGAAAAAAATGTAGAACAAAGAGGAAATATAAAGTTAAACCTGAGATATTAATAAAAGTCACCTACTTGTTCTATGTGAATTTGTTGACACAGCACAGACAAGCAGATCTCAAGATAAAAAATTAAAACCTTACATTGCCTGTATTGGTTCTGCAATCAAAGCTGATATTAAAATATTTAGCAGGGCTGGGTTGGATGGCTCATGCCTGTAATCCCAGCACTTTGGGATGCCTAGGTGGGTGGATCATTTAAGATCACCACTTCGAGACCACCCTGGGAAACATGACAAAATCCCATCTCTACCAAAAATACAAAAATTAGCTGGGTTTGGTGGCATGCGACTGTAGTCCCAGCTACTCAGGGGGCTGAGGTGGGAGGATGGCTTGAGCCTTGGAGTCAAAGGTTACAAGTTAGCTGAGATCACACCACTGCACTCCAGCCTGGGTGACAGAGCCAGACCTTGTCCCAAAATGTGTGTGTGTACATATATATTTAGAAGTATGCCATGGGCACAACCAATCAGAACAAATCCTGGGCTCCAACAACTGCCGTGCATATTCCTGTGTATACACACTGAGGACCATCCCTGCCTGCAAGCATGAATGCTAGATGTCTTGGTAGACATGCAAATGTTTTGACTTTCCAAAGCAGGGGAAATGAACTTCAGAACCTAAGAAAAAGCTCCACTTGGCGCTTCTACTACTTTTTAAGACAAATTTTAAACAAGTGAGTTATGAACATATGTGAGTGCTGATCACTGAATGGGAACATAGCTTAACCAAAAATCAACCACAAGCATCTTGATTAAGAAATAAGGAGTAAGTTAAACTCTAGTCCTGGGCAGAAACTTCTTCACTTGGCTTCTTTCTATCCTATAAACTTTAATGTATTTGGTGGAAGACACAAAAGGTATGCTGATCAAATGTGTAGATCATTGATAGATGATAAATATAGCTAGTCTGATAGATGATAGAATTCAGATTTAAAAGATCAATTGCTTGGGTGGATAGACAATAATAGGCACCAGCATTGCAGGGGCAATTCATATAAACTTTGATGTTTATTTGACCTTAAGTTAAAAGTGAACCAATAAAAATTAAAAACTAAAATAAGTGAACCAATAATGTTTCAAAGATACTAGAGAAAATAATGCCATCTTGGACTCTACTGATTAGTATCTAAAGAGTATGCTCTTGATTGATGAAATCAGACCTGAAATAATGTTTCTATCTGTGGACAGAATAGGTTTTAAAATGTAAATTAATAAATCAAGCCAAATTCTAAGGAGGAGGGTGAGGATGTGAACTGGCTCCTAATATATATTAAGGCGTGGTCAAGCTCACCAGAACCCTGATTTGTGACTCAAGTCTCAGAAAGTTACCTCAGAAGTCTTGTTTGATAAAGCTATATCCATCATTTTGAATAAAAATATGTAATTTGTATATCATAAAATATCTCAGGAATGATCCCAAAGTACTTGCCAAGATTTGATCTAGAGTCAACCCCAGATAGGTGGACTCTGGTGATGAAGACAGTTCTATCTACCAGAATCAGAACATTTCTGGAGGGAAGGTTACATCAGGGAAATCTGGCCGATGTCAAATCAGAAAGGACCTTGAGTGCTTCATGGGAGAATTTCAAACTAAAAGTGTAAGAATTTAGGAGGAATTGGGGCACTTTAACATAAGTGATATCAACAAACCTGACCTTTAGAAAAGTCATAGAGGCAGAGTGTGAAGGAAACAGGGACTGGAGAAGATCCTGGAAGTGAGGAGATAGCTAAGGGATGAAAGCAAAATTCCTGGAAGGAGATAACAGGGAACTAAGGCTCCAAAGAAGGATGGGTGAAGGGCAATTGCAGCCCCATGATACCTTCAGGTGCACCAGGGACATGAAATGTTCCTTGTTTCCTCCTGTTCCATGTGTGCTCCTGTACCTTCACTTCTCATTGCTGGAGGCAAGGACCCAAGGTACTCAAAAGTCTATCAAGAATGTGGGAACACCAAAACCTATGAAGTTGGGGTTTTAGGCCATTTGACCTACTGATGAGGTCCATAATGAAATGTCTCCTTACCTCTCAAGGGCTCATTACTACAAGGTGAGCAAATGTAAATTGTCCCAGATAGTAAAGATTTCATCACAGTAATTATGATCCAAATGGAACCAGAGCAAGAGCTCTGGAGTAGGACGCAGAAGTTGCCTTCATTTCACTGTTACCCACCTTGTGACTTTTTATATGTTATCTCTCTCTCTGAGCTTCAGTTTTCTCATACATGAAACTATGTGAATACAGTTCTAGTTGTTTACCATTGTCAGGCCATGTGGTAAGTGCTTTATAGTTATTATCACATTTAATTGTTACAGCAGCCCTACAAGGTAGATAATATTATTATTCTGATTTCACAGATGAGAAAACTGGGGACAGACACATTAACTTTGATTTCAGATTCAAGGAGCTAGTCAGTGGCACTGACAGGTATTGAATTCAATGGTCTTTATAGCCTCGTAGTCAAAGTTTCAGCCATTTTTTTGAGCTAAAAGCAGGAGAAGGGTAAAGAACTTGGGAATGTGTGTAGGTCTGTTCCATAAGAGGCAAGCATCTGACCTGCTGCCTTAAGGAGCTGCATAGCTGGATCAGGTATCAGTGATCAGGACATAGATTATAGGCTTTTGAAAAGAGTTCAGAAATCTGAGATAACTAAAAGCTTGTCTTTCAAGAGAGTTCATAAGAACTCAACCCCACCCAGACTTTAGTTTCAAGAGGCAGAGAATGCCTTTTGTGTGAAGCTGGCAGAGGCAACGCAGGTGGAGCAGGCTCGATGGTGAGGGGTTTACAACTGAAGAGGAAGGGGGTGTGTGTAGGGAGTGGAGGTGGGTGTGTATGAATGCCACTCTGCGATTGGAGGGTGCTTCTTCAAATTGGTCCCTGCCAGGGGCTCAAAAGGGGCTGAAATCCTGGGGACCTCAGAGTCGTCTAAAACTCCTAGCCATGTTCCAGCAGTTCCAGGCCTCCTGTCTTGTCCTGTTTTTCCTGGTTGGCTTTGCTCAGCAGACCCTAAAGCCTCAAAATAGGAAGGTGAGCATGGGGCAGGGGATCCGAGCTGATTCCAGCACGTGATGACCAACCTGGCTGCCAGAGTTGCAAGGAGTTCTCTACTCTCCCCTTTCGAAGGACAAGATCTGCATTCCCAGCCCTTCTTCACAAATCCTGACATTGCTATCCTTAGCAGGCTCTCCCTAAATCCACTGTCTCTTACTTGCATCTTTTCCTCTGCACCTAGTAGCTCTTTGAACTGAATGTATGTGGAGTGGGGTTGGGGGGCTGCCTCAGCACATTCCCCTTTGCCACTTCCCCCTGGTGGCCCCTTGATAGCCTAGAGCCTGTCCCCTTCATGCTGGTCCATAACTTGGAGTAGCGCTGTGGATCCCAACAAATGAGGCATGAAGTCGCAAATGGATTGACAGGGAGGCTGCCCTGGTTACTCCTGGAGAGGCTGCTCAGCCAGAAACCCAGAGGGAGAGGTGAGAGAATCTGGGCTTGCGATCTGCACTAGGAGTTTCTAGGTCACAGAAAGAGGAGCTCCCCACCACCACACCCCTAGAAAAATAAAATGCATAAGGCCAATATGGTTGTCCACTAATATTAATTTTAGGGAAGGTCATGAGGTGAGGTAGAGACAAAGCTCAGCTCAGAGTAGGCTTTGTTCTCAGATCTTGGTGTTGCTCCCAAATCTCCTGATGCCATTTAGAAAAGTCCCCCCACTGGATGTCCATAGTCACCCCTGTGAAAGATGTGTATATATGTCTTAGGATGCGGACTGAGCAGATCACCTGAGGCACCCGCAAATTTTAACTTTAAAATCAGATGAATTTATTCAAAAGCAGCCTCAGTGGTGGCCATATGCCAATTATATATCTTTTGTTAGTTCCTTTCTGTCCTCTATAAAAGGTGGCGTACAATGCCTATCATATAATGCAGTGATTCCCAGACTTGAGCTTACCTAAGAGATAGCTGGTTAAAGCACAATTGCTGGGCCCCACCCAAGACTTTCTGATTCAGTAAGTTTTAGGGGGAGCCCAGGAATTTGCATTTCTAAAATGCTTCCGGTTGATACTCATGCAGGTCTCCACACCTGAAGCTTTGAGCTTTAATCTCTGTTACTGGATTCATATGAAGTGTAAGATGGTGCCTATTACAAGCCATAAGACAGCTTACTTACTTACTTTCCAGAAAGGTAACAGATCACTTGAACGGACAACCTCCAAGGGTCATCAGATCTATGTCAGCCACTGCTGCCTGGTTGGGTGTGGAATTCTCGATGTAAAATAGCATCTTGTGAATTAAAAGCTGTGTTCTAGGGTATTCTGTCTTCTTCAAACAGATGTAAGCAAACTAGAGCAGAACTGAAAACTGGGTAGGAAGGATTGAGCTCTTCGAGTCTGCAGTTTTCGTGGGATTCTGCATCTCATTTCACAGAGTGACATCCTCATGAGAACCAAATCTTTGGAAGTTGTTGCACCCAGAGCTAAGGTAGCACAAAGGCAAGAAAATGGAGGCATACAAATGACAGCTCACATGGTGATTTCCGTGTGACTTTTTATTATAGTAGCAAGAAAGACAAATGCTGGAAATTATTTAGCTCAGACGTAAGGTGTCATGAAGGCAAAACGAATGCAGGCATATAGATGATAACTCCATCATAGTGGGTTTCTTAGGCTAATGTTCCCAAATATTGTGACTAATGTATATGCACAGATGTGTACAGAAATATGGACTTGAAAGGGCTTGCCCCTTGGTCAAGCCTCCTTCTCTCCAAGGATAATGAAGGAGAAGCTGTGGCCTTGTGTCGTGGTAACAGACTCAGAAGATGATAAAGAGTTTCTTGCCCCACTCTGCCCACAGTAGCTCACCCACAGGCAATTCCTTCCCTGCATGGGGTATGCTTTTATGGACTGAGATCCTGTGAAGCCCAGTTTAAATTACTCTAAAATTCTATGATTTTTCTTCATATGGCCAGGACTTATAGCCTCTCTTACCACATAACATGTTAGCCTTTTGTTCCAGGTTCTGTATGCCTTTTATTCTTGGCATGCTTGTGGGTAGAAAAGTTTTTCCGCTCTGTGCTATTTTATGAACTTTAATTCATGAGCAGTTCAGGCTGTTTCACCACAATATAAAGAAGTGGGTGCCAAGGATGAGTTTTCAAGGTACCAGCGAAACCGGAAAAGTTCCCTTGTCCCTCTCACAAGGCATGCGACGGGGCGTGTGGCTCGCTGCTTCAGTTCCCCGCCGCTCAAACCTGTACGGGAGCAGAGGGGGAGCATACAAACTAGCAGATTGTGGAGCTCCAACCTTAAGGCAGTGTCTAGGAGTGAATGTTTACAACTGAAGCCCCAGTGGGCGTGTGTTACAGGGTGCTCTTAGTTCAGCCACCCATAGGCAGCTTGTGTTAGCTCCATTAGACCCCTGCCTTATCACAAAGACAGAGGACTTTCTGTATCCCAGGGATCTTGCCTTGGTTTACGAGAAGAATCGGATCACACGTGGGCATGGAGAATAAGTGCAAGGTTTTATTAAGTGGAAGTAGCTCTCATCAGATGGGGGAGCCAAAAGAGAGATGGTTTTTCCCTGGAGCCCGGCCAAACTCCATGTCCTTCCGCTGTCAATGGCCTTCCAGTGTGCTCCTACTGTGTTCAAAATTGGTGGGTTTTTGGCCTCACTGACTTCAAGAATGAAACCCAGTTCTTTAAGGCAGCGTGTCCAGAATTTGTTCCTTCTGATGTTCGGATGTGTTCAGAGTTTGTTCCTTCTGGCGGGTTTGTGGTCTTGCTGGCTCAAGAGTGAAGCTGCAGAGGCTCAAGAGTGAAGCTGCAAAGCCTCGCGGTCAGTGTTACAGCTCTTAAGGCAGCGCGTCTGGAGTTGTTCATTCCTCCCGGTGGGTTCGTGGTCTCGCTGGCTTCAGGAGTGAAGCTGTAGACCTTCACGGTGAGTGTTACAGCTTGTAAAGGCAGTGTGGACCCCAAGAATGAGCAGCAGCAAGACTTATTGCAAAGAGCGAAAGAACAAAGCTCCCACAGTGTGGAAGGGGACCCACGGGGGCTGCCACTGCTGGCTCCGGCAGCCGCCTTTTATTCTTATCTGGCCACACCCACATCCTGCTGATTGGTCCATTTTACAGAGAGCCGAGTGGTCTGTTTTGACAGGGTGCGGATTGGTGCCTTTACAATCCCTGAGCTAGACACAAAAGTGCTCCACTTCCCCACTAGATTAGCTAGATACAGAGTGTCCACACAAAGGTTCTCCATGTCCCCACCAGAGCAGCTAGATACAGAGTGTCAACTGGTGCATTCACAAACCCTGAGCTAGACACAGGGTGCTGATTGGTGTGTTTACAAACCTTGAGCTAGATACAGAGTGCCGATTGGTGTATTTACAATCCCTTAGCTAGACATAAAGGTTCTCCCAGTCCCCACCAGACTCAGGAGCCCAGCTGGCTTCAGCCAGTGGATGCCGCACCACGGCCGCAGGCCGAGCTGCCTGCCAGTCCCGCGCCCTGCGCCCGCACTCCTCAGCCCTTGGGTGGCCGATGGGACTGGGCGGCGTGGAGCAGGGGGCGGTGCTCGTCGGGGAGGCTCGGGCCGCGCAGGAGCCCACGGAGCGGGAGGAGGCTCAGGCATGGCGGGCTGCAGGTCCCAAGCCCTGCCCCGCGGGGTGGCAGCTAAGGCCCAGCGAGAAGTCGAGCACAGCAGCTGCTGGCCTTGGTGCTAAGCTCCTCAGTGCCCGGGGCCGGCTGGCCGCTCCGAGTGCGGGGCCCGCTGAGCCCACTCCCACGTGGAATTCGCGCTGGCCCGCAAGTGCCACGCGCAGCCCTGGTTCCCTCCAGCGCCTCTCCCTCCACAACTCCTCGGAAGCTGAGGGGGCCGGCTCCGGCCTTGGCCAGCCCAGAAGGGGGCTCCCACAGTGCAGCCGCGGGCTGAAGGGCCTCTTAAGCGCGACCAGAGTGGGCGCCAAGGCCGAGGAGGCGCGGAGAGCGAGCAAAGGCTGTGAGGGCTGCTAGCATGTTGTCACCTCTCACCACGATGGTGCATTGCTCTCCACGTCCAGCCAGTTGAGTGTGTTCCTCCGCTGATGTGCTTCTCTCCACATCCAGCGCCAGTGCCTCTGGCTGCTAGGGTCTCAGAGTTTTTATAGGCACAGACCCATTTGAGTGAGAAGGCAGGAGTGCCTGTCCTCATGTAGGTCCGTAGGCACAGGCCCGAGGGTGGAGCCCTAGTTAGGTACCCGCCTTTCTCTACCCAGCACTTCCCGGCCGCCCCTCCCCCATCACCAGTGATTACCCCATTGGCAAGCCTGGAAAGGCCCTTCAGTGGCATCTGGAGAAGTTATGGGCCTGATTTTGGGGGACAGGAATTACAATATAAGAACATGTAGATGAGAAGTTTGTGCAAAACTTACTTATGAGAAATCCTGCAAAATCTGTTAAGAGTATCTGAGAGAGGACGGCATGACTTGAACGGAGTGTTAGGATGTCGGGGGAGAATGCAGTGTCAGGGAACAGAGGTAAATGTTATTAATCTTCTGGAAACGGGAAGAATATTATGAAATGCTTGTCTTGCCACACACACAAAAAAATGGCTTGTAATTTAGAAGACATAAATTCTAGCTATGGCATCAGCTCTAACTAAAAATTTTACTTGGAAAGATCCCTTCAGTTCTTAGAATTTCAAGATATTACATGAAGGGTCTTCGAGTGTTTTGAAAAAGTCCACAAATGTTGGGAATTATTTTTTATCTTATATCGTTATGGTTATTTTTGTAAAATTCCAGGTGGATTGCAACAAAGGGGTAACAGGCACCATCTATGAGTATGGAGCCCTCACCCTCAACGGCGAGGAGTACATCCAATTCAAGCAGTTTGCAGGCAAGCACGTCCTGTTTGTCAATGTGGCCGCCTATTGAGGCTTGGCAGCTCAGTATCCTGGTAAGAACTCACGTTTCAACTCTTTTGGAAGCAGCATTGCCAGATAGCCATATTCTAATTCCAGAAGGTTTTACCAATGTGTTATTGGAGGATGCGATGGGAGAACTGATCAGGTGACTCTACCTCCCTAAATGCTGCTCCTGCTCTGCTCCTTAGAATATCAGGATAATTATTTCCAGATTTGAGAACTAAGACCTTCCCAAAGACTTAAAGACCACCAGGAGCACACTTGCAGTTGAACAAGTTGAATGTGTTACTCGGTACCCTGAAGGAGAACATGTTCTATAGAGAACCATGGGGTTTCTTAATAAGAAAGTATTAGAAAGGACTTACTATAGAATCTGAACTTTTGTTACGTGATTTGGAGACGAGTTCAAGGAATTGAAGTTCTGTTCTGGATTGGATGCCATCAAGAACTGTGAGCAATTATATGATTTGGTGTCTTAATCAATCATATCTACATGGGGAGAGAAACGAAGACTAAAGCTGTAACTGGTAAAGAAGCAGCAGTCACTCATATTGGCAAGAATAGGGTGGTACCTGGTCATTGTTGCGATTTGGACAATGTTCGTGCTTTGTCTATGTTCAGTTACAATTATGCAGTGGCCTTGTTTTTGCCTTGATTCATCAT